>NC_000022.11:14421732-15054318 GCF_000001405.40 Homo sapiens | reverse complement strand
TCTGTCTAGTTTTTATGGGAAGACATTCCCTTTTTCACCAAAGGCATCAAAGCGCTCCAAATGTCCACTTCCAGACACTACAAAAAGAGTGTTTCCAACGTGCTCTAAGAAAGCGAATGTTCAACTCTGTGACTTGAATGCAGATATCACAAAGTAGTTTCTGAGAGGGCTTCTGTCTAGATTTTAGATGATGATATTCCCGTTTCCAACGAAATCATTAGAGCTATCCAAATATCCACTTACAGTTTCTACAAAAAGAGTGTTTCCAAACTGCTGCATCAAAAGAGAGGTTCCACTCTGTTAGCTGAGTACACACATCTCAAACTTGTTTCTCAGAATCCTTCTGTCTCGTTTTTATGGGAAGATATTTACTTTTTCACCGTAGGCATCAAAGCGCTCCAAATGTCCACATCCAGATACTCCGGAAAGAGTGTTTCAAACCTGCTCTATGAAAGGGAATCTTCAACTCTATGAGTTGAATGCAGACATCAGAAAGAAATTTCTGAGAATGCTGCTGTCTACCTTTTATTTGAATTCCCGCTTCCAACGAAATCCTCCAAGCTATCCAAATATCCACCTGCATTTTCCACAAAAAGAGAGTTTCAAAACTGCTCTATCAATAGAAATGTTCAACTCCTTTGGCTGGGTACACACAGCACAAACAAGTTTCTGAGAATGCTTCTGTCTATTTTTTATAGGAAGATATTTCCTTTTTCACGGTAGGCCTCAAGGCGATCGAAATGTCCACTTCTACAATCTAAAAAAAGAGTGTTTCAAACCTGCTCTATGAAAGGCCATGTTCATCTCTATGAGTTGAATGGAAATATCCGAAAGAAATTTCTGGGAATGCTGCTGTCTAGTGTTTATACGAATTCCCGCTTCCAACGAAATCCTCAAAGCAATCCAAATATCCACTTGCAGAATCCACAAAAAGAGTGTTTCAAAACTGCTCTATCAATAGAAAGGTTCAACTCTTTTAGTTGAGTACACACATCACAAACAAGTTTCTGAGAATGCTTCTGTCTGGCTTTTATTGGAAGACGTTTCCTTTTCACCAAAGGCATCAAAGCGCTCCAAATGTCCACTTCCAGATTCTTCCAAAAGAGTGTTTCAAACGTGCTCGAAGTAAGGGAATCTTCTACTCTGTGACTTGAATGCAGATATCACCAAGTAGTTTCTAATAGTTCTTCTGTCTAGATTTTAGATGATTATATTCCCGTTTCCAACGAAATCGTTAGAGCTATCCAAATATCCAGTTACAGTTTCTACCAAAAGGGTGTTTCCAAATTGCTGCATCAAAAGAAAGGTTCAACTCTGTTAGTTGAGGACACACATCACAAAGAAGTTTGTGAGAATGCTTCTGTCTAGATTTTGTATGACCATATTCCCTTTTCCAACGATATCGTTAAAGCAATCTAAATATCAATTTGCAGAATCCACAAAAATAGAGTTTCAAAGCTGCTCTGTAAAAAGAAAGGTTCCACTCTGTTAGCTGAGTACACACATCACAAACTTGTTTACTGAGAATCCTTTCTGTCTCGTTTTTATGGGAAGATATTTACTTTTCCACCGTAGGCATCAAAGCGCTCCAAATGTCCACATCCAGATACTCCAGAACGAGTGTTTCAAACCTGCTCTATGAAAGGGAATCTTCAACTCTATGAGTTGAATGCAGACATCAGAAAGAAATTTCTGAGAATGCTGCTGTCTACCTTTTATTTGAATTCCCGCTTCCAACGAAATCCTCCAAGCTATCCAAATATCCACCTGCATTTTCCACAACAAGAGTGTTTCAAAACTGCTCTATCAATAGAAATGTTCAAATCCTTTGGCTGGGTACACACATCACAAACAAGTTTCTGAGAATGCTTCTGTCTAGTTTTTATGGGTAGACATTCCCTTTTTCACCAAAGGCATCAAAGCGCTCCAAATGTCCACTTCCAGACACTACAAAAAGAGTGTTTCAAACGTGCTCTAAGAAAGCGAATGTTCAACTCTGTGACTTGAATGCAGATATCACAAAGTAGTTTCTGAGAGTGCTTCTGTCTAGATTTTAGATGATGATATTCCCGTTTCCAACGAAATCATTACAGCTATCCAAATATCCACTTACAGTTTCTACAAAAAGAGTGTTTCCAAACTGCTGCATCAAAAGAGAGGTTCCACTCTGTTAGCTGAGTACACACATCACAAACTTGTTTCTCAGAATCCGTCTGTCTAGTTTTTATGGGAAGATATTTACTTTTTCACCGTAGGCATCAAAGCGTTCCAAATGTCCACATCCAGATAGTACAGAAAGAGTGTTTCAAACCTGCTCTATGAAAGGGAATGTTCAACTCTATGAGTTGAATGCAAACATCACAAAGAAATTTCTGAGAATGCTGCTGTCTACCTTTTATTTGAATTCCTGCTTCCAACGAAATCCTCCAAGCTATCCAAATATCCACTTGCAGATTCCACAAAAAGAGTGTTTCAAAACTGCTCTCTATCAATGGCAAAGTTCAACTCTATTAGTTGAGGACACATATCACCAACAAGTTTCTGAGAATGCTTCTGTCTATTTTTTATGGGAAGATATTTCCTTTTTCACCGTAGGCGTCAAGGCGATCGAAATGTCCACTTCCACAAACTACAAAAAGAGTGTTTCAAACCTGCTCTATGAAAGGCCATGATCATCTCTATGAGTTGAATGGAAATATCCGAAAGAAATTTCTGGGAATGCTGCTGTCTAGTTTTTATACGAATTCCCGCTTCCTACGAAATCCTCAAAGCAATCCAAATATCCACTTGCAGAATCCACAAAAAGAGTGTTTCAAAACTGCTCTATCAATAGAAAGGTTCAACCCTTTTAGTTGAGTACACACATCACGAACAAGTTTCTGAGAATGCTTCTGTCTGGCTTTTATTGGAAGACGTTTCCTTTTCACCAAAGGCATCAAAGCGCTCCAAATGTCCACTTCCAGATTCTTCCAAAAGAGTGTTTCAAACGTGCTCAAAGTAAGGGAATGTTCAACTCTGTGACTTGAATGCAGATATCACCAAGTAGTTTCTAATAGTGCTTCTGTCTAGATTTTAGATGATGATATTCCCGTTTCCAACGAAATCGTTAGAGCTATCCAAATATCCAGTTACAGTTTCTACCAAAAGGGTGTTTCCAAATTGCTGCATCAAAAGAAAGGTTCAACTCTGTTAGTTGAGGACACACATCACAAACAAGTTTGTGAGAATGCTTCTGTCTATATTTTGTATGACCATATTCCCTTTTCCAGCGATATCATTAAAGCAATCTAAATATCCATTTGCAGAATCCACAAAAATAGAGTTTCAAAGCTGCTCTGTAAAAAGAAAGGTTCCACTCTGTTAGCTGAGTACACACATCACAAACTTGTTTCTCAGAATCCTTCTGTCTCGTTTTTATGGGAAGATATTTACTTTTCCACCGTAGGCATCAAAGCGCTCCAAATGTCCACATCCAGATACTCCAGAACGAGTGTTTCAAACCTGCTCTATGAAAGGGAATCTTCAACTCTATGAGTTGAATGCAGACATCAGAAAGAAATTTCTGAGAATGCTGCTGTCTACCTTTTATTTGAATTCCCGCTTCCAACGAAATCCTCCAAGCTAACCAAATATCCACCTGCATTTTCCACAACAAGAGTGTTTCAAAACTGCTCTATCAATAGAAATGTTCAACTCTTTGGCTGGGTACACACATCACAAACAAGTTTCTGAGAATGCTTCTGTCTAGTTTTTATGGGTAGACATTCCCTTTTTCACCAAAGGAATCAAAGCGCTCCAAAAGTCCACTTCCAGACACTACAAAAAGAGTGTTTCAAACGTGCTCTAAGAAAGCGAATGTTCAACTCTGTGACTTGAATGCAGATATCACACAGTAGTTTCTGAGAGTGCTTCTGTCTAGATTTTAGATGATGATATTCCCGTTTCCAACGAAATCATTAGAGCTATCCAAATATCCACTTACAGTTTCTACAAAAAGAGTGTTTCCAAACTGCTGCATCAAAAGAGAGGTTCCACTCTGTTAGCTGAGTACACACATCACAAACTTGTTTCTCAGAATCCTTCTGTCTCGCTTTTATGGGAAGATATTTACTTTTTCACCGTAGGCATCAAAGCGCTCCAAATGTCCACATCCAGATACTCCAGAAAGAGTGTTTCAAACCTGCTCTATGAAAGGGAATGTTCAACTCTATGAGTTGAATGCAGACATCAGAAAGAAATTTCTGAGAATGCTGCTGTCTACCTTTTATTTGAATTCCCGCTTCCAACGAAATCCTCCAAGCTATCCAAATATCCACTTGCAGATTCCAGAAAAAGAGTGTTTCAAAACTGCTCTCTATCAATGGCAAAGTTCAACTCTGTTAGTTGAGGACACATATCACCAACAAGTTTCTGAGAATGCTTCTGTCTATTTTTTATGGGAAGATATTTCCTTTTTCAGCGTAGGCGTCAAGGCGATCGAAATGTCCACTTCCACAAACTACAAAAAGAGTGTTTCAAACCTGCTCTATGAAAGGCCATGTTCATCTCTATGAGTTGAATGGAAATATCCGAAAGAAATTTGCTGGGAATGCTGCTGTCTAGTTTTTATATGAATTCCCGCTTCCAACGAAATCCTCAAAGCAATCCAAATATCCACTTGCAGAATCCACAAAAAGAGTGTTTCAAAACTGCTCTATCAATAGAAAGGTTCAACTCTTTTAGTTGAGTACACACATCACAAACAAGTTTCTGAGAATGCTTCTGTCTGGCTTTTATTGGAAGACGTTTCCTTTTCACCAAAGGCATCAAAGCGCTCCAAATGTCCACTTCCAGATTCTTCCAAAAGAGTGTTTCAAACGTGCTCAAAGTAAGGGAATGTTCAACTCTGAGACTTGAATGCAGATATCACCAAGTAGTTTCTAATAGTGCTTCTGTCTACATTTTAGATGATGATATTCCCGTTTCCAATGAAATCGTTAGAGCTATCCAAATATCCAGTTACAGTTTCTACCAAAAGGGTGTTTCCAAATTGCTGCATCAAAAGAAAGGTTCAACTCTGTTAGTTGAGGACACACATCACAAAGAAGTTTGTGAGAATGCTTCTGTCTAGACTTTAGATGATGATATTCCCGTTTCCAACGAAATCATTAGAGCTATCCAAATATCCACTTACAGTTTCTACAAAAAGAGTGTTTCCAAACTGCTGCATCAAAAGAGAGGTTCCACTCTGTTAGCTGAGTACACACATCACAAACTTGTTTCTGAGAATCCTTCTGTCTCGTTTTTATGGGAAGATATTTACTTTTCCACCGTAGGCATCAAAGCGCTCCAAAATGTCCACATCCAGATACTCCAGAACGAGTGTTTCAAACCTGCTCTATGAAAGGGAATCTTCAACTCTATGAGTTGAATGCAGACATCAGAAAGAAATTTCTGAGAATGCTGCTGTCTAGCTTTTATGTGAATTCCCGCTTCCAACGAAAAACTCCAAGCTATCCAAATATCCACTTGCAGATTCCACAAAAAGAGTGTTTCAAAACTGCTCTATCAATAGAAATGTTCAACTCCTTTCGCTGGGTACACAGATCACAAACAAGTTTCTGAGAATGCTTCTGTCTAGTTTTTATGGGAAGACATTTCCTTTTTCACCAAAGGCATCAAAGAGCTCCAAATGTCCACTTCCAGATATACAAAAAGAGTGTTTCAAAAGTGCTCTAAGAAAGCGAATGTTCAACTCTGTGACTTGAATGCAGATATCACAAAGTAGTTTCTGAGAGTGCTTCTGTCTAGATTTTAGATGATGGTATTCCCATTTCCAACGAAATCATTAGAGCTATCCAAATATCCACTTACAGTTTCTACAAAAAGTGTGTTTCCAAACTGCTGCATGAGAAGAGAGGTTCCACTCTGTTATCTGAGTACACACATCACAAACTTGTTTCTGAGAATCCTTCTGTCTCGTTTTTATGGGAAGATATTTACTTTTTCACCGTAGGTATCAAAGCGCTCCAAATGTCCACGTCCAGATACTCCAGAAAGCGTGTTTCAAACCTCCACTATGAAAGGGAATCTTCAACTCTATGAGTTGAATGCAGACATCAGAAAGAAATTT
Source organism: Homo sapiens (assembly GCF_000001405.40). Taxonomy (NCBI): domain Eukaryota; kingdom Metazoa; phylum Chordata; class Mammalia; order Primates; family Hominidae; genus Homo; species Homo sapiens. The sequence continues at coordinate 15,048,206 of NC_000022.11, read as the reverse complement.
CTGAGAATGCTGCTGTCTACCTTTTATTTGAATTCCCGCTTCCAACGAAATCCTCCAAGCTATCCAAATATCCACTTGCAGATTCCACAAAAAGAGTGTTTCAAAACTGCTCTCTATCAATGGCAAAGTTCAACTCTGTTAGTTGAGGACACATATCACCAACAAGTTTCTGAGAATGCTTCTGTCTATTTTTTATGGGAAGATATTTCCTTTTTCACCGTAGGCGTCAAGGCGATCGAAATGTCCACTTCCACAAACTACAAAAAGAGTGTTTCAAACCTGCTCTATGAAAGGCCATGTTCATCTCTATGAGTTGAATGGAAATATCCGAAAGAAATTTCTGCGAATGCTGCTGTCTAGTGTTTATACGAATTCCCGCTTCCAACGAAATCCTCAAAGCAATCCAAATATCCACTTGCAGAATCCACAAAAAGAGTGTTTCAAAACTGCTCTATCAATAGAAAGGTTCAACTCTTTTAGTTGAGTACACACATCACGAACAAGTTTCTCAGAATGCTTCTGTCTGGCTTTTATTGGAAGACGTTTCCTTTTCACCAAAGGCATCAAAGCGCTCCAAATGTCCACTTCCAGATTCTTCCAAAAGAGTGTTTGAAACGTGCTCAAAGTAAGGGAATGTTCAACTCTGTGACTTGAATGCAGATATCACCAAGTAGTTTCTAATAGTGCTTCTGTCTAGATTTTAGATGATGATATTCCCGTTTCCAACGAAATCGTTAGAGCTATCCAAATATCCACTTACAGTTGCTACAAAAACAGTGTTTCCAAACTGCTGCATCAAAAGAAAGGTTCAACTCTGTTAGTTGAGGACACACATCACAAAGAAGTTTGTGAGAATGCTTATCTGTCTAGAATTTTGTATGACCATATTCCCTTTTCCAGCGATATCATTAAAGCAATCTAAATATCCATTTGCAGAATCCACAAAAATAGAGTTTCAAAGCTGCTCTGTAAAAAGAAAGGTTCCACTCTGTTAGCTGAGTACACACATCACAAACTTGTTTCTCAGAATCCTTCTGTCTCGTTTTTATGGGAAGATATTTACTTTTCCACCGTAGGCATCAAAGCGCTCCAAATGTCCACATCCAGATACTCCAGAACGAGTGTTTCAAACCTGCTCTATGAAAGGGAATCTTCAACTCTATGAGTTGAATGCAGACATCAGAAAGAAATTTCTGAGAATGCTGCTGTCTACCTTTTATTTGAATTCCCGCTTCCAACGAAATCCTCCAAGCTATCCAAATATCCACCTGCATTTTCCACAAAAAGAGTGTTTCAAAACTGCTCTATCAATAGAAATGTTCAACTCCTTTGGCTGGGTACACACATCACAAACAAGTTTCTGAGAATACTTCTGTCTAGTTTTTATGGGAAGACGTTCCCTTTTTCACCAAAGGCATCAAAGCGCTCCAAATGTCCACTTCCAGACACTACAAAAAGAGTGTTTCAAACGTGCTCTAAGAAAGCGAATGTTCAACTCTGTGACTTGAATGCAGATATCACAAAGTAGTTTCTGAGAGGGCTTCTGTCTAGATTTTAGATGATGATATTCCCGTTTCCAACGAAATCATTAGAGCTATCCAAATATCCACTTACAGTTTCTACAAAAAGTGTGTTTCCAAACTACTGCATCAAAAGAGAGGTTCCACTCTGTTAGCTGAGTACACACATCACAAACTTGTTTCTGAGAATCCTGCTGTCTACCTTTAATTTGAATTCCCGCTTCCAACGAAATCCTCCAAGCTATCCAAATATCCACTTGCAGATTCCACAAAAAGAGTGTTTCAAAACTGCTCTCTATCAATGGCAAAGTTCAACTCTGTTAGTTGAGGACACATATCACCAACAAGTTTCTGAGAATGCTTCTGTCTATTTTTTATGGGAAGATATTTCCTTTTTCACCGTAGGCGTCAAGGCGATCGAAATGTCCACTTCCACAAACTACAAAAAGAGTGTTTCACACCTGCTCTATGAAAGGCCATGTTCATCTCTATGAGTTGAATGGAAATATCCGAAAGAAATTTCTGGGAATGCTGCTGTCTAGTTTTTATACGAATTCCCAGCTTCCAACGAAATCCTCAAAGCAATCCAAATATCCACTTGCAGAATCCACAAAAAGAGTGTTTCAAAACTGCTCTATCAATAGAAAGGTTCAACTCTTTTAGTTGAGTACACACATCACAAACAAGTTTCTGAGAATGCTTCTGTCTGGCTTTTATTGGAAGACGTTTCCTTTTCACCAAAGGCATCAAAGCGCTCCAAATGTCCACTTCCAGATTCTTCCAAAAGAGTGTTTCAAACGTGCTCGAAGTAAGGGAATGTTCTACTCTGTGACTTGAATGCAGATATCACCAAGTAGTTTCTAATAGTGCTTCTGTCTAGATTTTAGATGATGATATTCCCGTTTCCAACGAAATCGTTAGAGCTATCCAAATATCCACTTACAGTTGCTACAAAAACAGTGTTTCCAAACTGCTGCATCAAAAGAAAGGTTCAACTCTGTTAGTTGAGGTCACACGTCACAAAGAAGTTTGTGAGAATGCTTCTGTCTAGTATTTTGTATGACCATATTCCCTTTTCCAGCGATATCATTAAAGCAATCTAAATATCCATTTGCAGAATCCACAAAAATAGAGTTTCAAAGCTGCTCTGTAAAAAGAAAGGTTCCACTCTGTTAGCTGAGTACACACATCACAAACTTGTTTCTGAGAATCCTCTGTCTCGTTTTTATGGGAAGATATTTACTTTTCCACCGTAGGCATCAAAGCGCTCCAAATGTCCACATCCAGATACTCCAGAACGAGTGTTTCAAACCTGCTCTATGAAAGGGAATCTTCAACTCTATGAGTTGAATGCAGACATCAGAAAGAAATTTCTGAGAATGCTGCTGTCTACCTTTTATTTGAATTCCCGCTTCCAACGAAATCCTCCAAGCTATCCAAATATCCACCTGCATTTTCCACAACAAGAGTGTTTCAAAACTGCTCTATCAATAGAAATGTTCAACTCCTTTGGCTGGGTACACACATCACAAACAAGTTTCTGAGAATGCTTCTGTCTAGTTTTTATGGGAAGACATTCCCTTTTTCACCAAAGGCATCAAAGCGCTCCAAATGTCCACTTCCAGACACTACAAAAAGAGTGTTTCAAACGTGCTCTAAGAAACCCAATGTTCAACTCTCTGACTTGAATGCAGATATCACAAAGTAGTTTCTGAGAGGGCTTCTGTCTAGATTTTAGATGATGATATTCCCGTTTCCAACGAAATCATTAGAGCTATCCAAATATCCACTTACAGTTTCTACAAAAAGAGTGTTTCCAAACTGCTGCATCAAAAGAGAGGTTCCACTCTGTTAGCTGAGTTCACACATCACAAACTTGTTTCTCAGAATCCTTCTGTGTCGTTTTTATGGCAAGATATTTACTTTTTCACCGTAGGCATCAAAGCGCTCCAAATGTCCACATCCAGATACTCCAGAAAGAGTGTTTCAAACCTGCTCTATGAAAGGGAATCTTCAACTCTATGAGTTGAATGCAGACATCAGAAAGAAATTTACTGAGAATGCTGCTGTCTACCTTTTATTTGAATTCCCGCTTCCAACGAAATCCTCCAAACTATCCAAATATCCACTTGCAGATTCCACACAAAGAGTGTTTCAAAACTGCTCTCTATCAATGGCAAAGTTCAACTCTGTTAGTTCAGGACACATATCACCAACAAGTTTCTGAGAATGCTTCTGTCTATTTTTTATGGGAAGATATTTCCTTTTTCACCGTAGGCGTCAAGGCGATCGAAATGTCCACTTCCACAAACTACAAAAAGAGTGTTTCAAACCTGCTCTATGAAAGGCCATGTTCATCTCTATGAGTTGAATGGAAATATCCGAAAGAAATTTCTGGGAATGCTGCTGTCTAGTGTTTATACGAATTCCCGCTTCCAACGAAATCCTCAAAACAATCCAAATATCCACTTGCAGAATCCACAAAAAGAGTGTTTCAAAACTGCTCTATCAATAGAAAGGTTCAACTCTTTTAGTTGAGTACACACATCACGAACAAGTTTCTGAGAATGCTTCTGTCTGGCTTTTATTGGAAGACGTTTCCTTTTCACCAAAGGCATCAAAGCGCTCCAAATGTCCACTTCCAGATTCTTCCAAAAGAGTGTTTCAAACGTGCTCAAAGTAAGGGAATGTTCAACTCTATGAGTTGAATGCAGACATCAGAAAGAAATTTCTGAGAATGCTTCTGTCTAGATTTTAGCATGATGATATTCCCGTTTCCAACGAAATCGTTAGAGCTATCCAAATATCCACTTACAGTTGCTACAAAAACAGTGTTTCCAAACTGCTGCATCAAAAGAAAGGTTCAACTCTGTTAGTTGAGGACACACGTCACAAAGAAGTTTGTGAGAATGCTTCTGTCTAGATTTTGTATGACCATATTCCCTTTTCCAGCGATATCATTAAAGCAATCTAAATATCCATTTGCAGAATCCACAAAATTAGAGTTTCAAAGCTGCTCTGTAAAAAGAAAGGTTCCACTCTGTTAGCTGAGTACACACATCACAAACTTGTTTCTCAGAATCCTCCTGTCTACCTTTTATTTGAATTCCCGCTTCCAACGAAATCCTCCAAGCTATCCAAATATCCACTTGCATTTTCCACAAAAAGAGTGTTTCAAAACTGCTCTATCAATGGAAATGTTCAACTCCTTTAGCTGGGTACACACATCACAAACAAGTTTCTGAGAATGCTTCTGTCTAGTTTTTATGGGAAGACATTCCCTTTTTCACCAAAGGCATCAAAGCGCTCCAAATGTCCACTTCCGGACACTACAAAAAGAGTGTTTCCAACGTGCTCTAAGAAAGCGAATGTTCAACTCTGTGACTTGAATGCAGATATCACAAAGTAGTTTCTGAGAGGGCTTCTGTCTAGCATTTTAGATGATGATATTCCCGTTTCCAACGAAATCATTAGAGCTATCCAAATATCCACTTACAGTTTCTACAAAAAGAGTGTTTCCAAACTGCTGCATCAAAAGAGAGGTTCCACTCTGTTAGCTGAGTACACACATCACAAACTTGTTTCTCAGAATCCTTCTGTCTCGTTTTTATGGGAAGATATTTACTTTTTCACCGTAGGCATCAAAGCGCTCCAAATGTCCACATCCAGATACTCCAGAAAGAGTGTTTCAAACCTGCTCTATGAAAGGGAATGTTCAACTCTATGAGTTGAATGCAGACATCAGAAAGAAATTTCTGAGAATGCTGCTGTCTACCTTTTATTTGAATTCCCGCTTCCAACGAAATCCTCCAAGCTATCAAAATATCCACTTGCAGATTCCACAAAAAGAGTGTTTCAAAACTGCTCTCTATCAATGGCAAAGTTCAACTCTGTTAGTTGAGGGCACATATCACCAACAAGTTTCTGAGAATGCTTCTGTCTATTTTTTATGGGAAGATATTTCCTTTTTCACCGCAGGCGTCAAGGCGATCGAAATGTCCACTTCCACAAACTACAAAAAGAGTGTTTCAATATGAAAGGCCATGTTCATCTCTATGAGTTGAATGGAAATATCCGAAAGAAATTTCTGGGAATGCTGCTGTCTAGTGTTTATACGAATTCCCGCTTCCAACGAAATCCTCAAAGCAATCCAAATATCCACTTGCAGAATCCACAAAAAGAGTGTTTCAAAACTGCTCTATCAATAGAAAGGTTCAACTCTTTTAGTTGAGTACACACATCACGAACAAGTTTCTGAGAATGCTTCTCTCTGGCTTTTATTGGAAGACGTTTCCTTTTCACCAAAGGCATCAAAGCGCTCCAAATGTCCACTTCCAGATTCTTCCAAAAGAGTGTTTCAAACGTGCTCAAAGTAAGGGAATGTTCAACTCTGTGACTTGAATGCAGATATCACCAAGTAGTTTCTAATAGTGCTTCTGTCTAGGTTTTAGATGATGATATTCCCGTTTCCAACGAAATCGTTTGAGCTATCCAAATATCCAGTTACAGTTTCTACCAAAAGGGTGTTTCCAAATTGTTGCATCAAAAGAAAGGTTCAACTCTGTTAGTTGAGGACACACATCACAAAGAAGTTTGTGAGAATGCTTCTGTCTAGATTTTGTATGACGATATTCCCTTTTCCAACGATATCGTTAAAGCAATCTAAATATCCATTTGCAGAATCCACAAAAATAGAGTTTCAAAGCTGCTCTGTAAAAAGAAAGGTTCCACTCTGTTAGCTGAGTACACACATCACAAACTTGTTTCTCAGAATCCTTCTGTCTCGTTTTTATGGGAAGATATTTACTTTTCCACCGTAGGCATCAAAGCGCTCCAAATGTCCACATCCGGATACTCCAGAACGAGTGTTTCAAACCTGCTCTATGAAAGGGAATCTTCAACTCTATGAGTTGAATGCAGACATCAGAAAGAAATTTCTGAGAATGCTGCTGTCTACCTTTTATTTGAATTCCCGCTTCCAACGAAATCCTCCAAGCTATCCAAATATCCACCTGCATTTTCCACAAAAAGAGCGTTTCAAAACTGCTCTATCAATAGAAATGTTCAACTCCTTTGGCTGGGTACACACATCACAAACAAGTTTCTGAGAATGCTTCTGTCTAGTTTTTATGGGAAGACATTCCCTTTTTCACCAAAGGCATCAAAGCGCTCCAAATGTCCACTTCCAGACACTACAAAAAGAGTGTTTCCAACGTGCTCTAAGAAAGCGAATGTTCAACTCTGTGACTTGAAAGCAGATATCACAAAGTAGTTTCTGAGAGGGCTTCTGTCCAGATTTTAGATGATGATATTCCCGTTTCCAACGAAATCATTAGAGCTATCCAAATATCCACTTACAGTTTCTACAAAAAGAGTGTTTCCAAACTGCTGCATCAAAAGAGAGGTTCCACTCTGTTAGCTGAGTACACACATCACAAACTTGTTTCTCAGAATCCTGCTGTCTACCTTTTATTTGAATTCCCGCTTCCAACGAAATCCTCCAAGCTATCCAGATATCCACTTGCAGATTCCACAAAAAGAGTGTTTCAAAACTGCTCTCTATCAATGGCAAAGTTCAACTCTGTTAGTTGAGGACACATATCACCAACAAGTTTCTGAGAATGCTTCTGTCTATTTTTTATGGGAAGATATTTCCTTTTTCACCGTAGGCGTCAAGGCGATCGAAATGTCCACTTCCACAAACTACAAAAAGCGTGTTTCAATATGAAAGGCCATGTTCATCTCTATGAGTTGAATGGAAATATCCGAAAGAAATTTCTGGGAATGCTGCTGTCTAGTTTTTATACGAATTCCCGCTTCCAACGAAATCCTCAAAGCAATCCAAATATCCACTTGCAGAATCCACAAAAAGAGTGTTTCAAAACTGCTCTATCAATAGAAAGGTTCAACTCTTTTAGTTGAGTACACACATCACAAACAAGTTTCTGAGAATGCTTCTGTCTGGCTTTTATTGGAAGACGTTTCCTTTTCACCAAAGGCATCAAAGCGCTCCAAATGTCCACTTCCAGATTCTTCCAAAAGAGTGTTTCAAACGTGCTCGAAGTAAGGGAATGTTCTACTCTGTGACTTGAATGCAGATATCACCAAGTAGTTTCTAATAGTGCTTCTGTCTACATTTTAGATGATGATATTCCCGTTTCCAACGAAATCGCTAGAGCTATCCAAATATCCAGTTACAGTTTCTACCAAAAGGGTGTTTCCAAATTGCTGCATCAAAAGAAAGGTTCAACTCTGTTAGTTGAGGACACACATCACAAAGAAGTTTGTGAGAATGCTTCTGTCTACATTTTGTATGACGATATTCCCTTTTCCAACGATATCGTTAAAGCAATCTAAATATCAATTTGCAGAATCCACAAAAATAGAGTTTCAAAGCTGCTCTGTAAAAAGAAAGGTTCCACTCTGTTAGCTGAGTACACACATCACAAACTTGTTTCTGAGAATCCTTCTGTCTCGTTTTTATGGGAAGATATTTACTTTTCCACCGTAGGCATCAAAGCGCTCCAAATGTCCACATCCAGATACTCCAGAACGAGTGTTTCAAACCTGCTCTATGAAAGGGAATCTTCAACTCTATGAGTTGAATGCAGACATCAGAAAGAAATTTCTGAGAATGCTGCTGTCTACCTTTTATTTGAATTCCCGCTTCCAACGAAATCCTCAAAGCTATCCAAATATCCACCTGCATTTTCCACAAAAAGAGTGTTTCAAAACTGCTCTATCAATAGAAATGTTCAACTCCTTTGGCTGGGTACACACATCACAAACAAGTTTCTGAGAATGCTTCTGTCTAGTTTTTATGGGTGGACATTCCCTTTTTCACCAAAGGAATCAAAGCGCTCCAAATGTCCACTTCCAGACACTACAAAAAGAGTGTTTCAAACGTGCTCTAAGAAAGCGAATGTTCAACTCTGTGACTTGAATGCAGATATCACAAAGTAGTTTCTGAGAGTGCTTCTGTCTAGATTTTAGATGATGATATTCCCGTTTCCAACGAAATCATTAGAGCTATCCAAATATCCACTTACAGTTTCTACAAAAAGAGTGTTTCCAAACTGCTGCATCAAAAGAGAGGTTCCACTCTGTTAGCTGAGTACACACATCACAAACTTGTTTCTCAGAATCCTTCTGTCTCGTTTTTATGGGAAGATATTTACTTTTTCACCGTAGGCATCAAAGCGCTCCAAATGTCCACATCCAGATACTCCAGAAAGAGTGTTTCAAACCTGCTCTATGAAATGGAATCTTCAACTCTATGAGTTGAATGCAGACATCAGAAAGAAATTTCTGAGAATGCTGCTGTCTACCTTTTATTTGAATTCCCGCTTCCAACGAAATCCTCCAAGCTATCCAAATATCCACTTGCAGATTCCACAAAAAGAGTGTTTCAAAACTGCTCTCTATCAATGGCAAAGTTCAACTCTGTTAGTTGAGGACACATATCACCAACAAGTTTCTGAGAATGCTTCTGTCTATTTTTTATGGGAAGATATTTCCTTTTTCACCGTAGGCGTCAAGGCGATCGAAATGTCCACTTCCACAAACTACAAAAAGAGTGTTTCAAACCTGCTCTATGAAAGGCCATGTTCATCTCTATGAGTCGAATGGAAATACCCGAAAGAAATTTCTGGGAATGCTGCTGTCTAGTTTTTATACGAATTCCCGCTTCCAACGAAATCCTCAAAGCAATCCAAATATCCACTTGCAGAATCCACAAAAAGAGTGTTTCAAAACTGCTCTATCAATAGAAAGGTTCAACTCTTTTAGTTGAGTACACACATCACAAACAAGTTTCTGAGAATGCTTCTGTCTGGCTTTTATTGGAAGACGTTTCCTTTTCACCAAAGGCATCAAAGCACTCCAAATGTCCACTTCCAGATTCTTCCAAAAGAGTGTTTCAAACGTGCTCAAAGTAAGGGAATGTTCAACTCTGTGACTTGAATGCAGATATCACCAAGTAGTTTCTAATAGTGCTTCTGTCTACATTTTGATGATGATATTCCCGTTTCCAACGAAATCGTTAGAGCTATCCAAATATCCAGTTACAGTTTCTACCAAAAGGGTGTTTCCAAATTGCTGCATCAAAAGAAAGGTTCAACTCTGTTAGTTGAGGACACACATCACAAAGAAGTTTGTGAGAATGCTTCTGTCTAGATTTTGTATGACCATATTCCCTTGTCCAACGATATCGTTAAAGCAATCTAAATATCAATTTGCAGAATCCACAAAAATAGAGTTTCAAAGCTGCTCTGTAAAAAGAAAGGTTCCACTCTGTTAGCTGAGTACACACATCACAAACTTGTTTCTCAGAATCCTTCTGTCTCGTTTTTATGGGAAGATATTTACTTTTTCACCGTAGGCATCAAAGCGCTCCAAATGTCCACATCCAGATACTCCAGAAAGAGTGTTTCAAACCTGCTCTATGAAAGGGAATCTTCAACTCTATGAGTTGAATGCAGACATCAGAAAGAAATTTCTGAGAATGCTGCTGTCTACCTTTTATTTGAACTCCCGCTTCCAACGAAATCCTCCAAGCTATCCAAATATCCACCTGCATTTTCCACAAAAAGAGCGTTTCAAAACTGCTCTATCAATAGAAATGTTCAACTCCTTTGGCTGGGTACACACATCACAAACAAGTTTCTGAGAATGCTTCTGTCTAGTTTTTATGGGAAGACATTCCCTTTTTCACCAAAGGCATCAAAGCGCGCCAAATGTCCACTTCCAGACACTACAAAAAGAGTGTTTCAAACGTGCTCTAAGAAAGCGAATGTTCAACTCTGTGACTTGAATGCAGATATCACAAAGTAGTTTCTGAGAGGGCTTCTGTCTAGATTTTAGATGATGATATTCCCGTTTCCAACGAAATCATTAGAGCTATCCAAATATCCACTTACAGTTTCTACAAAAAGAGTGTTTCCAAACTGCTGCATCAGAAGAGAGGTTCCACTCTGTTAGCTGAGTACACACATCACAAACTTGTTTCTGAGAATCCTTCTGTGTCGTTTTTATGGGAAGATATTTACTTTTTCACCGTAGGCATCAAAGCGCTCCAAATGTCCACATCCAGATACTCCAGAAAGAGTGTTTCAAACCTGCTGCTATGAAAGGGAATCTTCAACTCTATGAGTTGAATGCAGACATCAGAAAGAAATTTCTGAGAATGCTGCTGTCTACCTTTTATTTGAATTCCCGCTTCCAACGAAATCCTCCAAGCTATCCAAATATCCACTTGCAGATTCCACAAAAAGAGTGTTTCAAAACTGCTCTCTATCAATGGCAAAGTTCAACTCTGTTAGTTGAGGACACATATCACCAACAAGTTTCTGAGAATGCTTCTGTCTATTTTTTATGGGAAGATATTTCCTTTTTCAGCGTAGGCGTCAAGGCGATCGAAATGTCCACTTCCACAAACTACAAAAAGAGTGTTTCAAACCTGCTCTATGAAAGGCCATGTTCATCTCTATGAGTTGAATGGAAATATCCGAAAGAAATTTCTGGGAATGCTGCTGTCTAGTGTTTATACGAATTCCTGCTTCCAACGAAATCCTCAAAGCAATCCAAATATCCACTTGCAGAATCCACAAAAAGAGTGTTTCAAAACTGCTCTATCAATAGAAAGGTTCAACTCTTTTAGTTGAGTACACACATCACGAACAAGTTTCTGAGAATGCTTCTGTCTGGCTTTTATTGGAAGACGTTTCCTTTTCACCAAAGGCATCAAAGCGCTCCAAATGTCCACTTCCAGATTCTTCCAAAAGAGTGTTTGAAACGTGCTCAAAGTAAGGGAATGTTCAACTCTGTGACTTGAATGCAGATATCACCAAGTAGTTTCTAATAGTGCTTCTGTCTAGATTTTAGATGATGATATTCCCGTTTCCAACGAAATCGTTAGATCTATCCAAATATCCACTTACAGTTTCTACCAAAAGGGTGTTTCCAAACTGCTGCATCAAAAGAAAGGTTCAACTGTGTTATTTGAGGACACACATCACAAAGAAGTTTGTGAGAATGCTTCTGTCTAGATTTTGTATGACCATATTCCCTTTTCCAACGATATCGTTAAAGCAATCTAAATATCAATTTGCAGAATCCACAAAAATAGAGTTTCAAAGCTGCTCTGTAAAAAGAAAGGTTCCACTCTGTTAGCTGAGTACACACATCACAAACTTGTTTCTGAGAATCCTGCTGTCTACCTTTTATTTGAATTCCCGCTTCCAACGAAATCCTCCAAGCTATCCAAATATCCACCTGCATTTTCCACAAAAAGAGTGTTTCAAAACTGCTCTATCAATAGAAATGTTCAACTCCTTTGGCTGGGTACACACATCACAAACAAGTTTGCTGAGAATGCTTTCTGTCTAGTTTTTATGGGAAGACATTCCCTTTTTCACCAAAGGCATCAAAGCGCTCCAAATGTCCACTTCCAGACACTACAAAAAGAGTGTTTCCAACGTGCTCTAAGAAAGCGAATGTTCAACTGCTGTGACTTGAATGCAGATATCACAAAGTAGTTTCTGAGAGGGCTTCTGTCTAGATTTTAGATGATGATATTCCCGTTTCCAAAGAAATCATTAGAGCTATCCAAATATCCACTTACAGTTTCTACAAAAAGAGTGTTTCCAAACTGCTGCATCAAAAGAGAGGTTCCACTCTGTTAGCTGAGTACACACATCACAAACTTGTTTCTCAGAATCCTTCTGTCTCGTTTTTATGGGAAGATATTTACTTTTTCACCGTAGGCATCAAAGCGCTCCAAATGTCCACATCCAGATACTACAGAAAGAGTATTTCAAACCTGCTCTATGAAAGGGAATCTTCAACTCTATGAGTTGAATGCAGACATCAGAAAGAAATTTCTGAGAATGCTGCTGTCTATCTTTTATTTGAATTCCCGTTTCCAACGAAATCCTCCAAGCTATCCAAATATCCACTTGCAGATTCCACAGAAAGAGTGTTTCAAAACTGCTCTCTATCAATGGCAAAGTTCAACTCTGTCAGTTGAGGACACATATCTCCAACAAGTTTCTGAGAATGCTTCTGTCTATTTTTTATGGGAAGATATTTCCTTTTTCAGCGTAGGCGTCAAGGCGATCGAAATGTCCACTTCCAGAAACTACAAAAAGAGTGTTTCAAACCTGCTCTATGAAAGGCCATGTTCATCTCTATGAGTTGAATGGAAATATCCGAAAGAAATTTCTGGGAATGCTGCTGTCTAGTTTTTATATGAATTCCCGCTTCCAACGAAATCCTCAAAGCAATCCAAATATCCACTTGCAGAATCCACAAAAAGAGTGTTTCAAAACTGCGCTATCAATAGAAAGGTTCAACTCTTTTAGTTGAGTACACACATCACGAACAAGTTTCTGAGAATGCTTCTGTCTGGCTTTCATTGGAAGACGTTTCCTTTTCACCAAAGGCATCAAAGCGCTCCAAATGTCCACTTCCAGATTCTTCCAAAAGAGTGTTTCAAACGTGCTCAAAGTAAGGGAATGTTCAACTCTGTGACTTGAATGCAGATATCACCAAGTAGTTTCTAATAGTGCTTCTGTCTAGATTTTAGATGATGATATTCCCGTTTCCAACGAAATCGTTAGAGCTATCCAAATATCCAGTTACAGTTTCTACCAAAAGGGTGTTTCCAAATTGCTGCATCAAAAGAAAGGTTTAACTCTGTTAGTTGAGGACACACATCACAAAGAAGTTTGTGAGAATGCTTCTGTCCAGCATTTTGTATGACGATATTCCCTTTTCCAACGATATCGTTAAAGCAATCTAAATATCAATTTCCAGAATCCACAAAAATAGAGTTTCAAAGCTGCTCTGTAAAAAGAAAGGTTCCACTCTGTTAGCTGAGTACACACATCACAAACTTGTTTCTGAGAATCCTTCTGTCTCGTTTTTATGGGAAGATATTTACTTTTCCACCGTAGGCATCAAAGCGCTCCAAATGTCCACATCCAGATACTCCAGAACGAGTGTTTCAAACCTGCTCTATGAAAGGGAATCTTCAACTCTATGAGTTGAATGCAGACATCAGAAAGAAATTTCTGAGAATGCTGCTGTCTACCTTTTATTTGAATTCCCGCTTCCAACGAAATCCTCCAAGCTATCCAAATATCCACCTGCATTTTCCACAACAAGAGTGTTTCAAAACTGCTCTATCAATAGAAATGTTCAACTCCTTTGGCTGGGTACACACATCACAAACAAGTTTCTGAGAATGCTTCTGTCTAGTTTTTATGGGAAGACGTTCCCTTTTTCACCAAAGTCATCAAAGCGCTCCAAATGTCCACTTCCAGACACTACAAAAAGAGTGTTTCCAACGTGCTCTAAGAAAGCGAATGTTCAACTCTGTGACTTGAATGCAGATATCACAAAGTAGTTTCTGAGAGGGCTTCTGTCTAGATTTTAGATGATGATATTCCCGTTTCCAACGAAATCATTAGAGCTATCCAAATATCCACTTACAGTTTCTACAAAAAGAGTGTTTCCAAACTGCTGCATCAAAAGAGAGGTTCCACTCTGTTAGCTGAGTACACACATCACAAACTTGTTTCTCAGAATCCGGCTGTCTACCTTTTATTTGAATTCCCGCTTCCAACGAAATCCTCCAAGCTATCCAAATATCCACTTGCAGATTCCACAAAAAGAGTGTTTCAAAACTGCTCTCTATCAATGGCAAAGTTCAACTCTGTTAGTTGAGGACACATATCACCAACAAGTTTCTGAGAATGCTTCTGTCTATTTTTTATGGGAAGATATTTCCTTTTTCACCGTAGGCGTCAAGGCGATCGAAATGTCCACTTCCACAAACTACAAAAAGAGTGTTTCAAACCTGCTCTATGAAAGGCCATGTTCACCTCTATGAGTTGAATGGAAATATCCGAAAGAAATTTCTGGGAATGCTGCTGTCTAGTGTTTATACGAATTCCCGCTTCCAACGAAATCCTCAAAGCAATCCAAATATCCACTTGCAGAATCCACAAAAAGAGTGTTTCAAAACTGCTCTATCAATAGAAAGGTTCAACTCTTTTAGATGAGTACACACATCACGAACAAGTTTCTGAGAATGCTTCTGTCTGGCTTTTATTGGAAGACGTTTCCTTTTCACCAAAGGCATCAAAGCGCTCCAAATGTCCACTTCCAGATTCTTCCAAAAGAGTGTTTCAAACGTGCTCAAAGTAAGGGAATGTTCAACTCTGTGACTTGAATGCAGATATCACCAAGTAGTTTCTAATAGTGCTTCTGTCTACATTTTAGATGATGATATTCCCGTTTCCAACGAAATCGTTAGAGGTATCCAAATATCCAGTTACAGTTTCTACCAAAAGGGTGTTTCCAAATTGCTGCATCAAAAGAAAGGTTCAACTCTGTTAGTTGAGGACACACATCACAAAGAAGTTTGTGAGAATGCTTCTGTCTAGATTTTGTATGACGATATTCCCTTTTCCAACGATATCGTTAAAGCAATCTAAATATCAATTTGCAGAATCCACAAAAATAGAGTTTCAAAGCTGCTCTGTAAAAAGAAAGGTTCCACTCTGTTAGCTGAGTACACACATCACAAACTTGTTTCTGAGAATCCTGCTGTCTACCTTTTATTTGAATTCCCGCTTCCAACGAAATCCTCCAAGCTATCCAAATATCCACCTGCATTTTCCACAAAAAGAGCGTTTCAAAACTGCTCTATCAATAGAAATGTTCAACTCCTTTGGCTGGGTACACACATCACAAACAAGTTTCTGAGAATGCTTCTGTCTAGTTTTTATGGGTAGACATTCCCTTTTTCACCAAAGGAATCAAAGCGCTCCAAATGTCCACTTCCAGCCACTACAAAAAGAGTGTTTCAAACGTGCTCTAAGAAAGCGAATGTTCAACTCTGTGACTTGAATGCAGATATCACACAGTAGTTTCTGAGAGTGCTTCTGTCTAGATTTTAGATGATGATATTCCCGTTTCCAACGAAATCATTAGAGCTATCCAAATATCCACTTACAGTTTCTACAAAAAGAGTGTTTCCAAACTGCTGCATCAAAAGAGAGGTTCCACTCTGTTAGCTGAGTACACACATCACAAACTTGTTTCTCAGAATCCTTCTGTCTCGTTTTTATGGGAAGATATTTACTTTTTCACCGTAGGCATCAAAGCGCTCCAAATGTCCACATCCAGATACTACAGAAAGAGTGTTTCAAACCTGCTCTATGAAAGGGAATCTTCAACTCTATGAGTTGAATGCAGACATCAGAAAGAAATTTCTGAGAATGCTGCTGTCTACCTTTTATTTGAATTCCCGCTTCCAACGAAATCCTCCAAGCTATCCAAATATCCACTTGCAGATTCCACAAAAAGAGTGTTTCAAAACTGCTCTCTATCAATGGCAAAGTTCAACTCTGTTAGTTGAGGACACATATCACCAACAAGTTTCTGAGAATGCTTCTGTCTATTTTTTAAGGGAAGATATTCCCTTTTTCACCGTAGGCGTCAAGGCGATCGAAATGTCCACTTTCACAAACTACAAAAAGAGTGTTTCAAACCTGCTCTATGAAAGGCCATGTTCATCTCTATGAGTTGAATGGATATATCCGAAAGAAATTTCTGGGAATGCTGCTGTCTAGTTTTTATACGAATTCCCGCTTCCAACGAAATCCTCAAAGCAATCCAAATATCCACTTGCAGAATCCACAAAAAGAGTGTTTCAAAACTGCTCTATCAATAGAAAGGTTCAACTCTTTTAGTTGAGTACACACATCACAAACAAGTTTCTGAGAATGCTTCTGTCTGGCTTTTATTGGAAGACGTTTCCTTTTCACCAAAGGCATCAAAGCGCTCCAAATGTCCACTTCCAGATTCTTCCAAAAGAGTGTTTGAAACGTGCTCAAAGTAAGGGAATGTTCAACTCTGTGACTTGAATGCAGATATCACCAAGTAGTTTCTAATAGTGATTCTGTCTCATTTTAGATGATGATATTCCCGTTTCCAAAGAAATCGTTAGAGCTATCCAAATATCCAGTTACAGTTTCTACCAAAAGGGTGTTTCCAAATTGCTGCATCAAAAGAAAGGTTCAACTCTGTTAGTTGAGGACACACATCACAAAGAAGTTTGTGAGAATGCTTCTGTCTAGATTTTGTATGACGATATTCCCTTTTCCAACGATATCGTTAAAGCAATCTAAATATCAATTTGCAGAATCCACAAAAATAGAGTTTCAAAGCTGCTCTGTAAAAAGAAAGGTTCCACTCTGTTAGCTGAGTACACACATCACAAACTTGTTTCTGAGAATCCTTCTGTCTCGTTTTTATGGGAAGATATTTACTTTTTCACCGCAGGCATCAAAGCGCTCCAAATGTCCACATCCAGATACTCCAGAAAGAGTGTTTCAAACCTGCTCTATGAAAGGGAATCTTCAACTCTATGAGTTGAATGCAGACATCAGAAGGAAATTTCTGAGAATGCTTGCTGTCTACCTTTTATTTGAATTCCCGCTTCCAACGAAATCCTCCAAGCTATCCAAATATCCACTTGCATTTTCCACAAAAAGAGTGTTTCAAAACTGCTCTATCAATAGAAATGTTCAACTCCTTTGGCTGGGTACACACATCACAAACAAGTTTCTGAGAATGCTTCTGTCTAGTTTTTATGGGAAGACGTTCCCTTTTTCACCAAAGGCATCAAAGCGCTCCAAATGTCCACTTCAAGACACTACAAAAAGAGTGTTTCCAACGTGCTCTAAGAAAGCGAATGTTCAACTCTGTGACTTGAATGCAGATATCACAAAGTAGTTTCTGAGAGGGCTTCTGTCTAGATTTTAGATGATGATATTCCCGTTTCCAACGAAATCATTAGAGCTATCCAAATATCCACTTACAGTTTCTACAAAAAGAGTGTTTCCAAACTGCTGCATCAAAAGAGACGTTCCACTCTGTTAGCTGAGTACACACATCACAAACTTGTTTCTCAGAATCCTTCTGTCTCGTTTTTATGGGAAGATTATACTTTTTCACCGTAGGCATCAAAGCGCTCCAAATGTCCACATCCAGATACTACAGAAAGAGTGTTTCAAACCTGCTCTATGAAAGGGAATCTTCAACTCTATGAGTTGAATGCAGACATCAGAAAGAAATTTCTGAGAATGCTGCTGTCTACCTTTTATTTGAATTCCCGCTTCCAACGAAATCCTCCAAGCTATCCAAATATCCACTTGCAGATTCCACAAAAAGAGTGTTTCAAAACTGCTCTCTATCAATGGCAAAGTTCAACTCTGTTAGTTGAGGACACATATCACCAACAAGTTTCTGAGAATGCTTCTGTCTATTTTTTATGAGAAGATATTTCCTTTTTCACCGTAGGCGTCAAGGCGATCGAAATGTCCACTTCCACAAACTACAAAAAGAGTGTTTCAAACCTGCTCTATGAAAGGCGATGTTCATCTCTATGAGTTGAATGGAAATATCCGAAAGAAATTTCTGGGAATGCTGCTGTCTAGTGTTTATACGAATTCCCACTTCCAACGAAATCCTCAAAGCAATCCAAATATCCACTTGCAGAATCCACAAAAAGAGTGTTTCAAAACTGCTCTATCAATAGAAAGGTTCAACTCTTTTAGTTGAGTACACACATCACGAACAAGTTTCTGAGAATGCTTCTGTCTGGCTTTTATTGGAAGACGTTTCCTTTTCACCAAAGGCATCAAAGCGCTCCAAATGTCCACTTCCAGATTCTTCCAAAAGAGTGTTTGAAACGTGCTCAAAGTAAGGGAATGTTCAACTCTGTGACTTGAATGCAGATATCACCAAGTAGTTTCTAATAGTGCTTCTGTCTAGATTTTAGATGATGATATTCCCGTTTCCAACGAAATCGTTAGAGCTATCCAAATATCCACTTACAGTTTCTACAAAAAGAGTGTTTCCAAACTGCTGCATCAAAAGAAAGGTTCAACTCTGTTAGTTGAGGACACACATCACAAAGAAGTTTGTGATAATGCTTCTGTCTAGATTTTGTATGACGATATTCCCTTTTCCAACGATATCGTTAAAGCAATCTAAATATCAATTTGCAGAATCCACAAAAATAGAGTTTCAAAGCTGCTCTGTAAAAAGAAAGGTTCCACTGCTGTTAGCTGAGTACACACATCACAAACTTGTTTCTGAGAATCCTGCTGTCTACCTTTTATTTGAGTTCCCGCTTCCAACGAAATCCTCCAAGCTATCCAAATATCCACCTGCATTTTCAACAAAAAGAGTGTTTCAAAACTGCTCTATCAATAGAAATGTTCAACTCCTTTGGCTGGGTACACACATCACAAACAAGTTTCTGAGAATGCTTCTGTCTAGTTTTTATGGGAAGACGTTCCCTTTTTCACCAAAGGCATCAAAGCGCTCCAAATGTCCACTTCCAGACACTACAAAAAGAGTGTTTCAAACGTGCTCTAAGAAAGCGAATGTTCAACTCTGTGAGTTGAATGCAGATATCACAAAGTAGTTTCTGAGAGGGCTTCTGTCCAGATTTTGTATGACGATACTCCCTTTTCCAACGATATCGTTAAAGCAATCTAAATATCCATTTGCAGAATCCACAAAAATAGAGTTTCAAAGCTGCTCTGTAAAAAGAAAGGTTCCACTCTGTTAGCTGAGTACACACATCACAAACTTGTTTCTGAGAATCCTGCTGTCTACCTTTTATTTGAATTCCCGCTTCCAACGAAATCCTCCAAGCTATCCAAATATCCACTTGCAGATTCCACAAAAAGAGTGTTTCAAAACTGCTCTCTATCAATGGCAAAGTTCAACTCTGTTAGTTGAGGACACATATCACCAACAAGTTTCTGAGAATGCTTCTGTCTATTTTTTATGGGAAGATATTTCCTTTTTCACCGTAGGCATCAAGGCGATCGAAATGTCCACTTCCACAAACTACAAAAAGAGTGTTTCAAACCTGCTCTATGAAAGGCGATGTTCATCTCTATAAGTTGAATGGAAATATCCGAAAGAAATTTCTGGGAATGCTGCTGTCTAGTTTTTATACGAATTCCCGCTTCCAACGAAATCCTCAAAGCAATCCAAATATCCACTTGCAGAATCCACAAAAAGAGTGTTTCAAAACTGCTCTATCAATAGAAAGGTTCAAATCTTTTAGTTGAGTACACACATCACGAACAAGTTTCTGAGAATGCTTCTGTCTGGCTTTTATTGGAAGACGTTTCCTTTTCACCAAAGGCATCAAAGCGCTCCAAATGTCCACTTCCAGATTCTTCCAAAAGAGTGTTTCAAACGTGCTCAAAATAAGGGAATGTTCAATTCTGTGACTTGAATGCAGATATCACCAAGTAGTTTCTAATAGTGCTTCTGTCTAGATTTTAGATGATGATATTCCCGTTTCCAACGAAATCGTTAGAGCTATCCAAATATCCACTTACAGTTTCTACCAAAAGGGTGTTTCCAAACTGCTGCATCAAAAGAAAGGTTCAACTCTGTTAGTTGAGGACACACATCACAAAGGAAGTTTGTGAGAATGCTTCTGTCTAGATTTTGTATGACGATATTCCCTTTTCCAACGATATCGTTAAAGCAATCTAAATATCCATTTGCAGAATCCACAAAAATAGAGTTTCAAAGCTGCTCTGTAAAAAGAAAGGTTCCACTCTGTTAGCTGAGTACACACATCACAAACTTGTTTCTCAGAATCCTTCTGTCTCGTTTTTCTGGGAAGATATTTACTTTTTCACCGTAGGCATCAAAGCGCTCCAAATGTCCACATCCAGTTTCAAACCTGCTCTATGAAAGGGAATCTTCAACTCTATGAGTTGAATGCAGACATCAGAAAGAAATTTCTGAGAATGCTGCTGTCTAACTTTTATTTGAATTCCCGCTTCCAACGAAATCCTCCAAGCTATCCAAATATCCACCTGCATTTTCCACAAAAAGAGTGTTTCAAAACTGCTCTATCAATAGAAATGTTCAATTCCTTTGGCTGGGTACACACATCACAAACAAGTTTCTGAGAATGCTTCTGTCTAGTTTTTATGGGAAGACATTCCCTTTTTCACCAAAGGCATCAAAGCGCTCCAAATGTCCACTTCCAGACACTACAAAAAGAGTGTTTCAAACGTGCTCTAAGAAAGCGAATGTTCAACTCTGTGACTTGAATGCAGATATCACAAAGTAGTTTCTGAGAGGGCTTCTGTCTAGATTTTAGATGATGATATTCCCGTTTCCAACGAAATCATTAGAGCTATCCAAATATCCACTTACAGTTTCTACAAAAAGAGTGTTTCCAAACTGCTGCATCAAAAGAGAGGTTCCACTCTGTTAGCTGAGTACACACATCACAAACTTGTTTCTGAGAATCCGTCTGTCTCGTTTTTATGGGAAGATATTTACTTTTTCACCGTAGGCATCAAAGCGCTCCAAATGTCCACATCCAGATACTCCAGAAAGAGTGTTTCAAACCTGCTCTATGAAAGGGAATCTTCAACTCTATGAGTTGAATGCAGACATCAGAAAGAAATTTACTGAGAATGCTGCTGTCTACCTTTAATTTGAATTCCCGCTTCCAACGAAATCCTCCAAGCTATCCAAATATCCACTTGCACATTCCACAAAAAGAGTGTTTCAAAACTGCTCTCTATCAATGGCAAAGTTCAACTCTGTTAGTTGAGGACACATATCACCAACAAGTTTCTGAGAATGCTTCTGTCTATTTTTTATGGGAAGATATTTCCTTTTTCACCGTAGGCGTCAAGGCGATCGAAATGTCCACTTCCACAAACTACAAAAAGAGTGTTTCAAACCTGCTCTATGAAAGGCCATGTTCATCTCTATGAGTTGAATGGAAATATCCGAAAGAAATTTCTGGGAATGCTGCTGTCTAGTGTTTATACGAATTCCCGCTTCCAACGAAATCCTCAAAGCAATCCAAATATCCACTTGCAGAATCCACAAAAAGAGTGTTTCAAAACTGCTCTATCAATAGAAAGGTTCAACTCTTTTAGTTGAGGTACACACATCACGAACAAGTTTCTGAGAATGCTTCTGTCTGGCTTTTATTGGAAGACGTTTCCTTTTCACCAAAGGCATCAAAGCGCTCCAAATGTCCACTTCCAGATTCTTCCAAAAGAGTGTTTGAAACGTGCTCAAAGTAAGGGAATGTTCAACTCTGTGACTTGAATGCAGATATCACCAAGTAGTTTCTAATAGTGCTTCTGTCTAGATTTTAGATGATGATATTCCCGTTTCCAACGAAATCGTTAGAGCTATCCAAATATCCACTTACAGTTTCTACAAAAAGAGTGTTTCCAAACTGCTGCATCAAAAGAAAGGTTCAACTCTGTTAGTTGAGGACACACATCACAAAGAAGTTTGTGAGAATGCTTCTGTCCAGATTTTGTATGACGATATTCCCTTTTCCAACGATATCGTTAAAGCAATCTAAATATCCATTTGCAGAATCCACAAAAATAGAGTTTCAAAGCTGCTCTGTAAAAAGAAAGGTTCCACTCTGTTAGCTGAGTACACACATCACAAACTTGTCTCTCAGAATCCTTTCTGTCTCGTTTTTATGGGAAGACATTTACTTTTTCACCGTAGGCATCAAAGCGCTCCAAATGTCCACATCCAGATACTCCAGAAACAGTGTTTCAAACCTGCTCTATGAAAGGGAATCTTCAACTCTATGAGTTGAATGCAGACATCAGAAAGAAATTTCTGAGAATGCTGCTGTCTACCTTTTATTTGAATTCCCGCTTCCAACGAAATCCTCCAAGCTATCCAAATATCCACTTGCATTTTCCACAAAAAGAATGTTTCAAAACTGCTCTATCAATAGAAATGTTCAACTCCTTTGGCTGGGTACACACATCACAAACAAGTTTCTGAGAATGCTTCTGTCTAGTTTTTATGGGTAGACATTCCCTTTTTCACCAAAGGAATCAAAGCGCTCCAAATGTCCACTTCCAGACACTACAAAAAGAGTGTTTCAAACGTGCTCTAAGAAAGCGAATGTTCAACTCTGTGACTTGAATGCAGATATCACAAAGTAGTTTCTGAGAGGGCTTCTGTCTAGATTTTAGATGATGATATTCCCGTTTCCAACGAAATCATTAGAGCTATCCAAATATCCACTTACAGTTTCTACAAAAAGAGTGTTTCCAAACTGCTGCATCAAAAGAGAGGTTCCACTCTGTTAGCTGAGTACACACATCACAAACTTGTTTCTCAGAATCCTTCTGTCTCGTTTTTATGGGAAGATATTTACTTTTTCACCGTAGGCATCAAAGCGCTCCAAATGTCCACAATCAGATACTCCAGAAAGAGTGTTTCAAACCTGCTCTATGAAAGGGAATCTTCAACTCTATGAGTTGAATGCAGACATCAGAAAGAAATTTCTGAGAATGCTGCTGTCTACCTTTTATTTGAATTCCCGCTTCCAACAAAATCCTCCAAGCTATCCAAATATCCACTTGCAGATTCCACAAAAAGAGTGTTTCAAAACTGCTCTCTATCAATGGCAAAGTTCAACTCTGTTAGTTGAGGACACATATCACCAACAAGTTTCTGAGAATGCTTTCTGTCTATTTTTTATGGGAAGATATTTCCTTTTTCAGCGTAGGCGTCAAGGCGATCCGAAATGTCCACTTCCACAAACTACAAAAAGAGTGTTTCAAACCTGCTCTATGAAAGGCCATGTTCATCTCTATGAGTTGAATGGAAATATCCGAAAGAAATTTCTGGGAATGCTGCTGTCTAGTGTTTATACGAATTCCCGCTTCCAACGAAATCCTCAAAGCAATCCAAATATCCACTTGCAGAATCCACAAAAAGAGTGTTTCAAAACTGCTCTATCAATAGAAAGGTTCAACTCTTTTAGTTGAGTACACACATCACGAACAAGTTTCTGAGAATGCTTCTGTCTGGCTTTTATTGGAAGACGTTTCCTTTTCACCAAAGGCATCAAAGTGCTCCAAATGTCCACTTCCAGATTCTACCAAAAGAGTGTTTCAAACGTGCTCATAGTAAGGGAATGTTCAACTCTGTGACTTGAATGCAGATATCACCAAGTAGTTTCTAATAGTGCTTCTGTCTAGATTTTAGATGATGATATTCCCGTTTCCAACGAAATCGCTAGAGCTATCCAAATATCCAGTTACAGTTTCTACCAAAAGGGTGTTTCCAAATTGCTGCATCAAAAGAAAGGTTCAACTCTGTTAGTTGAGGACACACGTCACAAAGAAGTTTGTGAGAATGCTTCTGTCTAGATTTTGTATGACGATATTCCCTTTTCCAACGATATCGTTAAAGCAATCTAAATATCAATTTGCAGAATCCACAAAAATAGAGTTTCAAAGCTGCTCTGCAAAAAAGAAAGGTTCCACTCTGTTAGCTGAGTACACACATCACAAACTTGTTTCTGAGAATCCTTCTGTCTCGTTTTTATGGGAAGATATTTACTTTTTCACCGTAGGCATCAAAGCGCTCCAAATGTCCACATCCAGATACTCCAGAAAGAGTGTTTCAAACCTGCTCTATGAAAGGGAATCTTCAACTCTATGAGTTGAATGCAGACATCAGAAAGAAATTTCTGAGAATGCTGCTGTCTACCTTTTATTTGAACTCCCGCTTCCAACGAAATCCTCCAAGCTATCCAAATATCCACTTGCATTTTCCACAAAAAGAGTGCTTCAAAACTGCTCTATCAATAGAAATGTTCAACTCCTTTAGCTGGGTGCACACATCACAAACAAGTTTCTGAGAATGCTTCTGTCTAGTTTTTGTGGGAAGACATTCCCTTTTTCACCAAAGGCATCAAAGCGCTCCAAATGTCCACTTCCAGACACTACAAAAAGAGTGTTTCAAACGTGCTCTAAGAAAGCGAATGTTCAACTCTGTGACTTGAATGCAGATATCACCAAGTAGTTTCTGAGAGGGCTTCTGTCTAGATTTTAGATGATGATATTCCCGTTTCCAACGAAATCATTAGAGCTATCCAAATATCCACTTACAGTTTCTACAAAAAGAGTGTTTCCAAACTGCTGCATCAAAAGAGAGGTTCCACTCTGTTAGCTGAGTACACACATCACAAACTTGTTTCTCAGAATCCTTCTGTCTAGTTTTCATGGGAAGATATTTACTTTTTCACCGTAGGTATCAAAGCGCTCCAAATGACCACATCCAGATACTACAGAAAGAGTGTTTCAAACCTGCTCTATGAAAGGGAATCTTCAACTCAATGAGTTGAATGCAGACATCAGAAAGTAATTTCTGAGAATGCTGCTGTCTACCTTTTATTTGAATTCCCGCTTCCAACGAAATCCTCCAAGCTATCCAAATATCCACTTGCAGATTCCACAAAAAGAGTGTTTCAAAACTGCTCTCTATCAATGGCAAAGTTCAACTCTGTTAGTTGAGGACACATATCAGCAACAAGTTTCTGAGGATGCTTCTGTCTATTTTTTATGGGAAGATATTTCCTTTTTCACCGTAGGCGTCAAGGCGATCGAAATGTCCACTTCCACAAACTACAAAAAGAGTGTTTGAAACCTGCTCTATGAAAGGCCATGTTCATCTCTATGAGTTGAATGGAAATATCCGAAAGAAATTTCTGGGAATGCTGCTGTCTAGTGTTTATACGAATTCCCGCTTCCAACGAAATCCTCAAAGCAATCCAAATATCCACTTGCAGAATCCACAAAAAGAGTGTTTCAAAACTGCTCTATCAATAGAAAGGTTCAACTCTTTTAGTTGAGTACACACATCACCAACAAGTTTCTGAGAATGCTTCTGTCTGGCTTTTATTGGAAGACGTTTCCTTTTCACCAAAGGCATCAAAGCGCTCCAAATGTCCACTTCCAGATTCTTCCAAAAGAGTGTTTGAAACGTGCTCAAAGTAAGGGAATGTTCAACTCTGTGACTTGAATGCAGATATCACCAAGTAGTTTCTAATAGTGCTTCTGTCTAGATTTTAGATGATGATATTCCCGTTTCCAACGAAATCGTTAGAGCTATCCAAATATCCACTTACAGTTTCTACCAAAAGGGTGTTTCCAAACTGCTGCATCAAAAGAAAGGTTCAACTCTGTTAGTTGAGGACACACGTCACAAAGCTGTTTGTGAGAATGCTTCTGTCCAGATTTTGTATGACGATATTCCCTTTTCCAACGATATCGTTAAAGCAATCTAAATATCAATTTGCAGAATCCACAAAAATAGAGTTTCAAAGCTGCTCTGTAAAAAGAAAGGTTCCACTCTGTTAGCTGAGTACACACATCACAAACTTGTTTCTGAGAATCCTTCTGTCTCGTTTTTATGGGAAGATATTTACTTTTTCACTGTAGGCATCAAAGCGCTCCACATGTCCACATCCAGATACTACAGAAAGAGTATTTCAAACCTGTCCTATGAAAGGGAATGTTCAACTCTATGAGTTGAATGCAGACATCAGAAAGAAATTTCTGAGAATGCTGCTGTCTACCTTTTATTTGAATTCCCGCTTCCAACGAAATCCTCCAAGCTATCCAAATATCCACTTGCATTTTCCACAAAAAGAGTGTTTCAAAACTGCTCTATCAATAGAAATGTTCAACTCCTTTAGCTGGGTACACACATCACAAACAAGTTTCTGAGAATGCTTCTGTCTAGTTTTTATGGGAAGACATTCCCTTTTTCACCAAAGGCATCAAAGCGCTCCAAATGTCCACTTCCAGACACTACAAAAAGAGTGTTTCAAACGTGCTCTAAGAAAGCGAATGTTCAACTCTGTGAGTTGAATGCAGATATCACAAAGTAGTTTCTGAGAGGGCTTCTGTCTAGATTTTAGATGATGATATTCCCGTTTCCAACGAAATCATTAGAGCTATCCAAATATCCACTTACAGTTTCTACAAAAAGAGAGTTTCCAAACTGCTGCATCAAAAGAGAGGTTCCACTCTGTTAGCTGAGTACACACATCACAAACTTGTTTCTCAGAATCCTTCTGTCTCGTTTTTTATGGGAAGATATTTACTTTTCCACCGTAGGCATCAAAGCGCTCCAAATGTCCACATCCAGATACTCCAGAACGAGTGTTTCAAACCTGCTCTATGAAAGGGAATCTTCAACTCTATGAGTTGAATGCAGACATCAGAAAGAAATTTCTGAGAATGCTGCTGTCTACCTTTTATTTGAATTCCCGCTTCCAACGAAATCCTCCAAGCTATCCAAATATCCACTTGCAGATTCCACAAAAAGAGTGTTTCAAAACTGCTCTCTATCAATGGCAAAGTTCAACTCTGTTAGTTGAGGACACATATCACCAACAAAGGTTTGTCTGAGAATGCTTCTGTCTATTTTTTATGGGAAGATATTTCCTTTTTCACCGTAGGCGTCAAGGCGATCGAAATGTCCACTTCCACAAACTACAAAAGGAGTGCTTCAAACCTGCTCTATGAAAGGCCATGTTCATCTCTATGAGTTGAATGGAAATATCCGAAAGAAATTTCTGGGAATGCTGCTGTCTAGTTTTTATACGAATTCCCGCTTCCAACGAAATCCTCAAAGCAATCCAAATATCCACTTGCAGAATCCACAAAAAGAGTGTTTCAAAACTGCTCTATCAATAGAAAGGTTCAACTCTTTTAGTTGAGTTCACACATCACAAACAAGTTTCTGAGAATGCTTCTGTCTGGCTTTTATTGGAAGACGTTTCCTTTTCACCAAAGGCATCAAAGCGCTCCAAATGTCCACTTCCAGATTCTTCCAAAAGAGTGATTCAAACGTGCTCAAAGTAAGGGAATTTCAACTCTGTGACTTGAATGCAGATATCACCAAGTAGTTTCTAATAGTGCTTCTGTCTACATTTTAGATGATGATATTCCCGTTTCCAACGAAATCGCTAGAGCTATCCAAATATCCAGTTACAGTTTCTACCAAAAGGGTGTTTCCAAATTGCTGCATCAAAAGAAAAGTTCAACTCTGTTAGTTGAGGACACACATCACAAAGAAGTTTGTGAGAATGCTTCTGTCTAGATTTTGTATGACGATATTCCCTTTTCCAACGATATCGTTAAAGCAATCTAAATATCCATTTGCAGAATCCACAAAAATAGAGTTTCAAAGCTGCTCTGTAAAAAGAAAGGTTCCACTCTGTTAGCTGAGTACACACATCACAAACTTGTTTCTGAGAATCCTTCTGTCTCGTTTTTATGGGAAGATATTTACTTTTTCACTGTAGGCATCAAAGCGCTCCAAATGTCCACATCCAGATACTCCAGAAAGAGTGTTTCAAACCTGCTCTATGAAAGGGAATCTTCAACTCTATGAGTTGAATGCAGACATCAGAAAGAAATTTCTGAGAATGCTGCTGTCTACCTTTTATTAGAATTCCCGCTTCCAACGAAATCCTCCAAGCTATCCAAATATCCACCTGCATTTTCCACAAAAAGAGTGTTTCAAAACTGCTCTATCAATAGAAATGTTCAACTCCTTTGGCTGGGTACACACATCACAAACAAGTTTCTGAGAATGCTTCTGTCTAGTTTTTATGGGAAGACGTTCCCTTTTTCACCAAAGCCATCAAAGCGCTCCAAATGTCCACTTCCAGACACTACAAAAAGAGTGTTTCAAACGTGCTCTAAGAAAGCGAATGTTCAACTCTGTGACTTGAATGCAGATATCACAAAGTAGTTTCTGAGAGTGCTTCTGTCTAGATTTTAGATGATGATATTCCCGTTTCCAACGAAATCATTAGAGCTATACAAATATCCACTTACAGTTTCTACAAAAAGAGTGTTTCCAAACTGCTGCATCAAAAGAGAGGTTCCACTCTGTTAGCTGAGTACACACATCACAAACTAGTTTCTCAGAATCCTTCTGTCTCGTTTTTATGGGAAGATATTTACTTTCTCACCGTAGGCATCAAAGCGCTCCAAATGTCCACATCCAGATACTCCAGAAAGAGTGTTTCAAACCTGCTCTATGAAAGGGAATCTTCAACTCTATGAGTTGAATGCAGACATCAGAAAGAAATTTCTGAGAATGCTGCTGTCTACCTTTTATTTGAATTCCCGCTTCCAACGAAATCCTCCAAACTATCCAAATATCCACTTGCAGATTCCACAAAAAGAGTGTTTCAAAACTGCTCTCTATCAATGGCAAAGTTCAACTCTGTTAGTTCAGGACACATATCACCAACAAGTTTCTGAGAATGCTTCTGTCTATTTTTTATGGGAAGATATTTCCTTTTTCACCGTAGGCGTCAAGGCGATCGAAATGTCCACTTCCACAAAATACAAAAAGAGTGTTTCAAACCTGCTCTATGAAAGGCCATGTTCATCTCTATGAGTTGAATGGAAATATCCGAAAGAAATTTCTGGGAATGCTGCTGTCTAGTGTTTATACGAATTCCCGCTTCCAACGAAATCCTCAAAGCAATCCAAATATCCACTTGCAGAATCCACAAAAAGAGTGTTTCTAAACTGCTCTATCAATAGAAAGGTTCAACTCTTTTAGTTGAGTACACACATCACGAACAAGTTTCTGAGAATGCTTCTGTCTGGCTTTTATTGGAAGACGTTTCCTTTTCACCAAAGGCATCAAAGCGCTCCAAATGTCCACTTCCAGATTCTTCCAAAAGAGTGTTTCAAACGTGCTCAAAGTAAGGGAATGTTCAACTCTGTGACTTGAATGCAGATATCACCAAGTAGTTTCTAATAGTGCTTCTGTCTAGATTTTAGATGATGATATTCCCGTTTCCAACGAAATCGTTAGAGCTATCCAAATATCCACTTACAGTTTCTACCAAAAGGGTGTTTCCAAACTGCTGCATCAAAAGAAAGATTCAACTCTGTTAGTTGAGGACACACATCACAAAAAAGTTTGTGAGAATGCTTCTGTCTAGATTTTGTATGACGATATTCCCTTTTCCAACGATATCGTTAAAGCAATCTAAATATCCATTTGCAGAATCCACAAAAATAGAGTTTCAAAGCTGCTCTGTGAAAAGAAAGGTTCCACTCTGTTAGCTGAGTACACACATCACAAACTTGTTTCTCAGAATCCTTCTGTCTCGTTTTTATGGGAAGATATTTACTTTTTCACCGTAGGCATCAAAGCGCTCCAAATGTCCACATCCAGATACTACAGAAAGAGTATTTCAAACCTGCTCTATGAAAGGGAATGTTCAACTCTATGAGTTGAATGCAGACATCAGAAAGAAATTTCTGAGAATGCTGCTGTCTACCTTTTATTTGAATTCACGCTTCCAACGAAATCCTCCAAGCTATCCAAATATCCACTTGCATTTTCCACAAAAAGAGTGTTTCAAAACTGCTCTATCAATAGAAATGTTCAACTCCTTTAGCTGGGTACACACATCACAAACAAGTTTCTGAGAATGCTTCTGTCTAGTTTTTATGGGAAGACATTCCCTTTTTCACCAAAGGCATCAAAGCGCTCCAAATGTCCACTTCCAGACACTACAAAAAGAGTGTTTCAAACGTGCTCTAAGAAAGCGAATGTTCAACTCTGTGACTTGAATGCAGATATCACAAAGTAGTTTCTGAGAGGGCTTCTGTCTAGATTTTAGATGATGATATTCCCGTTTCCAACGAAATCATTAGAGCTATCCAAATATCCACTTACAGTTTCTACAAAAAGAGTGTTTCCAAACTGCTGCATCAAAAGAGAGGTTCCACTCTGTTAGCTGAGTACACACATCACAAACTAGTTTCTCAGAATCCTTCTGTCTCGTTTTTATGGGAAGATATTTACTTTCTCACCATAGGCCTCAAAGCGCTCCAAATGTCCACATCCAGATACTCCAGAAAGAGTGTTTCAAACCTGCTCTATGAAAGGGAATCTTCAACTCTATGAGTTGAATGCAGACATCAGAAAGAAATTTCTGAGAATGCTGCTGTCTACCTTTTATTTGAATTCCCACTTCCAACGAAATCCTCCAAGCTATCCAAATATCCACTTGCAGATTCCACAAAAAGAGTGTTTCAAAACTGCTCTCTATCAATGGCAAAGTTCAACTCTGTTAGTTGAGGACACATATCACCAACAAGTTTCTGAGAATGCTTCTGTCTATTTTTTATGGGAAGATATTTCCTTTTTCACCGTAGGCGTCAAGGTGATCGAAATGTCCACTTCCACAAACTACAAAAAGAGTGTTTCAAACCTGCTCTATGAAAGGTCATGTTCTTCTCTATGAGTTGAATGGAAATATCCGAAAGAAATTTCTGGTAATGCTGCTGTCTAGTTTTTATACGAATTCCCGCTTCCAACGAAATCCTCAAAGCAATCCAAATATCCACTTGCAGAATCCACAAAAAGAGTGTTTCAAAACTGCTCTATCAATAGAAAGGTTCAACTCTTTTAGTTGAGTACACACATCACAAACAAGTTTCTGAGAATGCTTCTGTCGGGCTTTTATTGGAAGACGTTTCCTTTTCACCAAAGGCATCAAAGCGCTCCAAATGTCCACTTCCAGATTCTTCCAAAAGAGTGTTTCAAACGTGCTCAAAGTAAGGGAATGTTCAACTCTGTGACTTGAATGCAGATATCACCAAGTAGTTTCTAATAGTGCTTCTGTCTAGATTTTAGATGATGATATTCCCGTTTCCAACGAAATCGTTAGAGCTATCCAAATATCCAGTTACAGTTTCTACCAAAAGGGTGTTTCCAAATTGCTGCATCAAAAGAAAGGTTCAACTCTGTTAGTTGAGGACACACATCACAAAGAAGTTTGTGAGAATGCTTCTGTCTAGATTTTGTATGACGGTATTCCCTTTTCCAACGATATCGTTAAAGCAATCTAAATATCAATTTGCAGAATCCACAACAATAGAGTTTCAAAGCTGCTCTGTAAAAAGAAAGGTTCCACTCTGTTAGCTGAGTACACACATTACAAACTTGTTTCTGAGAATCCTTCTGTCTCGTTTTTATGGGAAGATATTTACTTTTCCACCGTAGGCATCAAAGCGCTCCAAATGTCCACATCCAGATACTCCAGAAAGAGTGTTTCAAACCTGCTCTATGAAAGGGAATGTTCAACTCTATGAGTTGAATGCAGACATCAGAAAGAAATTTCTGAGAATGCTGCTGTCTACCTTTTATTTGAATTCCCGCTTCCAACGAAATCCTCCAAGCTATCCAAATATCCACCTGCATTTTCCACAACAAGAGTGTTTCAAAACTGCTCTATCAATAGAAATGTTCAACTCCTTTGGCTGGGTACACACATCACAAACAAGTTTCTGAGAATGCTTCTGTCTAGTTTTTATGGGAAGACGTTCCCTTTTTCACCAAAGGCATCAAAGCGCTCCAAATGTCCACTTCCAGACACTACAAAAAGAGTGTTTCAAACGTGCTCTAAGAAAGCGAATGTTCAACTCTGTGACTTGAATGCAGATATCACAAAGTGGTTTCTGAGAGTGCTTCTGTCTAGATTTTAGATGATGATATTCCCGTTTCCAACGAAATCATTAGAGCTATCCAAATATCCACTTACAGTTTCTACAAAAAGAGTGTTTCCAAACTGCTGCATCAAAAGAGAGGTTCCACTCTGTTAGCTGAGTACACACATCACAAACTTGTTTCTCAGAGTCCTGCTGTCTACCTTTTATTTGAATTCCCGCTTCCAACGAAATCCTCCAAGCTATCCAAATATCCACTTGCAGATTCCACAAAAATAGTGTTTCAAAACTGCTCTCTATCAATGGCAAAGTTCAACTCTGTTAGTTGAGGACACATATCACCAACAAGTTTCTGAGAATGCTTCTGTCTATTTTTTATGGGAAGATATATCCTTTTTCACCGTAGGCGTCAAGGCAATCGAAATGTCCACTTCCACAAACTACAAAAAGAGTGTTTCAAACCTGCTCTATGAAAGGCCATGTTCATCTCTATGAGTCGAATGGAAATATCCGAAAGAAATTTCTGGGAATGCTGCTGTCTAGTTTTTATACGAATTCCCGCTTCCAACGAAATCCTCAAAGCAATCCAAATATCCACTTGCAGAATCCACAAAAAGAGTGTTTCAAAACTGCTCTATCAATAGAAAGGTTCAACTCTTTTAGTTGAGTACACACATCACAAACAAGTTTCTGAGAATGCTTCTGTCTGGCTTTTATTGGAAGACGTTTCCTTTTCACCAAAGGCATCAAAGCGCTCCAAATGTCCACTTCCAGATTCTTCCAAAAGAGTGTTTGAAACGTGCTCAAAGTAAGGGAATGTTCAACTGCTGTGACTTGAATGCAGATATCACCAAGTAGTTTCTAATAGTGCTTCTGTCTACATTTTGATGATGATATTCCCGTTTCCAACGAAATCGTTAGAGCTATCCAAATATCCAGTTAGTTTCTACCAAAAGGGTGTTTCCAAATTGCTGCATCAAAAGAAAGGTTCAACTCTGTTAGTTGAGGACACACATCACAAAGAAGTTTGTGAGAATGCTTCTGTCTAGATTTTGTATGACGATATTCCCTTTTCCAACGATATCGTTAAAGCAATCTAAATATCAATTTGCAGAATCCACAAAAATAGAGTTTCAAAGCTGCTCTGTAAAAAGAAAGGTTCCACTCTGTTAGCTGAGTACACACATCACAAACTTGTTTCTCAGAATCCTGCTGTCTACCTTTTATTTGAATTCCCGCTTCCAACGAAATCCTCCAAGCTATCCAAATATCCACCTGCATTTTCCACAAAAAGAGTGTTTCAAAACTGCTCTATCAATAGAAATGTTCAACTCCTTTGGCTGGGTACACACATCACAAACAAGTTTCTGAGCATGCTTCTGTCTAGTTTTTATGGGAAGACATTCCCTTTTTCACCAAAGGCATCAAAGCGCTCCAAATGTCCACTTCCAGACACTACAAAAAGAGTGTTTCAAACGTGCTCTAAGAAAACGAATGTTCAACTCTGTGACTTGAATGCAGATATCACAGAGTAGTTTTCTGAGAGGGCTTCTGTCTAGATTTTAGATGATGATATTCCCGTTTCCAACGAAATCATTAGAGCTATCCAAATATCCACTTACAGTTTCTACAAAAAGAGTGTTTCCAAACTGCTGCATCAAAAGAGAGGTTCCACTCTGTTAGCTGAGTACACACAGCACAAACTTGTTTCTCAGAATCCTTCTGTCTCGTTTTTATGGGAAGATATTTACTTTTTCACCGTAGGCATCAAAGCGCTCCAAATGTCCACATCCAGATACTCCAGAAAGAGTGTTTCAAACCTGCTCTATGAAACGGAATCTTCAACTCTATGAGTTGAATGCAGACATCAGAAAGAAATTTCTGAGAATGCTGCTGTCTACCTTTTATTTGAATTCCCGCTTCCAACGAAATCCTCCAAGCTATCCAAATATCCACTTGCAGATTCCACAAAAAGAGTGTTTCAAAACTGCTCTCTATCAATGGCAAAGTTCAACTCTGTTAGTTGAGGACACATATCACCAACAAGTTTCTGAGAATGCTTCTGTCTATTTTTTATGGGAAGATATTTCCTTTTTCACCGTAGGCGTCAAGGCGATCGAAATGTCCACTTCCACAAACTACAAAAAGAGTGTTTCAAACCTGCTCTATGAAAGGCCATGTTCATCTCTATGAGTCGAATGGAAATATCCGAAAGAAATTTCTGGGAATGCTGCTGTCTAGTTTTTATACGAATTCCCGCTTCCAACGAAATCCTCAAAGCAATCCAAATATCCACTTGCAGAATCCACAAAAAGAGTGTTTCAAAACTGCTCTATCAATAGAAAGGTTCAACTCTTTTAGTTGAGTACACACATCACAAACAAGTTTCTGAGAATGCTTCTGTCTGGCTTTTATTGGAAGACGTTTCCTTTTCACCAAAGGCATCAAAGCGCTCCAAATGTCCACTTCCAGATTCTTCCAAAAGAGTGTTTCAAACGTGCTCAAAGTAAGGGAATGTTCAACTCTGTGAC
Source organism: Homo sapiens (assembly GCF_000001405.40). Lineage (NCBI taxonomy): Eukaryota > Metazoa > Chordata > Mammalia > Primates > Hominidae > Homo > Homo sapiens. The sequence goes on along the minus strand of NC_000022.11, from coordinate 15,013,748 downwards.
TTGAATGCAGATATCACCAAGTAGTTTCTAATAGTGCTTCTGTCTAAATTTTAGATGACGATATTCCCGTTTCCAACGAAATCGTTACAGCTATCCAATTATCCACTTACAGTTTCTACAAAAAGAGTGTTTCCAAACTGCTGCATCAAAAGAAAGGTTCAACTCTGTTAGTTGAGGACACACATCACAAAGAAGTTTGTGAGAATGCTTCTGTCCAGATTTTGTATGACGATATTCCCTTTTCCAACGATATCATTAAAGCAATCTAAATATCCATTTGCAGAATCCACAAAAATAGAGTTTCAAAGCTGCTCTGTAAAAAGAAAGGTTCCACTCTGTTAGCTGAGTACACACATCACATACTTGTCTCTCAGAATCCTTCTGTCTCGTTTTTATGGGAAGATATTTACTTTTCCACCGTAGGCATCAAAGCGCTCCAAATGTCCACATCCAGATACTCCAGAAAGAGTGTTTCAAACCTGCTCTATGAAAGGGAATCTTCAACTCTATGAGTTGAATGCAGACATCACAAAGAAATTTCTGAGAATGCTCCTGTCTACCTTTTATTTGAATTCCCGCTTCCAACGAAATCCTCCAAGCTATCCAAATATCCACTTGCATTTTCCACAAAAAGAGTGTTTCAAAACTGCTCTATCAATAGAAATGTTCAACTCCTTTAGCTGGGTACACACATCACAAACAAGTTTCTGAGAATGCTTCTGTCTAGTTTTTATGGGAAGACCATTCCCTTTTTCACCAAAGGCATCAAAGCGCTCCAAATGTCCACTTCCAGACACTACAAAAAGAGTGTTTCCAACGTGCTCTAAGAAAGCGAATGTTCAACTCTGTGACTTGCATGCAGATATCACAAAGTAGTTTCTGAGAGGGCTTCTGTCTAGATTTTAGATGATGATATTCCCGTTTCCAACGAAATCATTAGAGCTATCCAAATATCCACTTACAGTTTCTACAAAAAGAGTGTTTCCAAACTGCTGCATCAAAACAGAGGTTCCACTCTGTTAGCTGAGTACACACATCACAAACTAGTTTCTCAGAATCCTTCTGTCTCGTTTTTATGGGAAGATATTTACTTTTTCACCGTAGGCATCAAAGCGCTCCAAATGTCCACATCCAGATACTCCAGAAAGAGTGTTTCAAACCTGCTCTATGAAAGGGAATGTTCAACTCTATGAGTTGAATGCAGACATCAGAAAGAAATTTCTGAGAATGCTGCTGTCTACCTTTTATTTGAATTCCCGCTTCCAACGAAATCCTCCAAGCTATCCAAATATCCACCTGCATTTTCCACAACAAGAGTGTTTCAAAACTGCTCTCTATCAATGGCAAAGTTCAACTCTGTTAGTTGAGGACACATATCACCAACAAGTTTCTGAGAATGCTTCTGTCTATTTTTTATGGGAAGATAATTCCTTTTTCAGCGTAGGCGTCAAGGCGATCGAAATGTCCACTTCCACAAACTACAAAAAGAGTGTTTCAAACCTGCTCTATGAAAGGCCATGTTCATCTCTATGAGTTGAATGGAAATATCCGAAAGAAATTTCTGGGAATGCTGCTGTCTAGTTTTTATATGAATTCCCGCTTCCAACGAAATCCTCAAAGCAATCCAAATATCCACTTGCAGAATCCACAAAAAGAGTGTTTCAAAACTGCTCTATCAATAGAAAGGTTCAACTCTTTTAGTTGAGTACACACATCACCAACAAGTTTCTGAGAATGCTTCTGTCTGGCTTTTATTGGAAGACGTTTCCTTTTCACCAAAGGCATCAAAGCGCTCCAAATGTCCACTTCCAGATTCTTCCAAAGGAGTGTTTCAAACGTGCTCGAAGTAAGGGAATGTTCTACTCTGTGACTTGAATGCAGATATCACCAAGTAGTTTCTAATAGTGCTTATCTGTCTAGATTTTAGATGATGATATTCCCGTTTCCAACGAAATCGTTAGAGCTAAGCAAATATCCAGTTACAGTTTCTACAAAAAGGGTGTTTCCAAATTGCTGCATCAAAAGAAAGGTTCAACTCGGTTAGTTGAGGACACACACCACAAAGAAGTTTGTGAGAATGCTTCTGTCTAGATTTTGTATGACGATATTCCCTTTTCCAACGATATCGTTAAAGCAATCTAAATATCAATTTGCAGAATCCACAAAAATAGAGTTTCAAAGCTGCTCTGTAAAAAGAAAGGTTCCACTCTGTTAGCTGAGTACACACATCACAAACTTGTTTCTGAGAATCCTTGTCTGTCTCGTTTTTATGGGAAGATATTTACTTTTCCACCGTAGACATCAAAGCGCTCCAAATGTCCACATCCAGATACTCCAGAACGAGTGTTTCAAACCTGCTCTATGAAAGGGAATCTTCAACTCTATGAGTTGAATGCAGACATAAGAAAGAAATTTCTGAGAATGCTGCTGTCTAACTTTTATTTGAATTCCCGCTTCCAACGAAATCCTCCAAGCTATCCAAATATCCACCTGCATTTTCCACAAAAAGAGTGTTTCAAAACTGCTCTATCAATAGAAATGTTCAACTCCTTTGGCTGGGTACACACATCACAAACAAGTTTCTGAGAATGCTTCTGTCTAGTTTTTATGGGAAGACATTCCCTTTTTCACCAAAGGCATCAAAGCGCTCCAAATGTCCACTTCCAGACACTACAAAAAGAGTGTTTCCAACGTGCTCTAAGAAAGCGAATGTTCAACTGCTGTGACTTGAATGCAGATATCACAAAGTAGTTTCTGAGAGGGCTTCTGTCTAGATTTTAGATGATGATATTCCCGTTTCCAACGAAATCATTAGAGCTATCCAAATATCCACTTACAGTTTCTACAAAAAGAGTGTTTCCAAACTGCTGCATCAAAAGAGAGGTTCCACTCTGTTAGCTGAGTACACACATCACAAACTTGTTTCTCAGAATCCTTCTGTCTCGTTTTTATGGGAAGATATTTACTTTTTCATCGTAGGCATCAAAGCGCTCCAAATGTCCACATCCAGATACTCCAGAAAGAGTGTTTCAAACCTGCTCTATGAAAGGGAATGTTCAACTCTATGAGTTGAATGCAGACATCAGAAAGAAATTTCTGAGAATGCTGCTGTCTACCTTTTATTTGAATTCCCGCTTCCAACGAAATCCTCCAAGCTATCCAAATATCCACTTGCAGATTCCACAAAAAGAGTGTTTCAAAACTGCTCTCTATCAATGGCAAAGTTCAACTCTGTTAGTTGAGGACACATATCACCAACAAGTTTCTGAGAATGCTTCTGTCTATTTTTTATGGGAAGATATTTCCTTTTTCACCGTAGGCGTCAAGGCGATCGAAATGTCCACTTCCACAAACTACAAAAAGAGTGTTTCAAACCTGCTCTATGAAAGGCCATGTTCATCTCTATGAGTTGAATGGAAATATCCGAAAGAAATTTCTGGGAATGCTGCTGTCTAGTGTTTATACGAATTCCCGCTTCCAACGAAATCCTCAAAGCAATCCAAATATCCACTTGCAGAATCCACAAAAAGAGTGTTTCAAAACTGCTCTATCAATAGAAAGGTTCATCTCTTTTAGTTGAGTACACACATCACGAACAAGTTTCTGAGAATGCTTCTGTCTGGCTTTTATTGGAAGACGTTTTCTTTTCACCAAAGGCATCATCAAAGCGCTACAAATGTCCACTTCCAGATTCTTCCAAAAGAGTGTTTCAAACGTGCTCAAAGTAAGGGAATGTTCAACTCTGTGACTTGAATGCAGATATCACCAAGTAGTTTCTAATAGTGCTTCTGTCTAGATTTTAGATGATGATATTCCCGTTTCCAACGAAATCGTTAGAGCTAAGCAAATATCCAGTTACAGTTTCTACAAAAAGGGTGTTTCCAAATTGCTGCATCAAAAGAAAGGTTCAACTCTGTTAGTTGAGGACACACACCACAAAGAAGTTTGTGAGAATGCTTCTGTCTAGATTTTGTATGACGATATTCCCTTTTCCAACGATATCGTTAAAGCAATCTAAATATCAATTTGCAGAATCCACAAAAATAGAGTTTCAAAGCTGCTCTGTAAAAAGAAAGGTTCCACTCTGTTAGCTGAGTACACACATCACAAACTTGATTCTGAGAATCCTTCTGTCTCGTTTTTATGGGAAGATATTTACTTTTCCACCGTAGGCATCAAAGCGCTCCAAATGTCCACATCCAGATGCTCCAGAACGAGTGTTTCAAACCTGCTCTATGAAAGGGAATCTTCAACTCTATGAGTTGAATGCAGACATCAGAAAGAAATTTCTGAGAATGCTGCTGTCTACCTTTTATTTGAATTCCCGCTTCCAACGAAATCCTCCAAGCTATCCAAATATCCACTTGCATTTTCCACAAAAAGAGTGTTTCAAAACTGCTCTATCAATAGAAATGTTCAACTCCTTTAGCTGGGTACACACATCACAAACAAGTTTCTGAGAATGCTTCTGTCTAGTTTTTATGGGAAGACGTTCCCTTTTTCACCAAAGGCATCAAAGCGCTCCAAATGTCCACTTCCAGACACTACAAAAAGAGTGTTTCAAACGTGCTCTAAGAAAGCGAATGTTCAACTCTGTGACTTGAATGCAGATATCACAAAGTAGTTTGCTGAGAGGGCTTTCTGTCTAGATTTTAGATGATGATATTCCCGTTTCCAACGAAATCATTAGAGCTATTCAAATATCCACTTACAGTTTCTACAAAAAGAGTGTTTCCAAACTGCTGCATCAAAACAGAGGTTCCACTCTGTTAGCTGAGTACACACATCACAAACTTGTTTCTCAGAATCCTTCTGTCTCGTTTTTATGGGAAGATATTTACTTTTTCACCGTAGGCATCAAAGCGCTCCAAATGTCCACATCCAGATACTCCAGAAAGAGTGTTTCAAACCTGCTCTATGAAAGGGAATCTTCAACTCTATGAGTTGAATGCAGACATCAGAAAGAAATTTCTGAGAATGTTGCTGTCTACCTTTTATTTGAATTCCCGCTTCCAACGAAATCCTCCATGCTATCCAAATATACACTTGCAGATTCCACAAAAAGAGTGTTTCAAAACTGCTCTCTATCAATGGCAAAGTTCAACTCTGTTAGTTGAGGACACATATCACCAACAAGTTTCTGAGAATGCTTCTGTCTATTTTTTATGGGAAGATATTTCCTTTTTCACCGTAGGCGTCAAGGCGATCGAAATGTCCACTTCCACAAACTACAAAAAGAGTGTTTCAAACCTGCTCTATGAAAGGCCATGTTCATCTCTATGAGTTGAATGGAAATATCCGAAAGAAATTTCTGGGAATGCTGCTGTCTAGTTTTTATACGAATTACCGCTTCCAACGAAATCCTCAAAGCAATCCAAATATCCACTTGCAGAATCCACAAAAAGAGTGTTTCAAAACTGCTCTATCAATAGAAAGGTTCAAATCTTTTAGTTGAGTACACACATCATGAACAAGTTTCTGAGAATGCTTCTGTCTGGCTTTTATTGGAAGACGTTTCCTTTTCACCAAAGGCATCAAAGCGCTCCAAATGTCCACTTCCAGATTCTTCCAAAAGAGTGTTTCAAACGTGCTCAAAGTAAGGGAATGTTCAACTCTGTGACTTGAACGCAGATATCACCAAGTAGTTTCTAATAGTGCTTCTGTCTAGATTTTAGATGATGATATTCCCGTTTCCAACGAAATCGTTAGAGCTATCCAAATATCCACTTACAGTTTCTACAAAAAGAGTGTTTCCAAACTGCTGCATCAAAAGAAAGGTTCAACTCTGTTAGTTGAGGACACACATCACAAAGAAGTTTGTGAGAATGCTTCTGTCCAGATTTTGTATGACGATATTCCCTTTTCCAACGATATCGTTAAAGCAATCTAAATATCCATTTGCAGAATCCACAAAAATAGAGTTTCAAAGCTGCTCTGTAAAAAGAAAGGTTCCACTCTGTTAGCTGAGTACACACATCACAAACTTGTCTCTCAGAATCCTTGTCTGTCTCGTTTTTATGGGAAGATATTTACTTTTTCACCGTAGGCATCAAAGCGCTCCAAATGTCCACATCCAGATACTCCAGAAAGAGTGTTTCAAACCTGCTCTATGAAAGGGAATCTTCAACTTTATGAGTTGAATGCAGACATCAGAAAGAAATTTCTGAGAATGCTGCTGTCTACCTTTTATTTGAATTCCCGCTTCCAACGAAATCCTCCAAGCTATCCAAATATCCACTTGCATTTTCCACAAAAAGAGTGTTTCAAAACTGCTCTATCAATAGAAATGTTCAACTCCTTTGGCTGGGTACACACATCACAAACAAGTTTCTGAGAATGCTTCTGTCTAGTTTTTATGGGAAGACATTCCCTTTTTCACCAAAGGCATCAAAGCGCTCCAAATGTCCACTTCCAGACACTACAAAAAGAGTGTTTCCAACGTGCTCTAAGAAAGCGAATGTTCAACTCTGTGACTTGAATGCAGATATCACAAAGTAGTTTCTCAGAAGGCTTCTGTCTAGATTTTAGATGATGATATTCCCGTTTCCAACGAAATCATTAGAGCTATCCAAATATCCACTTACAGTTTCTACAAAAAGAGTGTTTCCAAACTGCTGCATCAAAAGAGAGGTTCCACTCTGTTAGCTGAGTACACACATCACAAACTTGTTTCTCAGAATCCTTCTGTCTCGTTTTTATGGGAAGATATTTACTTTTTCACCGTAGGCATCCAAGCGCTCCAAATGTCCACATCCAGATACTCCAGAAAGAGTGTTTCAAACCTGCTCTATGAAAGGGAATCTTCAACTCTATGAGTTGAATGCAGACATCAGAAAGAAATTTCTGAGAATGCTGCTGTCTACCTTTTATTTGAATTCCTGCTTCCAACGAAATCCTCCAAGCTATCCAAATATCCACTTGCAGATTCCACAAAAAGAGTGTTTCAAAACTGCTCTCTATCAATGGCAAAGTTCAACTCTGTTAGTTGAGGACACATATCACCAACAAGTTTCTGAGAATGCTTCTGTCTATTGTTTATGGGAAGATATTTCCTTTTTCACTGTAGGCGTCACGGCGATCGAAATGTCCACTTCCACAAACTACAAAAAGAGTGTTTCAAACCTGCTCTATGAAAGGCGATGTTCATCTCTATGAGTTGAATGGAAATATCCGAAAGAAATTTCTGGGAATGCTGCTGTCTAGTTTTTATATGAATTCCCGCTTCCAACGAAATCCTCAAAGCAATCCAAATATCCACTTGCAGAATCCACAAAAAGAGTGTTTCAAAACTGCTCTATCAATAGAAAGGTTCAACTCTTTTAGTTGAGTACACACATCACAAACAAGTTTACTGAGAATGCTTCTGTCTGGCTTTTATTAGAAGACGTTTCCTTTTCACCAAAGGCATCATCAAAGCGCTCCAAATGTCCACTTCCAGATTCTTCCAAAAGAGTGTTTGAAACGTGCTCAAAGTAAGGGAATGTTCAACTCTGTGACTTGAATGCAGATATCACCAAGTAGTTTCTAATACTTGCTTCTGTCTAGATTTTAGATGATGATATTCCCGTTTCCAACGAAATCGTTAGAGCTATCCAAATATCCACTTACAGTTGCTACAAAAACAGTGTTTCCAAACTGCTGCATCAAAAGAAAGGTTCAACTCTGTTAGTTGAGGACACACGTCACAAAGAAGTTTGTGAGAATGCTTCTGTCTAGATTTTGTATGACGATATTCCCTTTTCCAACGATATCGTTAAAGCAATCTAAATATCAATTTGCAGAATCCACAAAAATAGAGTTTCAAAGCTGCTCTGTAAAAAGAAAGGTTCCACTCTGTTAGCTGAGTACACACATCACAAACTTGTTTCTCAGAATCCTTCTGTCTCGTTTTTATGGGAAGATATTTACTTTTCCACCGTAGGCATCAAAGCGCTCCAAATGTCCACATCCAGATACTCCAGAACGAGTGTTTCAAACCTGCTCTATGAAAGGGAATCTTCAACTCTATGAGTTGAATGCAGACATCAGAAAGAAATTTCTGAGAATGCTGCTGTCTACCTTTTATTTGAATTCCCGCTTCCAACGAAATCCTCCAAGCTATCCAAATATCCACCTGCATTTTCCACAAAAAGAGTGTTTCAAAACTGCTCTATCAATAGAAATGTTCAACTCCTTTAGCTGGGTACACACATCACAAACAAGTTTCTGAGAATGCTTCTGTCTAGTTTTTATGGGAAGACATTCCCTTTTTCACCAAAGGCATCAAAGCGCTCCAAATGTCCACTTCCAGACACTACAAAAAGAGTGTTTCCAACGTGCTCTAAGAAAGCGAATGTTCAACTCTGTGACTTGAATGCAGATATCACAAAGTAGTTTCTGAGAGGGCTTCTGTCTAGATTTTAGATGATGATATTCCCGTTTCCAACGAAATCATTAGAGCTATCCAAACATCCACTTACAGTTTCTACAAAAAGAGTGTTTCCAAACTGCTGCTTCAAAAGAAAGGTTCAACTCTGTTAGTTGAGGACACACATCACAAAGAAGTTTGTGAGAATGCTTCTGTCTCGTTTTTATGGGAAGATTATACTTTTTCACCGTAGGCATCAAAGCGCTCCAAATGTCCACATCCAGATACTCCAGAAAGAGTGTTTCAAACCTGCTCTATGAAAGGGAATGTTCAACTCTATGAGTTGAATGCAGACATCAGAAAGAAATTTCTGAGAATGCTGCTGTCTACCTTTTATTTGAATTCCCGCTTCCAACGAAATCCTCCAAGCTATCCAAATATCCACTTGCAGATTCCACAAAAAGAGTGTTTCAAAACTGCTCTCTATCAATGGCAAAGTTCAACTCTGTTAGTTGAGGACACATATCACCAACAAGTTTCTGAGAATGCTTCTGTCTATTTTTTATGGGAAGATATTTCCTTTTTCAGCGTAGGCGTCAAGGCGATCGAAATGTCCACTTCCACAAACTACAAAAAGAGTGTTTCAAACCTGCTCTATGAAAGGCCATGTTCATCTCTATGAGTTGAATGGAAATATCCGAAAGAAATTTCTGGGAATGCTGCTGTCTAGTGTTTATACGAATTCCCGCTTCCAACGAAATCCTCAAAGCAATCGAAATATCCACTTGCAGAATCCACAAAAAGAGTGTTTCAAAACTGCTCTATCAATAGAAAGGTTCAACTCTTTTAGTTGAGTACACACATCACGAACAAGTTTCTGAGAAGGCTTCTGTCTGGCTTTTATTGGAAGACGTTTCCTTTTCACCAAAGGCATCAAAGCGCTCCAAATGTCCACTTCCAGATTCTTCCAAAAGAGTGTTTCAAACGTGCTCGAAGTAAGGGAATGTTCTACTCTGTGACTTGAATGCAGATATCACCAAGTAGTTTCTAATAGTGCTTCTGTCTAGATTTTAGATGATGATATTCCCGTTTCCAACGAAATCGTTAGAGCTATCCAAATATCCACTTACAGTTTCTACCAAAAGGGTGTTTCCAAATTGCTGCATCAAAAGAAAGGTTCAACTCTGTTAGTTGAGGACACACATCACAAAGAAGTTTGTGAGAATGCTTCTGTCTAGTATTTTGTATGACGATATTCCCTTTTCCAACGATATCGTTAAAGCAATCTAAATATCAATTTGCAGAATCCACAAAAATAGAGTTTCAAAGCTGCTCTGTAAAAATAAAGGTTCCACTCTGTTAGCTGAGTACACACATCACAAACTTGTTTCTGAGAATCCTTCTGTCTCGTTTTTATGGGAAAATATTTACTTTTCCACCGTAGGCATCAAAGCGCTCCAAATGTCCACATCCAGATACTCCAGAAAGAGTGTTTCAAACCTGCTCTATGAAAGGGAATCTTCAACTCTATGAGTTGAATGCAGACATCAGAAAGAAATTTCTGAGAATGCTGCTGTCTACCTTTTATTTGAATTCCCGCTTCCAACGAAATCCTCCTAGCTATCCAAACATCCACTTGCATTTTCCACAAAAAGAGTGTTTCAAAACTGCTCTATCAATAGAAACGTTCAACTCCTTTAGCTGGGTACACACATCACAAACAAGTTTCTGAGAACGCTTCTGTCTAGTTTTTATGGGAAGACATTCCCTTTTTCACCAAAGGCATCAAAGCGCTCCAAATGTCCACTTCCAGACACTACGAAAAGAGTGTTTCAAACGTGCTCTAAGAAACCGAATGTTCAACTCTGTGAGTTGAATGCAGATATCACAAAGTAGTTTCTGAGAGGGCTTCTGTCTAGATTTTAGATGATGATATTCCCGTTTCCAACGAAATCATGATAGCTATCCAAATATCCACTTACAGTTTCTACAAAAAGAGTGTTTCCAAACTGCTGCATCAAAACAGAGGTTCCACTCTGTTAGCTGAGTACACACATCACAAACTTGTTTCTGAGAATCCTGCTGTCTACCTTTTATTTGAATTCCCGCTTCCAACGAAATCCTCCAAGCTATCCAAATATCCACTTGCATTTTCCACAAAAAGAGTGTTTCAACACTGCTCTATCAATAGAAATGTTCAACTCCTTTAGCTAGGTACACACATCACAAACAAGTTTCTGAGAATGCTTTTGTCTATTTTTTATGGGAAGATATTTCCTTTTTCACCGTAGGCGTCAAGGCGATCGAAATGTCCACTTCCACAAACTACAAAAAGAGTGTTTCAAACCTGCTCTATGAAAGGCCATGTTCATCTCTATGAGTTGAATGGAAATATCCGAAAGAAATTTCTGGGAATGCTGCTGTCTAGTTTTTATATGAATTCCCGCTTCCAACGAAATCCTCAAAGCAATCCAAATATCCACTTGCAGAATCCACAAAAAGAGTGTTTCAAAACTGTGCTATCAATAGAAAGGTTCAACTCTTTTAGTTGAGTACACACATCACGAACAAGTTTCTGAGAATGCTTCTGTCTGGCTTTTATTGGAAGACGTTTCCTTTTCACCAAAGGCATCAAAGCGCTCCAAATGTCCACTTCCAGATTCTTCCAAAAGAGTGTTTCAAACGTGGTCGAAGTAAGGGAGTGTTCAACTCTGTGACTTGAATGCTGATATCACCAAGTAGTTTCTAATAGTGCTCTGTCTAGATTTTAGATGATGATATTCCCGTTTCCAACGAAATCGTTAGAGCTATCCAAATATCCACTTACAGTTGCTACAAAAACAGTGTTTCCAAACTGCTGCATCAAAAGAAAGGTTCAACTCTGTTAGTTGAGGACACACATCACAAAGAAGTTTGTGAGAATGCTCTCTGTCTAGGATTTTGTATGACGATATTCCCTTTTCCAACGATATCGTTAAAGCAATCTAAATATCAATTTGCAGAATCCACAAAAATAGAGTTTCAAAGCTGCTCTGTAAAAAGAAAGGTTCCACTCTGTTAGCTGAGTACACACATCACAAACTTGTTTCTCAGAATCCTGCTGTCTACCTTTTATTTGAATTCCCGCTTCCAACGAAATCCTCCAAGCTATCCAAATATCCACTTGCATTTTCCACAAAAAGAGTGTTTCAAAACTGCTCTATCAATGGAAATGTTCAACTCCTTTAGCTGGGTACACACATCACAAACAAGTTTCTGAGAATGCTTCTGTCTAGTTTTTATGGGAAGACATTTCCTTTTTCGCCAAAGGCATCAAAGAGCTCCAAATGTCCACTTCCAGATACTACAAAAAGTGTGTTTCAAAAGTGCTGTAAGAAAGCGAATGTTCAACTCTGTGACTTGAATGCAGATATCGCAAAGTAGTTTCTGAGAGCGCTTCTGTCTAGATTTTAGATGATGATATTCCCGTTTCCAACGAAATCATTAGAGCTATCCAAATATCCACTTACAGTTTCTACAAAAAGAGTGTTTCCAAACTGCTGCGTCAAAAGAGAGGTTCCACTCTGTTAGCTGAGTACACACATCACAAACTTGTTTCTGAGAATCCTTCTGTCTCGTTTTTATGGGAAGATATTTACTTTTTCACCGTAGGCATCAAAGCGCTCCAAATGTCCACATCCAGATACTCCAGAAAGAGTGTTTCAAACCTGCTCTACGAAAGGGAATGTTCAACTCTATGAGTTGAATGCAGACATCAGAAAGAAATTTCTGAGAATGCTGCTGTCTACCTTTTATTTGAATTCCCGCTTCCAACGAAATCCTCCAAGCTATCCAAATATCCACTTGCAGATTCCACAAAAAGAGTGTTTCAAAACTGCTCTCTATCAATGGCAAAGTTCAACTCTGTTAGTTGAGGACACATATCACCAACAAGTTTCTGAGAATGCTTCTGTCTATTTTTTATGGGAAGATATTTCCTTTTTCACCGTAGGCGTCAAGGCGATCGAAATGTCCACTTCCACAAACTACAAAAAGAGTGTTTCAAACCTGCTCTATGAAAGGCCATGTTCATCTCTATGAGTTGAATGGAAATATCCGAAAGAAATTTCTGGGAATGCTGCTGTCTAGTTTTTATACGAATTCACGCTTCCAACGAAATCCTCAAAGCAATCCAAATATCCACTTGCAGAATCCACAAAAAGAGTGTTTCAAAACTGCTCTATCAATAGAAAGGTTCAACTCTTTTAGTTGAGTACACACATCACAAACAAGTTTCTGAGAATGCTTCTGTCTGGCTTTTATTGGAAGACGTTTCCTTTTCACCAAAGGCATCAAAGCGCTCCAAATGTCCACTTCCAGATTCTTCCAAAAGAGTGTTTCAAACGTGCTCAAAGTAAGGGAATGTTCAACTCTTTGACTTGAATGCAGATATCACCAAGTAGTTTCTAATAGTGCTTCTGTCTAGATTTTAGATGACGATATTCCCGTTTCCAACGAAATCGTTAGAGCTATCCAAATATCCACTTACAGTTTCTACAAAAAGAGTGTTTCCAAACTGCTGCATCAAAAGAAAGGTTCAACTCTGTTAGTTGAGGACACACATCACAAAGAAGTTTGTGAGAATGCTTCTGTCTAGATTTTGTATGACCATATTCCCTTTTCCAGCGATATCGTTAAAGCAATCTAAATATCCATTTGCAGAATCCACAAAAATAGAGTTTCAAAGCTGCTCTGTAAAAAGAAAGGTTCCACTCTGTTAGCTGAGTACACACATCACAAACTTGTTTCTGAGAATCCTTCTGTCTCGTTTTTATGGGAAGATATTTACTTTTTCACCGTAGGCATCAAAGCGCTCCAAATGTCCACATCCAGATACTCCAGAAAGTGTTTCAAACCTGCTCTATGAAAGGGAATCTTCAACTCTATGAGTTGAATGCAGACATCAGAAAGAAATTTCTGAGAATGCTGCTGTCTACCTTTTATTTGAATTCCCGCTTCCAACGAAATCCTCCAAGCTATCCAAATATCCACTTGCATTTTCCACAAAAAGAGTGTTTCAAAACTGCTGTATCAATAGAAATGTTCAACTCCTTTAGCTGGGTACACACATCACAAACAAGTTTCTGAGAATGCTTCTGTCTAGTTTTTATGGGAAGATATTCCCTTTTTCACCAAAGGCATCAAAGCGCTCCAAATGTCCACTTCCAGACACTACAAAAAGAGTGTTTCAAACGTGCTCTAAGAAAGCGAATGTTCAACTCTGTGACTTGAATGCAGATATCACAAAGTAGTTTTTGAGAGGGCTTCTGTCTAGATTTTAGATGATGATATTCCCGTTTCCAACGAAATCATTAGAGCTATCCAAATATCCACTTACAGTTTCTACAAAAAGAGTGTTTCCAAACTGCTGCATCAAAAGAGAGGTTCCACTCTGTTAGCTGAGTACACACATCACAAACTTGTTTCTCAAGAATCCTGCTGTCTACCTTTTATTTGAATTCCCGCTTCCAACGAAATCCTCCAAGCTATCCAAATATCCACTTGCAGATTCCACAAAAAGAGTGTTTCAAAACTGCTCTCTATCAATGGCAAAGTTCAACTCTGTTAGTTGAGGACACATATCATCAACAAGTTTCTGAGAATGTTTCTGTCTATTTTTTAAGGGAAGATATTTCCTTTTTCACCGTAGGCGTCAAGGCGATCGAAATGTCCACTTCCACAAACTACAAAAAGAGTGTTTCAAACCTGCTCTATGAAAGGCCATGTTCATCTCTATGAGTTGAATGGAAATATCCGAAAGAAATTTCTGGGAATGCTGCTGTCTAGTGTTTATACGAATTCCCGCTTCCAACGAAATCCTCAAAGCAATCCAAATATCCACTTGCAGAATCCACAAAAAGAGTGTTTCAAAACTGCTCTATCAATAGAAAGGTTCAACTCTTTTAGTTGAGTACACACATCACGAACAAGTTTCTGAGAATGCTTCTGTCTGGCTTTTATTGGAAGACGTTTCCTTTTCACCAAAGGCATCAAAGCGCTCCAAATGTCCACTTCCAGATTCTTCCAGAAGAGTGTTTCAAACGTGCTCAAAGTAAGGGAATGTTCAACTCTGTGACTTGAATGCAGATATCACCAAGTAGTTTCTAATAGTGCTTCTGTCTAGATTTTAGATGATGATATTCCCGTTTCCAACGAAATCGTTAGAGCTATCCAAATATCCACTTACAGTTGCTACAAAAACAGTGTTTCCAAACTGCTGCATCAAAAGAAAGGTTCAACTCTGTTAGTTGAGGACACACGTCACAAAGAAGTTTGTGAGAATGCTTCTGTCCAGATTTTGTATGACGATATTCCCTTTTCCAATGATATCGTTAAAGCAATCTAAATATCCATTTGCAGAATCCACAAAAATAGAGTTTCAAAGCTGCTCTGTGAAAAGAAAGGTTCCACTCTGTTAGCTGAGTACACACATCACAAACTTGTTTCTGAGAATCCTTCTGTCTCGTTTTTATGGGAAGATATTTACTTTTTCACCGTAGGCATCAAAGCGCTCCAAATGTCCACATCCAGATACTCCAGAAAGAATGTTTCAAACCTGCTCTATGAAAGGGAATCTTCAACTCTATGAGTTGAATGCAGACATCAGAAAGAAATTTCTGAGAATGCTGCTGTCTACCATTTATTTGAATTCCCGCTTCCAACGAAATCTTCCAACCTATCCAAATATCCACCTGCATTTTCCACAAAAAGAGTGTTTCAAAACTGCTCTATCAATAGAAATGTTCAACTCCTTTAGCTAGGTACACACATCACAAACAAGTTTCTGAGAATGCTTCTGTCTAGTTTTTATGGGAAGACATTCCCTTTTTCACCAAAGGCATCAAAGCGCTCCAAATGTCCACTTCCAGACACTACAAAAAGAGTGTTTCCAACGTGCTCTAAGAAAGCAAATGTTCAACTCTGTGACTTGAATGCAGATATCACAAAGTAGTTTCTGAGAGGGCTTCTGTCTAGATTTTAGATGATGATATTCCCGTTTCCAACGAAATCATTAGAGCTATCCAAATATCCACTTACAGTTTCTACAAAAAGAGTGTTTCCAAACTGCTGCATCAAAAGAGAGGTTCCACTCTGTTAGCTGAGTACACACATCACAAACTTGTTTCTCAGAATCCTTCTGTCTCGTTTTTATGGGAAGATATTTACTTTTTCACTGTAGGCATCAAAGCGCTCCACATGTCCACATCCAGATACTACAGAAAGAGTATTTCAAACCTGTCCTATGAAAGGGAATGTTCAACTCTATGAGTTGAATGCAGACATCAGAAAGAAATTTCTGAGAATGCTGCTGTCTACCTTTTATTTGAATTCCCGCTTCCAACGAAATCCTCCAAGCTATACAAATATCCACTTGCAGATTCAGGAAAAAGAGTGTTTCAAAACTGCTCTCTATCAATGGCAAAGTTCAACTCTGTTAGTTGAGGACACATATCACCAACAAGTTTCTGAGAATGCTTCTGTCTATTTTTTATGGGAAGATATTTCCTTTTTCACCGTATGCGTCAAGGCGATCGAAATGTCCACTTCCACAAACTACAAAAAGAGTGTTTCAAACCTTCTCTATGAAAGGCCATGTTCATCTCTATGAGTTGAATGGAAATATCCGAAAGAAATTTCTGGGAATGCTGCTGTCTAGTTTTTATACGAATTCCCGCTTCCAACAAAATCCTCAAAGCAATCCAAATATCCACTTGCAGAATCCACAAAAAGAGTGTTTCAAAACTGCTCTATCAATAGAAAGGTTCAACTCTTTTAGTTGAGTACACACATCACAAACAAGTTTCTGAGAATGCTTCTGTCTGGCTTTTATTGGAAGACGTTTCCTTTTCACCAAAGGCATCATAGCGCTCCAAATGTCCACTTCCAGATTCTTCCAAAAGAGTGTTTCAAACGTGCTCAAAGTAAGGGAATGTTCAACTCTGTGACTTGAATGCAGATATCACCAAGTAGTCTCTAATAGTGCTTCTGTCTAGATTTTAGATGATGATATTCCCGTTTCCAACGAAATCGTTAGAGCTATCCAAATATCCACTTACAGTTTCTACAAAAAGAGTGTTTCCAAACTGCTGCATCAAAAGAAAGGTTCAACTCTGTTAGTTGAGGACACACATCACAAAGAAGTTTGTGAGAATGCTTCTGTCTAGATTTTGTATGACCATATTCCCTTTTCCAGCGATATCATTAAAGCAATCTAAATATCCATTTGCAGAATCCACAAAAATAGAGTTTCAAAGCTGCTGTGTAAAAAGAAAGGTTCCACTCTGTTAGCTGAGTACACACATCACAAACTTGTTTCTCAGAATCCTTCTGTCTCGTTTTTATGGGAAGATATTTACTTTTCCACCGTAGGCATCAAAGCGCTCCAAATGTCCACATCCAGATACTCCAGAAAGAGTGTTTCAAACCTGCTCTATGAAAGGGAATATTCAACTCTATGAGTTGAATGCAGACATCAGAAAGAAATTTCTGAGAATGCTGCTGTCTACCTTTTATTTGAACTCCCGCTTCCAACGAAATCCTCCAAGCTATCCAAATATCCACCTGCATTTTCCACAAAAAGAGCGCTTCAAAACTGCTCTATCAATAGAAATGTTCAACTCCTTTGGCTGGGTACACACATCACAAACAAGTTTCTGAGAATGCTTCAGTCTAGTTTTTATGGGAAGACGTTCCCTTTTTCACCAAAGGCATCAAAGCGCTCCAAATGTCCACTTCCAGACACTACAAAAAGAGTGTTTCCAACGTACTCTAAGAAAGCGAATGTTCAACTCTGTGACTTGAATGCAGATATCACAAAGTAGTTTCTGAGAGGGCTTCTGTCTAGATTTTAGATGATGATATTCCCGTTTCCAACGAAATCATTAGAGCTATCCAAATATCCACTTACAGTTTCTACAAAAAGAGTGTTTCCAAACTGCTGCATCAAAAGAGAGGTTCCACTCTGTTAGCTGAGTACACACATCACAAACTTGTTTCTCAGAATCCTTCTGTCTCGTTTTTATGGGAAGTTATTTACTTTTTCACCGTAGGCATCAAAGCGCTCCAAATGTCCACATCCAGATACTCCAGAAAGAGTGTTTCAAACCTGCTCTATGAAAGGGAATGTTCAACTCTACGAGTTGAATGCAGACATCAGAAAGAAATTTCTGAGAATGCTGCTGTCTACCTTTTATTTGAATTCCCGCTTCCAACGAAATCCTCCAAGCTATCCAAATATCCACTTGCAGATTCCACAAAAAGAGTGTTTCAAAACTGCTCTCTATCAATGGCAAAGTTCAACTCTGTTAGTTGAGGACACATATCACCAACAAGTTTCTGAGAATGCTTCTGTCTACTTTTTATGGGAAGATATTTCCTTTTTCACCGTAGGCGTCAAGGCGATCGAAATGTCCACTTCCACAAACTACAAAAAGAGTGTTTCAAACCTGCTCTATGAAAGGCCATGTTCATCTCTATGAGTTGAATGGAAATATCCGAAAGAAATTTCTGGGAATGCTGCTGTCTAGTGTTTATACGAATTCCCGCTTCCAACGAAATCCTCAAAGCAATCCAAATATCCACTTGCAGAATCCACAAAAAGAGTGTTTCAAAACTGCTCTATCAATAGAAAGGTTCAACTCTTTTAGTTGAGTACACACATCACGAACAAGTTTCTGAGAATGCTTCTGTCTGGCTTTTATTGGAAGACGTTTCCTTTTCACCAAAGGCATCAAAGTGCTCCAAATGTCCACTTCCAGATTCTTCCAAAAGAGTGTTTCAAACGTGCTCAAAGTAAGGGAATGTTCAACTCTGTGACTTGAATGCAGATATCACCAAGTAGTTTCTAATAGTGCTTCTGTCTAGATTTTAGATGATGATATTCCCGTTTCCAACGAAATCGTTAGAGCTATCCAAATATCCACTTACAGTTGCTACAAAAACAGTGTTTCCAAACTGCTGCATCAAAAGAAAGGTTCAACTCTGTTAGTTGAGGACACACATCACAAAGAAGTTTGTGAGAATGCTTCTGTCTAGATTTTGTATGACCATATTCCCTTTTCCAGCGATATCATTAAAGCAATCTAAATATCCATTTGCAGAATCCACAAAAATAGAGTTTCAAAGCTGCTCTGTAAAAAGAAAGGTTCCACTCTGTTAGCTGAGTACACACATCACAAACTTGTTTCTCAGAATCCTTCTGTCTCGTTTTTATGGGAAGATATTTACTTTCTCACCGTAGGCATCAAAGCGCTCCAAATGTCCACATCCAGATACTCCAGAAAGAGTGTTTCAAACCTGCTCTATGAAAGGGAATCTTCAACTCTATGAGTTGAATGCAGACATCAGAAAGAAATTTCTGAGAATGCTGCTGTCTACCTTTTATTTGAATTCCAGCTTCCAACGAAATCCTCCAAGCTATCCAAATATCCACCTGCATTTTCCACAAAAAGAGTGTTTCAAAACTGCTCTATCAATAGAAATGTTCAACTCCTTTGGCTGGGTACACACATCACAAACAAGTTTCTGAGAATGCTTCTGTCTAGTTTTTATGGGAAGACATTCCCTTTTTCACCAAAGGCATCAAAGCGCTCCAAATGTCCACTTCCAGACACTACAAAAAGGGTGTTTCAAACGTGCTCTAAGAAAGCGAATGTTCAACTCTGTGACTTGAATGCAGATATCACAAAGTAGTTTCTGAGAGGGCTTCTGTCTAGATTTTAGATGATGATATTCCCGTTTCCAACGAAATCATTAGAGCTATCCAAATATCCACTTACAGTTTCTACAAAAAGAGTGTTTCCAAACTGCTGCATCAAAAGAGAGGTTCCACTCTGTTAGCTGAGTACACACATCACAAACTTGTTTCTCAGAATCCTTCTGTCTCGTTTTTATGGGAAGATATTTACTTTTTCACCGTAGGCATCAAAGCGCTCCAAATGTCCACATCCAGATACTCCAGAAAGAGTGCTTCAAACCTGCTCTATGAAAGGGAATCTTCAACTCTATGAGTTGAATGCAGACATCAGAAAGAAATTTCTGAGAATGCTGCTGTCTACCTTTTATTTGAATTCCCGCTTCCAACGAAATCCTCCAAGCTATCCAAATATCCACTTGCAGATTCCACAAAAAGAGTGTTTCAAAACTGCTCTCTATCAATGGCAAAGTTCAACTCTGTTAGTTGAGGACACATATCACCAACAAGTTTCTGAGAATGCTTCTGTCTATTTTTTATGGGAAGATATTTCCTTTTTCACCGTAGGCGTCAAGGCGATCGAAATGTCCACTTCCACAAACTACAAAAAGAGTGTTTCAAACCTGCTCTATGAAAGGCCATGTTCATCTCTATGAGGTGAATGGAAATATCCGAAAGAAATTTCTGGGAATGCTGCTGTCTAGTTTTTATACGAATTCCCGCTTCCAACGAAATCCTCAAAGCAATCCAAATATCCACTTGCAGAATCCACAAAAAGAGTGTTTCAAAACTGCTCTATCAATAGAAAGGTTCAACTCTTTTAGTTGAGTACACACATCACAAACAAGTTTCTGAGAATGCTTCTGTCTGGCTTTTATTGGAAGGCGTTTCCTTTTCACCAAAGGCATCAAAGCGCTCCAAATGTCCACTTCCAGATTCTTCCAAAAGAGTGTTTCAAACGTGCTCAAAGTAAGGGAATGTTCAACTCTTTGACTTGAATGCAGATATCACCAAGTAGTTTCTAATAGTGCTTCTGTCTAGATTTTAGATGATGATATTCCCGTTTCCAACGAAATCGTTAGAGCTATCCAAATATCCAGTTACAGTTTCTACCAAAAGGGTGTTTCCAAATTGCTGCATCAAAAGAAAGGTTCAACTCTGTTAGTTGAGGACACACATCACAAAGAAGTTTGTGAGAATGCATCTGTCTAGATTTTGTATGACCATATTCCCTTTTCCAGCGATATCATTAAAGCAATCTAAATATCCATTTGCAGAATCCACAAAAATAGAGTTTCAAAGCTGCTCTGTAAAAAGAAAGGTTCCACTCTGTTAGCTGAGTACACACATCACAAACTTGTTTCTGAGAATCCTTCTGTCTCGTTTTTATGGGAAGATATTTACTTTTTCACCGTAGGCATCAAAGCGCTCCAAATGTCCACATCCAGATACTCCAGAAAGAGTGTTTCAAACCTGCTCTATGAAAGGGAATCTTCAACTGCTATGAGTTGAATGCAGACATCAGAAAGAAATTTCTGAGAATGCTGCTGTCTACCTTTTATTTGAACTCCCGCTTCCAACGAAATCCTCCAAGCTATCCAAATATCCACTTGCATTTTCCACAAAAAGAGTGTTTGAAAACTGCTCTATCAATAGAAATGTTCAACTCCTTTAGCTGGGTGCACACATCACAAACAAGTTTCTGAGAATGCTTCTGTCTAGTTTTTATGGGAAGACATTCCCTTTTTCACCAAAGGCATCAAAGCGCTCCAAATGTCCACTTCCAGACACTACAAAAAGAGTGTTTCCAACGTGCTCTAAGAAAGCGAATGTTCAACTCTGTGACTTGAATGCAGATATCACAAAGTAGTTTCTGAGAGGGCTTCTGTCTAGATTTTAGATGATGATATTCCCGTTTCCAACGAAATCATTAGAGCTATCCAAATATCCACTTACAGTTTCTACAAAAAGAGTGTTTCCAAACTGCTGCATCAAAACAGAGGTTCCACTCTGTTAGCTGAGTACACACATCACAAACTTGTTTCTCAGAATCCTGCTGTCTACCTTTTATTTGAATTCCCGCTTCCAACGAAATCCTCCAAGCTATCCAAATATCCACTTGCATTTTCCACAAAAAGAGTGTTTCTAAACTGCTCTATCAATGGCAAGGTTCAACTCTGTCAGTTGAGGATACACATCACAAACAAGTTTCTGAGAATTCTTCTGTCTATTTTTTATGGGAAGATATTTCCTTTTTCACCGTAGGCGTCAAGGCGATCGAAATGTCCACTTCCACAAACTACAAAAAGAGTGTTTCAAACCTGCTCTATGAAAGGCCATGTTCATCTCTATGAGTCGAATGGAAATATCCGAAAGAAATTTCTGGGAATGCTGCTGTCTAGATTTTATACGAATTCCCGCTTCCAACGAAATCCTCAAAACAATCCTAATATCCACTTGCAGAATCCACAAAAAGAGTGTTTCAAAACTGCTCTATCAATAGAAAGGTTCAACTCTTTTAGTTGAGTACACACATCACAAACAAGTTTCTGAGAATGCTTCTGTCTGGCTTTTATTGGAAGACGTTTCCTTTTCACCAAAGGCATCAAAGCGCTCCAAATGTCCACTTCCAGATTCTTCCAAAAGAGTGTTTCAAACGTGCTCAAAGTAAGGGAATGTTCAACTCTGTGACTTGAATGCAGATATCACCAAGTAGTTTCTAATAGTGCTTCTGTCTACATTTTAGATGATGATATTCCCGTTTCCAACGAAATCGTTAGAGCTATCCAAATATCCAGTTACAGTTTCTACCAAAAGGGTGTTTCCAAATTGCTGCATCAAAAGAAAGGTTCAACTCTGCTAGTTGAGGACACACATCACAAAGAAGTTTGTGAGAATGCTTCTGTCCAGATTTTGTATGACGTTATTCCCTTTTCCAACGATATCATTAAAGCAATCTAAATATCCATTTGCAGAATCCACAAAAATAGAGTTTCAAAGCTGCTCTGTAAAAAGAAAGGTTCCACTCTGTTAGCTGAGTACACACATCACAAACTTGTCTCTCAGAATCCTTCTGTCTCGTTTTTATGGGAAGATATTTACTTTTTCACCGTAGGCATCAAAGCGCTCCAAATGTCCACATCCAGATACTCCAGAAAGAGTGTTTCAAACCTGCTCTATGAAAGGGAATCTTCAACTCTATGAGTTGAATGCAGACATCAGAAAGAAATTTCTGAGAATGCTGCTGTCTACCTTTTATTTGAACTCCCGCTTCCAACGAAATCCTCCAAGCTATCCAAATATCCACTTGCATTTTCCACAAAAAGAGTGCTTCAAAACTGCTCTATCAATAAATGTTCAACTCCTTTAGCTGGGTGCACACATCACAAACAAGTTTCTGAGAATGCTTGTCTGTCTAGTTTTTATGGGAAGACATTTCCTATTTCACCAAAGGCATCAAAGAGCTCCAAATGTCCACTTCCAGATACTACAAAAAGAGTGTTTAAAAAGTGCTCTAAGAAAGCGAATGTTCAACTCTGTGACTTGAATGCAGATATCACAAAGTAGTTTCTGAGAGTGCTTCTGTCTAGATTTTAGATGATGATATTCCCGTTTCCAACGAAATCATTAGAGCTATCCAAATATCCACTTACAGTTTCTACAAAAAGAGTGTTTCCAAACTGCTGCATCAAAAGAGAGCTTCCACTCTGTTAGCTGAGTACACACATCACAAACTTGTTTCTCAGAATCCTGCTGTCTACCTTTTATTTGAATTCCCGCTTCCAACGAAATCCTCCAAACTATCCAAATATCCACTTGCAGATTCAGGAAAAAGAGTGTTTCAAAACTGCTCTCTATCAATGGCAAAGTTCAACTCTGTTAGTTGAGGACACATATCACCAACAAGTTTCTGAGAATGCTTCTGTCTATTTTTTATGGGAAGATATTTCCTTTTTCACCGTAGGTGTCAAGGCGATCGAAATGTCCACTTCCACAAACTACAAAAAGAGTGTTTCAAACCTGCTCTATGAAAGGCCATGTTCATCTCTATGAGTTGAATGGAAATATCCGAAAGAAATTTCTGGGAATGCTGCTGTCTAGTTGTTATACGAATTCCCGCTTCCAACGAAATCCTCAAAGCAATCCAAATATCCACTTGCAGAATCCACAAAAAGAGTGTTTCAAAACTGCTCTATCAATAGAAAGGTTCAACTCTTTTAGTTGAGTACACACATCACAAACAAGTTTCTGAGAATGCTTCTGTCTGGCTTTTATTGGAAGACGTTTCCTTTTCACCAAAGGCATCAAAGCGCTCCAAATGTCCACTTCCAGATTCTTCCAAAAGAGTGTTTCAAACCTGCTCAAAGTAAGGGAATGTTCAACTCTGTGACTTGAATGCAGATATCACCAAGTAGTTTCTAATAGTGCTTCTGTCTACCTTTTGATGATGATATTCCCGTTTCCAACGAAATCGTTAGAGCTATCCAAATATCCAGTTACAGTTTCTACCAAAAGGGTGTTTCCAAATTGCTGCATCAAAAGAAAGGTTCAACTCTGTTAGTTGAGGACACACAGCACAAAGAAGTTTGTGAGAATGCTTCTGTCTAGATTTTGTATGACGATATCCCTTTTCCAACGATATCGTTAAAGCAATCTAAATATCAATTTGCAGAATCCACAAAAATAGAGTTTCAAAGCTGCTCTGTAAAAAGAAAGGTTCCACTCTGTTAGCTGAGTACACACATCACAAACTTGTTTCTGAGAATCCTTCTGTCTCGTTTTTATGGGAAGATATTTACTTTTCCACCGTAGGCATCAAAGCGCTCCAAATGTCCACATCCAGATACTCCAGAACGAGTGTTTCAAACCTGCTCTATGAAAGGGAATGTTCAACTCTATGAGTTGAATGCAGACATCAGAAAGAAATTTCTGAGAATGCTGCTGTCTACCTTTTATTTGAATTCCCGCTTCCAACGAAATCCTCCAAGCTATCCAAATATCCACTTGCATTTTCCACAAAAAGAGTGTTTCAAAACTGCTCTATCAATAGAAATGTTCAACTCCTTTGGCTGGGTACACACATCACAAACAAGTTTCTGAGAATGCTTCTGTCTAGTTTTTATGGGAAGACATTCCCTTTTTCACCAAAGGCATCAAAGCGCTCCAAATGTCCACTTCCAGACACTACAAAAAGAGTGTTTCAAACGTGCTCTAAGAAAGCGAATGTTCAACCCTGTGACTTGAATGCAGATATCACAAAGTAGTTTCTGAGAGGGCTTCTGTCTAGATTTTAGATGATGATATTCCCGTTTCCAACGAAATCATTAGAGCTATCCAAATATCCACATACAGTTTCTACAAAAAGAGTGTTTCCAAACTGCTGCATCAAAAGAGAGGTTCCACTCTGTTAGCTGAGTACACACATCACAAACTTGTTTCTTAGAATCCTTCTGTATCGTTTTTATGGGAAGATATTTACTTTTTCACCGTAGGCATCAAAGCGCTCCAAATGTCCACATCCAGATACTCCAGAAAGAGTGTTTCAAACCTGCTCTATGAAAGGGAATCTTCAACTCTATGAGTTGAATGCAGACATCAGAAAGAAATTTCTGAGAATGCTGCTGTCTACCTTTTATTTGAATTCCCGCTTCCAATGAAATCCTCCAAGCTATCCAAATATCCACTTGCAGATTCCACAAAAAGAGTGTTTCAAAACTGCTCTCTATCAATGGCAAAGTTCAACTCTGTTAGTTGAGGACACATATCACCAACAAGTTTCTGAGAATGCTTCTGTCTATTTTTTATGGGAAGATATTTCCTTTTTCACCGTAGGCGTCAAGGCGATCGAAATGTCCACTTCCACAAACTACAAAAAGAGTGTTTCAAACCTGCTCTATGAAAGGCCATGTTCATCTCTATGAGTCGAATGGAAATATCCGAAAGAAATTTCTGGGAATGCTGCTGTCTAGTGTTTATACGAATTCCCGCTTCCAACGAAATCCTCAAAGCAATCCAAATATCCACTTGCAGAATCCACAAAAAGAGGGTTTCAAAACTGCTCTATCAATAGAAAGGTTCAACTCTTTAGTTGAGTACACACATCACAAACAAGTTTCTGAGAATGCTTCTGTCTGGCTTTTATTGGAAGACGTTTCCTTTTCACCAAAGGCATCAAAGCGCTCCAAATGTCCACTTCCAGATTCTTCCAAAAGAGTGTTTCAAACGTGCTCGAAGTAAGGGAATGTTCTACTCTGTGACTTGAATGCAGATATCACCAAGTAGTTTCTAATAGTGCTTCTGTCTAGATTTTAGATGATGATATTCCCGTTTCCAACGAAATCGTTAGAGCTATCCAAATATCCACTTACAGTTGCTACAAAAACAGTGTTTCCAAACTGCTGCATCAAAAGAAAGGTTCAACTCTGTTAGTTGAGGACACACGTCACAAAGAAGTTTGTGAGAATGCTTCTGTCTAGATTTTGTATGACGATATTCCCTTTTCCAACGATATCGTTAAAGGAATCTAAATATCCATTTGCAGAATCCACAAAAATAGAGTTTCAAAGCTGCTCTGTAAAAAGAAAGGTTCCACTCTGTTAGCTGAGTACACACATCACAAACTTGTTTCTCAGAATCCTTCTGTCTCGTTTTTATGGGAAGATATTTACTTTTCCACCGTAGGCATCAAAGCGCTCCAAATGTCCACATCCAGATACTCCAGAACGAGTGTTTCAAACCTGCTCTATGAAAGGGAATCTTCAACTCTATGAGTTGAATGCAGACATCAGAAAGAAATTTCTGAGAATGCTGCTGTCTACTTTTATTTGAATTCCCGCTTCCAACGAAATCCTCCAAGCTATCCAAATATCCACTTGCATTTTCCACAAAAAGAGTGTTTCAAAACTGCTCTATCAATAGAAATGTTCAACTCCTTTAGCTGGGTACACACATCACAAACAAGTTTCTGAGAATGCTTCTGTCTAGTTTTTATGGGAAGACATTCCCTTTTTCACCAAAGGCATCAAAGCACTCCAAATGTCCACTTCCAGACACTACAAAAAGAGTGTTTCCAACGTGCCCTAAGAAAGCGAATGTTCAACTCTGTGACTTGAATGCAGATATCACAAAGTAGTTTCTGAGAGGGCTTCTGTCTAGATTTTAGATGATGATATTCCCTTTTCCAACGAAATCATTAGAGCTATCCAAATATCCACTTACAGTTTCTACAAAAAGAGTGTTTCCAAACTGCTGCATCAAAAGAGAGGTTCCACTCTGTTAGCTGAGTACACACATCACAAACTTGTTTCTCAGAATCCTTCTGTCTCGTTTTTCTGGGTAAGATATTTACTTTTTCACCGTAGGCATCAAAGCGCTCCAAATGTCCACATCCAGATACTCCAGAAAGAGTGTTTCAAACCTGCTCTATGAAAGGGAATCTTCAACTCTATGAGTTGAATGCAGACATCAGAAAGAAATTTCTGAGAATGCTGCTGTCTACCTTTTATTTGAATTCCCGCTTCCAACGAAATCCTCCAAGCTATCCAAATATCCACTTGCAGATTCCACAAAAAGAGTGTTTCAAAACTGCTCTCTATCAATGGCAAAGTTCAACTCTGTTAGTTGAGGACACATATCACCAACAAGTTTCTGAGAATGCTTCTGTCTATTTTTTATGGGAAGATATTTCCTTTTTCACCGTAGGCGTCAAGGCGATCGAAATGTCCACTTCCACAAACTACAAAAAGAGTGTTTCAATATGAAAGGCCATGTTCATCTCTATGAGTTGAATGGAAAGATCCGAAAGAAATTTCTGGGAATGCTGCTGTCTAGTGTTTATACGAATTCCCGCTTCCAACGAAATCCTCAAAGCAATCCAAATATCCACTTGCAGAATCCACAAAAAGAGGGTTTCAAAACTGCTCTATCAATAGAAAGGTTCAACTCTTTTAGTTGAGTACACACATCACAAACAAGTTTCTGAGAATGCTTCTGTCTGGCTTTTATTGGAAGACGTTTCCTTTTCACCAAAGGCATCAAAGCGCTCCAAATGTCCACTTCCAGATTCTTCCAAAAGAGTGTTTCAAACGTGCTCGAAGTAAGGGAATGTTCTACTCTGTGACTTGAATGCAGATATCACCAAGAAGTTTCTAATAGTGCTTCTGTCTAGATTTTAGATGATGATATTCCCGTTTCCAACGAAATCGTTAGAGCTATCCAAATATCCACTTACAGTTGCTACAAAAACAGTGTTTCCAAACTGCTGCATCAAAAGAAAGGTTCAACTCTGTTAGTTGAGGACACACGTCACAAAGAAGTTTGTGAGAATGCTTCTGTCCAGATTTTGTATGACGATATTCCCTTTTCCAACGATATCGTTAAAGCAATCTAAATATCCATTTGCAGAATCCACAAAAATAGAGTTTCAAAGCTGCTCTGTAAAAAGAAAGGTTCCACTCTGTTAGCTGAGTACACACATCACAAACTTGTCTCTCAGAATCCTGCTGTCTACCTTTCATTTGAATTCCCGCTTCCAACGAAATCC
Organism: Homo sapiens; assembly: GCF_000001405.40. Lineage (NCBI taxonomy): Eukaryota > Metazoa > Chordata > Mammalia > Primates > Hominidae > Homo > Homo sapiens. Next base: position 14,986,127 of record NC_000022.11, on the reverse strand, counting down.
TCCAAGCTATCCAAATATCCACCTGCATTTTCCACAACAAGAGTGTTTCAAAACTGCTCTATCAATAGAAATGTTCAACTCCTTTGGCTGGGTACACACATCACAAACAAGTTTCTGAGAATGCTTCTGTCTAGTTTTTATGGGTAGACATTCCCTTTTTCACCAAAGGAATCAAAGCGCTCCAAATGTCCACATCCAGACACTACAAAAAGAGTGTTTCAAACGTGCTCTAAGAAAGCGAATGTTCAACTCTGTGACTTGAATGCAGATATCACACAGTAGTTTCTGAGAGTGCTTCTGTCTAGATTTTAGATGATGATATTCCCGTTTCCAACGAAATCATTAGAGCTATCCAAATATCCACTTCCAGTTTCTACAAAAAGAGTGTTTCCAAACTACTGCATCAAAAGAGAGGTTCCACTCTGTTAGCTGAGTACACACATCACAAACTTGTTTCTCAGAATCCTGCTGTCTACCTTTTATTTGAATTCCCGCTTCCAACGAAATCCTCCAAGCTATCCAAATATCCACTTGCAGATTCCACAAAAAGAGTGTTTCAAAACTGCTCTCTATCAATGGCAAAGTTCAACTCTGTTAGTTGAGGACACATATCACCAACAAGTTTCTGAGAATGCTTCTGTCTATTTTTTATGGGAAGATATTTCCTTTTTCACCGTAGGCGTCAAGGCGATCGAAATGTCCACTTCCACAAACTACAAAAAGAGTGTTTCAAACCTGCTCTATGAAAGGCCATGTTCATCTCTATGAGTCGAATGGAAATATCCGAAAGAAATTTCTGGGAATGCTGCTGTCTAGTGTTTATACGAATTCCCGCTTCCAACGAAATCCTCAAAGCAATCCAAATATCCACTTGCAGAATTCACAAAAAGAGTGTTTCAAAACTGCACTATCAATAGAAAGGTTCAACTCTTTTAGTTGAGTACACACATCACAAACAAGTTTCTGAGAATGCTTCTGTCTGGCTTTTATTGGAAGACGTTTCCTTTTCACCAAAGGCATCAAAGCGCTCCAAGTGTCCACTTCCAGATTCTTCCAAAAGAGTGTTTCAAACGTGGTCGAAGTAAGGGAATGTTCAACTCTGTGACTTGAATGCAGATATCACCAAGTAGTTTCTAATAGTGCTTCTGTCTAGATTTTAGATGATGATATTCCCGTTTCCAACGAAATCGTTAGAGCTATCCAAATATCCACTTACAGTTTCTACAAAAAGAGTGTTTCCAAACTGCTGCATCAAAAGAAAGGTTCAACTCTGTTAGTTGAGGACACACATCACAAAGAAGTTTGTGAGAATGCTTCTGTCTAGATTTTGTATGACGATATTCCCTTTTCCAACGATATCCTTAAAGCAATCTAAATATCAATTTGCAGAATCCACAAAAATAGAGTTTCAAAGCTGCTCTGTAAAAAGAAAGGTTCCACTCTGTTAGCTGAGTACACACATCACAAACTTGTTTCTGAGAATCCTTCTGTCTCGTTTTTATGGGAAGATATTTACTTTTTCACCGTAGGCATCAAAGCGCTCCAAATGTCCACATCCAGATACTCCAGAAAGAGTGTTTCAAACCTGCTCTATGAAAGGGAATCTTCAACTCTATGAGTTGAATGCAGACATCAGAAAGAAATTTCTGAGAATGCTGCTGTCTACCTTTTATTTGAATTCCCGCTTCCAACGAAATCCTCCAAGCTATCCAAATATCCACCTGCATTTTCCACAACAAGAGTGTTTCAAAACTGCTCTATCAATAGAAATGTTCAACTCCTTTGGCTGGGTACACACATCACAAACAAGTTTCTGAGAATGCTTCTGTCTAGTTTTTATGGGAAGACGTTCCCTTTTTCACCAAAGGCATCAAAGCGCTCCAAATGTCCACTTCCAGACACTACAAAAAGAGTGTTTCAAACGTGCTCTAAGAAAGCGAATGTTCAACTCTGTGACTTGAATGCAGATATCACAAAGTGGTTTCTGAGAGGGCTTCTGTCTAGATTTTAGTTGATGATATTCCCGTTTCCAACGAAATCATTAGAGCTATCCAAATATCCACTTACAGTTTCTACAAAAAGAGTGTTTCCAAACTGCTGCATCAAAAGAGAGGTTCCACTCTGTTAGCTGAGTACACACATCACAAACTTGTTTCTCAGAATCCTTCTGTCTCGTTTTTATGGGAAGATATTTACTTTTTCACCGTAGGCATCAAAGCGCTCCAAATGTCCATATCCAGATACTCCAGAAAGAGTGTTTCAAACTTGCTCTATGAAAGGGAATCTTCAACTCTATGAGTTGAATGCAGACATCAGAAAGAAATTTCTGAGAATGCTGCTGTCTACCTTTTATTTGAATTCCCGCTTCCAACGAAATCCTCCAAGCTATCCAAATATCCACTTGCAGATTCCACAAAAAGAGTGTTTCAAAACTGCTCTCTATCAATGGCAAAGTTCAACTCTGTTAGTTGAGGACACATATCACCAACAAGTTTCTGAGAATGTTTCTGTCTATTTTTTATGGGAAGATATTTCCTTTTTCACCGTATGCGTCAAGGCGATCGAAATGTCCACTTCCACAAACTACAAAAAGAGTGATTCAAAACTGCTCTATGAAAGGCCATGTTCATCTCTATGAGTTGAATGGAAATATCCGAAAGAAATTTCTGGGAATGCTGCTGTCTAGTTTTTATACGAATTCCCGCTTCCAACGAAATCCTCAAAGCAATCCAAATATCCACTTGCAGAATCCACAAAAAGAGTGTTTCAAAACTGCTCTATCAATAGAAAGGTTCAACTCTTTTAGTTGAGTACACACATCACAAACAAGTTTCTGAGAATGCTTCTGTCTGGCTTTTATTGGAAGACGTTTCCTTTTCACCAAAGGCATCAAAGCGCTCCAAATGTCCACTTCCAGATTCTTCCAAAAGAGTGTTTGAAACGTGCTCAAAGTAAGGGAATGTTCAACTCTGTGACTTGAATGCAGATATCACTAAGTAGTTTCTAATAGTGCTTCTGTCTAGATTTTAGATGATGATATTCCCGTTTCCAACGAAATCGTTAGAGCTATCCAAATATCCACTTACAGTTTCTACAAAAAGAGTGTTTCCAAACTGCTGCATCAAAAGAAAGGTTCAACTCTGTTAGTTGAGGACACACATCACAAAGAAGTTTGTGAGAATGCTTCTGTCTAGATTTTGTATGACGATATTCCCTTTTCCAACGATATCGTTAAAGCAATCTAAATATCAATTTGCAGATTCCACAAAAATAGAGTTTCAAAGCTGCTCTGTAAAAAGAAAGGTTCCACTCTGTTAGCTGAGTACACACATCACAAACTTGTTTCTGAGAATCCTTCTGTCTCGTTTTTATGGGAAGATATTTACTTTTCCACCGTAGGCATCAAAGCGCTCCAAATGTCCACATCCAGATACTCCAGAACGAGTGTTTCAAACCTGCTCTATGAAAGGGAATCTTCAACTCTATGAGTTGAATGCAGACATCAGAAAGAAATTTCTGAGAATGCTGCTGTCTACCTTTTATTTGAATTCCCGCTTCCAACGAAATCCTCCAAGCTATCCAAATATCCACCTGCATTTTCCACAAAAAGAGTGTTTCAAAACTGCTCTATCAATAGAAATGTTTAACTCCTTTGGCTGGGTACACACATCACAAACAAGTTTCTGAGAATGCTTCTGTCTAGTTTTTATGGGAAGACATTCCCTTTTTCACCAAAGGCATCAAAGCGCTCCAAATGTCCACTTCCAGACACTACAAAAAGAGTGTTTCAAACGTGCTCTAAGAAAGCGAATGTTCAACTCTGTGACTTGAATGCAGATATCACAAAGTAGTTTCTGAGAGGGCTTCTGTCTAGATTTTAGATGATGATATTCCCATTTCCAACGAAATCATTAGAGCTATCCAAATATCCACTTACAGTTTCTACAAAAAGAGTGTTTCCAAACTGCTGCATCAAAAGAAAGGTTCAACTCTGTTAGTTTAGGACACACATCACAAAGAAGTTTGTGAGAATGCTTCTGTCTCGTTTTTATGGGAAGATATTTACTTTTTCACCGTAGGCATCAAAGCGCTCCAAATGTCCACATCCAGATACTCCAGAAAGAGTGTTTCAAACCAGCTCTATGAAAGGGAATCTTCAACTCTATGAGTTGAATGCAGACATCAGAAAGAAATTTCTGAGAATGCTGCTGTCTACCTTTTATTTGAATTCCCGCTTCCAACGAAATCCTCCAAGCTATCCAAATATCCACTTGCAGATTCCACAAAAAGAGTGTTTCAAAACTGCTCTCTATCAATGGCAAAGTTCAACTCTGTTAGTTGAGGACACATATCACCAACAAGTTTCTGAGAATGCTTCTGTCTATTGTTTATGGGAAGATATTTCCTTTTTCACCGTAGGCGTCAAGGCGATCGAAATGTCCACTTCCACAAACTACAAAAAGAGTGTTTCAAACCTGCTCTATGAAAGGCCATGTTCATCTCTATGAGTTGAATGGAAATATCCGAAAGAAATTTCTGGGAATGCTGCTGTCTAGTGCTTATACGAATTCCCGCTTCCAACGAAATCCTCAAAGCAATTCAAATATCCACTTGCAGAATCCACAAAAAGAGTGTTTCAAAACTGCTCTATCAATAGAAAGGTTCAACTCTTTTAGTTGAGTACACACATCACGAACAAGTTTCTGAGAATGCTTCTGTCTAGTTTTTATGGGAAGACATTCCCTTTTTCACCAAAGGCATCAAAGCGCTCCAAATGTCCACTTCCAGATTCTTCCAAAAGAGTGTTTCAAACGTGGTCGAAGTAAGGGAATGTTCTACTCTGTGACTTGAATGCAGATATCACCAAGTAGTTTCTAATAGTGCTTCTGTCTAGATTTTAGGTGATGATATTCCCGTTTCCAACGAAATCGTTAGAGCTATCCAAATATCCAGTTACAGTTTCTACCAAAAGGGTGTTTCCAAATTGCTGCATCAAAAGAAAGGTTCAACTCTGTTAGTTGAGGACACACATCACAAAGAAGTTTGTGAGAATGCTTCTGTCTAGATTTTGTATGACGATATTCCCTTTTCCAACGATATCGTTAAAGCAATCTAAATATCAATTTGCAGAATCCACAAAAATAGAGTTTCAAAGTTGCTCTGTAAAAAGAAAGGTTCCACTCTGTTAGCTGAGTACACACATCACAAACTTGTTTCTGAGAAACCTTCTGTCTCGTTTTTATGGGAAGATATTTACTTTTCCACTGTAGGCATCAAAGCGCTCCAAATGTCCACATCCAGATACTCCAGAACGAGTGTTTCAAACCTGCTCTATGAAAGGGAATCTTCAACTCTATGAGTTGAATGCAGAATCAGAAAGAAATTTCTGAGAATGCTGCTGTCTACCTTTTATTTGAACTCCCGCTTCCAACGAAATCCTCCAAGCTATCCAAATATCCACTTGCATTTTCCACAAAAAGAGTGCTTCAAAACTGCTCTATCAATAAATGTTCAACTCCTTTAGCTGGGTGCACACATCACAAACAAGTTTCTGAGAATGCTTCTGTCTAGTTTTTATGGGAAGACATTCCCTTTTTCACCAAAGGCATCAAAGCGCTCCAAATGTCCACTTCCAGACACTACAAAAAGAGTGTTTCCAACGTGCTCTAAGAAACCGAATGTTCGACTCTGTGACTTGAATGCAGATATCACAAAGTAGTTTCTGAGAGGGCTTCTGTCTAGATTTTAGATGATGATATTCCCGTTTCCAACGAAATCATTAGAGCTATCCAAATATCCACTTACAGTTTCTACAAAAAGAGTGTTTCCAAACTGCTGCATCAAAAGAGAGGTTCCACTCTGTTAGCTGAGTACACACATCACAAACTTGTTTCTCAGAATCCTTCTGTCTCGTTTTTATGGGAAGATTATACTTTTTCACCGTAGGCATCAATGCGCTCCAAATGTCCACATCCAGATACTACAGAAAGAGTGTTTCAAACCTGCTCTATGAAAGGGAATCTTCAACTCTATGAGTTGAATGCAGACATCAGAAAGAAATTTCTGAGAATGCTGCTGTCTACCTTTTATTTGAATTCCCGCTTCCAACGAAATCCTCCAAGCTATCCAAATATCCACTTGCAGATTCCACAAAAAGAGTGTTTCAAAACTGCTCTCTATCAATGACAAAGTTCAACTCTGTTAGTTGAGGACACATATCACCAACAAGTTTCTGAGAATGCTTCTGTCTATTTTTTATGGGAAGATATTTCCTTTTTCACCGTAGGCATCAAGGCGATCGAAATGTCCACTTCCACAAACTACAAAAAGAGTGTTTCAAACCTGCTCTATGAAAGGCCATGTTCATCTCTATGAGTTGAATGGAAATATCCGAAAGAAATTTCTGGGAATGCTGCTGTGTAGTTGTTATACGAATTCCCGCTTCCAACGAAATCCTCAAAGCAATCCAAATATCCACTTGCAGAATCCACAAAAAGAGTGTTTCAAAACTGCTCTATCAATAGAAAGGTTCAACTCTTTTAGTTGAGTACACACATCACAAACAAGTTTCTGAGAATGCTTCTGTCTGGCTTTTATTGGAAGACGTTTCCTTTTCACCAAAGGCATCAAAACGCTCCAAATGTCCACTTCCAGATTCTTCCAAAAGAGTGTTTCAAACGTGCTCAAAGTAAGGGAATGTTCAACTCTGTGACTTGAATGCAGATATCACCAAGTAGTTTCTAATAGTGCTTCTGTCTAGATTTTAGATGATGATATTCCCGTTTCCAACGAATTCGTTAGAGCTATCCAAATATCCACTTACAGTTTCTACCAAAAGGGTGTTTCCAAACTGCTGCATCAAAAGAAAGGTTCAACTCTGTTAGTTGAGGACACACATCACAAAGAAGTTTGTGAGAATGCTTCTGTCTAGATTTTGTATGACGATATTCCCTTTTCCAACGATATCGTTAAAGCAATCTAAATATCAATTTGCAGAATCCACAACAATAGAGTTTCAAAGCTGCTCTGTAAAAAGAAAGGTTCCACTCTGTTAGCTGAGTACACACATCACAAACTTGTTTCTGAGAATCCTTCTGTCTCGTTTTTATGGGAAGATATTTACTTTTCCACCGTAGGCATCAAAGCGCTCCAAATGTCCACATCCAGATACTCCAGAACGAGTGTTTCAAACCTGCTCTATGAAAGGGAATCTTCAACTCTATGAGTTGAATGCAGACATCAGAAAGAAATTTCTGAGAATGCTGCTGTCAACCTTTTATTTGAATTCCCGCTTCCAACGAAATCCTCCAAGCTATCCAAATATCCACCTGCATTTTCCACAAAAAGAGTGTTTCAAAACTGCTCTATCAATAGAAATGTTCAACTCCTTTGGCTGGGTACACACATCACAAACAAGTTTCTGAGAATGCTTCTGTGTAGTTTTTATGGGTAGACATTCCCTTTTTCACCAAAGGAATCAAAGCGCTCCAAATGTCCACTTCCAGACACTACAAAAAGAGTGTTTCAAACGTGCTCTAAGAAAGCGAATGTTCAACTCTGTGACTTGAATGCAGATATCACACAGTAGTTTCTGAGAGTGCTTCTGTCTAGATTTTAGATGATGATATTCCCGTTTCCAACGAAATCATTAGAGCTATCCAAATATCCACTTACAGTTTCTACAAAAAGAGTGTTTCCAAACTGCTGCATCAAAAGAGAGGTTCCACTCTGTTAGCTGAGTACACACATCACAAACTTGTTTTTCAGAATCCTTCTGTCTCGTTTTTATGGGAAGATATTTGCTTTTTCACCGTAGGCATCAAAGCGCTCCAAATGTCCACATCCAGATACTCCAGAAAGAGTGTTTCAAACCTGCTCTATGAAAGGGAATCTTCAACTCTATGAGTTGAATGCAGACATCAGAAAGAAATTTCTGAGAATGCTGCTGTCTACCTTTTATTTGAATTCCCGCTTCCAACGAAATCCTCCAAGCTATCCAAATATCCACTTGCAGATTCCACAAAAAGAGTGTTTCAAAACTGCTCTCTATCAATGGCAAAGTTCAACTCTGTTAGTTGAGGACACATATCACCAACAAGTTTCTGAGAATGCTTCTGTCTAATTTTTATGGGAAGATATTTCCTTTTTCACCGTATGCGTCAAAGCGATCGAAATGTCCACTTCCACAAACAACAAAAAGAGTGTTTCAAACCTGCTCTATGAAAGGCCATGTTCATCTCTATGAGTTGAATGGAAATATCCGAAAGAAATTTCTGGGAATGCTGCTGTCTAGTTTTTATATGAATTCCCGCTTGCAACGAAATCCTCAAAGCAATCCAAATATCCACTTGCAGAATCCACAAAAAGAGTGTTTCAAAACTGCGCTATCAATAGAAAGGTTCAACTCTTTTAGTTGAGTACACACATCACGAACAAGTTTCTGAGAATGCTTCCTGTCTGGCTTTTATTGGAAGACGTTTCCCTTTTCACCAAAGGCATCAAAGCGCTCCAAATGTCCACTTCCAGATTCTTCCAAAAGAGTGTTTCAAACGTGCTCAAAGTAAGGGAATGTTCAACTCTGTGACTTGAATGCAGATATCACCAAGTAGTTTCTAATAGTGCTTCTGTCTAGATTTTAGATGATGATATTCCCGTTTCCAACGAAATCGTTACAGCTATCCAAATATCCACTTACAGTTTCTACAAAAAGAGTGTTTCCAAACTGCTGCATCAAAAGAAAGGTTCAACTCTGTTAGTTGAGGACACACATCACAAAGAAGTTTGTGAGAATGCTTCTGTCTAGATTTTGTATGACGATATTCCCTTTTACAACGATATCGTTAAAGCAATCTAAATATCAATTTGCAGAATCCACAAAAATAGAGTTTCAAAACTGCTCTGTAAAAAGAAAGGTTCCACTCTGTTAGCTGAGTACACACATCACAAACTTGTTTCTGAGAATCCTTCTGTCTCGTTTTTATGGGAAGATATTTACTTTTCCACCGTAGGCATCAAAGCGCTCCAAATGTCCACATCCAGATACTCCAGAACGAGTGTTTCAAACCTGCTCTATGAAAGGGAATCTTCAACTCTATGAGTTGAATGCAGACATCAGAAAGAAATTTCTGAGAATGCTGCTGTCTACCTTTTATTTGAATTCCCGCTTCCAACGAAATCCTCCAAGCTATCCAAATATCCACCTGCATTTTCCACAAAAAGAGCGTTTCAAAACTGCTCTATCAATAGAAATGTTCAACTCCTTTGGCTGGGTACACACATCACAAACAAGTTTCCTGAGAATGCTTCTGTCTAGTTTTTATGGGTAGACATTCCCTTTTTCACCAAAGGAATCAAAGCGCTCCAAATGTCCACTTCCAGACACTACAAAAAGAGTGTTTCAAACGTGCTCTAAGAAAGCGAATGTTCAACTCTGTGACTTGAATGCAGATATCACACAGTAGTTTCTGAGAGTGCTTCTGTCTAGATTTTAGATGATGATATTCCCGTTTCCAACGAAATCATTAGAGCTATCCAAATATCCACTTACACTTTCTACAAAAAGAGTGTTTCCAAACTGCTGCATCAAAAGAGAGGTTCCACTCTGTTAGCTGAGTACACACATCACAAACTTGTTTCTGAGAATCCTTCTGTCTCGTTTTTATGGGAAGATATTTACTTTTTCACCGTAGGCATCAAAGCGCTCCAAATGTCCACATCCAGATACTACAGAAAGAGTATTTCAAACCTGCCCTATGAAACGGAATCTTCAACTCTATGAGTTGAATGCAGAGATCAGAAAGAAATTTCTGAGAATGCTGCTGTCTACCTTTTATTTGAATTCCCGCTTCCAACGAAATCCTCCAAGCTATCCAAATATCCACTTGCAGATTCCACAAAAAGAGTGTTTCAAAACTGCTCTCTATCAATGGCAAAGTTCAACTCTGTTAGTTGAGGACACATATCACCAACAAGTTTCTGAGAATGCTTCTGTCTATTTTTTATGGGAAGATATTTCCTTTTTCACCGTAGGCGTCAAGGCGATCGAAATGTCCACTTCCACAAACTACAAAAAGAGTGTTTCAAACCTGCTCTATGAAAGGCGATGTTCATCTCTATGAGTTGAATGGAAATATCCGAAAGAAATTTCTGGGAATGCTGCTGTCTAGTTTTTATATGAATTCCCGCTTCCAACGAAATCCTCAAAGCAATCCAAATATCCACTTGCAGAATCCACAAAAAGAGTGTTTCAAAACTGCTCTATCAATAGAAAGGTTCAACTCTTTTAGTTGAGTACACACATCACAAACAAGTTTCTGAGAATGTTTCTGTCTGGCTTTTATTGGAAGACGTTTCCTTTTCACCAAAGGCATCAAAGCGCTCCAAATGTCCACTTCCAGATTCTTCCAAAAGAGTGTTTGAAACGTGCTCAAAGTAAGGGAATGTTCAACTCTGTGACTTGAATGCAGATATCACCAAGTAGTTTCTAATAGTGCTTCTGTCTAGATTTTAGATGATGATATTCCCGGTTTCCAACGAAATCGTTAGAGCTATCCAAATATCCACTTACAGTTGCTACAAAAACAGTGTTTCCAAACTGCTGCATCAAAAGAAAGGTTCAACTCTGTTAGTTGAGGACACACGTCACAAAGAAGTTTGTGAGAATGCTTCTGTCTAGATTTTGTATGACGGTATTCCCTTTTCCAACGATATCGTTAAAGCAATCTAAATATCAATTTGCAGAATCCACAACAATAGAGTTTCAAAGCTGCTCTGTAAAAAGAAAGGTTCCACTCTGCTAGCTGAGTACACACATCACAAACTTGTTTCTGAGAATCCTTCTGTCTCGTTTTTATGGGAAGATATTTACTTTTCCACGGTAGGCATCAAAGCGCTCCAAATGTCCACATCCAGATACTCCAGAACGAGTGTTTCAAACCTGCTCTATGAAAGGGAATCTTCAACTCTATGAGTTGAATGCAGACATCAGAAAGAAATTTCTGAGAATGCTGCTGTCTACCTTTTATTTGAATTCCCGCTTCCAACGAAATCCTCCAAGCTATCCAAATATCAACTTGCATTTTCCACAAAAAGAGTGTTTCAAAACTGCTCTATCAATAGAAATGTTCAACTCCTTTAGCTGGGTACACACATCACAAACAAGTTTCTGAGAATGCTTCTGTCTAGTTTTTATGGGAATACATTCCCTTTTTCACCAAAGGCATCAAAGCGCTCCAAATGTCCACTTCCAGACACTACAAAAAGAGTGTTTCCAACGTGCTCTAAGAAAGCGAATGTTCAACTCTGTGACTTGAATGCAGATATCACAAAGTAGTTTCTAATAGTGCTTCTGTCTAGATTTTAGATGATGATATTCCCCGTTTCCAAAGAAATCATTAGAGCTATCCAAATATCCACTTACAGTTTCTACAAAAAGAGTGTTTCCAAACTGCTGCATCAAAAGAGAGGTTCCACTCTGTTAGCTGAGTACACACATCACAAACTTGTTTCTCAGAATCCTTCTGTCTAGCTTTTATGGGAAGATATTTTCTTTTTCACCGTAGGCATCAAAGCGTTCCAAATGTCCACATCCAGATAGTACAGAAAGAGCGTTTCAAACCTGCTCTATGAAAGGGAATGTTCAACTCTATGAGTTGAATGCAAACGTCACAAAGAAATTTCTGAGAATGCTGCTGTCTACCTTTCATTTGAATTCCCGCTTCCAACGAAATCCTCCAGGCTATCCAAATATCCACTTGCAGATTCCACAAAAAGAGTGTTTCTAAACTGCTCTATCAATGGCAAGGTTCAACTCTGTCAGTTGAGGATACACATCACAAACAAGTTTCTGAGAATTCTTCTGTCTATTTTTTATGGGAAGATATTTCCTTTTTCACCGTAGGCGTCAAGGCGATCGAAATGTCCACTTCCACAAACTACAAAAAGAGTGTTTCAAACCTGCTCTATGAAAGGCCATGTTCATCTCTATGAGTTGAATGGAAATATCCGAAAGAAATTTCTGGGAATGTTGCTGTCTAGTTGTTATACGAATTCCCGCTTCCAACGAAATCCTCAAAGCAATCCAAATATCCACTTGCAGAATCCACAAAAAGAGTGTTTCAAAACTGCTCTATCAATAGAAAGGTTCAACTCTTTTAGTTGAGTATACACATCAAGAACAAGTTTCTGAGAATGCTTCTGTCTGGCTTTTATTGGAAGACGTTTCCTTTTCACCAAAGGCATCAAAGCGCTCCAAATGTCCACTTCCAGATTCTTCCAAAAGAGTGTTTGAAACGTGCTCAAAGTAAGGGAATGTTCAACTCTGTGACTTGAATGCAGATATCACCAAGTAGTTTCTAATAGTGCTTCTGTCTAGATTTTAGATGATGATATTCCCGTTTCCAACGAAATTGTTAGAGCTATCCAAATATCCACTTACAGTTTCTACAAAAAGAGTGTTTCCAAACTGCTGCATCAAAAGAAAGGTTCAACTCTGTTAGTTGAGGACACACATCACAAAGAAGTTTGTGAGAATGCTTCTGTCTAGATTTTGTATGACCATATTCCCTTTTCCAGCGATATCATTAAAGCAATCTAAATATCCATTTGCAGAATCCACAAAAATAGAGTTTCAAAGCTGCTCTGTAAAAAGAAAGGTTCCACTCTGTTAGCTGAGTACACACATCACAAACTTGTTTCTCAGAATCCTTCTGTCTCGTTTTTATGGGAAGATATTTACTTTTTCACCGTAGGCATCAAAGCGCTCCAAATGTACACATCCAGATACTCCAGAAAGAGTGTTTCAAACCTGCTCTATGAAAGGGAATCTTCAACTCTATGAGTTGAATGCAGACATCAGAAAGAAATTTCTGAGAATGCTGCTGTCTACCTTTTATTTGAATTCCCGCTTCCAACGAAATCCTCCAAGCTATCCATATATCCACCTGCATTTTCCACAAAAAGAGTGTTTCAAAACTGCTCTATCAATAGAAATGTTCAACTCCTTTGGCTGGGTACACACATCACAAACAAGTTTCTGAGAATGCTTCTGTCTAGTTTTTATGGGTAGACATTCCCTTTTTCACCAAAGGAATCAAAGCGCTCCAAATGTCCACTTCCAGACACTACAAAAAGAGTGTTTCAAACGTGCTCTAAGAAAGCGAATGTTCAACTCTGTGACTTGAATGCAGATATCACAAAGTAGTTTCTGAGAGTGCTTCTGTCTAGATTTTAGATGATGATATTCCCGTTTCCAACGAAATCATTAGAGCTATCCAAATATCCACTTACAGTTTCTACAAAAAGAGTGTTTCCAAACTGCTGCATCAAAACAGAGGTTCCACTCTGTTAGCTGAGTACACACATCACAAACTTGTTTCTCAGAATCCTTCTGTCTCGTTTTTATGGGAAGATATTTACTTTCTCACCGTAGGCATCAAAGCGCTCCAAATGTCCACATCCAGATACTCCAGAAAGAGTGTTTCAAACCTGCTCTATGAAAGGGAATCTTCAAATCTATGAGTTGAATGCAGACATCAGAAAGAAATTTCTGAGAATGCTGCTGTCTACCTTTTATTTGAATTCCCGCTTCCAACGAAATCCTCCAAGCTATCCAAATATCCACTTGCAGATTCCACAAAAAGAGTGTTTCAAAACTGCTCTCTATCAATGGCAAAGTTCAACTCTGTTAGTTGAGGACACATATCACCAACAAGTTTCTGAGAATGCTTCTGTCTATTTTTTATGGGAAGATATTTCCTTTTTCAGCGTAGGTGTCAAGGCGATCGAAATGTCCACTTCCACAAACTACAAAAAGAGTGTTTCAAACCTGCTCTATGAAAGGCCATGTTCATCTCTATGAGTTGAATGGAAATATCCGAAAGAAATTTCTGGGAATGCTGCTGTCTAATTTTTATACGAATTCCCGCTTCCAACGAAATCCTCAAAGCAATCCAAATATCCACTTGCAGAATCCACAAAAAGAGTGTTTCAAAACTGCGCTATCAATAGAAAGGTTCAACTCTTTTAGTTGAGTACACACATCACAAACAAGTTTCTGAGAATGCTTCTGTCTGGCTTTTATTGGAAGACGTTTCCTTTTCACCAAAGGCATCAAAGCGCTCCAAATGTCCACTTCCAGATTCTTCCAAAAGAGTGTTTGAAACGTGCTCAAAGTAAGGGAATGTTCAACTCTGTGACTTGAATGCAGATATCACCAAGTAGTTTCTAATAGTGCTTCTGTGTATACTTTAGATGAAGATATTCCCGTTTCCAACGATATCGTTAGACCTATCCAAATATCCACTTACAGTTTCTACAAAAAGAGTGTTTCCAAACTGCTGCATCAAAAGAAAGGTTCAACTCTGTTAGTTGAGGACACACATCACAAAGAAGTTTCTGAGAAAGCTTCTGTCTAGATTTTGTATGAAGATATTCCCTTTTCCAACGATATCGTTAAATCAACACAAATATCAATTTGCAGAATCCACAGAAATAGAGTTTCAAAGCTGCTCTGTAAAAAGAAAGGATCCACTCTGTTAGCTGAGTACACACATCACAAACTTGTTTCTGAGAATCCTTCTGTCTCGTTTTTATGGGAAGATATTTACTTTTCCACCGTAGGCATCAAAGCGCTCCAAATGTCCACATCCAGATACTCCAGAAAGAGTGTTTCAAACCTGCTCTATGAAAGGGAATCTTCAACTCTATGAGTTGAATGAAGACATCAGAAAGAAATTTCTGAGAATTCTGCTGTCTACCTTTTATTTGAATTCCCGCTTCCAACGAAATCCTCCAAGCTATCCAAATATCCACCTGCATTTTCCACAAAAAGAGCGTTTCAAAACTGCTCTATCAATAGAAATGTTCAACTCCTTTGGCTGGGTACACACATCACAAACAAGTTTCTGAGAATGCTTCTGTCTAGTTTTTATGGGTAGACATTCCCTTTTTCACCAAAGGAATCAAAGCGCTCCAAATGTCCACTTCCAGACACTACAAAAAGAGTGTTTCAAACGTGCTCTAAGAAAGCGAATGTTCAACTCTGTGACTTGAATGCAGATATCACAAAGTAGTTTCTGAGAGTGCTTCTGTCTAGATTTTAGATGATGATATTCCCGTTTCCAACAAAATCATTAGAGCTTCCAAATATCCACTTACAGTTTCTACAAAAAGAGTGCTTCCAAACTGCTGCATCAAAAGAGAGGTTCCACTCTGTTAGCTGAGTACACACATCACAAACTTGTTTCTCAGAATCCTTCTGTCTCGTTTTTATGGGAAGATATTTACTTTTTCACCGTAGGCATCAAAGCGCTCCAAATGTCCACATCCAGATACTCCAGAAAGAGTGTTTCAAACCTGCTCTATGAAAGGGAATGTTCAACTCTATGAGTTGAATGCAGACATCAGAAAGAAATTTCTGAGAATGCTGCTGTCTACCTTTTATTTGAATTCCCGCTTCCAACGAAATCCTCCAAGCTATCCAAATATCCACTTGCAGATTCCACAAAAAGAGTGTTTCAAAACTGCTCTCTATTAATGGCAAAGTTCAACTCTGTTAGTTGAGGACACATATCACCAACAAGTTTCTGAGAATGCTTCTGTCTATTTTTTATGGGAAGATATTTCCTTTTTCACCGTAGGCGTCAAGGCGATCGAAATGTCCACTTCCACAAACTACAAAAAGAGTGTTTCAAACCTGCTCTATGAAAGGCCATGTTCATCTCTATGAGTCGAATGGAAATATCCGAAAGAAATTTCTGGGAATGCTGCTGTCTAGTGTTTATACGAATTCCCGCTTCCAACGAAATCCTCAAAGCAATCCAAATATCCACTTGCAGAATCCACAAAAAGAGTGTTTCAAAACTGCTCTATCAATAGAAAGGTTCAACTCTTTTAGTTGAGTACACACATCACGAACAAGTTTCTGAGAATGCTTCTGTCTGGCTTTTATTGGAAGACGTTTCCCTTTTCACCAAAGGCATCAAAGCGCTCCAAATGTCCACTTCCAGATTCTTCCAAAAGAGTGTTTCAAACGTGCTCAAAGTAAGGGAATGTTCAACTCTGTGACTTGAATGCAGATATCACCAAGTAGTTTCTAATAGTGCTTCTGTCTAGATTTTAGATGATGATATTCCCGTTTCCAACGAAATCGTTAGAGCTATCCAAATATCCACTTACAGTTGCTACAAAAACAGTGTTTCCAAACTGCTGCATCAAAAGAAAGGTTCAACTCTGTTAGTTGAGGACACACGTCACAAAGAAGTTTGTGAGAATGCTTCTGTCTAGATTTTGTATGACGGTATTCCCTTTTCCAACGATATCGTTAAAGCAATCTAAATATCAATTTGCAGAATCCACAACAATAGAGTTTCAAAGCTGCTCTGTAAAAAGAAAGGTTCCACTCTGTTAGCTGAGTACACACATCACAAACTTGTTTCTGAGAATCCTGCTGTCTACCTTTTATTTGAATTCCCGCTTCCAACGAAATCCTCCAAGCTATCCAAATATCCACCTGCATTTTCCAGAAAAAGAGCGTTTCAAAACTGCTCTATCAATAGAAATGTTCAACTCCTTTGGCTGGGTACACACATCACAAACAAGTTTCTGAGAATGCTTCTGTCTAGTTTTTATGGGAAGACGTTCCCTTTTTCACCAAAGGCATCAAAGCGCTCCAAAAGTCCACTTCCAGACACTACAAAAAGAGTGTTTCCAACGTGCTCAAAGAAAGCGAATGTTCAACTCTGTGACTTGAATGCAGATATCACAAAGTAGTTTCTGAGAGGGCTTCTGTCTAGATTTTAGATGATGATATTCCCGTTTCCAACGAAATCATTAGAGCTATCCAAATATCCACTTACAGTTTCTACAAAAAGAGTGTTTCCAAACTGCTGCATCAAAAGAGAGGTTCCACTGTTAGCTGAGTACACACATCACAAACTTGTTTCTCAGAATCCTTCTTCAATTTTTTATGGGAAGACATTTCCTTTTTCACCGTAGGCCTCAAAGTGCTCCAAATGTCCACATCCAGATAGTACAGAAAGAGTGTTTCAAACCTGCTCTATTAAAGGGAATGTTCAACTCTATGAGTTGAATGCAAACATCACAAAGAAATTTCTGAGAATGCTGCTGTCTACCTTTTATTTGAATTCCCGCTTCCAACGAAATCCTCCAAGCTATCCAAATATCCACTTGCAGATTCGACAAAAAGAGTGTTTCAAAACTGCTCTCTATCAATGGCAAAGTTCAACTCTGTTAGTTGAGGACACATATCACCAACAAGTTTCTGAGAATGCTTCTGTCTATTTTTTATGGGAAGATATTTCCTTTTTCACCGTAGGCGTCAAGGCGATCGAAATGTCCACTTCCACAAACTACAAAAAGAGTGTTTCAAACCTGCTCTATGAAAGGCCATGTTCATCTCTATGAGTCGAATGGAAATATCCGAAAGAAATTTCTGGGAATGCTGCTGTCTAGTGTTTATACGAATTCCCGCTTCCAACGAAATCCTCAAAGCAATCTAAATATCCACTTGCAGAATCCACAAAAAGAGTGTTTCTAAACTGCTCTATCAATAGAAAGGTTCAACTCTTTTAGTTGAGTACACACATCACGAACAAGTTTCTGAGAATGCTTCTGTCTGGCTTTTATTGGAAGACGTTTCCTTTTCACCAAAGGCATCAATTCGCTCCAAATGTCCACTTCCAGATTCTTCCAAAAGAGTGTTTCAAACGTGCTCAAAGTAAGGGAATGTTCAACTCTGTGACTTGAATGCAGATATCACCAAGTAGTTTCTAATAGTGCTTCTGTCTAGATTTTAGATGATGATATTCCCGTTTCCAACGAAATCGTTAGAGCTATCCAAATATCCAGTTACAGTTTCTACAAAAAGAGTGTTTCCAAACTGCTGCATCAAAAGAAAGGTTCAACTCTGTTGGTTGAGGACACACATCAGAAAGAAGTTTGTGAGAATGCTTCTCTCTAGATTTTGTATGACGATATTCCCTTTTCCAACGATATCGTTAAAACAATCTAAATATAAATTTGCAGAATCCACAAAAATACAGTTTCAAAGCTGCTCTGTAAAAAGAAAGGTTCCACTCTTTTGGCTGAGTACACACATCAAAAACTTGTTTCTGAGAATCCTTCTGTCTCGTTTTTATGGGAAGATATTTACTTTTCCACCGTAGGCATCAAAGCGCTCCAAATGTCCACATCCGGATACTCCAGAACGAGTGTTTCAAACCTGCTCTATGAAAGGGAATCTTCAACTCTATGAGTTGAATGCAGACATCAGAAAGAAATTTCTGAGAATGCTGCTGTCTACCTTTTATTTGAATTCCCGCTTCCAACGAAATCCTCCAAGCTATCCAAATATCCACTTGCATTTTCCACAAAAAGAGTGTTTCAAAACTGCTCTATCAATAGAAATGTTCAACTCCTTTGGCTGGGTACACACATCACAAACAAGTTTCTGAGAATGCTTTCTGTCTAGTTTTTATGGGAAGACGTTCCCTTTTTCACCAAAGGCATCAAAGCGCTCCAAATGTCCACTTCCAGACACTACAAAAAGAGTGTTTCCAACGTGCCCTAAGAAAGCGAATGTTCAACTCTGTGACTTGAATGCAGATATCACAAAGTAGTTTCTGAGAGGGCTTCTGTCTAGATTTTAGATGATGATATTCCCGTTTCCAACGAAATCATTAGAGATATCCAAATATCCACTTACAGTTTCTACAAAAAGAGTGTTTCCAAACTGCTGCATCAAAAGAGAGGTTCCACTCTGTTAGCTGAGTACACACATCACAAACTTGTTTCTCAGAATCCTTCTGTCTCGTTTTTATGGGAAGATATTTACTTTTTCATCGTAGGCCTCAAAGCGCTCCAAATGTCCACATCCAGATACTACAGAAAGAGTATTTCAAACCTGCTCTATGAAAGGGAATGTTCAACTCTATGAGTTGAATGCAGACATCAGAAAGAAATTTCTGAGAATGCTGCTGTCTACCTTTTATTTGAATTCCCGCTTCCAACGAAATCCTCCAAGCTATCCAAACATCCACTTGCATTTTCCACAAAAAGAGTGTTTCAAAACTGCTCTATCAATAGAAACGTTCAAGTCCTTTAGCTGGGTACACACATCACAAACAAGTTTCTGAGAATGCTTTCTGTCTATTTTTTATGGGAAGATATTTCCTTTTTCACCGTAGGCGTCAAGGCGATCGAAATGTCCACTTCCACAAACTACAAAAAGAGTGTTTCAAACCTGCTCTATGAAAGGCCATGTTCATCTCTATGAGTTGAATGGAAATATCCGAAAGAAATTTCTGGGAATGCTGCTGTCTAGTTTTTATACGAATTCCCGCTTCCAACGAAATCCTCAAAGCAATCCAAATATCCACTTGCAGAATCCACAAAAAGAGTGTTTCAAAACTGCTCTATCAATAGAAAGGTTCAACTCTTTTAGTTGAGTACACACTTCACAAACAAGTTTCTGAGAATGCTTCTGTCTGGCTTTTATTGGAATACGTTTCCTTTTCACCAAAGGCATCAAAGCGCTCCAAATGTCCACTTCCAGATTCTTCCAAAAGAGTGTTGCAAACGTGCTCAATGTAAGGGAATGTTCAACTCTGTGACTTGAATGCAGATATCACCAAGTAGTTTCTAATAGTGCTTCTGTCTAGATTTTAGATGATGATATTCCCGTTTCCAACGAAATCGTTAGAGCTATCCAAATATCCACTTACAGTTTCTACAAAAAGAGTGTTTCCAAACTGCTGCATCAAAAGAAAGGTTCAACTACTGTTAGTTGAGGACACACATCACAAAGAAGTTTGTGAGAATGCTTCTGTCTAGATTTTGAATGAAGATATTCCCTTTTCCATCGATATCGTTAAATCAACCCAAATATCAATTTGCAGAATCCACAGAAATAGAGTTTCAAAGCTGCTCTGTAAAAAGAAAGGATCCACTCTGTTAGCTGAGTACACACATCACAAACTTGTTTCTGAGAATCCTTCTGTCTCGGTTTTTATGGGAAGATATTTACTTTTTCACTGTAGGCATCAAAGCTGCTCCAAATGTCCACATCCAGATACTCCAGAAAGAGTGTTTCAAACCTGCTCTATGAAAGGGAATCTTCAACTCTATGAGTTGAATGCAGACATCAGAAAGAAATTTCTGAGAATGCTGCTGTCTACCTTTTATTTGAATTCCCGCTTCCAACGAAATCCTCCAGGCTATCCAAATATCCACTTGCAGATTCAACAAAAAGAGTGTTTCAAAACTGCTCTCTATCAATGGCAAAGTTCAACTCTGTTAGTTGAGGACACATATCACCAACAAGTTTCTGAGAATGCTTCTGTCTAGTTTTTATGGGTAGACATTCCCTTTTTCACCAAAGGAATCAAAGCGCTCCAAATGTCCACTTCCAGACACTACAAAAAGAGTGTTTCAAACGTGCTCTAAGAAAGGGAATGTTCAACTCTGTGACTTGAATGCAGATATCACACAGTAGTTTCTGAGAGTGCTTCTGTCTAGATTTTAGATGATGATATTCCCGTTTCCAACGAAATCATTAGAGCTATCCAAATATCCACTTACAGTTTCTACAAAAAGAGTGTTTCCAAACTGCTGCATCAAAAGAGAGGTTCCACTCTGTTAGCTGAGTACACACATCACAAACTTGTTTCTCAGAATCCTTCTGTCTCGTTTTTATGGGAAGATTATACTTTTTCACCATAGGCATCAAAGCGCTCCAAATGTCCACATCCAGATACTCCAGAAAGAGTGTTTCAAACCTGCTCTATGAAAGGGAATCTTCAACTCTATGAGTTGAATGCAGACATCAGAAAGAAATTTCTGAGAATGCTGCTGTCTAGTTTTTATACGAATTCCCGCTTCCAACGAAATCCTCCAAGCTATCCAAATATCCACTTGCAGATTCCACAAAAAGAGTGTTTCAAAACTGCTCTCTATCAATGGCAAAGTTCAACTCTGTTAGTTGAGGACACATATCACCAACAAGTTTCTGAGAATGCTCTGTCTATTTTTTATGGGAAGATATTTCCTTTTTCAGCGTAGGCGTCAAGGCGATCGAAATGTCCACTTCCACAAACTACAAAAAGAGTGTTTCAAACCTGCTCTATGAAAGGCCATGTTCATCCTGCTATGAGTTGAATGGAAATATCCGAAAGAAATTTCCTGGGAATGCTGGCTGTCTAGTGTTTATACGAATTCCCGCTTCCAACGAAATCCTCAAAGCAATCCAAATATCCACTTGCAGAATCCACAAAAAGAGTGTTTCAAAACTGCTCTATCAATAGAAAGGTTCAACTCTTTTAGTTGAGTACACACATCACCAACAAGTTTCTGAGAATGCTTCTGTCTGGCTTTTATTGGAAGACGTTTCCTTTTCACCAAAGGCATCAAAGCGCTCCAAATGTCCACTTCCAGATTCTTCCAAAAGAGTGTTTCAAACGTGCTCAAAGTAAGGGAATGTTCAACTCTGTGACTTGAATGCAGATATCACCAAGTAGTTTCTAATAGTGCTTCTGTCTACATTTTAGATGATGATATTCCCGTTTCCAACGAAATCGTTAGAGCTAAGCAAATATCCAGTTACAGTTTCTACCAAAAGGGTGTTTCCAAATTGCTGCATCAAAAGAAAGGTTCAACTCTGTTAGTTGAGGACACACATCACAAAGAAGTTTGTGAGAATGCTTCTGTCTAGATTTTAGATGATGATATTCCCGTTTCCAACGAAATCATTAGAGCTATCCAAATATCCACTTACAGTTTCTACAAAAAGTGTGTTTCCAAACTGCTGCATCCAAAGAGAGGTTCCACTCTGTTAGCTGAGTACACACATCACAAACTTGTTTCTCAGAATCCTCTGTCTCGTTTTTCTGGGAAGATATTTACTTTTTCACCGTAGGCATCAAAGCGCTCCAAATGTCCACATCCAGATACTCCAGAAAGAGTGTTTCAAACCTGCTCCTATGAAAGGGAATCTTCAACTCTATGAGTTGAATGCAGACATCAGAAAGAAATTTCTGAGAATGCTGGCTGTCTACCTTTTATTTGAATTCCCGCTTCCAACGAAATCCTCCAAGCTATCCAAATATCCACTTGCATTTTCCACAAAAAGAGTGTTTCAAAACTGCTCTATCAATAGAAATGTTCAACTCCTTTGGCTGGGTACACACATCACAAACAAGTTTCTGAGAATGCTTCTGTCTAGTTTTTATGGGAAGACATTTCCTTTTTCACCAAAGGCATCAAAGCGCTCCAAATGTCCACTTCCAGATACTACAAAAAGTGTGTTTCAAAAGTGCTGTAAGAAAGCGAATGTTCAACTCTGTGACTTGAATGCAGATATCACAAAGTAGTTTCTGAGAGTGCTTCTGTCTAGATTTTAGATGATGATATTCCCGTTTCCAACGAAGTCATTAGAGCTATCCAAATGTGCACTTACAGTTTCTACAAAAAGAGTGTTTCCAAACTGCTGTGTCAAAAGAGAGGTTCCACTCTGTTAGCTGAGTACACACATCACAAACTTGTTTCTGAGAATCCTTCTGTCTCGTTTTTATGGGAAGATATTTACCTTTTCACCGTAGGCATCAAAGCGCTACAAATGTCCACATCCAGATACTCCAGAAAGAGTGTTTCAAACCTGCTCTATGAAAGGGAATCTTCAACTCTATGAGTTGAATGCAGACATCAGAAAGAAATTTCTGAGAATGCTGCTGTCTACCTTTTATTTGAATTCCCGCTTCCAACGAAATCCTCCAAGCTATCCAAATATCCACCTGCAGATTCCACAAAAAGAGTGTTTCAAAACTGCTCTATCAATAGAAATGTTCAAGTCCTTTAGCTGGGTACACACATCACAAACAAGTTTCTGAGAATGCTTCTGTCTATTTTTTATGGGAAGATATTTCCTTTTTCACCGTAGGCGTCAAGGCGATCGAAATGTCCACTTCCACAAACTACAAAAAGAGTGTTTCAAACCTGCTCTATGAAAGGCCATGTTCATCTCTATGAGTTGAATGGAAATATCCGAAAGAAATTTCTGGGAATGCTGCTGTCTAGTTTTTATACGAATTCCCGCTTCCAACGAAATCCTCAAAGCAATCCAAATATCCACTTGCAGAATCCACAAAAAGAGTGTTTCAAAACTGCTCTATTAATAGAAAGGTTCAACTCTTTTAGTTGAGTACACACATCACAAACAAGTTTCTGAGAATGCTTCTGTCTGGCTTTTATTGGAAGACGTTTCCTTTTCACCAAAGGCATCAAAGCGCTCCAAATGTCCACTTCCAGATTCTTCCAAAAGAGTGTTTGAAACGTGCTCAAAGTAAGGGAATGTTCAACTCTGTGACTTGAATGCAGATATCACCAAGTAGTTTCTAATAGTGCTCCTGTCTAGATTTTAGATGATGATATTCCCGTTTCCAACGAAATCGTTAGAGCTATCCAAATATCCAGTTACAGTTTCTACCAAAAGGGTGTTTCCAAACTGCTGCATCAAAAGAAAGGTTCAACTCTGTTAGTTGAGGACACACATCACAAAGAAGTTTGTGAGAATGCTTCTGTCTAGATTTTGTATGACGATATTCCCTTTTCCAACGATATCGTTAAAGCAATCTAAATATCCATTTGCAGAATCCACAAAAATAGAGTTTCAAAGCTGCTCTGTAAAAAGAAAGGTTCCACTCTGTTAGCTGAGTACACACATCACAAACTTGTTTCTGAGAATCCTTCTGTCTCGTTTTTATGGGAAGATATTTACTTTTTCACCGTAGGCATCAAAGGGCTCCAAATGTCCACATCCAGATACTCCAGAAAGAGTGTTTCAAACCTGCTCTATGAAAGGGAATGTTCAACTCTATGAGTTGAATGCAGACATCAGAAAGAAATTTCTGAGAATGCTGCTGTCTACCTTTTATTTGAATTCCCGCTTCCAACGAAATCCTCCAAGCTATCCAAATATCCACCTGCATTTTCCACAAAAAGAGTGTTTCAAAACTGCTCTATCAATAGAAATGTTCAACTCCTTTGGCTGGGTACACACATCACAAACAAGTTTCTGAGAATGCTTCTGTCTAGTTTTTATGGGTAGACATTCCCTTTTTCACCAAAGGAATCAAAGCGCTCCAAAAGTCCACTTCCAGACACTACAAAAAGAGTGTTTCAAACGTGCTCTAAGAAAGCGAATGTTCAACTCTGTGACTTGAATGCAGATATCACAAAGTAGTTTCTGAGAGTGCTTCTGTCTAGATTTTAGATGATGATATTCCCGTTTCCAACGAAATCATTAGAGCTATCCAAATATCCACTTACAGTTTCTACAAAAAGAGTGTTTCCAAACTGCTGCATCAAAGGAGAGGTTCCAATCTGTTAGCTGAGTACACACATCACAAACTTGTTTCTCAGAATCCTTCTGTCTCGTTTTTATGGGAAGATATTTACTTTCTCACCGTAGGCATCAAAGCGCTCCAAATGTCCACATCCAGATACTCCAGAAAGAGTGTTTCAAACCTGCTCTATGAAAGGGAATCTTCAACTCTATGAGTTGAATGCAGACATCAGAAAGAAATTTCTGAGAATGCTGCTGTCTACCTTTTATTTGAATTCCCGCTTCCAACGAAATCCTCCAAGCTATCCAAATATCCACTTGCAGATTCCACAAAAAGAGTGTTTCAAAACTGCTCTCTATCAATGGCAAAGTTCAACTCTGTTAGTTGAGGACACATATCACCAACAAGTTTCTGAGAATGCTTCTGTCTATTTTTTATGGGAAGATATTTCCTTTATCACCGTAGGCGTCAAGGCGATCGAAATGTCCACTTCCACAAACTACAAAAAGAGTGTTTCAAACCTGCTCTATGAAAGCCCATGTTCATCTCTATGAGTTGAATGGAAATATCCGAAAGAAATTTCTGGGAATGCTGCTGTCTAGTGTTTATACGAATTCCCGCTTCCAACGAAATCCTCAAAGCAATCCAAATATCCACTTGCAGAATCCACAAAAAGAGTGTTTCAAAACTGCTCTATCAATAGAAAGGTTCAACTCTTTTAGTTGAGTACACACATCACGAACAAGTTTCTGAGAATGCTTCTGTCTGGCTTTTATTGGAAGACGTTTCCTTTTCACCAAAGGCATCAAAGCGCTCCAAATGTCCACTTCCAGATACTTCCAAAAGAGTGTTTCAAACGTGCTCAAAGTAAGGGAATGTTCAACTCTGTGACTTGAATGCAGATATCACCAAGTAGTTTCTAATAGTGCTTCTGTCTAGATTTTAGATGATGATATTCCCGTTTCCAACGAAATCGTTAGAGCTATCCAAATATCCACTTACAGTTGCTACAAAAACAGTGTTTCCAAACTGCTGCATCAAAAGAAAGGTTCAACTCTGTTAGTTGAGGACACACGTCACAAAGAAGTTTGTGAGAATGCTTCTGTCTAGATTTTGTATGAGGATATTCCCTTTTCCAACGATATCGTTAAAGCAATCTAAATATCAATTTGCAGAATCCACAAAAATAGACTTTCAAAGCTGCTCTGTAAAAAGAAAGGTTCCACTCCGTTAGCTGAGTACACACATCACAAACTTGTTTCTCAGAATCCTTCTGTCTCGTTTTTATGGGAAGATATTTACTTTTCCACCGTAGGCATCAAAGCGCTCCAAATGTCCACATCCAGATACTCCAGAACGAGTGTTTCAAACCTGCTCTATGAAAGGGAATCTTCAACTCTATGAGTTGAATGCAGACATCAGAAAGAAATTTCTGAGAATGCTGCTGTCTACCTTTTATTTGAATTCCCGCTTCCAACGAAATCCACCAAGCTATCCAAATATCCACCTGCATTTTCCACAAAAAGAGTGTTTCAAACCTGCTCTATCAATAGAAATGTTCAACTCCTTTGGCTGGGTACACACATCACAAACAAGTTTCTGAGAATGCTTCTGTCTAGTTTTTATGGGTAGACATTCCCTTTTTCACCAAAGGAATCAAAGCGCTCCAAATGTCCACTTCCAGACACTACAAAAAGAGTGTTTCCAACGTGCTCTAAGAAAGCGAATGTTCAACTCTGTGACTTGAATGCAGATATCACAAAGTAGTTTCTGAGAGGGCTTCTGTCTAGATTTTAGATGATGATATTCCCGTTTCCAACGAAATCATTAGAGCTATCCAAATATCCACTTACAGTTTCTACAAAAAGAGTGTTTCCAAACTGCTGCATCAAAAGAGAGGCTCCACTCTGTTAGCTGAGTACACACATCACAAACTTGTTTCTCAGAATCCTTCTGTCTCGTTTTTATGGGAAGATATTTACTTTTTCACCGTAGGCATCAAAGCGCTCCAAATGTCCACATCCAGATACTCCAGAAAGAGTGTTTCAAACCTGCTCTATGAAAGGGAATGTTCAACTCTATGAGTTGAATGCAGACATCAGAAAGAAATTTCTGAGACTGCTGCTGTCTACCTTTTATTTGAATTCCCGCTTCCAACGAAATCCTCCAAGCTATCCAAATATCCACTTGCAGATTCCACAAAAAGAGTGTTTCAAAACTGCTCTCTATCAATGGCAAAGTTCAACTCTGTTAGTTAAGGACACATATCACCAACAAGTTTCTGAGAATGCTTCTGTCTATTTTTTATGGGAAGATATTTCCTTTTTCACCGTAGGCGTCAAGGCGATCGAAATGTCCACTTCCACAAACTACAAAAAGAGTGTTTCAAACCTGCTCTATGAACGGCCATGTTCATCTCTATGAGTCGAATGGAAATATCCGAAAGAAATTTCTGGGAATGCTGCTGTCTAGTTTTTATACGAATTCCCGCTTCCAACGAAATCCTCAAAGCAATCCAAATATCCAATTGCAGAATCCACAAAAAGAGTGTTTCAAAACTGCTCTATCAATAGAAAGGTTCAACTCTTTTAGTTGAGTACACACATCACAAACAAGTTTCTGAGAATGCTTCTGTCTGGCTTTTATTGGAAGACGTTTCCTTTTCACCAAAGGCATCAAAGCGCTCCAAATGTCCACTTCCAGATTCTTCCAAAAGAGTGTTTCAAACGTGCTCAAAGTAAGGGAATGTTCAACTCTTTGACTTGAATGCAGATATCACCAAGTAGTTTCTAATAGTGCTTCTGTCTAGATTTTAGATGATGATATTCCCGTTTCCAACGAAATCGTTAGAGCTATCCAAATATCCACTTACAGTTGCTACAAAAACAGTGTTTCCAAACTGCTGCATCAAAAGAAAGGTTCAACTCTGTTAGTTGAGGACACACGTCACAAAGAAGTTTGTGAGAATGCTTCTGTCTAGATTTTGTATGACGATATTCCCTTTTCCAACGATATCGTTAAAGCAATCTAAATATCAATTTGCAGAATCCACAAAAATAGAGTTTCAAAGCTGCTCTGTAAAAAGAAAGGTTCCACTCTGTTAGCTGAGTACACACATCACAAACTTGATTCTGAGAATCCTTCTGTCTCGTTTTTATGGGAAGATATTTACTTTTTCACCGTAGGCATCAAAGCGCTCCAAATGTCCACATCCAGATACTCCAGAAAGAGTGTTTCAAACCTGCTCTATGAAAGGGAATCTTCAACTCTATGAGTTGAATGCAGACATCAGAAAGAAATTTCTGAGAATGCTGCTGTGTACCTTTTATTTGAATTCCCGCTTCCAACGAAATCCTCCAAGCTATCCAAATATCCACCTGCATTTTCCACAACAAGAGTGTTTCAAAACTGCTCTATCAATAGAAATGTTCAACTCCTTTGGCTGGGTACACACATCACAAACAAGTTTCTGAGAATGCTTCTGTCTAGTTTTTATGGGAAGACGTTCTCTTTTTCACCAAAGGCATCAAAGCGCTCCAAATGTCCACTTCCAGACACTACAAAAAGAGTGTTTCCAACGTGCTCTAAGAAAGCGAATATTCAACTCTGTGACTTGAATGCAGATATCACAAAGTAGTTTCTGAGAGGGCTTCTGTCTAGATTTTAGATGATGATATTCCCGTTTCCAACAAAATCATTAGAGCTATCCAAATATCCACTTACAGTTTCTACAAAAAGAGTGTTTCCAAACTGCTGCATCAAAAGAGAGGTTCCACTCTGTTAGCTGAGTACACACATCACAAACTTGTTTCTCAGAATCCTTCTGTCTCGTTTTTATGGGAAGATATTTACTTTTTCACCGTAGGCATCAAAGCGCTCCAAATGTCCACATCCAGATACTACAGAAAGAGTATTTCAAACCTGCTCTATGAAAGGGAATGTTCAACTCTATGAGTTGAATGCAGACATCAGAAAGAAATTTCTGAGAATGCTGGCTGTCTACCTTTTATTTGAATTCCCGCTTCCAACGAAATCCTCCAAGCTATCCAAATATCCACTTGCAGATTCCACAAAAAGAGTGTTTCAAAACTGCTCTCTATCAATGGCAAAGTTCAACTCTGTTAGTTGAGGACACATATCACCAACAAGTTTCTGAGAATGCTCTGTCTATTTTTTATGGGAAGATATTTCCTTTTTCACCGTAGGCGTCAAGGCGATCGAAATGTCCACTTCCACAAACTACAAAAAGAGTGTTTCAAACCTGCTCTATGAAAGGCCATGTTCATCTCTATGAGTCGAATGGAAATATCCGAAAGAAATTTCTGGGAATGCTGGCTGTCTAGTTTTTATACGAATTCCCGCTTACAACGAAATCCTCAAAGCAATCCAAATATCCACTTGCAGAATCCACAAAAAGAGTGTTTCAAAACTGCTCTATCAATAGAAAGGTTCAACTCTTTTAGTTGAGTACACACATCACGAACAAGTTTCTGAGAATGCTTCTGTCTGGCTTTTATTGGAAGACGTTTCCTTTTCACCAAAGGCATCAAAGCGCTCCAAATGTCCACTTCCAGATTCTTCCAAAAGAGTGTTTGAAACGTGCTCAAAGTAAGGGAATGTTCAACTCTGTGACTTGAATGCAGATATCACCAAGTAGTTTCTAATAGTGCTTCTGTCTAAATTTTAGATGACGATATTCCCGTTTCCAACGAAATCGTTACAGCTATCCAATTATCCACTTACAGTTTCTACAAAAAGAGTGTTTCCAAACTGCTGCATCAAAAGAAAGGTTCAACTCTGTTAGTTGAGGACACACATCACAAAGAAGTTTGTGAGAATGCTTCTGTGTAGATTTTAGATGATGATATTCCCGTTTCCAACGAAATCATTAGAGCTATCCAAATATCCACTTACAGTTTCTACAAAAAGAGTGTTTCCAAACTGCTGCATCAAAAGAGAGGTTCCACTCTGTTAGCTGAGTACACACATCACAAACTTGTTTCTCAGAATCCTTGTCTGTCTCGTTTTTATGGGAGGATATTTACTTTTTCACCGTAGGCATCAAAGCCCTCCAAATGTCCACATCCAGATACTCCAGAAAGAGTGTTTCAAACCTGCTCTATGAAAGGGAATCTTCAACTCTATGAGTTGAATGCAGACATCAGAAAGAAATTTCTGAGAATGCTGCTGTCTACCTTTTATTTGAATTCCCGCTTCCAACGAAATCCTCCAAGCTATCCAAATATCCACTTGCATTTTCCACAAAAAGAGTGTTTCAAAACTGCTCTATCAATAGAAATGTTCAACTCCTTTAGCTGGGTACACACATCACAAACAAGTTTCTGAGAATGCTTCTGTCTAGTTTTTATGGGAAGACATTCCCTTTTTTACCAAAGGCATCAAAGCGCTCCAAATGTCCACTTCCAGACACTACAAAAAGAGTGTTTCAAACGTGCTCTAAGAAAGCGAATGTTCAACTCTGTGACTTGAATGCAGATATCACAAAGTAGTTTCTGAGAGGGCTTCTGTCTAGATTTTAGATGATGATATTCCCGTTTCCAACGAAATCATTAGAGCTATCCAAATATCCACTTACAGTTTCTACAAAAAGAGTGTTTCCAAACTGCTGCATCAAAAGAGAGGTTCCACTCTGTTAGCTGAGTACACACAACACAAACTTGTTTCTCAGAATCCTTCTGTCTCGTTTTTATGGGAAGATATTTACTTTCTCACCGTAGGCCTCAAAGCGCTCCAAATGTCCACATCCAGATACTCCAGAAAGAGTGTTTCAAACCTGCTCTATGAAAGGGAATCTTCAACTCTATGAGCTGAATCAGACATCAGAAAGAAATTTCTGAGAATGCTGCTGTCTACCTTTTATTTGAATTCCCGCTTCCAACGAAATCCTCCAAGCTATCCAAATATCCACTTGCAGATTCCACAAAAAGAGTGTTTCAAAACTGCTCTCTATCAATGGCAAAGTTCAACTCTGTTAGTTGAGGACACATATCACCAACAAGTTTCTGAGAATGCTTCTGTCTATTTTTTATGGGAAGATATTTCCTTTTTCACCGTAGGCGTCAAGGCGATCGAAATGTCCACTTCCACAAACTACAAAAAGAGTGTTTCAAACCTGCTCTATGAAAGGCCATGTTCATCTCTATGAGTCGAATGGGAATTATCCGAAAGAAATTTCTGGGAATGCTGCTGTCTAGTTTTTATACGAATTGCCGCTTCCAACGAAATCCTCAAAGCAATCCAAATATCCACTTGCAGAATCCACAAAAAGAGTGTTTCAAAACTGCTCTATCAATAGAAAGGTTCAACTCTTTTAGTTGAGTACACACATCACAAACAAGTTTACTGAGAATGCTCTGTCTGGCTTTTATTGGAAGACGTTTCCTTTTCACCAAAGGCATCAAAGCGCTCCAAATGTCCACTTCCAGATTCTTCCAAAAGAGTGTTTCAAACGTGCTCGAAGTAAGGGAATGTTCAACTCTGTGACTTGAATGCAGATATCACCAAGTAGTTTCTAATAGTGCTTCTGTCTAGATTTTAGATGATGATATTCCCGTTTCCAACGAAATCGTTAGAGCTATCCAAATATCCACTTACAGTTTCTACAAAAAGAGTGTTTCCAAACTGCTGCATCAAAAGAAAGGTTCAACTCTGTTAGTTGAGGACACACATCACAAAGAAGTTTGTGAGAATGCTTCTGTCTAGATTTTGTATGACCATATTCCCTTTTCCAGCGATATCATTAAAGCAATCTAAATATCCATTTGCAGAATCCACAAAAATAGAGTTTCAAAGCTGCTCTGTAAAAAGAAAGGTTCCACTCTGTTAGCTGAGTACACACATCACAAACTTGTTTCTGAGAATCCTTCTGTCTCGTTTTTATGGGAAGATATTTACTTTTTCACCGTAGGCATCAAAGCGCTCCAAATGTCCACATCCAGATACTCCAGAAAGAGTGTTTCAAACCTGCTCTATGAAAGGGAATCTTGAACTCTATGAGTTGAATGCAGACATCAGAAAGAAATTTCTGAGAATGCTGCTGTCTACCTTTTATTTGAATTCCCGCTTCCAACGAAATCCTCCAAGCTATCCAAATATCCACCTGCATTTTCCACAAAAAGAGCGTTTCAAAACTGCTCTATCAATAGAAATGTTCAACTCCTTTGGCTGGGTACACACATCACAAACAAGTTTCTGAGAATGCTTCTGTCTACTTTTTATGGGAAGACGTTCCCTTTTTCACCAAAGGCATCAAAGTGCTCCAAATGTCCACTTCCAGACACTACAAAAAGAGTGTTTCCAACGTGCTCTAAGAAAGCGAATGTTCAACTCTGTTACTTGAATGCAGATATCACAAAGTAGTTTCTGAGAGGGCTTCTGTCTAGATTTTAGATGATGATATTCCCGTTTCCAACGAAATCATTAGAGCTATCCAAATATCCACATACAGTTTCTACAAAAAGAGTGTTTCCAAACTGCTGCATCAAAAGACAGGTTCCACTCTGTTAGCTGAGTACACACATCACAAACTTGTTTCTCAGAATCCTGCTGTCTACCTTTTATTTGAATTCCCGCTTCCAACGAAATCCTCCAAGCTATTCAAATATCCACTTGCATTTTCCACAAAAAGAGTGTTTCAAAACTGCTCTATCAATAGAAACGTTCAACTCCTTTAGCTGGGTACACACATCACAAACAAGTTTCTGAGAATGCTTCTGTCTATTTTTTATGGGAAGATATTTCCTTTTTCACCGTAGGCGTCAAGGCGATCGAAATGTCCACTTCCACAAACTACAAAAAGAGTGTTTCAATATGAAAGGCCATGTTCATCTCTATGAGTTGAATGGAAATATCCGAAAGAAATTTCTGGGAATGCTGCTGTCTAGTGTTTATACGAATTCCCGCTTCCAACGAAATCCTCAAGGCAATCCAAATATCCACTTGCAGAATCCACAAAAAGAGGGTTTCAAAACTGCTCTATCAATAGAAAGGTTCAACTCTTTTAGTTGAGTACACACATCACAAACAAGTTTCTGAGAATGCTTCTGTCTGGCTTTTATTGGAAGACGTTTCCTTTTCACCAAAGGCATCAAAGCGCTCCAAATGTCCACTTCCAGATTCTTCCAAAAGAGTGTTTCAAACGTGCTCAAAGTAAGGGAATGTTCAACTCTTTGACTTGAATGCAGATATCACCAAGTAGTTTCTAATAGTGCTTCTGTCTAGATTTTAGATGATGATATTCCCGTTTCCAACGAAATCGTTAGAGCTATCCAAATATCCACTTACAGTTTCTACAAAAAGAGTGTTTCCAAACTGCTGCATCAAAAGAAAGGTTCAACTCTGTTAGTTGAGGACACACATCACAAAGAAGTTTGTGAGAATGCTTCTGTCCAGATTTTGTATGACGATATTCCCTTTTCCAACGATATCGTTAAAGCAATCTAAATATCCATTTGCAGAATCCACAAAAATAGAGTTTCAAAGCTGCTCTGTAAAAAGAATGGTTCCACTCTGTTAGCTGAGTACACACATCACAAACTTGTTTCTGAGAATCCTTCTGTCTCGTTTTTATGGGAAGATATTTACTTTTTCACCTTAGGCATCAAAGCGCTCCAAATGTCCACATCCAGATACTCCAGAAAGAGTGTTTCAAACCTGCTCTATGAAAGGGAATCTTCAACTCTATGAGTTGAATGCAGACATCAGAAAGAAATTTCTGAGAATGCTGTTGTCTACCTTTTATTTGAAATCCCGCTTCCAACGAAATCCTCCAAGCTATCCAAATATCCACTTGCATTTTCCACAAAAAGAGTGTTTCAAAACTGCTCTATCAATAGAAATGTTCAACTCCTTTAGCTGGGTACACACATCACAAACAAGTTTCTGAGAATGCTTCTGTCTAGTTTTTATGGGAAGACGTTCCCTTTTTCACCAAAGGCATCAAAGCGCTCCAAATGTCCACTTCCAGACACTACAAAAAGAGTGTTTCAAACGTGCTCTAAGAAAGCAAATGTTCAACTCTGTGACTTGAATGCAGATATCACAAAGTAGTTTCTGAGAGTGCTTCTGTCTAGATTTTAGATGATGATATTCCCGTTTCCAACGAAATCATTAGAGCTATCCAAATATCCACTTACAGTTTCCACAAAAAGAGTGTTTCCAAACTGCTGCATCAAAAGAGAGGTTCCACTCTGTTAGCTGAGTACACACATCACAAACTTGTTTCTGAGAATCCTTCTGTCTCGTTTTTATGGGAAGATATTTACTTTTTCACCGTAGGCATCAAAGCGCTCCAAATGTCCACATCCAGATACTCCAGAACGAGTGTTTCAAACCTGCTCTATGAAAGGGAATGTTCAACTCTATGAGTTGAATGCAGACATCAGAAAGAAATTTCTGAGAATGCTGCTGTCTACCTTTTATTTGAATTCCCGCTTCCAACGAAATCCTCCAAGCTATCCAAATATCCACTTGCAGATTCAGGAAAAAGAGTGTTTCAAAACTGCTCTCTATCAATGGCAAAGTTCAACTCTGTTAGTTGAGGACACATATCACCAACAAGTTTCTGAGAATGCTTCTGTCTATTTTTTATGGGAAGATATTTCCTTTTTCACCGTAGGCGTCAAGGCGATCGAAATGTCCACTTCCACAAACTACAAAAAGAGTGTTTCAAACCTGCTCTATGAAAGGCCATGTTCATCTCTATGAGTCGAATGGAAATATCCGAAAGAAATTTCTGGGAATGCTGCTGTCTAGTTTTTATATGAATTCCCGCTTCCAACGAAAGCCTCAAAGCAATCCAAATATCCACTTGCAGAATCCACAAAAAGAGTGTTTCAAAACTGCTCTATCAATAGAAAGGTTCAACTCTTTTAGTTGAGTACACACATCACCAACAAGTTTCTGAGAATGCTTCTGTCTGGCTTTTATTGGAAGACGTTTCCTTTTCACCAAAGGCATCAAAGCGCTCCAAATGTCCACTTCCAGATTCTTCCAAAAGAGTGTTTCAAACGTGCTCAAAGTAAGGGAATGTTCAACTCTTTGACTTGAATGCAGATATCACCAAGTAGTTTCTAATAGTGCTTCTGTCTAGATTTTAGATGATGATATTCCCGTTTCCAACGAAATCGTTAGAGCTATCAAAATATCCACTTACAGTTTCTACCAAAAGGGTGTTTCCAAACTGCTGCATCAAAAGAAAGGTTCAACTCTGTTAGTTGAGGACACACATCACAAAGAAGTTTGTGAGAATGCTTCTGTCTAGATTTTGTATGACGATATTCCCTTTTCCAACGATATCGTTAAAGCAATCTAAATATCCATTTGCAGAATCCACAAAAATAGAGTTTCAAAGCTGCTCTGTAAAAAGAAAGGTTCCACTCTGTTAGCTGAGTACACACATCACAAACTTGTTTCTCAGAATCCTTCTGTCTCGTTTTTCTGGGAAGATATTTACTTTTTCACCGTAGGCATCAAAGCGCTCCAAATGTCCACATCCAGATACTCCAGAAAGAGTGTTTCAAACCTGCTCTATGAAAGGGAATCTTCAACTCTGTGAGTTGAATGCAGACATCAGAAAGAAATTTCTGAGAATGCTGCTGTCTACCTTTTATTTGAATTCCCGCTTCCAACGAAATCCTCCAAGCTATCCAAATATCCACTTGCATTTTCCACAAAAAGAGTGTTTCAAAACTGCTCTATCAATAGAAATGTTCAACTCCTTTAGCTGGGTACACACATCACAAACAAGTTTCTGAGAATGCTTCTGTCTACTTTTTATGGGAAGACATTCCCTTTTTCACCAAAGGCATCAAAGCGCTCCAAATGTCCACTTCCAGACACTACAAAAAGAGTGTTTCCAACGTGCTCTAAGAAAGCGAATGTTCAACTCTGTGACTTGAATGCAGATATCACAAAGTAGTTTCTGAGAGGGCTTCTTTCTAGATTTTAGATGATGATATTCCCGTTTCCAACGAAATCATTAGAGCTATCCAAATATCCACTTACAGTTTCTACAAAAAGAGTGTTTCCAAACTGCTGCATCAAAAGAGAGGTTCCACTCTGTTAGCTGAGTACACACATCACAAACTTGTTTCTCAGAATCCTTCTGTGTCGTTTTTATGGGAAGATATTTACTTTTTCACCGTAGGCATCAAAGCGCTCCAAATGTCCACATCCAGATACTCCAGAAAGAGTGTTTCAAACCTGCTCTATGAAAGGGAATCTTCAACTCTATGAGTTGAATGCAGACATCAGAAAGAAATTTCTGAGAATGCTGCTGTCTACTTTTTATTTGAATTCCCGCTTCCAACGAAATCCTCCAAGCTATCCAAATATCCACTTGCAGATTCCACAAAAAGAGTGTTTCAAAACTGCTCTCTATCAATGGCAAAGTTCAACTCTGTTAGTTGAGGACACATATCACCAACAAGTTTCTGAGAATGCTTCTGTCTATTTTTTATGGGAAGATATTTCCTTTTTCACCGTAGGCGTCAAGGCGATCGAAATGTCCACTTCCACAAACTACAAAAAGAGTGTTTCAAACCTGCTCTATGAAAGGCCATGTTCATCTCTATGAGTTGAATGGAAATATCCGAAAGAAATTTCTGGGAATGCTGCTGTCTAGTGTTTATACGAATTCCCGCTTCCAACGAAATCCTCAAAGCAATCCAAATATCCACTTGCAGAATCCACAAAAAGAGTGTTTCAAAACTGCGCTATCCAAAGAAAGGTTCAACTCTTTTAGTTGAGTACACACATCACGAACAAGTTTCTGAGAATGCTTCAGTCTGGCTTTTATTGGAAGACGTTTCCTTTTCACCAAAGGCATCAAAGCGCTCCAAATGTCCACTTCCAGATTCTTCCAAAAGAGTGTTTGAAACGTGCCCAAAGTAAGGGAATGTTCAACTCTGTGACTTGAATGCAGATATCACCAAGTAGTTTCTAATAGTGCTTCTGTCTAGATTTTAGATGATGATATTCCCGTTTCCAACGAAATCGTTAGAGCTATCCAAATATCCACTTACAGTTTCTACAAAAAGAGTGTTTCCAAACTGCTGCATCAAAAGAAAGGTTCAACTCTGTTAGTTGAGGACACACATCACAAAGAAGTTTGTGAGAATGCTTCTGTCTAGATTTTGTATGACCATATTCCCTTTTCCAGCGATATCATTAAAGCAATCTAAATATCCATTTGCAGAATCCACAAAAATAGAGTTTCAAAGCTGCTGCTGTAAAAAGAAAGGTTCCACTCTGTTAGCTGAGTACACACATCACAAACTTGTCTCTCAGAATCCTCTGTCTCGTTTTTATGGGAAGATATTTACTTTTTCACCGTAGGCATCAAAGCGCTCCAAATGTCCACATCCAGATACTCCAGAAAGAGTGTTTCAAACCTGCTCTATGAAAGGGAATCTTCAACTCTATGAGTTGAATGCAGACATCAGAAAGAAATTTCTGAGAATGCTGCTGTCTACCTTTTATTTGAATTCCCGCTTCCAACGAAATCCTCCAAGCTATCCAAATATCCACCTGCATTTTCCACAAAAAGAGTGTTTCAAAACTGCTCTATCAATAGAAATGTTCAACTCCTTTGGCTGGGTACACACATCACAAACAAGTTTCTGAGAATGCTTCTGTCTAGTTTTTATGGGTAGACATTCCCTTTTTCACCAAAGGAATCAAAGCCCTCCAAATGTCCACTTCCAGACACTACAAAAAGAGTGTTTCAAACGTGCTCTAAGAAAGCGAATGTTCAACTCTGTGACTTGAATGCAGATATCACAAAGTAGTTTCTGAGAGGGCTTCTGTCTAGATTTTAGATGATGATATTCCCGTTTCCAACGAAATCATTAGAGCTATCCAAATATCCACTTACAGTTTCTACAAAAAGAGTGTTTCCAAACTGCTGCATCAAAAGAGAGGTTCCACTCTGTTAGCTGAGTACACACATCACAAACTTGTTTCTCAGAATCCTTCTGTCTCGTTTTTATGGGAAGATATTTACTTTTTCACCGTAGGCATCAAAGCGCTCCAAATGTCCACATCCAGATACTACAGAAAGAGTATTTCAAACCTGCCCTATGAAAGGGAATGTTCAACTCTATGAGTTGAATGCAGAGATCAGAAAGAAATTTCTGAGAATGCTGCTGTCTACCCTTTATTTGAATTCCCGCTTCCAACGAAATCCTCCAAGCTATCCAAATATCCACTTGCAGATTCCACAAAAAGAGTGTTTCAAAACTGCTCTCTATCAATGGCAAAGTTCAACTCTGTTAGTTGAGGACACATATCACCAACAAGTTTCTGAGAATGCTTCTGTCTATTTTTTATGGGAAGATATTTCCTTTTTCACCGTAGGCGTCAAGGCGATCGAAATGTCCACTTCCACAAACTACAAAAAGAGTGTTTCAAACCTGCTCTATGAAAGGCCATGTTCATCTCTATGAGTCGAATGGAAATATCCGAAAGAAATTTCTGGGAATGCTGCTGTCTAGTGTTTATACGAATTCCCGCTTCCAACGAAATCCTCAACCAATCCAAATATCCACTTGCAGAATCCACAAAAAGAGTGTTTCAAAACTGCTCTATCAATAGAAAGGTTCAACTCTTTTAGTTGAGTACACACATCACAAACAAGTTTCTGAGAATGCTTCTGTCTGGCTTTTATTGGAAGACGTTTCCTTTTCACCAAAGGCATCAAAGCGCTCCAAATGTCCACTTCCAGATTCTTCCAAAAGAGTGTTTCAAACGTGCTCAAAGTAAGGGAATGTTCAACTCTGTGACTTGAATGCAGATATCACCAAGTAGTTTCTAATAGTGCTTCTGTCTAGATTTTAGATGATGATATTCCCGTTTCCAACGAAATCGTTAGAGCTAAGCAAATATCCAGTTACAGTTTCTACCAAAAGGGTGTTTCCAAATTGCTGCATCAAAAGAAAGGTTCAACTACTGTTAGTTGAGGACACACATCACAAAGAAGTTTGTGAGAATGCTTCTGTCTAGATTTTGTATGACGATATTCCCTTTTCCAATGATATCGTTAAAGCAATCTAAATATCAATTTGCAGAATCCACAAAAATAGAGTTTCAAAGCTGCTCTGTAAAAAGAAAGGTTCCACTCCGTTAGCTGAGTACACACATCACAAACTTGTTTCTCAGAATCCTGCTGTCTACCTTTTATTTGAACTCCCGCTTCCAACGAAATCCTCCAAGCTATCCAAATATCCACTTGCATTTTCCACAAAAAGAGTGCTTCAAAACTGCTCTATCAATAAATGTTCAACTCCTTTAGCTGGGTGCACACATCACAAACAAGTTTCTGAGAATGCTTCTGTCTGGTTTTTATGGGAAGACATTCCCTTTTTCACCAAAGGCATCAAAGCGCTCCAAATGTCCACTTCCAGACACTACAAAAAGAGTGTTTCCAACGTGCTCTAAGAAAGCGAATGTTCAACTCTGTGACTTGAATGCAGATATCACAAAGTAGTTTCTGAGAGGGCTTCTGTCTAGATTTTAGATGATGATATTCCCGTTTCCAACGAAATCATTAGAGCTATCCAAATATCCACTTACAGTTTCTACAAAAAGAGTGTTTCCAAACTGCTGCATCAAAAGAGAGGTTCCACTCTGTTAGCTGAGTACACACATCACAAACTTGTTTCTCAGAATCCTTCTGTCTCGTTTTTATGGGAAGATATTTACTTTTTCACCGTAGGCATCAAAGCACTCCAAATGTCCACATCCAGATACTCCAGAAAGAGTGTTTCAAACCTGCTCTATGAAAGGGAATCTTCAACTCTATGAGTTGAATGCAGACATCAGAAAGAAATTTCTGAGAATGCTGCTGTCTACCTTTTATTTGAATTCCCGCTTCCAACGAAATCCTCCAAGCTATCCAAATATCCACTTGCAGATTCCACAAAAAGAGTGTTTCAAAACTGCTCTCTATCAATGGCAAAGTTCAACTCTGTTAGTTGAGGACACATATCACCAACAAGTTTCTGAGAATGCTTCTGTCTATTTTTTATGGGAAGATATTTCCTTTTTCACCGTAGGCGTCAAGGCGATCGAAATGTCCACTTCCACAAACTACAAAAAGAGTGTTTCAAACCTGCTCTATGAAAGGCGATGTTCATCTCTATGAGTTGAATGGAAATATCCGAAAGAAATTTCTGGGAATGCTGCTGTCTAGTTTTTATACGAATTCCCGCTTCCAACGAAATCCTCAAAGGAATCCAAATATCCACTTGCAGAATCCACAAAAAGAGTGTTTCAAAACTGCTCTATCAATAGAAAGGTTCAACTCTTTTAGTTGAGTACACACATCACAAACAAGTTTCTGAGAATGCTTCTGTCTGGCTTGTATTGGAAGACGTTTCCTTTTCACCAAAGGCATCAAAGCGCTCCAAATGTCCACTTCCAGATTCTTCCAAAAGAGTGTTTCAAACGTGCTCAAAGTAAGGGAATGTTCAACTGCTGTGACTTGAATGCAGATATCACCAAGTAGTTTCTAATAGTGCTTCTGTCTACATTTTAGATGATGATATTCCCGTTTCCAACAAAATCGTTAGAGCTATCCAAATATCCAGTTACAGTTTCTACCAAAAGGGTGTTTCCAAATTGCTGCATCAAAAGAAAGGTTCAACTCTGTTAGTTGAGGACACACATCACAAAGAAGTTTGTGAGAATGCTTCTGTCTAGATTTTGTATGACGATATTCCCTTTTCCAACGATATCGTTAAAGCAATCTAAATATCAATTTGCAGAATCCACAAAAATAGAGTTTCAAAGCTGCTCTGTAAAAAGAAAGGTTCCACTCTGTTAGCTGAGTACACACATCACAAACTTGTTTCTGAGAAACCTTCTGTCTCGTTTTTATGGGAAGATATTTACTTTTCCACTGTAGGCATCAAAGCGCTCCAAATGTCCACATCCAGATACTCCAGAACGAGTGTTTCAAACCTGCTCTATGAAAAGGAATCTTCAACTCTATGAGTTGAATGCAGAATCAGAAAGAAATTTCTGAGAATGCTGCTGTCTACCTTTTATTTGAACTCCCGCTTCCAACGAAATCTTCCAAGCTATCCAAATATCCACTTGCATTTTCCACAAAAAGAGTGCTTCAAAACTGCTCTATCAATAGAAATGTTCAACTCCTTTAGCTGGGTGCACACATCACAAACAAGTTTCTGAGAATGCTTCTGTCTAGTTTTTATGGGTAGACATTCCCTTTTTCACCAAAGGAATCAAAGCGCTCCAAATGTCCACTTCCAGACACTACAAAAAGAGTGTTTCCAACGTGCTCTAAGAAAGCGAATGTTCAACTCTGTGACTTGAAGGCAGAAATCACAAAGTAGTTTCTGAGAGGGCTTCTGTCTAGATTTTAGATGATGATATTCCCGTTTCCAACGAAATCATTAGAGCTATCCAAATATCCACTTACGGTTTCTACAAAAAGAGTGTTTCCAAACTGCTGCATCAAAAGAGAGGTTCCACTCTGTTAGCTGAGTACACACATCACAAACTTGTTTCTGAGAATCCTTTCTGTCTCGTTTTTATGGGAAGATATTTACTTTCTCACCTTAGGCCTCAAAGCGCTCCAAATGTCCACATCCAGATACTCCAGAAAGAGTGTTTCAAACCTGCTTTATGAAAGGGAATCTTCAACTCTATGAGTTGAATGCAGACATCAGAAAGAAATTTCTGAGAATGCTGCTGTCTACCTTTTATTTGAATTCCCGCTTCCAACGAAATCCTCCAAGCTATCCAAATATCCACTTGCAGATTCCACAAAAAGAGTGTTTCAAAACTGCTCTCTATCAATGGCAAAGTTCAACTCTGTTAGTTGAGGACACATATCACCAACAAGTTTCTGAGAATGCTTCTGTCTATTTTTTATGGGAAGATATTTCCTTTTTCACCGTAGGCGTCAAGGCGATCGAAATGTCCACTTCCACAAACTACAAAAAGAGTGTTTCAAACCTGCTCTATGAAAGGCCATGTTCATCTCTATGAGTTGAATGGAAATATACGAAAGAAATTTCTGGGAATGCTGCTGTCTAGTTTTTATACGAATTCCCGCTTCCAACGAAATCCTCAAAGCAATCCAAATATCCACTTGCAGAATCCACAAAAAGAGTGTTTCAAAACTGCTCTATCAATAGAAAGGTTCAACTCTTTTAGTTGAGTACACACATCACAAACAAGTTTCTGAGAATGCTTCTGTCTGGCTTTTATTGGAAGACGTTTCCTTTTCACCAAAGGCATCATCAAAGCGCTCCAAATGTCCACTTCCAGATTCTTCCAAAAGAGTGTTTCAAACGTGCTCAAAGTAAGGGAATGTTCAACTCTGTGACTTGAATGCAGATATCACCAAGTAGTTTCTAATAGTGCTTTCTGTCTACATTTTAGATGATGATATTCCCTTTTCCAACGAAATCGTTAGAGCTATCCAAATATCCAGTTACAGTTTCTACCAAAAGGGTGTTTCCAAATTGCTGCATCAAAAGAAAGGTTCAACTCTGTTAGTTGAGGACACACATCACAAAGTAAGTTTGTGAGAATGCTTCTGTCTAGTATTTTGTATGACGATATTCCCTTTTCCAACGATATCATTAAAGCAATCTAAATATCCATTTGCAGAATCCACAAAAATAGAGTTTCAAAGCTGCTCTGTAAAAAGAAAGGTTCCACTCTGTTAGCTGAGTACACACATCACAAACTTGTTTCTCAGAATCCTTCTGTCTCGTTTTTATGGGAAGATATTTACTTTTTCACCGTAGGCATCAAAGCGCTCCAAATGTCCACATCCAGATACTCCAGAAAGAGTGTTTCAAACCTGCTCTATGAAAGGGAATCTTCAACTCTATGAGTTGAATGCAGACATCAGAAAGAAATTTCTGAGAATGCTGCTGTCTACCTTTTATTTGAATTCCCGCTTCCAACGAAATCCTCCAAGCTATCCAAATATCCACTTGCATTTTCCACAAAAAGAGTGTTTCAAAACTGCTCTATCAATAGAAATGTTCAACTCCCTTTGGCTGGGTACACACATCACAAACAAGTTTCTGAGAATGCTTCTGTCTAGTTTTTATGGGAAGACGTTCCCTTTTTCACCAAAGGCAACAAAGCGCTCCAAATGTCCACTTCCAGACACTACAAAAAGAGTGTTTCCAACGTGCTCTAAGAAAGCGAATGTTCAACTCTGTGACTTGAATGCAGATATCACAAAGTAGTTTCTGAGAGGGCTTCTGTCTAGATTTTAGATGATGATATTCCCGTTTCCAACGAAATCATTAGAGCTATCCAAATATCCACTTACAGTTTCTACAAAAAGAGTGTTTCCAAACTGCTGCATCAAAAGAGAGGTTCCACTCTGTTAGCTGAGTACACACATCACAAACTTGTTTCTCAGAATCCTTCTGTCTCGTTTTTATGGGAAGATATTTACGTTTCCACCGTAGACATCAAAGCGCTCCAAATGTCCACATCCAGATACTCCAGAAAGAGTGTTTCAAACCTGCTCTATGAAAGGGAATCTTCAACTCTATGAGTTGAATGCAGACATCAGAAAGAAATTTCTGAGAATGCTGCTGTCTACCTTTTATTTGAATTCCCGCTTCCAACGAAATCCTCCAAGCTATCCAAATATCCACTTGCAGATTCCACAAAAAGAGTGTTTCAAAACTGCTCTCTATCAATGGCAAAGTTCAACTCTGTTAGTTGAGGACACATATCACCAACAAGTTTCTGAGAATGCTTCTGTCTATTTTTTATGGGAAGATATTTCCTTTTTCACTGTAGGCGTCAAGGCGATCGAAATGTCCACTTCCACAAACTACAAAAAGAGTGTTTCAAACCTGCTCTATGAAAGGCGATGTTCATCTCAATGAGTTGAATGGAAATATCCGAAAGAAATTTCTGGGAATGCTGCTGTCTTGTTTTTATATGAATTCCCGCTTCCAACGAAATCCTCAAAGCAATCCAAATATCCACTTGCAGAATCCACAAAAAGAGTGTTTCAAAACTGCTCTATCAATAGAAAGGTTCAACTCTTTTAGTTGAGTACATACATCACCAACAAGTTTCTGAGAATGCTTCTGTCTGGCTTTTATTGGAAGACGTTTCCTTTTCACCAAAGGCATCAAAGCGCTCCAAATGTCCACTTCCAGATTCTTCCAAAAGAGTGTTTCAAACGTGCTCAAAGTAAGGGAATGTTCAACTCTGTGACTTGAATGCAGATATCACCAAGTAGTTTCTAATAGTGCTTCTGTCTAGATTTTAGATGATGATATTCCCGTTTCCAACGAAATCGTTAGAGCTATCCAAATATCCACTTACAGTTTCTACCAAAAGGGTGTTTCCAAATTGCTGCATCAAAAGAAAGGTTCAACTCTGTTAGTTGAGGACACACATCACAAAGAAGTTTGTGAGAATGCTTCTGTCTAGATTTTGTATGACGGTATTCCCTTTTCCAACGATATCGTTAAAGCAATCTAAATATCAATTTGCAGAATCCACAACAATAGAGTTTCAAAGCTGCTCTGTAAAAAGAAAGGTTCCACTCTTTTAGCTGAGTACACACATCGCAAACTTGTTTCTGAGAATCCTTCTCTCTCGTTTTTATGGGAAGATATTTACTTTTTCACCGTAGGCATCAAAGCGCTCCAAATGTCCACATCCAGATACTCCAGAAAGAGTGTTTCAAACCTGCTCTATGAAAGGGAATCTTCAACTCTATGAGTTGAATGCAGACATCAGAAAGAAATTTCTGAGAATGCTGCTGTCTACCTTTTATTTGAAATCCCGCTTCCAACGAAATCCTCCAAGCTATCCAAATATCCACTTGCATTTTCCACAAAAAGAGTGTTTCAAAACTGCTCTATCAATAGAAATGTTCAACTCCTTTAGCTGGGTACACACATCACAAACA
Source organism: Homo sapiens (assembly GCF_000001405.40). Taxonomy (NCBI): domain Eukaryota; kingdom Metazoa; phylum Chordata; class Mammalia; order Primates; family Hominidae; genus Homo; species Homo sapiens. The sequence continues at coordinate 14,941,820 of NC_000022.11, read as the reverse complement.
AGTTTCTGAGAATGCTTCTGTCTAGTTTTTATGGGAAGACATTCCCTTTTTCACCAAAGGCATCAAAGCGCTCCAAATGTCCACTTCCAGACACTACAAAAAGAGTGTTTCCAACGTGCTCTAAGAAAGCGAATGTTCAACTCTGTGACTTGAATGCAGATATCACAAAGTAGTTTCTGAGAGTGCTTCTGTCTAGATTTTAGATGATGATATTCCCGTTTCCAACGAAATCATTAGAGCTATCCAAATATCCACTTACAGTTTCTACAAAAAGAGTATTTCCAAACTGCTGCATCAAAAGAGAGGTTCCACTCTGTTAGCTGAGTACACACATCACAAACTTGTTTCTGAGAATCCTTCTGTCTCGTTTTTATGGGAAGATATTTACTTTTTCACCATAGGCATCAAAGCGCTCCAAATGTCCACGTCCAGATACTCCAGAAAGAGTGTTTCAAACCTCCTCTATGAAAGGGAATCTTCAACTCTATGAGTTGAATGCAGACATCAGAAAGAAATTTCTGAGAATGCTGCTGTCTACCTTTTATTTGAATTCCCGCTTCCAACGAAATCCTCCAAGCTATCCAAATATCCACTTGCAGATTCCACAAAAAGAGTGTTTCAAAACTGCTCTCTATCAATCGCAAAGTTCAACTCTGTTAGTTGAGGACACATATCACCAACAAGTTTCTGAGAATGCTTCTGTCTATTTTTTATGGGAAGATATTTCCTTTTTCACCGTAGGCGTCAAGGCGATCGAAATGTCCACTTCCACAAACTACAAAAAGAGTGTTTCAAACCTGCTCTATGAAAGGCCATGTTCATCTCTATGAGTTGAATGGAAATATCCGAAAGAAATTTCTGGGAATGCTGCTGTCTAGTTTTTATATGAATTCCCGCTTCCAACGAAATCCTCAAAGCAATCCAAATATCCACTTGCAGAATCCACAAAAAGAGTGTTTCAAAACTGCGCTATCAATAGAAAGGTTCAACTCTTTTAGTTGAGTACACACATCACGAACAAGTTTCTGAGAATGCTTCTGTCTGGCTTTTATTGGAAGACGTTTCCTTTTCACCAAAGGCATCAAAGCGCTCCAAATGTCCACTTCCAGATTCTTCCAAAAGAGTGTTTCAAACGTGCTCGAAGTAAGGGAATGTTCTACTCTGTGACTTGAATGCAGATATCACCAAGTAGTTTCTAATAGTGCTTCTGTCTAGATTTTAGATGATGATATTCCCGTTTCCAACGAAATCGTTAGAGCTATCCAAATATCCACTTACAGTTTCTACAAAAAGAGTGTTTCCAAACTGCTGCATCAAAAGAAAGGTTCAACTCTGTTAGTTGAGGACACACATCACAAAGAAGTTTGTGAGAATGCTTCTGTCTAGATTTTGTATGACCATATTCCCTTTTCCAGCGATATCATTAAAGCAATCTAAATATCCATTTGCAGAATCCACAAAAATAGAGTTTCAAAGCTGCTCTGTAAAAAGAAAGGTTCCACTCTGTTAGCTGAGTACACACATCACAAACTTGTTTCTCAGAATCCTTCTGTCTCGTTTTTATGGGAAGATATTTACTTTTTCACCGTAGGCATCAAAGCGCTCCAAATGTCCACAACCAGATACTCCAGAAAGAGTGTTTCAAACCTGCTCTATGAAAGGGAATCTTCAACTCTATGAGCTGAATGCAGACATCAGAAAGAAATTTCTGAGAATGCTGCTGTCTACCTTTTATTTGAATTCCCGCTTCCAACGAAAACCTCCAAGCTATCCAAATATCCACTTGCATTTTCCACAAAAAGAGTGTTTCAAAACTGCTCTATCAATAGAAATGTTCAACTCCTTTGGCTGGGTACACACATCACAAACAAGTTTCTGAGAATGCTTCTGTCTAGTTTTTATGGGAAGACGTTCCCTTTTTCACCAAAGGCATCAAAGCGCTCCAAATGTCCACTTCCAGACACTACAAAAAGAGTGTTTCAAACGTGCTCTAAGAAAGCGAATGTTCAACTCTGTGACTTGAATGCAGATATCACAAAGTAGTTTCTGAGAGGGCTTCTGTCTAGATTTTAGATGATGATATTCCCGTTTCCAACGAAATCATTAGAGCTATCCAAATATCCACTTACAGTTTCTACAAAAAGAGTGTTTCCAAACTGCTGCATCAAAAGAGAGGTTCCACTCTGTTAGCTGAGTACACACATCACAAACTTGTTTCTCAGAATCCTCTGTCTCGTTTTTATGGGAAGAGATTTACTTTTTCACCGTAGGCATCAAAGCGCTCCAAATGTCCACATCCAGATACTCCAGAAAGAGTGTTTCAAACCTGCTCTATGAAAGGGAATCTTCAACTCTATGAGTTGAATGCAGACATCAGAAAGAAATTCCTGAGAATGCTGCTGTCTACCTTTTATTTGAATTCCCGCTTCCAACGAAATCCTCCAAGCTATCCAAATATCCACTTGCAGATTCCACAAAAAGAGTGTTTCAAAACTGCTCTCTATCAATGGCAAAGTTCAACTCTGTTAGTTGAGGACACATATCACCAACAAGTTTCTGAGAATGCTTCTGTCTATTTTTTATGGGAAGATATTTCCTTTTTCACCGTAGGCGTCAAGGCGATCGAAATGTCCACTTCCACAAACTACAAAAAGAGTGTTTCAAACCTGCTCTATGAAAGGCGATGTTCATCTCTATGAGTTGAATGGAAATATCCGAAAGAAATTTCTGGGAATGCTGCTGTCTAGTGTTTATATGAATTCCCGCTTCCAACGAAATCCTCAAAGCAATCCAAATATCCACTTGCAGAATCCACAAAAAGAGTGTTTCAAAACTGCTCTATCAATAGAAAGGTTCAACTCTTTTAGTTGAGTACACACATCACCAACAAGTTTCTGAGAATGCTTCTGTCTAGATTTTAGATGATGATATTCCCGTTTCCAACGAAATCGTTAGAGCTATCCAAATGTCCACTTACAGTTTCTACAAAAAGAGTGTTTCCAAACTGCTGCATCAAAAGAAAGGTTCAACTCTGTTAGTTGAGGACACACATCACAAAGAAGTTTGTGAGAATGCTTCTGTCTAGATTTTGTATGACGATATTCCCTTTTCCAACGATATCGTTAAAGCAATCTAAATATCAATTTGCAGAATCCACAAAAATAGAGTTTCAAAGCTGCTCTGTAAAAAGAAAGGTTCCACTCTTTTAGCTGAGTACACACATCACAAACTTGTTTCTGAGAATCCTTCTGTCTCGTTTTTATGGGAAGATATTTACTTTTTCACCGTAGGCATCAAAGCGCTCCAAATGTCCACATCCAGATACTCCAGAAAGAGTGTTTCAAACCTGCTCTATGAAAGGGAATCTTCAACTGCTATGAGTTGAATGCAGACATCAGAAAGAAATTTCTGAGAATGCTGCTGTCTACCTTTTATTTGAATTCCCGCTTCCAACGAAATCCTCCAAGCTATCCAAATATCCACCTGCATTTTCCACAAAAAGAGTGTTTGAAAACTGCTCTATCAATAGAAATGTTCAACTCCTTTGGCTGGGTACACACATCACAAACAAGTTTCTGAGAATGCTTCTGTCTAGTTTTTATGGGAAGACGTTCCCTTTTTCACCAAAGTCATCAAAGCGCTCCAAATGTCCACTTCCAGACACTACAAAAAGAGTGTTTCAAACGTGCTCTAAGAAAGCGAATGTTCAACTCTGTGACTTGAATGCAGATATCACAAAGTAGTTTCTGAGAGGGCTTCTGTCTAGATTTTAGATGATGATATTCCCGTTTCCAACGAAATCATTAGAGCTATCCAAATATCCACTTACAGTTTCTACAAAAAGAGTGTTTCCAAACTGCTGCATCAAAAGAGAGGTTCCACTCTGTTAGCTGAGTACACACATCACAAACTTGTTTCTCAGAATCCTGCTGTCTACCCTTTATTTGAATTCCCGCTTCCAACGAAATCCTCCAAGCTATCCAAATATCCACTTGCAGATTCCACAAAAAGAGTGTTTCAAAACTGCTCTCTATCAATGGCAAAGTTCAACTCTGTTAGTTGAGGACACATATCACCAACAAGTTTCTGAGAATGCTTCTGTCTATTTTTTATGGGAAGATATTTCCTTTTTCAGCGTAGGCGTCAAGGCGATCGAAATGTCCACTTCCACAAACTACAAAAAGAGTGTTTCAAACCTGCTCTATGAAAAGCCATGTTCATCTCTATGAGTTGAATGGAAATATCCGAAAGAAATTTCTGGGAATGCTGCTGTCTAGTGTTTATACGAATTCCCGCTTCCAACGGAAATCCTCAAAGCAATCCAAATATCCACTTGCAGAATCCACAAAAAGAGTGTTTCAAAACTGCTCTATCAATAGAAAGGTTCAACTCTTTTAGTTGAGTACACACATCACGAACAAGTTTCTGAGAATGCTTCTGTCTGGCTTTTATTGGAAGACGTTTCCTTTTCACCAAAGGCATCAAAGCGCTCCAAATGTCCACTTCCAGATTCTTCCAAAAGAGTGTTTCAAACGTGGTCGAAGTAAGGGAATGTTCAACTCTGTGACTTGAATGCAGATATCACCAAGTAGTTTCTAATAGTGCTTCTGTCTAGATTTTAGATGATGATATTCCCGTTTCCAACGAAATCGTTAGAGCTATCCAAATATCCAGTTACAGTTTCTACCAAAAGGGTGTTTCCAAATTGCTGCATCAAAAGAAAGGTTCAACTCTGTTAGTTGAGGACACACATCACAAAGAAGTTTGTGAGAATGCTTATCCTGTCTAGATTTTGTATGACCATATTCCCTTTTCCAACGATATCATTAAAGCAATCTAAATATCCATTTGCAGAATCCACAAAAATAGAGTTTCAAAGCTGCTCTGTAAAAAGAAAGGTTCCACTCTGTTAGCTGAGTACACACATCACAAACTTGTCTCTCAGAATCCTTCTGTCTCGTTTTTATGGGAAGATATTTACTTTTTCACCGTAGGCATCAAAGCGCTCCAAATGTCCACATCCAGATACTCCAGAAAGAGTGTTTCAAACCTGCTCTATGAAAGGGAATCTTCAACTCTATGAGTTGAATGCAGACATCAGAAAGAAATTTCTGAGAATGCTGCTGTCTACCTTTTATTTGAATTCCCGCTTCCAACGAAATCCTCCAAGCTATCCAAATATCCACCTGCATTTTCCACAAAAAGAGCGTTTCAAAACTGCTCTATCAATAGAAATGTTCAACTCCTTTGGCTGGGTACACACATCACAAACAGGTTTCTGAGAATGCTTCTGTCTAGTTTTTATGGGAAGACGTTCCCTTTTTCACAAAGGCATCAAAGCGCTCCAAATGTCCACTTCCAGACACTACAAAAAGAGTGTTTCAAACGTGCTCTAAGAAAGCGAATGTTCAACTCTGTGACTTGAATGCAGATATCACAAAGTAGTTTCTGAGAGGGCTTCTGTCTAGATTTTAGATGATGATATTCCCGTTTCCAACGAAATCATTAGAGCTATCCAAATATCCACTTACAGTTTCTACAAAAAGAGTGTTTCCAAACTGCTGCATCAAAAGAGAGGTTCCACTCTGTTAGCTGAGTACACACATCACAAACTTGTTTCTCAGAATCCTGCTGTCTACCTTTTATTTGAATTCCCGCTTCCAACGAAATCCTCCAAGCTATCCAAATATCCACTTGCAGATTCCACAAAAAGAGTGTTTCAAAACTGCTCTCTATCAATGGCAAAGTTCAACTCTGTTAGTTGAGGACACATATCACCAACAAGTTTCTGAGAATGCTTCTGTCTATTTTTTATGGGAAGATATTTCCTTTTTCACCGTAGCCGTCAAGGCGATCGAAATGTCCACTTCCACAAACTACAAAAAGAGTGTTTCAAACCTGCTCTATGAAAGGCCATGTTCATCTCTATGAGTTGAATGGAAATATCCGAAAGAAATTTCTGGGAATGCTGCTGTCTAGTTTTTATATGAATTCCCGCTTCCAACGAAATCCTCAAAGCAATCCAAATATCCACTTGCAGAATCCACAAAAAGAGTGTTTCAAAACTGCTCTATCAATAGAAAGGTTCAACTCTTTTAGTTGAGTACACACATCACGAACAAGTTTCTGAGAATGCTTCTGTCTGGCTTTTATTGGAAGACGTTTCCTTTTCACCAAAGGCATCAAAGCGCTCCAAATGTCCACTTCCAGATTCTTCCAAAAGAGTGTTTCAAACGTGCTCGAAGTAAGGGAATGTTCAACTCTGTGACTTGAATGCAGATATCACCAAGTAGTTTCTAATAGTGCTTCTGTCTACATTTTAGATGATGATATTCCCGTTTCCAACGAAATCGTTAGAGCTATCCAAATATCCAGTTACAGTTTCTACCAAAAGGGTGTTTCCAAATTGCTGCATCAAAAGAAAGGTTCAACTCTGTTAGTTGAGGACACACATCACAAAGAAGTTTGTGAGAGTGCTTCTGTCTAGATTTTGTATGACCATATTCCCTTTTCCAGCGATATCATTAAAGCAATCTAAATATCCATTTGCAGAATCCACAAAAATAGAGTTTCAAAGCTGCTCTGTAAAAAGAAAGGTTCCACTCTGTTAGCTGAGTACACACATCACAAACTTGTTTCTCAGAATCCTTCTGTCTCGTTTTTATGGGAAGATATTTACTTTTTCACCGTAGGCATCAAAGCGCTCCAAATGTCCACATCCAGATACTCCAGAAAGAGTGTTTCAAACCTGCTCTATGAAAGGGAATCTTCAACTCTATGAGTTGAATGCAGACATCAGAAAGAAATTTCTGAGAATGCCGCTGTCAACCTTTTATTTGAATTCCCGCTTCCAACGAAATCCTCCAAGCTATCCAAATATCCACCTGCATTTTCCACAACAAGAGTGTTTCAAAACTGCTCTATCAATAGAAATGTTCAACTCCTTTGGCTGGGTACACACATCACAAACAAGTTTCTGAGAATGCTTCTGTCTAGTTTTTATGGGTAGACATTCCCTTTTTCACCAAAGGCATCAAAGCGCTCCAAATGTCCACTTCCAGACACTACAAAAAGAGTGTTTCAAACGTGCTCTAAGAAAGCGAATGTTCAACTCTGTGACTTGAATGCAGATATCACACAGTAGTTTCTGAGAGTGCTTCTGTCTAGATTTTAGATGATGATATTCCCGTTTCCAACGAAATCATTAGAGCTATCCAAATATCCACTTACAGTTTCTACAAAAAGAGTGTTTGCAAACTGCTGCATCAAAAGAGAGGTTCCACTCTGTTAGCTGAGTACACACATCACAAACTTGTTTCTCAGAATCCTTCTGTCTCGTTTTTATGGGAAGATATTTACTTTTTCACCGTAGGCATCAAAGCGCTCCAAATGTCCACATCCAGATACTCCAGAAAGAGTGTTTCAAACCTGCTCTATGAAAGGGAATCTTCAACTCTATGAGTTGAATGCAGAGATCAGAAAGAAATTTCTGAGAATGCTGCTGTCTACCTTTTATTTGAATTCCCGCTTCCAACGAAATCCTCCAAGCTATCCAAATATCCACTTGCAGATTCCACAAAAAGAGTGTTTCAAAACTGCTCTCTATCAATGGCAAAGTTCAACTCTGTTAGTTGAGGACACATATCACCAACAAGTTTCTGAGAATGCTTCTGTCTATTTTTTATGGGAAGATATTTCCTTTTTCACCGTAGGCGTCAAGGCGATCGAAATGTCCACTTCCACAAACTACAAAAAGAGTGTTTCAAACCTGCTCTATGAAAGGCCATGTTCATCTCTATGAGTCGAATGGAAATATCCGAAAGAAATTTCTGGGAATGCTGCTGTCTACCTTTTATTTGAATTCCCGCTTCCAACGAAATCCTCCAAGCTATCCAAATATCCACCTGCATTTTCCAAAACAAGAGTGTTTCAAAACTGCTCTATCAATAGAAATGTTCAACTCCTTTGGCTGGGTACACACATCACAAACAAGTTTCTGAGAATGCTTCTGTCTGGCTTTTATTGGAAGACGTTTCCTTTTCACCAAAGGCATCAAAGCGCTCCAAATGTCCACTTCCAGATTCTTCCAAAAGAGTGTTTCAAACGTGCTCGAAGTAAGGGAATGTTCTACTCTGTGACTTGAATGCAGATATCACCAAGTAGTTTCTAATAGTGCTTCTGTCTAGATTTTAGATGATGATATTCCCGTTTCCAACGAAATCGTTAGAGCTATCCAAATGTCCAGTTACAGTTTCTACCAAAAGGGTGTTTCCAAATTGCTGCATCAAAAGAAAGGTTCAACTCTGTTAGTTGAGGACACACATCACAAAGAAGTTTGTGAGAATGCTTCTGTCTAGATTTTGTATGACCATATTCCCTTTTCCAACGATATCGTTAAAGCAATCTAAATATCAATTTGCAGAATCCACAAAAATAGAGTTTCAAAGCTGCTCTGTAAAAAGAAAGGTTCCACTCTGTTAGCTGAGTTCACACATCACAAACTTGTTTCTGAGAATCCTGCTGTCTACCTTTTATTTGAATTCCCGCTTCCAACGAAATCCTCCAAGCTATCCAAATATCCACTTGCATTTTCCACAAAAAGAGTGTTTCAAAACTGCTCTATCAATAGAAATGTTCAACTCCTTTAGCTGGGTACACACATCACAAACAAGTTTCTGAGAATGCTTCTGTCTAGTTTTTATGGGAAGACGTTCCCTTTTTCACCAAAGGCATCAAAGCGCTCCAAATGTCCACTTCCAGACACTACAAAAAGAGTGTTTCCAACGTGCCCTAAGAAAGCGAATGTTCAACTCTGTGACTTGAATGCAGATATCACAAAGTAGTTTCTGAGAGGGCTTCTGTCTAGATTTTAGATGATGATATTCCCGTTTCCAACGAAATCATTAGAGCTATCCAAATATCCAATTACAGTTTCTACAAAAAGAGTGTTTCCAAACTGCTGCATCAAAAGAGAGGTTCCACTCTGTTAGCTGAGTACACACATCACAAACTTGTTTCTCAGAATCCTTCTGTCTCGTTTTTATGGGAAGATATTTACTTTTTCACCGTAGGCATCAAAGCGCTCCAAATGTCCACATCCAGATACTCCAGAAAGACTGTTTCAAACCTGCTCTATGAAAGGGAATGTTCAACTCTATGAGTTGAATGCAGACATCAGAAAGAAATTTCTGAGAATGCTGCTGTCTACCTTTTATTTGAATTCCCGCTTACAACGAAATCCTCCAAGCTATCCAAATATCCACCTGCATTTTCCACAACAAGAGTGTTTCAAAACTGCTCTATCAATAGAAATGTTCAACTCCTTTGGCTGGGTACACACATCACAAACAAGTTTCTGAGAATGCTTCTGTCTATTTTTTATGGGAAGATATTTCCTTTTTCACCGTAGGCGTCAAGGCGATCGAAATGTCCACTTCCACAAACTACAAAAAGAGTGTTTCAAACCTGCTGCTATGAAAGGCCATGTTCATCTCTATGAGTCGAATGGAAATATCCGAAAGAAATTTCTGGGAATGCTGCTGTCTAGTTTTTATACGAATTCCCGCTTCCAACGAAATCCTCAAAGCAATCCAAATATCCACTTGCAGAATCCACAAAAAGAGTGTTTCAAAACTGCTCTATCAATAGAAAGGTTCAACTCTTTTAGTTGAGTACACACATCACAAACAAGTTTCTGAGAATGCTTCTGTCTGGCTTTTATTGGAAGACGTTTCCTTTTCACCAAAGGCATCAAAGCGCTCCAAATGTCCACTTCCAGATTCTTCCAAAAGAGTGTTTCAAACGTGCTCAACGTAAGGGAATGTTCAACTCTGTGACTTGAATGCAGATATCACCAAGTAGTTTCTAATAGTGCTTCTGTCTAGATTTTAGATGATGATATTCCCGTTTCCAACGAAATCGTTAGAGCTATCCAAATATCCACTTACAGTTTCTACAAAAAGAGTGTTTCCAAACTGCTGCATCAAAAGAAAGGTTCAACTCTGTTAGTTGAGGACACACATCACAAAGAAGTTTGTGAGAATGCTTCTGTCTAGATTTTGTATGACCATATTCCCTTTTCCAGCGATATCATTAAAGCAATCTAAATATCCATTTGCAGAATCCACAAAAATAGAGTTTCAAAGCTGCTCTGTAAAAAGAAAGGTTCCACTCTGTTAGCTGAGTACACACATCACAAACTTGTCTCTCAGAATCCTTCTGTCTCGTTTTTATGGGAAGATATTTACTTTTTCACCGTAGGCATCAAAGCGCTCCAAATGTCCACATCCAGATACTCCAGAAAGAGTGTTTCAAACCTGCTCTATGAAAGGGAATCTTCAACTCTATGAGTTGAATGCAGACATCAGAAAGAAATTTCTGAGAATGCTGCTGTCTACCTTTTATTTGAATTCCCGCTTCCAACGAAATCCTCCAACCTATCCAAATATCCACTTGCATTTTCCACAAAAAGAGTGTTTCAAAACTGCTCTATCAATAGAAATGTTCAACTCCTTTAGCTGGGTACACACATCACAAACAAGTTTCTGAGAATCCTTCTGTCTAGTTTTTATGGGAAGACATTCCCTTTTTCACCAAAGGCATCAAAGCGCTCCAAATGTCCACTTCCAGACACTACAAAAAGAGTGTTTCCAACGTGCTCTAAGAAAGCGAATGTTCAACTCTGTGACTTGAATGCAGATATCACAAAGTAGTTTCTGAGAGGACTTCTGTCTAGATTTTAGATGATGATATTCCCGTTTCCAACGAAATCATTAGAGCTATCCAAATATCCACTTACAGTTTCTACAAAAAGAGTGTTTCCAAACTGCTGCATCAAAAGAGAGGTTCCACTCTGTTAGCTGAGTACACACATCACAAACTTGTTTCTCAGAATCCTTCTGTCTCGTTTCTATGGGAAGATATTTACTTTTTCACCGTAGGCATCAAAGCGCTCCAAATGTCCACATCCAGATACTCCAGAAAGAGTGTTTCAAACCTGCTCTATGAAAGGGAATCTTCAACTCTATGAGTTGAATGCAGACATCAGAAAGAAATTTCTGAGAATGCTGCTGTCTACCTTTTATTTGAATTCCCGCTTCCAACGAAATCCTCCAAGCTATCCAAATATCCACTTGCAGATTCCACAAAAAGAGTGTTTCAAAACTGCTCTCTATCAATGGCAAAGTTCAACTCTGTTAGTTGAGGACACATATCACCAACAAGTTTCTGAGAATGCTTCTGTCTATTTTTTATGGGAAGATATTTCCTTTTTCACCGTAGGCGTCAAGGCGATCGAAATGTCCACTTCCACAAACTACAAAAAGAGTGTTTCAAACCTGCTCTATGAAAGGCCATGTTCATCTCTATGAGTTGAATGGAAATATCCGAAAGAAATTTCTGGGAATGCTGCTGTCTAGTTTTTATACGAATTCCCGCTTCCAACGAAATCCTCAAAGCAATCCAAATATCCACTTGCAGAATCCACAAAAAGAGTGTTTCAAAACTGCTCTATCAATAGAAAGGTTCCACTCTTTTAGTTGAGTACACACATCACAAACAAGTTTCTGAGAATGCTTCTGTCTAGCTTTTATGGGAAGACGTTTCCTTTTCACCAATGGCATCAAAGCGCTCCAAATGTCCAATTCCAGATTCTACAAAAAGAGTGTTTCAAACGTGCTCAAACTATGGTAACGTTCTACTCTCTGACTTGAATGCAGATATCACCAAGTAGTTGCTAATACTGCTTCTGTCTAGATTTTAGATGATGATATTCCCGTTTCAAATGAAATCGTTAGAGCTATCCAAATATCCACTTACAGTTTCTACAAAAAGAGTGTTTCCAAACTGCTGCATCAAAAGAAAGGTTCAACTCTGTTAGTTGAGGACACACATCACAAAGAAGTTTCTGAGAATGCTTCTGTCTAGATTTTGTATGACGATATTCCCTTTTCCAACGATATCGTTAAAGCAATCTAAATATCAATTTGCAGAATCCACAAAAATAGAGTTTCAAAGCTGCTCTGTAAAAAGAAAGGTTCCACTCTGTTAGCTGAGTATACACATCACAAACTTGTTTCTGAGAATCCTTCTGTCTCGTTTTTATGGGAAGATATTTACTTTTTCACCGTAGGCATCAAAGCGCTCCAAATGTCCACATCCAGATACTCCAGAAAGAGTGTTTCAAACCTGCTCTAGGAAAGGGAATCTTCAACTCTATGAGTTGAATGCAGACATCAGAAAGAAATTTCTGAGAATGCTGCTGTCTACCTTTTATTTGAATTCCCGCTTCCAACGAAATCCTCCAAGCTATCCAAATATCCACCTGCATTTTCCACAACAAGAGTGTTTCAAAACTGCTCTATCAATAGAAATGTTCAACTCCTTTGGCTGGGTACACACATCACAAACAAGTTTCTGAGAATGCTTCTGTCTAGTTTTTATGGGTAGACATTCCCTTTTTCACAAAAGGAATCAAAGCGCTCCAAATGTCCACTTCCAGACACTACAAAAAGAGTGTTTCAAACGTGCTCTAAGAAAGCGAATGTTCAACTCTGTGACTTGAATGCAGATATCACAAAGTAGTTTCTGAGAGGGCTTCTGTCTAGATTTTAGATGATGATATTCCCGTTTCCAACGAAATCATTAGAGCTATCCAAATATCCACTTACAGTTTCTACAAAAAGAGTGTTTCCAAACTTCTGCATCAGAAGAGAGGTTCCACTCTGTTAGCTGAGTACACACATCACAAACTTGTTTCTGAGAATCCTTCTGTCTCGTTTTTATGGGAAGATATTTACTTTTCCACCGTAGGCATCAAAGCGCTCCAAATGTCCACATCCAGATACTCCAGAAAGAGTGTTTCAAACCTGCTCTATGAAAGGGAATCTTCAACTCTATGAGTTGAATGCAGACATCAGAAAGAAATTTCTGAGAATGCTGCTGTCTACCTTTTATTTGAATTCCCGCTTCCAACGAAATCCTCCAAGCTATCCAAATATCCACTTGCAGATTCCACAAAAAGAGTGTTTCAAAACTGCTCTCTATCAATGGCAAAGTTCAACTCTGTTAGTTGAGAACACATATCACCAACAAGTTTCTGAGAATGCTTCTGTCTATTTTTTATGGGAAGATATTTCCTTTTTCACCATAGGCGTCAAGGCGATCGAAATGTCCACTTCCACAAACTACAAAAAGAGTGTTTCAAACCTGCTCTATGAAAGGCGATGTTCATCTCTATGAGTTGAATGGAAATATCCGAAAGAAATTTCTGGGAATGCTTGCTGTCTAGTTTTTATACGAATTCCCGCTTCCAACGAAATCCTCAAAGCAATCCAAATATCCACTTGCAGAATCCACAAAAAGAGTGTTTCAAAACTGCTCTATCAATAGAAAGGTTCAACTCTTTTAGTTGAGTACACACATCACAAACAAGTTTCTGAGAATGCTTCTGTCTGGCTTTTATTGGAAGACGTTTCCTTTTCACCAAAGGCATCAAAGCGCTCCAAATGTCCACTTCCAGATTCTTCCAAAAGAGTGTTTGAAACGTGCTCAAAGTAAGGGAATGTTCAACTCTGTGACTTGAATGCAGATATCACCAAGTAGTTTCTAATAGTGCTTCTGTCTAGATTTTAGATGATGATATTCCCGTTTCCAACGAAATCGTTAGAGCTATCCAAATATCCACTTAGTTTCTACAAAAAGAGTGTTTCCAAACTGCTGCATCAAAAGAAAGGTTCAACTCTGTTAGTTGAGGACACACATCACAAAGAAGTTTGTGAGAATGCTTCTGTCTAGATTTTGTATGACGATATTCCCTTTTCCAACGATATCGTTAAAGCAATCTAAATATCAATTTGCAGAATCCACAAAAATAGAGTTTCAAAGCTGCTCTGTAAAAAGAAAGGTTCCACTCTGTTAGCTGAGTACACACATCACAAACTTGTTTCTCAGAATCCTTCTGTCTCGTTTTTATGGGAAGATATTTACTTTTTCACCGTAGGCATCAAAGCGCTCCAAATGTCCACATCCAGATACTCCAGAAAGAGTGTTTCAAACCTGCTCTATGAAAGGGAATCTTCAACTCTATGAGTTGAATGCAGACATCAGAAAGAAATTTTCTGAGAATGCTGCTGTCTACCTTTTATTTGAATTCCCGCTTCCAACGAAATCCTCCAAGCTATCCAAATATCCACTTGCATTTTTCACAAAAAGAGTGTTTCAAAACTGCTCTATCAATAGAAATGTTCAACTCCTTTAGCTGGGTACACACATCGCAGACAAGTTTCTGAGAATGCTTCTGTCTAGTTTTTATGGGAAGACATTCCCTTTTTCACCAAAGGCATCAAAGCACTCCAAATGTCCACTTCCAGACACTACAAAAAGAGTGTTTCCAACGTGCTCTAAGAAAGCGAATGTTCAACTCTGTGACTTGAATGCAGATATCACAAAGTAGTTTCTGAGAGGGCTTCTGTCTAGATTTTAGATGATGATATTCCCGTTTCCAACGAAATCATTAGAGCTATCCAAATATCCACTTACAGTTTCTACAAAAAGAGTGTTTCCAAACTGCTGCATCAAAAGAGAGGTTCCACTCTGTTAGCTGAGTACACACATCACAAACTTGTTTCTCAGAATCCTTCTGTCTCGTTTTTCTGGGAAGATATTTACTTTTTCACCGTAGGCATCAAAGCGCTCCAAATGTCCACATCCAGATACTCCAGAAAGAGTGTTTCAAACCTGCTCTATGAAAGGGAATCTTCAACTCTATGAGTTGAATGCAGACATCAGAAGGAAATTTCTGAGAATGCTGCTGTCTACCTTTTATTTGAATTCCCGCTTCCAACGAAATCCTCCAAGCTATCCAAATATCCACTTGCAGATTCCACAAACAGAGTGTTTCAAAACTGCTCTCTATCAATGGCAAAGTTCAACTCTGTTAGTTGAGGACACATATCACCAACAAGTTTCTGAGAATGCTTCTGTCTATTTTTTATGGGAAGATATTTCCTTTTTCACCGTAGGCGTCAAGGCGATCGAAATGTCCACTTCCACAAACTACAAAAAGAGTGTTTCAAACCTGCTCTATGAAAGGCCATGTTCATCTCTATGAGTTGAATGGAAATATCCGAAAGAAATTTCTGGGAATGCTGGCTGTCTAGTTTTTATACGAATTCCCGCTTCCAACGAAATCCTCAAAGCAATCCAAATATCCACTTGCAGAATCCACAAAAAGAGTGTTACAAAACTGCTCTATCAATAGAAAGGTTCAACTCTTTTAGTTGAGTACACACATCACAAACAAGTTTCTGAGAATGCTTCTGTCTGGCTTTTATTGGAAGACGTTTCCTTTTCACCAAAGGCATCAAAGCGCTCCAAATGTCCACTTCCAGATTCTTCCAAAAGAGTGTTTGAAACGTGCTCAAAGTAAGGGAATGTTCAACTCTGTGACTTGAATGCAGATATCACCAAGTAGTTTCTAATAGTGCTTCTGTCTACCTTTTGATGATGATATTCCCGTTTCCAACGAAATCGTTAGAGCTATCCAAATATCCAGTTACAGTTTCTACCAAAAGGGTGTTTCCAAATTGCTGCATCAAAAGAAAGGTTCAACTCTGTTAGTTGAGGACACACATCACAAAGAAGTTTGTGAGAATGCTTCTGTCTAGATTTTGTATGACCATATTCCCTTTTCCAGCGATATCATTAAAGCAATCTAAATATCCATTTGCAGAATCCACAAAAATAGGGTTTCAAAGCTGCTCTGTAAAAAGAAAGGTTCCACTCTGTTAGCTGAGTACACACATCACAAACTTGTTTCTGAGAATCCTTCTGTCTCGTTTTTATGGGAAGATATTTACTTTTTCACCGTAGGCATCAAAGCGCTCCAAATGTCCACATCCAGATACTCCAGAAAGAGTGTTTCAAACCTGCTCTATGAAAGGGAATCTTCAACTCTATGAGTTGAATGCAGACATCAGAAAGAAATTTCTGAGAATGCTGCTGTCTACCTTTTATTTGAATTCCCGCTTCCAACGAAATCCTCCAAGCTATCCAAATATCCACCTGCATTTTCCACAAAAAGAGTGTTTCAAAACTGCTCTATCAATAGAAATGTTCAACTCCTTTGGCTGGGTACACACATCACAAACAAGTTTCTGAGAATGCTTCTGTCTAGTTTTTATGGGAAGACATTCCCTTTTTCACCAAAGGCATCAAAGCGCTCCAAATGTCCACTTCCAGACACTATAAAAAGAGTGTTTCCAACGTGCTCTAAGAAAGCGAATGTTCAACTCTGTGACTTGAATGCAGATATCACAAAGTAGTTTCTGAGAGGGCTTCTGTCTAGATTTTAGTTGATGATATTCCCATTTCCAACGAAATCATTAGAGCTATCCAAATATCCACTTACAGTTTCTACAAAAAGAGTGTTTCCAAACTGCTGCATCAGAAGAGAGGTTCCACTCTGTTAGCTGAGTACACACATCACAAACTTGTTTCTCAGAATCCTTCTGTCTCGTTTTTATGGGAAGATATTTACTTTTCCACCGTAGGCATCAAAGCGCTCCAAATGTCCACATCCAGATACTCCAGAACGAGTGTTTCAAACCTGCTCTATGAAAGGGAATCTTCAACTCTATGAGTTGAATGCAGACATCACAAAGAAATTTCTGAGAATGCTGCTGTCTACCTTTTATTTGAATTCCCGCTTCCAACGAAATCCTCCAAGCTATCCAAATATCCACTTGCAGATTCCACAAAAAGAGTGTTTCAAAACTGCTCTCTATCAATGGCAAAGTTCAACTCTGTTAGTTGAGGACACATATCACCAACAAGTTTCTGAGAATGCTTCTGTCTATTTTTATGGGAAGATATTTCCTTTTTCACCGTAGGCGTCAAGGCGATCGAAATGTCCACTTCCACAAACTACAAAAAGAGTGTTTCAAACCTGCTCTATGAAAGGCCATGTTCATCTCTATGAGTTGAATGGAAATATCCGAAAGAAATTTCTGGGAATGCTGCTGTCTAGTGTTTATACGAATTCCCGCTTCCAACGAAATCCTCAAAGCAATCCAAATATCCACTTGCAGAATCCACAAAAAGAGTGTTTCAAAACTGCTCTATCAATAGAAAGGTTCAACTCTTTTAGTTGAGTACACACATCACAAACAAGTTTCTGAGAATGCTTCTGTCTGGCTTTTATTGGAAGACGTTTCCTTTTCACCAAAGGCATCAAAGCGCTCCAAATGTCCACTTCCAGATTCTTCCAAAAGAGTGTTTCAAACGTGCTCGAAGTAAGGGAATGTTCTACTCTGTGACTTGAATGCAGATATCACCAAGTAGTTTCTAATAGTGCTTCTGTCTAGATTTTAGATGATGATATTCCCGTTTCCAACGAAATCGTTAGAGCTATCCAAATATCCACTTACAGTTGCTACAAAAACAGTGTTTCCAAACTGCTGCATCAAAAGAAAGGTTCAACTCTGTTAGTTGAGGACACACGTCACAAAGAAGTTTGTGAGAATGCTTCTGTCCAGCATTTTGTATGACGATATTCCCTTTTCCAACGATATCGTTAAAGCAATCTAAATATCCATTTGCAGAATCCACAAAAATAGAGTTTCAAAGCTGCTCTGTAAAAAGAAAGGTTCCACTCTGTTAGCTGAGTACACACATCACAAACTTGTCTCTCAGAATCCTTCTGTCTCGTTTTTATGGGAAGATATTTACTTTTTCACCGTAGGCATCAAAGCGCTCCAAATGTCCACATCCAGATACTCCAGAAAGAGTGTTTCAAACCTGCTCTATGAAAGGGAATCTTCAACTCTATGAGTTGAATGCAGACATCAGAAAGAAATTTCTGAGAATGCTGCTGTCTACCTTTTGTTTGAATTCCCGCTTCCAACGAAATCCTCCAAGCTATCCAAATATCCACCTGCATTTTCCACAAAAAGAGTGTTTCAAAACTGCTCTATCAATAGAAATGTTCAACTCCTTTGGCTGGGTACACACATCACAAACAAGTTTCTGAGAATGCTTCTGTCTAGTTTTTATGGGAAGACGTTCCCTTTTTCACCAAAGGCATCAAAGCGCTCCAAATGTCCAATTCCAGACACTACAAAAAGAGTGTTTCAAACGTGCTCTAAGAAAGTGAATGTTCAACTCTGTGACTTGAATGCAGATATCACAAAGTAGTTTCCTGAGAGGGCTTCTGTCTAGATTTTAGATGATGATATTCCCGTTTCCAACGAAATCATTAGAGCTATCCAAATATCCACTTACAGTTTCTACAAAAAGAGTGTTTCCAAACTGCTGCATCAAAAGAGAGGTTCCACTCTGTTAGCTGAGTACACACATCACAAACTTGTTTCTCAGAATCCTTCTGTCTCGTTTTTATGGGAAGATATTTACTTTTTCACCGTAGGCATCAAAGCGCTCCAAATGTCCACATCCAGATACTCCAGAAAGAGTGTTTCAAACCTGCTCTATGAAAGGGAATCTTCAACTCTATGTGTTGAATGCAGACATCAGAAAGAAATTTCTGAGAATGCTGCTGTCTACCTTTTATTTGAATTCCCGCTTCCAACGAAATCCTCCAAGCTATCCAAATATCCACCTGCATTTTCCACAAAAAGAGTGTTTCAAAACTGCTCTCTATCAATGGCAAAGTTCAACTCTGTTAGTTGAGGACACATATCACCAACAAGTTTCTGAGAATGCTTCTGTCTATTTTTTATGGGAAGATATTTCCTTTTTCACCGTAGGCGTCAAGGCGATCGAAATGTCCACTTCCACAAACTACAAAAAGAGTGTTTCAATATGAAAGGCCATGTTCATCTCTATGAGTTGAATGGAAATATCCAAAAGAAATTTCTGGGAATGCTGCTGTCTAGTGTTTATACGAATTCCCGCTTCCAACAAAATCCTCAAAGCAATCCAAATATCCACTTGCAGAATCCACAAAAAGAGTGTTTCAAAACTGCTCTATCAATAGAAAGGTTCAACTCTTTTAGTTGAGTACACACATCACGATCAAGTTTCTGAGAATGCTTCTGTCTGGCTTTTATTGGAAGACGTTTCCTTTTCACCAAAGGCATCAAAGCGCTCCAAATGTCCACTTCCAGATTCTTCCAAAAGAGTGTTTCAATCGTGCTCAAAGTAAGGGAATGTTCAACTCTGTGACTTGAATGCAGATATCACCAAGTAGTTTCTAATAGTGCTTCTGTCTAGATTTTAGATGATGATATTCCCGTTTCCAACGAAATCGTTAGAGCTATCCAAATATCCACTTACAGTTTCTACAAAAAGAGTGTTTCCAAACTGCTGCATCAAAAGAAAGGTTCAACTCTGTTAGTTGAGGACACACATCACAAAGAAGTTTGTGAGAATGCTTCTGTCTAGATTTTGTATGACGATATTCCCTTTTCCAACGATATCGTTAAAGCAATCTAAATATCCATTTGCAGAATCCACAAAAATAGAGTTTCAAAGCTGCTCTGTAAAAAGAAAGGTTCCACTCTGTTAGCTGAGTACACACATCACAAACTTGTTTCTCAGAATCCTTCTGTCTCGTTTTTATGGGAAGATATTTACTTTTCCACCGTAGGCATCAAACGCTCCAAATGTCCACATCCAGATACTCCAGAACGAGTGTTTCAAACCTGCTCTATGAAAGGGAATCTTCAACTCTATGAGTTGAATGCAGACATCAGAAAGAAATTTCTGAGAATGCTGCTGTCTACCTTTTATTTGAATTCGCGCTTCCAACGAAATCCTCCAAGCTATCCAAATATCCACCTGCATTTTCCACAACAAGAGTGTTTCAAAACTGCTCTATCAATAGAAATGTTCAACTCCTTTGGCTGGGTACACACATCACAAACAAGTTTCTGAGAATGCTTCTGTCTAGTTTTTATGGGTAGACATTCCCTTTTTCACCAAAGGAATCAAAGCACTCCAAATGTCCACTTCCAGACACTACAAAAAGAGTGTTTCAAACGTGCTCTAAGAAAGCGAACGTTCAACTCTGTGACTTGAATGCAGATATCACAAAGTAGTTTCTGAGAGTGCTTCTGTCTAGATTTTAGATGATGATATTCCCGTTTCCAACGAAATCATTAGAGCTATCCAAATATCCACTTACAGTTTCTACAAAAAGAGTGTTTCCAAACTGCTGCATCAAAAGAGAGGTTCCACTCTGTTAGCTGAGTACACACATCACAAACTTGTTTCTGAGAATCCTTCTGTGTCGTTTTTATGGGAAGATATTTACTTTTTCACCGTAGGCATCAAAGCGCTCCAAATGTCCACATCCAGATACTCCAGAGTGTTTCAAACCTGCTCTATGAAAGGGAATCTTCAACTCTATGAGTTGAATGCAGACATCAGAAAGAAATTTCTGAGAATGCTGCTGTCTACCTTTTATTTGAATTCCCGCTTCCAACGAAATCCTCCAAGCTATCCAAATATCCACTTGCAGATTCCACAAAAAGAGTGTTTCTAAACTGCTCTCTATCAATGGCAAAGTTCAACTCTGTTAGTTGAGGACACATATCACCAACAAGTTTCTGAGAATGCTTCTGTCTATTTTTTATGGGAAGATATTTCCTTTTTCACCGTAGGCGTCAAGGCGATCGAAATGTCCACTTCCACAAACTACAAAAAGAGTGTTTCAAACCTGCTCTATGAAAGGCCATGTTCATCTCTATGAGTTGAATGGAAATATCCGAAAGAAATTTCTGGGAATGCTGCTGTCTAGTTGTTATACGAATTCCCGCTTCCAACGAAATCCTCAAAGCAATCCAAATATCCACTTGCAGAATCCACAAAAAGAGTGTTTCAAAACTGCTCTATCAATAGAAAGGTTCAACTCTTTTAGTTGAGTACACACATCACAAACAAGTTTCCTGAGAATGCTTCTGTCTGGCTTTTATTGGAAGACGTTTCCTTTTCACCAAAGGCATCAAAGCGCTCCAAATGTCCACTTCCAGATTCTTCCAAAAGAGTGTTTGAAACGTGCTCAAAGTAAGGGAATGTTCAACTCTGTGACTTGAATGCAGATATCACCAAGTAGTTTCTAATAGTGCTTCTGTCTAGATTTTAGATGATGATATTCCCGTTTCCAACGAAATCGTTAGAGCTATCCAAATATCAAGTTACAGTTTCTACCAAAAGGGTGATTCCAAACTGCTGCATCAAAAGAAAGGTTCAACTCTGTTAGTTGAGGACACACATCACAAAGAAGTTTGTGAGAATGCTTCTGTCCAGATTTTGTATGACGATATTCCCTTTTCCAACGATATCGTTAAAGCAATCTAAATATCCATTTGCAGAATCCACAAAAATAGAGTTTCAAAGCTGCTCTGTAAAAAGAAAGGTTCCACTCTGTTAGCTGAGTACACACATCACAAACTTGTCTCTCAGAATCCTTCTGTCTCGTTTTTATGGGAAGATATTTACTTTTCCACCGTAGGCATCAAAGCGCTCCAAATGTCCACATCCAGATACTCCAGAACGAGTGTTTCAAACCTGCTCTATGAAAGGGAATCTTCAACTCTATGAGTTGAATGCAGACATCAGAAAGAAATTTCTGATAATGCTGCTGTCTACCTTTTATTTGAATTCCCGCTTCCAACGAAATCCTCCAAGCTATCCAAATATCCACCTGCATTTTCCACAACAAGAGTGTTTCAAAACTGCTCTATCAATAGAAATGTTCAACTCCTTTGGCTGGGTACACACATCACAAACAAGTTTCTGAGAATGCTTCTGTCTAGTTTTTATGGGTAGACATTCCCTTTTTCACCAAAGGAATCAAAGCGCTCCAAATGTCCACTTCCAGACACTACAAAAAGAGTGTTTCAAACGTGCTCTAAGAAAGCGAATGTTCAACTCTGTGACTTGAATGCAGATATCACACAGTAGTTTCTGAGAGTGCCTCTGTCTAGATTTTAGATGATGATATTCCCGTTTCCAACGAAATCATTAGAGCTATCCAAATATCCACTTACAGTTTCTACAAAAAGAGTGTTTCCAAACTGCTGCATCAAAAGAGAGGTTCCACTCTGTTAGCTGAGTACACACATCACAAACTTGTTTCTCAGAATCCTTCTGTCTCGTTTTTATTGGAAGATATTTACTTTTTCACCGTAGGCATCAAAGCGCTCCAAATGTCCACATCCAGATACTCCAGAAAGAGTGTTTCAAACCTGCTCTATGAAAGGGAATCTTCAACTCTATGAGTTGAATGCAGACATCAGAAAGAAATTTCTGAGAATGCTGCTGTCTACCTTTTATTTGAATTCCCGCTTCCAACGAAATCCTCCAAGCTATCCAAATATCCACTTGCAGATTCCACAAAAAGAGTGTTTCAAAACTGCTCTCTATCAATGGCAAAGTTCAACTCTGTTAGTTGAGGACACATATCACCAACAAGTTTCTGAGAATGCTTCTGTCTATTTTTTATGGGAAGATATTTCCTTCTTCACCGTAGGCGTCAAGGCGATCGAAATGTCCACTTCCACAAACTACAAAAAGAGTGTTTCAAACCTGCTCTATGAAAGGCCATGTTCATCTCTATGAGTCGAATGGAAATATCCGAAAGAAATTTCTGGGAATGCTGCTGTCTAGTTTTTATACGAATTCCCGCTTCCAACGAAATCCTCAAAGCAATCCAAATATCCACTTGCAGAATCCACAAAAAGAGTGTTTCAAAACTGCTCTATCAATAGAAAGGTTCAACTCTTTTAGTTGAGTACACACATCACAAACAAGTTTCTGAGAATGCTTCTGTCTGGCTTTTATTGGAAGACGTTTCCTTTTCACCAAAGGCATCAAAGCGCTCCAAATGTCCACTTCCAGATTCTTCCAAAAGAGTGTTTCAAACGTGTTCGAAGTAAGGGAATGTTCAACTCTGAGACTTGAATGCAGATATCACCAAGTAGTTTCTAATAGTGCTTCTGTCTAGATTTTAGATGATGATATTCCCGTTTCCAACGAAATCGTTAGAGCTATCCAAATATCCACTTACAGTTTCTACCAAAAGGGTGTTTCCAAATTGCTGCATCAAAAGAAAGGTTCAACTCTGTTAGTTGAGGACACACATCACAAAGAAGTTTGTGAGAATGCTTCTGTCTAGATTTTGTATGACCATATTCCCTTTTCCAACGATATCGTTAAAGCAATCTAAATATCAATTTGCAGAATCCACAAAAATAGAGTTTCAAAGCTGCTCTGTAAAAAGAAAGGTTCCACTCTGTTAGCTGAGTACACACATCACAAACTTGTTTCTGAGAATCCTTCTGTCTCGTTTTTATGGGAAGATATTTACTTTTCCACCGTAGGCATCGAAAGCGCTCCAAATGTCCACATCCAGATACTCCAGAACGAGTGTTTCAAACCTGCTCTATGAAAGGGAATCTTCAACTCTATGAGTTGAATGCAGACATCAGAAAGAAATTTCTGAGAATGCTGCTGTCTACCTTTTATTTGAATTCCCGCTTCCAACGAAATCCTCCAAGCTATCCAAATATCCACTTGCATTTTCCACAACAAGAGTGTTTCAAAACTGCTCTATCAATAGAAACGTTCAACTCCTTTGGCTGGGTACACACATCACAAACAAGTTTCTGAGAATGCTTCTGTCTAGTTTTTATGGGAAGACGTTCCCTTTTTCACCAAAGCCATCAAAGCGCTCCAAATGTCCACTTCCAGACACTACAAAAAGAGTGTTTCAAACGTGCTCTAAGAAAGCGAATGTTCAACTCTGTGACTTGAATGCAGATATCACAAAGTAGTTTCCTGAGAGTGCTTTCTGTCTAGATTTTAGATGATGATATTCCCGTTTCCAACGAAATAATTAGAGCTATCCAAATATCCACTTACAGTTTCTACAAAAAGAGTGTTTCCAAACTGCTGCATCAAAAGAGAGGTTCCACTCTGTTAGCTGAGTACACACATCACAAACTTGTTTCTCAGAATCCTGCTGTCTACCTTTTATTTGAATTCCCGCTTCCAACGAAATCCTCCAAGCTATCCAAATATCCACTTGCAGATTCCACAAAAAGAGTGTTTCAAAACTGCTCTCTATCAATGGCAAAGTTCAACTCTGTTAGTTGAGGACACATATCACCAACAAGTTTCTGAGAATGCTTCTGTCTATTTTTTATGGGAAGATATTTCCTTTTTCACCGTAGGCGTCAAGGCGATCGAACTGTCCACTTCCACAAACTACAAAAAGAGTGTTTCAATATGAAAGGCCATGTTCATCTCTATGAGTTGAATGGAAATATCCGAAAGAAAATTCTGGGAATGCTGCTGTCTAGTGTTTATACGAATTCCCGCTTCCAACGAAATCCTCAAAGCAATCCAAATATCCACTTGCAGAATCCACAAAAAGAGTGTTTCAAAACTGCTCTATCAATAGAAAGGTTCAACTCTTTTAGTTGAGTACACACACCACGAACAAGTTTCTGAGAATGCTTCTGTCTGGCTTTTATTGGAAGACGTTTCCTTTTCACCAAAGGCATCAAAGCGCTCCAAATGTCCACTTCCAGATTCTTCCAAAAGAGTGTTTCAAACGTGCTCAAAGTAAGGGAATGTTCAACTCTGTGACTTGAATGCAGATATCACCAAGTAGTTTCTAATAGTGCTTCTGTCTAGATTTTAGATGATGATATTCCCGTTTCCAACGAAATCGTTAGAGCTATCCAAATATCCACTTACAGTTTCTACAAAAAGAGTGTTTCCAAACTGCTGCATCAAAAGAAAGTTTCAACTCTGTTAGTTGAGGACACACATCACAAAGAAGTTTGTGAGAATGCTTCTGTCCAGATTTTGTATGACGATATTCCCTTTTCCAACGATATCATTAAAGCAATCTAAATATCCATTTGCAGAATCCACAAAAATAGAGTTTCAAAGCTGCTCTGTAAAAAGAAAGGTTCCACTCTGTTAGCTGAGTACACACATCACAAACTTGTCTCTCAGAATCCTTCTGTCTCGTTTTTATGGGAAGATATTTACTTTTTCACCGTAGGCATCAAAGCGCTCCAAATGTCCACATCCAGATACTCCAGAAAGAGTGTTTCAAACCTGCTCTATGAAAGGGAATCTTCAACTCTATGAGTTGAATGCAGACATGAGAAAGAAATTTCTGAGAATGCTGCTGTCTACCTTTTATTTGAATTCCCGCTTCCAACGAAATCCTCCAAGCTATCCAAATATCCACCTGCATTTTCCACAAAAAGAGCGTTTCAAAACTGCTCTATCAATAGAAATGTTCAACTCCTTTGGCTGGGTACACACATCACAAACAAGTTTCTGAGAATGCTTCTGTCTGGCTTTTATTGGAAGACGTTTCCTTTTTCACCAAAGGCATCAAAGCGCTCCAAATGTCCACTTCCAGACACTACAAAATGAGTGTTTCCAACGTGCTCTAAGAAAGCGAATGTTCAACTCTGTGACTTGAATGCAGATATCACAAAGTAGTTTCTAATAGTGCTTCTGTCTAGATTTTAGATGATGATATTCCCGTTTCCAACGAAATCATTAGAGCTATCTAAATATCCACTTACAGTTTCTACAAAAAGAGTGTTTCCAAACTGCTGCATCAAAAGAGAGGTTCCACTCTGTTAGCTGAGTACACACATCACAAACTTGATTCTGAGAATCCTTACTGTCTCGTTTTTATGGGAAGATATTTACTTTTTCACCGTAGGCATCAAAGCGCTCCAAATGTCCACATCCAGATACTCCAGAAAGAGTGTTTCAAACCTGCTCTATGAAAGAGAATGTTCAACTCTATGAGTTGAATGCAGACATCAGAAAGAAATTTCTGAGAATGCTGGCTGTCTACCTTTTATTTGAATTCCTGCTTCCAACGAAATCCTCCAAGCTATCCAAATATCCACTTGCAGATTCCACAAAAAGAGTGTCTCAAAACTGCTCTCTATCAATGGCGAAGTTCAACTCTGTTAGTTGAGGACACATATCACCAACAAGTTTCTGAGAATGCTTCTCTCTATTTTTTATGGGAAGATATTTCCTTTTTCACCGTAGGCATCAAGGCGATTGAAATGTCCACTTCCACAAACTACAAAAAGTGTGTTTCAAACCTGCTCTATGAAAGGCCATGTTCATCTCTATGAGTTGAATGGAAATATCCGAAAGAAATTCCTGGGAATGCTGCTGTCTAGTTTTTATACGAATTCCCGCTTCCAACGAAATCCTCAAAGCAATCCAAATATCCACTTGCAGAATCCACAAAAAGAGTGTTTCAAAACTGCTCTATCAATAGAAAGGTTCAACTCTTTTAGTTGAGTACACACATCACAAACAAGTTTCTGAGAATGCTTCTGTCTGGCTTTTATTGGAAGACGTTTCCTTTTCACCAAAGGCATCAAAGCAGCTCCAAATGTCCACTTCCAGATTCTTCCAAAAGAGTGTTTGAAACGTGCTCAAAGTAAGGGAATGTTCAACTCTGTGACTTGAATGCAGATATCACCAAGTAGTTTCTAATAGTGCTTCTGTCTAGATTTTAGATGATGATATTCCCGTTTCCAACGAAATCGTTAGAGCTATCCAAATATCCAGTTACAGTTTCTACCAAAAGGGTGTTTCCAAATTGCTGCATCAAAAGAAAGGTTCAACTCTGTTAGTTGAGGACACACATCACAAAGAAGTTTGTGAGAATGCTTCTGTCTAGATTTTGTATGACGATATTCCCTTTTCCAACGATATCGTTAAAGCAATCTAAATATCAATTTGCAGAATCCACAAAACTAGAGTTTCAAAGCTGCTCTGTTAAAAGAAAGGTTCCACTCTGTTAGCTGAGTACACACATCACAAACTTGTTTCTGAGAATCCTTCTGTCTCGTTTTTATGGGAAGATATTTACTTTTCCACCGTAGGCATCAAAGCGCTCCAAATGTCCACATCCAGATACTCCAGAACGAGTGTTTCAAACCTGCTCTATGAAAGGGAATCTTCAACTCTATGAGTTGAATGCAGACATCAGAAAGAAATTTCTGAGAATGCTGCTGTCTACCTTTTATTTGAATTCCCGCTTCCAACGAAATCCTCCAAGCTATCCAAATATCCACCTGCATTTTCCACAAAAAGAGTGTTTCAAAACTGCTCTATCAATAGAAATGTTCAACTCCTTTTGCTGGGTACACACATCACAAACAAGTTTCTGAGAATGCTTCTGTCTGGCTTTTATTGGAAGACGTTTCCTTTTCACCAAAGGCATCAAAGCGCTCCAAATGTCCACTTCCAGATTCTTCCAAAAGAGTGTTTCAAACGTGCTCGAAGTAAGGGAATGTTCTACTCTGTGACATGAATGCAGATAACACCAAGTAGTTTCTAATAGTGCTTCTGTCTAGATTTTAGATGATGATATTCCCGTTTCCAACGAAATCGTTAGAGCTATCCAAATATCCACTTACAGTTTCTACAAAAAGAGTGTTTCCAAACTGCTGCATCAAAAGAGAGGTTCCACTCTGTTAGCTGAGTACACACATCACAAACTTGTTTCTCAGAATCCTTCTGTCTCGTTTTTATGGGAAGATATTTACTTTTTCACCGTAGGCATCAAAGCGCTCCAAATGTCCACATCCAGATACTCCAGAAAGAGTGTTTCAAACCTGCTCTATGAAAGGGAATGTTCAACTCTATGAGTTGAATGCAGACATCAGAAAGAAATTTCTGAGAATGCTGCTGTCTACCTTTTATTTGAATTCCCGCTTCCAACGAAATCCTCCAAGCTATCCAAATATCCACTTGCAGATTCCACAAAAAGAGTGTTTCAAAACTGCTCTCTACCAATGGCAAAGTTCAACTCTGTTAGTTGAGGACACATATCACCAACAAGTTTCTGAGAATGCTTCTGTCTATTTTTTATGGGAAGATATTTCCTTTTTCACCGTAGGCGTCAAGGCGATCGAAATGTCCACTTCCACAAACTACAAAAAGAGTGTTTCAAACCTGCTCTATGAAAGGCCATGTTCATCTCTATGAGTTGAATGGAAATATCCGAAAGAAATTTCTGGGAATGCTGCTGTCTAGTGTTTATACGAATTCCCGCTTCCAACGAAATCCTCAAAGCAATCCAAATATCCACTTGCAGAATCCACAAAAAGAGTGTTTCAAAACTACTCTATCAATAGAAAGGTTCAACTCTTTTAGTTGAGTACACACATCACGAACAAGTTTCTGAGAATGCTTCTGTCTGGCTTTTATTGGAAGACGTTTCCTTTTCACCAAAGGCATCAAAGCGCTCCAAATGTCCACTTCCAGATTCTTCCAAAAGAGTGTTTCAAACGTCCTCAAAGTAAGGGAATGTTCAACTCTGTGACTTGAATGCAGATATCACCAAGTAGTTTCTAATAGTGCTTCTCTCTACATTTTAGATGATGATATTCCCGTTTCCAACGAAATCGTTAGAGCTATCCAAATATCCAGTTACAGTTTCTACCAAAAGGGTGTTTCCAAATTGCTGCATCAAAAGAAAGGTTCAACTCTGTTAGTTGAGGACACACATCACAAAGAAGTTTGTGAGAATGCTTCTGTCTAGATTTTGTATGACGATATTCCCTTTTCCAACGATATCGTTAAAGCAATCTAAATATCAATTTGCAGAATCCACAAAAATAGAGTTTCAAAGCTGCTCTGTAAAAAGAAAGGTTCCACTCTGTTAGCTGAGTACACACATCACAAACTTGTTTCTGAGAATCCTTCTGTCTCGTTTTTATGGGAAGATATTTACTTTTCCACCGTAGGCATCAAAGTGCTCCAAATGTCCACATCCAGATACTCCAGAACGAGTGTTTCAAACCTGCTCTATGAAAGGGAATCTTCAACTCTATGAGTTGAATGCAGACATCAGAAAGAAATTTCTGAGAATGCTGCTGTCTACCTTTTATTTGAATTCCCGCTTCCAACGAAATCCTCCAAGCTATCCAAATATCCACCTGCATTTTCCACAAAAAGAGTGTTTCAAAACTGCTCTATCAATAGAAATGTTCAACTCCTTTGGCTGGGTACACACATCACAAACAAGTTTCTGAGAATGCTTCTGTCTAGTTTTTATGGGAAGACATTCCCTTTTTCACCAAAGGCATCAAAGCGCTCCAAATGTCCTCTTCCAGACACTACAAAAAGAGTGTTTCAAACGTGCTCTAAGAAACCGAATGTTCAACTCTGTGACTTGAATGCAGATATCACAAAGTAGTTTCTGAGACGGCTTCTGTCTAGATTTTAGATGATGATATTCCCGTTTCCAACGAAATCATTAGAGCTATCCAAATATCCACTTACAGTTTCTACAAAAAGAGTGTTTCCAAACTGCTGCATCAAAAGAGAGGTTCCACTCTGTTAGCTGAGTACACACATCACAAACTTGTTTCTCAGAATCCTTCTGTCTCGTTTTTATGGGAAGATATTTACTTTTTCACCGTAGGCCTCAAAGCGCTCCAAATGTCCACATCCAGATACCACAGAAAGAGTATTTCAAACCTGCTCTATGAAAGGGAATGTTCAACTCTATGAGTTGAATGCAGACATCAGAAAGAAATTTCTGAGAATGCTGCTGTCTACCTTTTATTTGAATTCCCGCTTCCAACGAAATCCTCCAAGCTATCCAAATATCCACTTGCAGATTCCACAAAAAGAGTGTTTCAAAACTGCTCTCTATCAATGGCAAAGTTCAACTCTGTTAGTTGAGGACACATATCACCAACGAGTTTCTGAGAATGCTTCTGTCTATTTTTTATGGGAAGATATTTCCTTTTTCAGCGTAGGAGTCAAGGCGATCGAAATGTCCACTTCCACAAACTACAAAAAGAGTGTTTCAAACCTGCTCTATGAAAGGCCATGTTCATCTCTATGAGTTGAATGGAAATATCCGAAAGAAATTTCTGGGAATGCTGCTGTCTAGTTTTTATATGAAATCCCGCTTCCAACGAAATGCTCAAAGCAATCCAAATATCCACTTGCAGATTCCACAAAAAGAGTGTTTCAAAACAGCTCTATCAATAGAAAGGTTCAACTCTTTTAGTTGAGTACACACATCACAAACAACTTTCTGAGAATGCTTCTGTCTGGCTTTTATTGGAAGACGTTTCCTTTTCACCAAAGGCATCAAAGCGCTCCAAATGTCCACTTCCAGATTCTTCCAAAAGAGTGTTTCAAACGTGCTCAAAGTAAGGGAATCTTCAACTCTGTGACTTGAATGCAGATATCACCAAGTAGTTTCTAATAGTGCTTCTGTCTAGATTTTAGATGATGATATTCCCGTTTCCAACGAAATCGTTAGAGCTATCCAAATATCCACTTACAGTTTCTACAAAAACAGTGTTTCCAAACTGCTGCATCAAAAGAAAGGTTCAACTCTGTTAGTTGAGGACACACATCACAAAGAAGTTTGTGAGAATGCTTCTGTCTAGATTTTGTATGACCATATTCCCTTTTCCAGCGATATCGTTAAAGCAATCTAAATATCCATTTGCAGAATCCACAAAAATAGAGTTTCAAAGCTGCTCTGTAAAAAGAAAGGTTCCACTCTGTTAGCTGAGTACACACATCACAAACTTGTTTCTCAGAATCCTTCTGTCTCGTTTTTATGGGAAGATACTTACTTTTCCACCGTAGGCATCAAAGCGCTCCAAATGTCCACATCCAGATACTCCAGAACGAGTGTTTCAAACCTGCTCTATGAAAGGGAATCTTCAACTCTATGAGTTGAATGCAGACATCAGAAAGAAATTTCTGAGAATGCTGCTGTCTACCTTTTATTTGAATTCCCGCTTCCAACGAAATCCTCCAAGCTATCCAAATATCAACTTGCATTTTCCACAAAAAGAGTGTTTCAAAACTGCTCTATCAATAGAAATGTTCAACTCCTTTAGCTGGGTACACACATCACAAACAAGTTTCTGAGAATGCTTCTGTCTATTTTTTATGGGAAGACATTCCCTTTTTCACCAAAGGCATCAAAGCGCTCCAAATGTCCACTTCCAGACACTATAAAAAGAGTGTTTCAAACGTGCTCTAAGAAAGCGAATGTTCAACTCTGTGACTTGAATGCAGATATCACAAAGTAGTTTCTGAGAGGGCTCTGTCTAGATTTTAGATGATGATATTCCCGTTTCCAACGAAATCATTAGAGCTATCCAAATATCCACTTACAGTTTCTACAAAAAGAGTGTTTCCAAACTGCTGCATCAAAAGAGAGGTTCCACTCTGTTAGCTGAGTACACACATCACAAACTTGTTTCTCAGAATCCTTTCTGTCTCGTTTTTATGGGAAGATATTTACTTTTTCATCGTAGGCCTCAAAGCGCTCCAAATGTCCACATCCAGATACTACAGAAAGAGTATTTCAAACCTGCCCTATGAAAGGGAATGTTCAACTCTATGAGTTGAATACAGACATCAGAAAGAAATTTCTGAGAATGCTGCTGTCTACCTTTTATTTGAATTCCCGCTTCCAACGAAATCCTCCAAGCTATCCAAATATCCACTTGCAGATTCCACAAAAAGAGTGTTTCAAAACTGCTCTCTATCAATGGCAAAGTTCAACTCTGTTAGTTGAGGACACATATCACTAACAAGTTTCTGAGAATGCTTCTGTCTATTTTTTATGGGAAGGATATTTCCTTTTTCACCGTAGGCGTCAAGGCGATCGAAATGTCCACTTCCACAAACTACAAAAAGAGTGTTTCAAACCTGCTCTATGAAAGGCCATGTTCATCTCTATGAGTCGAATGGAAATATCCGAAAGAAATTTCTGGGAATGCTGCTGTCTAGTTTTTATACGAATTCCCGCTTCCAACGAAATCCTCAAAGCAATCCAAATATCCACTTGCAGAATCCACAAAAAGAGTGTTTCAAAACTGCTCTATCAATAGAAAGGTTCAACTCTTTTAGTTGAGTACACACATCACAAACAAGTTTCTGAGAATGCTTCTGTCTGGCTTTTATTGGAAGATGTTTCCTTTTCACCAAAGGCATCAAAGCGCTCCAAATGTCCACTTCCAGATTCTTCCAAAAGAGTGTTTGAAACGTGCTCAAAGTAAGGGAATGTTCAACTCCGTGACTTGAATGCAGATATCACCAAGTAGTTTCTAATAGTGCTTCTGTCTAGATTTCAGATGATGATATTCCCGTTTCCAACGAAATCGTTAGAGCTAAGCAAATATCCAGTTACAGTTTCTACCAAAAGGGTGTTTCCAAATTGCTGCATCAAAAGAAAGGTTCAACTCTGTTAGTTGAGGACACACATCACAAAGAAGTTTGTGAGAATGCTTCTGTCTAGATTTTGTATGACGATATTCCCTTTTCCAACGATATCGTTAAAGCAATCTAAATATCAATTTGCAGAATCCACGAAAATAGAGTTTCAAAGCTGCTCTGTAAAAATAAAGGTTCCACTCTGTTAGCTGAGTACACACATCACAAACTTGTTTCTGAGAATCCTTCTGTCTCGTTTTTATGGGAAGATATTTACTTTTCCACCGTAGGCATCAAAGCGCTCCAAATGTCCACATCCAGATACTCCAGAACGAGTGTTTCAAACCTGCTCTATGAAAGGGAATCTTCAACTCTATGAGTTGAATGCAGACATCAGAAAGAAATTTCTGAGAATGCTGCTGTCTACCTTTTATTTGAATTCCCGCTTCCAACGAAATCCTCCAAGCTATCCAAATATCCACTTGCATTTTCCACAAAAAGAGTGTTTCAAACCTGCTCTATCAATAGAAATGTTCAACTCCTTTGGCTGGGTACACACATCACAAACAAGTTTCTGAGAATGCTTCTGTCTAGTTTTTATGGGAAGACGTTCCCTTTCTCACCAAAGGCATCAAAGCGCTCCAAATGTCCACTTCCAGACACTACAAAAAGAGTGTTTCCAACGTGCTCTAAGAAAGCGAATGTTCAACTCTGTGACTTGAATGCAGATATCACAAAGTAGTTTCTGAGAGGGCTTCTGTCTAGATTTTAGATGATGATATTCCGGTTTCCAACGAAATCATTAGAGCTATCCAAATATCCACTTACAGTTTCTACAAAAAGAGTGTTTCCAAACTGCTGCATCAAAAGAGAGGTTCCACTCTGTTAGCTGAGTACACACATCACAAACTTGTTTCTCAGAATCCTTCTGTCTAGCTTTTATGGGAAGATATTTACTTTTTCACCGTAGGCATCAAAGCGTTCCAAATGTCCACATCCAGATAGTACAGAAAGAGTGTTTCAAACCTGCTCTATGACAGGGAATGTTCAACTCTATGAGTTGAATGCAAACATCACAAAGAAATTTCTGAGAATGCTGCTGTCTACCTTTTATTTGAATTCCCGCTTCCAACGAAATCCTCCAAGCTATCCAAATATCCACTTGCAGATTCCACAAAAAGAGTGTTTCAAAACTGCTCTCTATCAATGGCAAAGTTCAACTCTGTTAGTTGAGGACACATATCACCAACAAGTTTCTGAGAATGCTTCTGTCTATTTTTTATGGGAAGATATTTCCTTTTTCACCGTAGGCGTCAAGGCGATCGAAATGTCCACTTCCACAAACTACAAAAAGAGTGTTTCAAACCTGCTCTATGAAAGGCCATGTTCATCTCTATGAGTTGAATGGAAATATCCGAAAGAAATTTCTGGCAATGCTGCTGTCTAGTTTTTATACGAATTCCCGATTCCAACGAAATCCTCAAAGCAATCCAAATATCCACTTGCAGAATCCACAAAAAGAGTGTTTCAAAACTGCTCTATCAATAGAAAGGTTCAACTCTTTTAGTTGAGTACACACATCACGAACAAGTTTCTGAGAATGCTTCTGTCTGGCTTTTATTGGAAGACGTTTCCTTTTCACCAAAGGCATCAAAGCGCTCCAAATGTCCACTTCCAGATTCTTCCAAAAGAGTGTTTCAAACGTGCTCAAAGTAAGGGAATGTTCAACTCTGTGACTTGAATGCAGATATCACCAAGTAGTTTCTAATAGTGCTTCTGTCTAGATTTTAGATGATGATATTCCCGTTTCCAACGAAATCGTTAGAGCTATCCAAATATCCACTTACAGTTTCTACCAAAAGGGTGTTTCGAAACTGCTGCATCAAAAGAAAAGTTCAACTCTGTTAGTTGAGGACACACATCTCAAAGCTGTTTGTGAGAATGCTTCTGTCTAGATTTTGTATGACGGTATTCCCTTTTCCAACGATATCGTTAAAGCAATCTAAATATCAATTTGCAGAATCCACAACAATAGAGTTTCAAAGCTGCTCTGTAAAAAGAAAGGTTCCACTCTGTTAGCTGAGTACACACATTACAAACTTGTTTCTGAGAATCCTTTCTGTCTCGTTTTTATGGGAAGATATTTACTTTTCCACCGTAGGCATCAAAGCGCTCCAAATGTCCACATCGAGATACTCCAGAACGAGTGTTTCAAACCTGCTCTATGAAAGGGAATCTTCAACTCTATGAGTTGAATGCAGACATCAGAAAGAAATTTCTGAGAATGCTGCTGTCTACCTTTTATTTGAATTCCCGCTTCCAACGAAATCCTCCAAGCTATCCAAATATCCACCTGCATTTTCCACAACAAGAGTGTTTCAAAACTGCTCTATCAATAGAAATGTTCAACTCCTTTGGCTGGGTACACACATCACAAACAAGTTTCTGAGAATGCTTCTGTCTAGTTTTTATGGGTAGACATTCCCTTTTTCACCAAAGACATCAAAGCGCTCCAAATGTCCACTTCCAGACACTACAAAAAGAGTGTTTCAAACGTGCTCTAAGAAAGCGAATGTTCAACTCTGTGACTTGAATGCAGATATCACAAAGTAGTTTCTGAGAGGGCTTCTGTCTAGATTTTAGATGATGATATTCCCGTTTCCAACGAAATCATTAGAGCTATCCAAATATCCACTTACAGTTTCTACAAAAAGAGTGTTTCCAAACTGCTGCATCAAAAGAGAGGTTCCACTCTGTTAGCTGAGTACACACATCACAAACTTGTTTCTCAGAATCCTTCTCTCTCGTTTTTATTGGAAGATATTTACTTTCTCACCGTAGGCCTCAAAGCGCTCCAAATGTCCACATCCAGATACTCCAGAAAGAGTGTTTCAAACCTGCTCTATGAAAGGGAATCTTCAACTCTATGAGTTGAATGCAGACATCAGAAAGAAATTTCTGAGAATGCTGCTGTCTACCTTTTATTTGAATTCCCGCTTCCAACGAAATCCTCCAAGCTATCCAAATATCCACTTGCAGATTCCACAAAAAGAGTGTTTCAAAACTGCTCTCTATCAATGGCAAAGTTCAACTCTGTTAGTTGAGGACACATATCACAAACAAGTTTCTGAGAATGCTTCTGTCTATTTTTTATGGGAAGATATTTCCTTTTTCACCGTAGGCGTCAAGGCGATCGAAATGTCCACTTCCACAAACTACAAAAAGAGTGTTTCAAACCTGCTCTATGAAAGGCCATGTTCATCTCTATGAGTTGAATGGAAATATCCGAAAGAAATTTCTGGGAATGCTGCTGTCTAGTTTTTATACGAATTCCCGCTTCCAACGAAATCCTCAAAGCAATCCAAATATCCACTTGCAGAATCCACAAAAAGAGTGTTTCAAAACTGCTCTATCAATAGAAAGGTTCAACTCTTTTAGTTGAGTACACACATCAGAAACAAGTTTCTGAGAATGCTTCTGTCTGGCTTTTATTGGAAGACGTTTCCTTTTCACCAAAGGCATCAAAGCGCTCCAAATGTCCACTTCCAGATTCTTCTAAAAGAGTGTTTCAAACGTGGTCGAAGTAAGGGAATGTTCTACTCTGTGACTTGAATGCAGATATCACCAAGTAGTTTCTAATAGTGCTTCTGTCTAGATTTTAGATGATGATATTCCCGTTTCCAACGAAATCGTTAGAGCTATCCAAATATCCAGTTACAGTTTCTACCAAAAGGGTGTTTCCAAATTGCTGCATCAAAAGAAAGGTTCAACTCTGTTAGTTGAGGACACACATCACAAAGAAGTTTGTGAGAATGCTTCTGTCCAGATTTTGTATGACGATATTCCCTTTTCCAACGATATCGTTAAAGCAATCTAAATATCCATTTGCAGAATCCACAAAAATAGAGTTTCAAAGCTGCTCTGTAAAAAGAAAGGTTCCACTCTGTTAGCTGAGTACACACATCACAAACTTGTTTCTCAGAATCCTTCTGTCTCGTTTTTATGGGAAGATATTTACTTTTCCACCGTAGGCATCAAAGCGCTCCAAATGTCCACATCCAGATACTCCAGAACGAGTGTTTCAAACCTGCTCTATGAAAGGGAATCTTCAACTCTATGAGTTGAATGCAGACATCAGAAAGAAATTTCTGAGAATGCTGCTGTCTACCTTTTATTTGAATTCCCGCTTCCAACGAAATCCTCCAAGCTATCCAAATATCCACCTGCATTTTCCACAACAAGAGTGTTTCAAAACTGCTCTATCAATAGAAATGTTCAACTCCTTTGGCTGGGTACACACATCACAAAGAAGTTTCTGAGAATGCTTCTGTCTAGTTTTTATGGGAAGACATTCCCTTTTTCACCAAAGGCATCAAAGCGCTCCAAATGTCCACTTCCAGACACTACAAAAAGAGTGTTTCAAACGTGCTCTAAGAAACCGAATGTTCAACTCTGTGACTTGAATGCAGATATCACAAAGTAGTTTCTGAAAGGGCTTCTGTCTAGATTTTAGATGATGATATTCCCGTTTCCAACGAAATCATTAGAGCTATCCAAATATCCACTTACAGTTTCTACAAAAAGAGTGTTTCCAAACTGCTGCATCAAAAGAGAGGTTCCACTCTGTTAGCTGAGTACACACATCACAAACTTGTTTCTCAGAATCCTTCTGTCTCGGTTTTATGGGAAGATATTTACTTTCTCACCGAAGGTACCAAAGCGCTCCAAATGTCCACATCCAGATACTCGAGAAAGAGTGTTTCAAACCTGCTCTATGAAAGGGAATCTTCAACTCTATGAGTTGAATGCAGACATCAGAAAGAAATTTCTGAGAATGCTGCTGTCTACCTTTTATTTGAATTCCCACTTCCAACGAAATCCTCCAAGCTATCCAAATATCCACTTGCAGATTCCACAGAAAGAGTGTTTCAAAACTGCTCTCTATCAATGGCAAAGTTCAACTCTGTTAGTTGAGGACACATATCACCAACAAGTTTCTGAGAATGCTTCTGTCTATTTTCTTATGGGAAGATATTTCCTTTTTCACCGTAGGCGTCAAGGCGATCGAAATGTCCACTTCCACAAACTACAAAAAGAGTGTTTCAAACCTGCTCTATGAAAGGCGATGTTCATCTCTATGAGTTGAATGGAAATATCCGAAAGAAATTTCTGGGAATGCTGCTGTCTAGTTTTTATATGAATTCCCGCTTCCAACGAAATCCTCAAAGCAATCCAAATATCCACTTGCAGAATCCACAAAAAGAGTGTTTCAAAACTGCTCTATCAATAGAAAGGTTCAACTCTTTTAGTTGAGTACACACATCACCAACAAGTTTCTGAGAATGCTTCTGTCTGGCTTTTATTGGAAGACGTTTCCTTTTCACCAAAGGCATCAAAGCGCTCCAAATGTCCACTTCCAGATTCTTCCAAAAGAGTGTTTGAAACGTGCTCAAAGTAAGGGAATGTTCAACTCTGTGACTTGAATGCAGATATCACCAAGTAGTTTCTAATAGTGCTTCTGTCTAGATTTTAGATGACGATATTCCCGTTTCCAGCGAAATCGTTAGAGCTATCCAAATATCCACTTACAGTTTCTACAAAAAGAGTGTTTCCAAACTGCTGCATCAAAAGAAAGGTTCAACTCTGTTAGTTGAGGACACACATCACAAAGAAGTTTGTGAGAATGCTTCTGTCTAGAATTTGTATGACGATATTCCCTTTTCCAACGATATCGTTAAAGCAATCTAAATATCAATTTGCAGAATCCACAAAAATAGAGTTTCAAAGCTGCTCTGTAAAAAGAAAGGTTCCACTCTTTTAGCTGAGTACACACATCACAAACTTGTTTCTGAGAATCCTTCTGTCTCGTTTTTATGGGAAGATATTTACTTTTTCACCGTAGGCATCAAAGCGCTCCAAATGTCCACATCCAGATACTCCAGAAAGAGTGTTTCAAACCTGCTCTATGAAAGGGAATCTTCAACTCTATGAGTTGAATGCAGACATCAGAAAGAAATTTCTGAGAATGCTGCTGTCTACCTTTTATTTGAATTCCCGCTTCCAACGAAATCCTCCAAGCTATCCAAATATCCACTTGCATTTTCCACAACAAGAGTGTTTCAAAACTGCTCTATCAATAGAAACGTTCAACTCCTTTGGCTGGGTACACACATCACAAACAAGTTTCTGAGAATGCTTCTGTCTAGTTTTTATGGGAAGACGTTCCCTTTTTCACCAAAGCCATCAAAGCGCTCCAAATGTCCACTTCCAGACACTACAAAAAGAGTGTTTCAAACGTGCTCTAAGAAAGCGAATGTTCAACTCTGTGACTTGAATGCAGATATCACAAAGTGGTTTCTGAGAGTGCTTCTGTCTAGATTTTAGATGATGATATTCCCGTTTCCAACGAAATCATTAGAGCTATCCAAATATCCACTTACAGTTTCTACAAAAAGAGTGTTTCCAAACTGCTGCATCAAAAGAGAGGTTCCACTCTGTTAGCCGAGTACAGACATCACAAACTTGTTTCTCAGAATCCTTCTGTCTCGTTTTTATGGGAAGATATTTACTTTTTCACCGTAGGCATCAAAGCGCTCCAAATGTCCACATCCGGATACTCCAGAAAGAGTGTTTCAAACCTGCTCTATGAAAGGGAATCTTCAACTCTATGAGTTGAATGCAGACATCAGAAAGAAATTTCTGAGAATGCTGCTGTCTACCTTTTATTTGAATTCCCGCTTCCAACGAAATCCTCCAAGCTATCCAAATATCCACTTGCAGATTCCACAAAAAGAGTGTTTCAAAACTGCTCTCTATCAATGGCAAAGTTCAACTCTGTTAGTTGAGGACACATATCACCAACAAGTTTCTGAGAATGCTTCTGTCTATTGTTTATGGGAAGATATTTCCTTTTTCACCGTAGGCGTCAACGCGATCGAAATGTCCACTTCCACAAACTACAAAAAGAGTGTTTCAAACCTGCTCTATGAAAGGCCATGTTCATCTCTATGAGTTGAATGGAAATATCCGAAAGAAATTTCTGGGAATGCTGCTGTCTAGTGTTTATACGAATTCACGCTTCCAACGAAATCCTCAAAGCAATCCAAATATCCACTTGCAGAATCCACAAAAAGAGTGTTTCAAAACTGCTCTATCAATAGAAAGGTTCAACTCTTTTAGTTGAGTACACACATCACGAACAAGTTTCTGAGAATGCTTCTGTCTGGCTTTTATTGGAAGACGTTTCCTTTTCACCAAAGGCATCAAAGCGCTCCAAATGTCCACTTCCAGATTCTTCCAAAAGAGTGTTTCAAACGTGCTCAAAGTAAGGGAATGTTCAACTCTGTGACTTGAATGCAGATATCACCAAGTAGTTTCTAATAGTGCTTCTGTCTAGATTTTAGATGATGATATTCCCGTTTCCAACGAAATCGTTAGAGCTATCCAAATATCCACTTACAGTTTCTACAAAAAGAGTGTTTCCAAACTGCTGCATCAAAAGAAAGGTTCAACTCTGTTGGTTGAGGACACACATCAGAAAGAAGTTTGTGAGAATGCTTCTGTCTAGATTTTGTATGACGATATTCCCTTTTCCAACGATATCGTTAAAGCAATCTAAATATCCATTTGCAGAATCCACAAAAATAGAGTTTCAAAGCTGCTCTGTAAAAAGAAAGGTTCCACTCTGTTAGCTGAGTACACACATCACAAACTTGTTTCTCAGAATCCTTCTGTCTCGTTTTTATGGGAAGATATTTACTTTTTCACCGTAGGCATCAAAGCGCTCCAAATGTCCACATCCAGATACTCCACAAAGAGTGTTTCAAACCTGCTCTATGAAAGGGAATCTTCAACTCTATGAGTTGAATGCAGACATCAGAAAGAAATTTCTGAGAATGCTGCTGTCTAAATTTTATTTGAATTCCCGCTTCCAACGAAATCCTCCAAGCTATCCAAATATCCTCCTGCATTTTCCACAAAAAGAGCGTTTCAAAACTGCTCTATCAATAGAAATGTTCAACTCCTTTGGCTGGGTACACACATCACAAACAAGTTTCTGAGAATGCTTCTGTCTAGTTTTTATGGGAAGACATTCCCCTTTTCACCAAAGGCATCAAAGCGCTCCAAATGTCCACTTCCAGACACTACAAAAAGAGTGTTTCAAACGTGCTCTAAGAAAGCGAATGTTCAACTCTGTGACTTGAATGCAGATATCACAAAGCAGTTTCTGAGAGGGCTTCTGTCTAGATTTTAGATGATGATATTCCCGTTTCCAACGAAATCATTAGAGCTATCCAAATATCCACTTACAGTTTCTACAAAAAGAGTGTTTCCAAACTGCTGCATCAAAAGAGAGGTTCCACTCTGTTAGCTGAGTACACACATCACAAACTTGTTTCTCAGAATCCTTCTGTCTCGTTTTTATGGGAAGATATTTACTTTTTCACCGTAGGCATCAAAGCGCTCCAAATGTCCACATCCAGATACTCCAGAAAGAGTGTTTCAAACATGCTCTATGAAAGGGAATCTTCAACTCTATGAGTTGAATGCAGACATCAGAAAGAAATTTCTGAGAATGCTGCTGTCTACCTTTTATTTGAATTCCCGCTTCCAACGAAATCCTCCAAGCTATCCAAATATCCACTTGCAGATTCCACAAAAAGAGTGTTTCAAAACTGCTCTCTATCAATGGCAAAGTTCAACTCTGTTAGTTGAGGACACATATCACCAACAAGTTTCTGAGAATGCTCTGTCTATTTTTTATGGGAAGATATTTCCTTTTTCAGCGTAGGCGTCAAGGCGATCGAAATGTCCACTTCCACAAACTACAAAAAGAGTGTTTCAAACCTGCTCTATGAAAGGCCATGTTCATCCTGCTATGAGTTGAATGGAAATATCCGAAAGAAATTTCCTGGGAATGCTGGCTGTCTACCTTTTATTTGAATTCCCGCTTCCAACGAAATCCTCCAAGGTATCCAAATATCCACCTGCATTTTCCACAAAAAGAGTATTTCAAAACTGTTCTATCAATAGAAATGTTCAACTCCTTTGGCTGGGTACACACATCACAAACAAGTTTCTGAGAATGCTTCTGTCTGGCTTTTATTGGAAGACGTTTCCTTTTCACCAAAGGCATCAAAGCGCTCCAAATGTCCACTTCCAGATTCTTCCAAAAGAGTGTTTCAAACGTGCTCAAAGTAAGGGAATGTTCAACTCTGTGACTTGAATGCAGATATCACCAAGTAGTTTCTAATAGTGCTTCTGTCTAGATTTTAGATGATGATATTCCCGTTTCCAACGAAATCGTTAGAGCTATCCAAATATCCACTTACAGTTTCTACAAAAAGAGTGTTTCCAAACTGCTGCATCAAAAGAAAGGTTCAACTCTGTTAGTTGAGGACACACATCACAAAGAAGTTTGTGAGAATGCTTCTGTCTAGATTTTGTATGACGATATTCCCTTTTCCAACGATATCGTTAAGGCAACCTAAATATCAATTTGCAGAATCCACAAAAATAGAGTTTCAAAGCTGCTCTGTAAAAAGAAAGGTTCCACTCTGTTAGCTGAGTACACACATCACAAACTTGTTTCTGAGAATCCTTCTGTCTCGTTTTTATGGGAAGATATTTACTTTTCCACCGTAGGCATCAAAGCGCTCCAAATGTCCACATCCAGATACTCCAGAACGAGTGTTTCAAACCTGCTCTATGAAAGGGAATCTTCAACTCTATGAGTTGAATGCAGACATCAGAAAGAAATTTCTGAGAATGCTGCTGTCTACCTTTTATTTGAATTCCCGCTTCCAACGAAATCCTCCAAGCTATCCAAATATCCACCTGCATTTTCCACAAAAAGAGTGTTTCAAACCTGCTCTATCAATAGAAATGTTCAACTCCTTTGGCTGGGTACACACATCACAAACAAGTTTCTGAGAATGCTTCTGTCTAGTTTTTATGGGAAGACATTCCCTTTTTCACCAAAGGCATCAAAGCGCTCCAAATGTCCACTTCCAGACACTACAAAAAGAGTGTTTCCAACGTGCTCTAAGAAAGCGAATGTTCAATTCTGTGACTTGAATGCAGATATCACAAAGTAGTTTCTAATAGTGCTTCTGTCTAGATTTTAGATGATGATATTCCCGTTTCCAACGAAATCGTTAGAGCTATCCAAATATCCACTTACAGTTTCTACAAAAAGAGTGTTTCCAAACTGCTGAATCAAAAGAAAGGTTCAACTCTGTTAGTTGAGGACACACATCACAAAGAAGTTTGTGAGAATGCTTCTTTCTCGTTTTTATGGGAAGATATTTACTTTTTCACCGTAGGCATCAAAGCGCTCCAAATGTCCACATCCAGATACTCCAGAAAGAGTGTTTCAAACCTGCTCTATGAAAGGGAATCTTCAACTCTATGAGTTGAATGCAGACATCAGAAAGAAATTTCTGAGAATGCTGCTGTCTACCTTTTATTTGAATTCCCGCTTCCAACGAAATCCTCCAAGCTATCCAAATATCCACTTGCAGATTCCACAAAAAGAGTGTTTCAAAACTGCTCTCTATCAATGGCAAAGTTCAACTCTGTTAGTTGAGGACACATATCACCAACAAGTTTCTGAGAATGCTTCTGTCTATTTTTTATGGGAAGAATTTCCTTTTTCACCGTAGGCGTCAAGGCGATCGAAATGTCCACTTCCACAAACTACAAAAAGAGTGTTTCAAACCTGCTCTATGAAAGGCCATGTTCATCTCTATGAGTCGAATGGAAATATCCGAAAGAAATTTCTGGGAATGCTGCTGTCTAGTTTTTATACGAATTCCCGCTTCCAACGAAATCCTCAAAGCAATCCAAATATCCACTTGCAGAATCCACAAAAAGAGTGTTTCAAAACTGCTCTATCAATAGAAAGGTTCAACTCTTTTAGTTGAGTACACACATCACAAACAAGTTTCTGAGAATGCTTCTGTCTCGTTTTTATGGGAAGATATTTACTTTTCCACCGTAGGCATGAAAGCGCTCCAAATGTCCACTTCCAGATTCTTCCAAAAGAGTGTTTCAAACGTGCTCAAAGTAAGGGAATGTTCAACTCTGTGACTTGAATGCAGATATCACCAAGTAGTTTCTAATAGTGCTTCTGTCTAGATTTTAGATGATGATATTCCCGTTTCCAACGAAATCGTTAGAGCTATCCAAATATCCAGTTACAGTTTCTACCAAAAGGGTGTTTCCAAATTGCTGCATCAAAAGAAAGGTTCAACTCTGTTAGTTGAGGACACACATCACAAAGAAGTTTGTGAGAATGCTTCTGTCTAGATTT
Organism: Homo sapiens; assembly: GCF_000001405.40. NCBI lineage: Eukaryota > Metazoa > Chordata > Mammalia > Primates > Hominidae > Homo > Homo sapiens. The sequence goes on along the minus strand of NC_000022.11, from coordinate 14,898,280 downwards.
TGTATGAGGATATTCCCTTTTCCAACGATATCGTTAAAGCAATCTAAATATCAATTTGCAGAATCCACAAAACTAGAGTTTCAAAGCTGCTCTGTTAAAAGAAAGGTTCCACTCTGTTAGCTGAGTACACACATCACAAACTTGTTTCTGAGAATCCTTCTGTCTCGTTTTTATGGGAAGATATTTACTTTTCCACCGTAGGCATCAAAGCGCTCCAAATGTCCACATCCAGATACTCCAGAACGAGTGTTTCAAACCTGCTCTATGAAAGGGAATCTTCAACTCTATGAGTTGAATGCAGACATCAGAAAGAAATTTCTGAGAATGCTGCTGTCTAGCTTTTATTTGAATTCCCGCTTCCAACGAAATCCTCCAAGCTATCCAAATATCCACCTGCATTTTCCACAACAAGAGTGTTTCAAAACTGCTGTATCAATAGAAATGTTCAACTCCTTTGGCTGGGTACACACATCACAAACAAGTTTCTGAGAATGCTTCTGCCTAGTTTTTATGGGAAGACATTCCCTTTTTCACCAAAGGCATCAAAGCGCTCCAAATGTCCACTTCCAGCCACTACAAAAAGAGTGTTTCAAACGTGCTCTAAGAAAGCGAATGTTCAACTCTGTGACTTGAGTGCAGATATCACAAAGTAGTTTCTGAGAGTGCTTCTGTCTAGATTTTAGATGATGATATTCCCGTTTCCAAAGAAATCATTAGAGCTATCCAAATATCCACTTACAGTTTCTACAAAAAGAGTGTTTCCAAACTGCTGCATCAAAACAGAGGTTCCACTCTGTTAGCTGAGTACACACATCACAAACTTGTTTCTCAGAATCCTTCTGTCTCGTTTTTATGGGAAGATATTTACTTTTTCACCGTAGGCATCAAAGCGCTCCAAATGTCCACATCCAGATACTACAGAAAGAGTATTTCAAACCTGCCCTATGAAAGGGAATGTTCAACTCTATGAGTTGAATGCAGACATCAGAAAGAAATTTCTGAGAATGCTGCTGTCTACCTTTTATTTGAATTCCCGCTTCCAACGAAATCCTCCAAGCTATCCAAATATCCGCTTGCAGATTCCACAAAAAGAGTGTTTCAAAACTGCTCTCTATCAATGGCAAAGTTCAACTCTGTTAGTTGAGGACACATATCACCAACAAGTTTCTGAGAATGCTTCTGTCTATTTTTTATGGGAAGATATTTCCTTTTTCACCGTAGGCGTCAAGGCGATCGAAATGTCCACTTCCACAAACTACAAAAAGAGTGTTTCAAACCTGCTCTATGAAAGGCCATGTTCATCTCTATGAGTTGAATGGAAATATCCGAAAGAAATTTCTGGGAATGCTGCTGTCTAGTGCTTATACGAATTCCCGCTTCCAACGAAATCCTCAAAGCAATCCAAATATCCACTTGCAGAATCCACAAAAAGAGTGTTTCAAAACTGCTCTATCAATAGAAAGGTTCAACTCTTTTAGTTGAGTACACACATCACGAACAAGTTTCTGAGAATGCTTCTTTCTGGCTTTTATTGGAAGACGTTTCCTTTTCACCAAAGGCATCAAAGCGCTCCAAATGTCCACTTCCAGATTCTTCCAAAAGAGTGTTTCAAACGTGCTCGAAGTAAGGGAATGTTCTACTCTGTGACTTGAATGCAGATATCACCAAGTAGTTTCTAATAGTGCTTCTGTCTACATTTTAGATGATGATATTCCCGTTTCCAACGAAATCGTTAGAGCTATCCAAATATCCAGTTACAGTTTCTACCAAAAGGGTGTTTCCAAATTGCTGCATCAAAAGAAAGGTTCAACTCTGTTAGTTGAGGACACACATCACAAAGAAGTTTGTGAGAATGCTTCTGTCTAGATTTTGTATGACCATATTCCCTTTTCCAATGATATCGTTAAAGCAATCTAAATATCAATTTGCAGAATCCACAAAAATAGAGTTTCAAAGCTGCTCTGTAAAAAGAAAGGTTCCACTCTGTTAGCTGAGTACACACATCACAAACTTGTTTCTGAGAATCCTTCTGTCTCGTTTTTATGGGAAGATATTTACTTTTCCACCGTAGGCATCAAAGCGCTCCAAATGTCCACATCCAGATACTCCAGAACGAGTGTTTCAAACCTGCTCTATGAAAGGGAATCTTCAACTCTATGAGTTGAATGCAGACATCAGAAAGAAATTTCTGAGAATGCTGCTGTCTACCTTTTATTTGAATTCCCGCTTCCAACGAAATCCCCCAAGCTATCCAAATATCCACCTGCATTTTCCACAACAAGAGTGTTTCAAAACTGCTCTATCAATAGAAATGTTCAACTCCTTTGGCTGGGTACACACATCACAAACAAGTTTCTGAGAATGCTTCTGTCTAGTTTTTATGGGAAGACATTCCCTTTTTCACCAAAGGCATCAAAGCGCTCCAAATGTCCACTTCCAGACACTGCAAAAAGAGTGTTTCAAACGTGCTCTAAGAAAGCGAATGTTCAACTCTGTGACTTGAATGCAGATATCACAAAGTAGTTTCTGAGAGGGCTTCTGTCTAGATTTTAGATGATGATATTCCCGTTTCCAACGAAATCATTAGAGCTATCCAAATATCCACTTACAGTTTCTACAAAAAGAGTGTTTCCAAACTGTTGCATCAGAAGAGAGGTTCCACTCTGTTAGCTGAGTACACACATCACAAACTTGTTTCTGAGAATCCTTCTGTCTCGTTTTTCTGGGAAGATATTTACTTTTTCACCGTAGGCATCAAAGCGCTCCAAATGTCCACATCCAGATACTCCAGAAAGAGTGTTTCAAACCTGCTCTATGAAAGGGAATCTTCAACTCTATGAGTTGAATGCAGACATCAGAAAGAAATTTCTGAGAATGCTGCTGTCTACCTTTTATTTGAATTCCCGCTTCCAACGAAATCCTCCAAGCTATCCAAATATCCACTTGCAGATTCAGGAAAAAGAGTGTTTCAAAACTGCTCTCTATCAATGGCAAAGTTCAACTCTGTTAGTTGAGGACACATATCGCCAACAAGTTTCTGAGAATGCTTCTGTCTATTTTTTATGGGTAGATATTTCCTTTTTCACCGTAGGCGTCAAGGCGATCGAAATGTCCACTTCCACAAACTACAAAAAAGAGTGTTTCAAACCTGCTCTATGAAAGGCCATGTTCATCTCTATGAGTTGAATGGAAATATCCGAAAGAAATTTCTGGGAATGCTGCTGTCTAGTTGTTATACGAATTCCCGCTTCCAACGAAATCCTCAAAGCAATCCAAATATCCACTTGCAGAATCCACAAAAAGAGTGTTTCAAAACTGCTCTATCAATAGAAAGGTTCAACTCTTTTAGTTGAGTACACACATCACAAACAAGTTTCTGAGAATGCTTCTGTCTGGCTTTTATTGGAAGACGTTTCCTTTTCACCAAAGGCATCAAAGCGCTCCAAATGTCCACTTCCAGATTCTTCCAAAAGAGTGTTTGAAACGTGCTCAAAGTAAGGGAATGTTCAACTCTGTGACTTGAATGCAGATATCACCAAGTAGTTTCTAATAGTGCTTCTGTCTAGATTTTAGATGATGATATTCCCGTTTCCAACAAAATCGTTAGAGCTATCCAAATATCCAGTTACAGTTTCTACCAAAAGGGTGTTTCCAAATTGCTGCATCAAAAGAAAGGTTCAACTCTGTTAGTTGAGGAAACACATCACAAAGAAGTTTGTGAGAATGCTTCTGTCTAGATTTTGTATGACGATATTCCCTTTTCCAACGATATCGTTAAAGCAATCTAAATATCAATTTGCAGAATCCACAAAAATAGAGTTTCAAAGCTGCTCTGTAAAAAGAAAGGTTCCACTCTGTTAGCTGAGTACACACATCACAAACTTGTTTCTGAGAATCCTGCTGTCTACCTTTTATTTGAATTCCCGCTTCCAACGAAATCCTCCAAGCTATCCAAATATCCACCTGCATTTTCCACAAAAAGAGTGTTTCAAAACTGCTCTATCAATAGAAATGTTCAACTCCTTTGGCTGGGTACACACATCACAAACAAGTTTCTGAGAATGCTTCTGTCTAGTTTTTATGGGAAGACATTCCCTTTTTCCCCAAAGACATCAAAGCGCTCCAAATGTCCACTTCCAGACACTACAAAAAGAGTGTTTCAAACGTGCTCTAAGAAAGCGAATGTTCAACTCTGTGACTTGAATGCAGATATCACAAAGTAGTTTCTGAGAGGGCTTCTGTCTAGATTTTAGATGATGATATTCCGGTTTCCAACGAAATCATTAGAGCTATCCAAATATCCACTTACAGTTTCTACAAAAAGAGTGTTTCCAAACTGCTGCATCAAAAGAGAGGTTCCACTCTGTTAGCTGAGTACACACATCACAAACTTGTTTCTGAGAATCCTGCTGTCTACCTTTTATTTGAATTCCCGCTTCCAACGAAATCCTCCAAGCTATCCAAATATCCACTTGCAGATTCCACAAAAAGAGTGTTTCAAAACTGCTCTCTATCAATGGCAAAGTTCAACTCTGTTAGTTGAGGACACATATCACCAACAAGTTTCTGAGAATGCTTCTGTCTATTTTTTATGGGAAGATATTTCCTTTTTCACCGTAGGCGTCAAGGCGATCGAAATGTCCACTTCCACAAACTACAAAAAGAGTGTTTCAAACCTGCTCTATGAAAGGCCATGTTCATCTCTATGAGTCGAATGGAAATATCCGAAAGAAATTTCTGGGAATGCTGCTGTCTAGTTTTTATACGAATTCCCGCTTACAACGAAATCCTCAAAGCAATCCAAATATCCACTTGCAGAATCCACAAAAAGAGTGTTTCAAAACTGCTCTATCAATAGAAAGGTTCAACTCTTTTAGTTGAGTACACACATCACAAACAAGTTTCTGAGAATGCTTCTGTCTGGCTTTTATTGGAAGACGTTTCCTTTTCACCAAAGGCATCATCAAAGCGCTCCAAATGTCCACTTCCAGATTCTTCCAAAAGAGTGTTTCAAACGTGCTCAAAGTAAGGGAATGTTCAACTCTGTGACTTGAATGCAGATATCACCAAGTAGTTTCTAATAGTGCTTCTGTCTAGATTTTAGATGATGATATTCCCGTTTCCAACGAAATCGTTAGAGCTATCCAAATATCCAGTTACAGTTTCTACCAAAAGGGTGTTTCCAAATTGCTGCATCAAAAGAAAGGTTCAACTCTGTTAGTTGAGGACACACATCACAAAGAAGTTTGTGAGAATGCTTCTGTCTAGATTTTGTATGACGATATTCCCTTTTCCAGCGATATCGTTAAAGCAATCTAAATATCCATTTGCAGAATCCACAAAAATAGAGTTTCAAAGCTGCTCTGTAAAAAGAAAGGTTCCACTCTGTTAGCTGAGTACACACATCACAAACTTGTTTCTCAGAATCCTTCTGTCTCGTTTTTATGGGAAGATATTTACATTTTCACCGTAGGCATCAAAGCACTCCAAATGTCCACATCCAGATACTCCAGAAAGACTGTTTCAAACCTGCTCTATGAAAGGGAATCTTCAACTCTATGAGTTGAATGCAGACATCAGAAAGAAATTTCTGAGAATGCTGCTGTCTACCTTTTATTTGAATTCCCGCTTCCAACGAAATCCTCCAAGCTATCCAAATATCCACCTGCATTTTCCACAAAAAGAGCGTTTCAAAACTGCTCTATCAATAGAAATGTTCAACTCCTTTGGCTGGGTACACACATCACAAACAAGTTTCTGAGAATGCTTCTGTCTAGTTTTTATGGGAAGACATTCTCTTTTTCACCAAAGGCATCAAAGCGCTCCAAATGTCCACTTCCAGACACTACAAAAAGAGTGTTTCCAACGTGCTCTAAGAAAGCGAATGTTCAACTCTGTGACTTGAATGCAGATATCACAAAGTAGTTTCTGAGAGGGCTTCTGTCTAGATTTTAGATGATGATATTCCCTTTTCCAACGAAATCATTAGAGCTATCCAAATATCCACTTACAGTTTCTACAAAAAGAGTGTTTCCAAACTGCTGTATCAAAACAGAGGTTCCACTCTGTTAGCTGAGTACACACATCACAAACTTGTTTCTCAGAATCCTGCTGTCTACCTTTTATTTGAATTCCCGCTTCCAACGAAATCCTCCAAACTATCCAAATATCCACTTGCAGATTCAGGAAAAAGAGTGTTTCAAAACTGCTCTCTATCAATGGCAAAGTTCAACTCTGTTAGTTGAGGACACATATCACCAACAAGTTTCTGAGAATGCTTCTGTCTATTTTTTATGGGAAGATATTTCCTTTTTCACCGTAGGCGTCAAGGCGATCGAAATGTCCACTTCCACAAACTACAAAAAGAGTGTTTCAAACCTGCTCTATGAAAGGCCATGTTCATCTCTATGAGTCGAATGGAAATATCTGAAAGAAATTTCTGGGAATGCTGCTGTCTAGTTTTTATACGAATTCCCGCTTCCAACGAAATCCTCAAAGCAATCCAAATATCCACTTGCAGAATCCACAAAAAGAGTGTTTCAAAACTGCTCTATCAATAGAAAGGTTCAACTCTTTTAGTTGAGTACACACATCACAAACAAGTTTCTGAGAATGCTTCTGTCTGGCTTTTATTGGAAGACGTTTCCTTTTCACCAAAGGCATCAAAGCGCTCCAAATGTCCACTTCCAGATTCTTCCAAAAGAGTGTTTCAAACGTGCTCGAAGTAAGGGAATGTTCTACTCTGTGACTTGAATGCAGATATCACCAAGTAGTTTCTAATAGTGCTTCTGTCTACATTTTAGATGATGATATTCCCGTTTCCAACGAAATCGTTAGAGCTATCCAAATATCCAGTTACAGTTTCTACCAAAAGGGTGTTTCCAAATTGCTGCATCAAAAGAAAGGTTCAACTCTGTTAGTTGAGGACACACATCACAAAGAAGTTTGTGAGAATGCTTCTGTCTAGATTTTGTATGACGATATTCCCTTTTCCAACGATATCGTTAAAGCAATCTAAATATCAATTTGCAGAATCCACAAAACTAGAGTTTCAAAGCTGCTCTGTAAAAAGAAAGGTTCCACTCTGTTAGCTGAGTACACACATCACAAACTTGTTTCTGAGAATCCTTCTGTCTCGTTTTTATGGGAAGATATTTACTTTTTCACCGTAGGCATCAAAGCGCTCCAAATGTCCACATCCAGATACTCCAGAAAGAGTGTTTCAAACCTGCTCTATGAAAGGGAATCTTCAACTCTATGAGTTGAATGCAGACATCAGAAAGAAATTTCTGAGAATGCTGCTGTCTACCTTTTATTTGAATTCCCTCTTCCAACGAAATCCTCCAAGCTATCCAAATATCCACCTGCATTTTCCACAAAAAGAGTGTTTCAAAACTGCTCTATCAATAGAAATGTTCAACTCCTTTGGCTGGGTACACACATCACAAACAAGTTTCTGAGAATGCTTCTGTCTAGTTTTTATGGGAAGACATTCCCTTTTTCACCAAAGGCATCAAAGCGCTCCAAATGTCCACTTCCAGACACTACAAAAAGAGTGTTTCAAACGTGGTCGAAGTAAGGGAATGTTCAACTCTGTGACTTGAATGCAGATATCACCAAGTAGTTTCTAATAGTGCTTCTGTCTAGATTTTAGATGATGATATTCCCGTTTCCAACGAAATCATTAGAGCTATCCAAATATCCACTTACAGTTTCTACAAAAAGAGTGTTTCCAAACTGCTGCATCAAAAGAGGGGTTCCACCTCTGTTAGCTGAGTACACACATCACAAACTTGTTTCTCAGAATCCTTCTGTCTAGTTTTTATGGGAAGATATTTACTTTTTCACCGTAGGCATCAAAGAGTTCCAAATGTCCACATGCAGATAGTACAGAAAGAGTGTTTCAAACCTGCTGTATGAAAGGGAATGTTCAACTCTATGAGTTGAATGCAAGCATCACAAAGAAATTTCTGAGAATGCTTGCTGTCTACCTTTTATTTGAATTCCCGCTTCCAACGAAATCCTCCAAGCTATCCAAATATCCACTTGCATATTCCACAAAAAGAGTGTTTCAAAACTGCTCTCTATCAATGGCAAAGTTCAACTCTGTTAGTTGAGGACACATATCACCAACAAGTTTCTGAGAATGCTTCTGTCTATTTTTTATGGGAAGATATTTCCTTTTTCACCGTAGGCGTCAAGGTGATCGAAATGTCCACTTCCACAAACTACAAAAAGAGTGTTTCAAACCTGCTCTATGAAAGGCCATGTTCTTCTCTATGAGTTGAATGGAAATATCCGAAAGAAATTTCTGGTAATGCTGCTGTCTAGTTATTATATGAATTCCCGCTTCCAACGAAATCCTCAAAGCAATCCAAATATCCACTTGCAGAATCCACAAAAAGAGTGTTTCAAAACTGCTCTATCAATAGAAAGGTTCAACTCTTTTAGTTGAGTACACACATCACAAACAAGTTTCTGAGAATGCTTCTGTCTGGCTTTTATTGGAAGACGTTTCCTTTTCACCAAAGGCATCAAAGCGCTCCAAATGTCCACTTCCAGATTCTTCCAAAAGAGTGTTTCAAACGTGCTCGAAAGTAAGGGAATGTTCAACTCTGTGACTTGAATGCAGATATCACCAAGTAGTTTCTAATAGTGCTTCTGTCTACATTTTAGATGATGATATTCCCGTTTCCAACGAAATCGTTAGAGCTATCCAAATATCCAGTTACAGTTTCTACCAAAAGGGTGTTTCCAAATTGCTGCATCAAAAGAAAGGTTCAACTCTGTTAGTTGAGGACACACATCACAAAGAAGTTTGTGAGAATGCTTCTGTCCAGATTTTGTATGACGATATTCCCTTTTCCAACGATATCATTAAAGCAATCTAAATATCCATTTGCAGAATCCACAAAAATAGAGTTTCAAAGCTGCTCTGTAAAAAGAAAGGTTCCACTCTGTTAGCTGAGTACACACATCACAAACTTGTCTCTCAGAATCCTTCTGTCTCGTTTTTATGGGAAGATATTTACTTTTTCACCGTAGGCATCAAAGGGCTCCAAATGTCCACATCCAGATACTCCAGAAAGAGTGTTTCAAACCTGCTCTATGAAAGGGGAATGTTCAACTCTATGAGTTGAATGCAGACATCAGAAAGAAATTTCTGAGAATGCTGCTGTCTACCTTTTATTTGAATTCCCGCTTCCAACGAAATCCTCCAAGCTATCCAAATATCCACCTGCATTTTCCACAAAAAGAGTGTTTCAAAACTGCTCTATCAATAGAAATGTTCAACTCCTTTGGCTGGGTACACACATCACAAACAAGTTTCTGAGAATGCTTCTGTCTAGTTTTTATGGGAAGACGTTCCCTTTTTCACCAAAGGCATCAAAGCGCTCCAAATGTCCACTTCCAGACACTACAAAAAGAGTGTTTCAAACGTGCTCTAAGAAAGTGAATGTTCAACTCTGTGACTTGAATGCAGATATCACAAAGTAGTTTCTGAGAGGGCTTCTGTCTAGATTTTAGATGATGATATTCCCGTTTCCAACGAAATCATTAGAGCTATCCAAATATCCACTTACAGTTTCTACAAAAAGAGTGTTTCCAAACTGCTGCATCAAAAGAGAGGTTCCACTCTGTTAGCTGAGTACACACATCACAAACTTGTTTCTCAGAATCCTTCTGTCTCGTTTTTATGGGAAGATATTTACTTTTTCACCGTAGGCATCAAAGCGCTCCAAATGTCCACATCCAGATACTCCAGAAAGAGTGTTTCAAACCTGCTCTATGAAAGGGAATCTTCAACTCTATGAGTTGAATGCAGACATCAGAAAGAAATTTCTGAGAATGCTGCTGTCTACCTTTTATTTGAATTCCCGCTTCCAACAAAATCCTCCAAGCTATCCAAATATCCACTTGCAGATTCCACAAAAAGAGTGTTTCAAAACTGCTCTCTATCAATGGCAAAGTTCAACTCTGTTAGTTGAGGACACATATCACCAACAAGTTTCTGAGAATGCTTCTGTCTATTTTTTATGGGAAGATATTTCCTTTTTCACCGTAGGCGTCAAGGCGATCCAAATGTCCACTTCCACAAACTACAAAAAGAGTGTTTCAAACGTGCTCTATGAAAGGCGATGTTCATCTCTATGAGTTGAATGGAAATATCCGAAAGAAATTTCTGGGAATGCTGCTGTCTAGTTTTTATACGAATTCCCGCTTCCAACGAAATCCTCAAAGCAATCCAAATATCCACTTGCAGAATCCACAAAAAGAGTGTTTCAAAACTGCTCTATCAATAGAAAGGTTCAACTCTTTTAGTTGAGTACACACATCACAAACAAGTTTCTGAGAATGCTTCTGTCTGGCTTTTATTGGAAGACGTTTCCTTTTCACCAAAGGCATCAAAGCGCTCCAAATGTCCACTTCCAGATTCTTCCAAAAGAGTGTTTGAAACGTGCTCAAAGTAAGGGAATGTTCCACTCTGTGACTTGAATGCAGATATCACCAAGTAGTTTCTAATAGTGCTTCTGTCTAGATTTTAGATGATGATATTCCCGTTTCCAACGAAATCGTTAGAGCTATCCAAATATCCACTTACAGTTGCTACAAAAACAGTGTTTCCAAACTGCTGCATCAAAAGAAAGGTTCAACTCTGTTAGTTGAGGACACACGTCACAAAGAAGTTTGTGAGAATGCTTCTGTCCAGATTTTGTATGACGATATTCTCTTTTCCAACGATATCGTTAAAGCAATCTAAATATCCATTTGCAGAATCCACAAAAATAGAGTTTCAAAGCTGCTCTGTAAAAAGAAAGGTTCCACTCTGTTAGCTGAGTACACACATCACAAACTTGTTTCTGAGAATCCTTCTGTCTCGTTTTTATGGGAAGATATTTACTTTTCCACCGTAGGCATCAAAGCGCTCCAAATGTCCACATCCAGATACTCCAGAACGAGTGTTTCAAACCTGCTCTATGAAAGGGAATCTTCAACTCTATGAGTTGAATGCAGACATCAGAAAGAAATTTCTGAGAATGCTGCTGTCTACCTTTTATTTGAATTCCCGCTTCCAAGGAAATCCTCCAAGCTATCGAAATATCCACTAGCATTTTCCACAAAAAGAGTGTTTCAAAACTGCTCTATCAATAGAAACGTTCAACTCCTTTAGCTGGGTACACACATCACAAACAAGTTTCTGAGAATGCTTCTGTCTAGTTTTTATGGGTAGACATTCCCTTTTTCACCAAAGGAATCAAAGCACTCCAAATGTCCACTTCCAGACACTACAAAAAGAGTGTTTCAAACGTGCTCTAAGAAAGCGAATGTTCAACTCTGTGACTTGAATGCAGATATCACAAAGTAGTTTCTGAGAGTGCTTCTGTCTAGATTTTAGATGATGATATTCCCGTTTCCAACGAAATCATTAGAGCTATCCAAATATCCACTTACAGTTTCTACAAAAAGAGTGTTTCCAAACTACTGCATCAAAAGAGAGGTTCCACTCTGTTAGCTGAGTACACACATCACAAACTTGTTTCTCAGAATCCTTCTGTCTCGTTTTTATGGGAAGATATTTACTTTTTCACCGTAGGCATCAAAGCGCTCCAAATGTCCACAACCAGATACTACAGAAAGAGTATTTCAAACCTGCCCTATGAAAGGGAATGCTCAACTCTATGAGTTGAATGCAGACATCAGAAAGAAATTTCTGAGAATGCTGCTGTCTACCTTTTATTTGAATTCCCGCTTCCAACGAAATCCTCCAAGCTATCCAAATATCCACTTGCAGATTCCACAAAAAGAGTGTTTCAAAACTGCTCTCTATCAATGGCAAAGTTCAACTCTGTTAGTTGAGGACACATATCACCAACAAGTTTCTGAGAATGCTTCTGTCTATTTTTTATGGGAAGATATTTCCTTTTTCACCGTAGGCGTCAAGGCGATCGAAATGTCCACTTCCACAAACTACAAAAAGAGTGTTTCAAACCTGCTCTATGAAAGGCCATGTTCATCTCTATGAGTTGAATGGAAATATCCGAAAGAAATTTCTGGGAATGCTGCTGTCTAGTGTTTATACGAATTCCCGCTTCCAACGAAATCCTCAAAGCAATCCAAATATCCACTTGCAGAATCCACAAAAAGAGTGTTTCAAAACTGCTCTATCAATAGAAAGGTTCAACTCTTTTAGTTGAGTACACACATCACCAACAAGTTTACTGAGAATGCTTCTGTCTGGCTTTTATTGGAAGACGTTTCCTTTTCACCAAAGACATCAAAGCGCTCCAAATGTCCACTTCCAGATTCTTCCAAAAGAGTGTTTCAAACGTGCTCGAAGTAAGGGAATGTTCTACTCTGTGACTTGAATGCAGATATCACCAAGTAGTTTCTAATAGTGCTTCTGTCTAGATTTTAGATGATGATATTCCCGTTTCCAACGAAATCGTTAGAGCTATCCAAATATCCACTTACAGTTTCTACAAAAACAGTGTTTCCAAACTGCTGCATCAAAAGAAAAGTTCAACTCTGTTAGTTGAGGACACACATCACAAAGAAGTTTGTGAGAATGCTTTCTGTCTGGATTTTGTATGAAGATATTCCCTTTTCCAACGATGTCGCTAAATCAACCCAAATATCAATTTGCAGAATCCACAGAAATAGAGTTTCAAAGCTGCTCTGTAAGAAGAAAGTATCCACTCTGTTAGCTGAGTACACACATCACAAACTTGTTTCTGAGAATCCTTCTGTCTAGTTTTTATGGGAAGATATTTACTTTTTCACAGTAGGTATCAAAGCGCAACAAATGTCCACATCCAGATACTACAGAAAGAGTGTTTCACACCTGCTCTATGAAAGGGAATCTTCAACTCTATGAGTTGAATGCAGACATCAGAAAGTAATTTCTGAGAATGCTCCTGTCTACCTTTTATTTGAATTCCCGCTTCCAACGAAATCCTCCAAGCTATCCAAATATCCACCTGCATTTTCCACAAAAAGAGCGTTTCAAAACTGCTCTATCAATAGAAATGTTCAACTCCTTTGGCTGGGTACACACATCACAAACAAGTTTCTGAGAATGCTTCTGTCTAGTTTTTATGGGTAGACATTCCCTTTTTCACCAAAGGAATCAAAGCGCTCCAAATGTCCACTTCCAGACACTACAAAAAGAGTGTTTCAAACGTGCTCTAAGAAAGCGAATGTTCAACTCTGTGACTTGAATGCAGATATCACAAAGTAGTTTCTGAGAGTGCTTCTGTCTAGATTTTGTATGACGATATTCCCTTTTCCAACGATATCGTTAAAGCAATCTAAATATCAATTTGCAGAATCCAGAAAAATAGAGTTTCAAAGCTGCTCTGTAAAAAGAAAGGTTCCACTCCGTTAGCTGAGTACACACATCACAAACTTGTTTCTGAGAATCCTTCTGTCTCGTTTTTATGGGAAGATATTTACTTTTCCACCGTAGGCATCAAAGCGCTCCAAATGTCCACATCCAGATACTCCAGAACGAGTGTTTCAAACCTGCTCTATGAAAGGGAATCTTCAACTCTATGAGTTGAATGCAGACATCAGAAAGAAATTTACTGAGAATGCTGCTGTCTACCTTTAATTTGAATTCCCGCTTCCAACGAAATCCTCCAAGCTATCCAAATATCCACTTGCAGATTCCACAAAAAGAGTGTTTCAAAACTGCTCTCTATCAATGGCAAAGTTCAACTCTGTTAGTTGAGGACACATATCACCAAGAAGTTTCTGAGAATGCTTCTGTCTATTTTTTATGGGAAGATATTTCCTTTTTCACCGTAGGCGTCAAGGCGATCGAAATGTCCACTTCCACAAACTACAAAAAGAGTGTTTCAAACCTGCTCTATGAAAGGCCATGTTCATCTCTATGAGTCGAATGGAAATATCCGAAAGAAATTTCCTGGGAATGCTGCTGTCTAGTTTTTATACGAATTCCCGCTTCCAACGAAATCCTCAAAGCAATCCAAATATCCACTTGCAGAATCCACAAAAAGAGTGTTTCAAAACTGCTCTTTCAATAGAAAGGTTCAACTCTTTTAGTTGAGTACACACATCACAAACAAGTTTCTGAGAATGCTTCTGTCTAGTTTTTATGGGAAGACGTTCCCTTTTTCACCAAAGGCATCAAAGCGCTCCAAATGTCCACTTCCAGACACTACAAAAAGAGTGTTTCAAACGTGCTCTAAGAAAGCGAATGTTCAACTCTGTGACTTGAATGCAGATATCACCAAGTAGTTTCTAATAGTGCTTCTGTCTACATTTTAGATGATGATATTCCCGTTTCCAACGAAATCGTTAGAGCTATCCAAATATCCAGTTACAGTTTCTACCAAAAGGGTGTTTCCAAATTGCTGCATCAAAAGAAAGGTTCAACTCTGTTAGTTGAGGACACACATCACAAAGAAGTTTGTGAGAATGCTTCTGTCCAGATTTTGTATGACGATATTCCCTTTTCCAACGATATCGTTAAAGCAATCTAAATATCCATTTGCAGAATCCACAAAAATAGAGTTTCAAAGCTGCTCTGTAAAAAGAAAGGTTCCACTCTGTTAGCTGAGTACACACATTACAAACTTGTTTCTGAGAATCCTTCTGTCTCGTTTTTATGGGAAGATATTTACTTTTTCACCGTAGGCATCAAAGCGCTCCAAATGTCCACATCCAGATACTCCAGAAACAGTGTTTCAAACCTGCTCTATGAAAGGGAATCTTCAACTCTATGAGTTGAATGCAGACATCAGAAAGAAATTTCTGAGAATGCTGCTGTCTACCTTTTATTTGAATTCCCGCTTCCAACGAAATCCTCCAAGCTATCCAAATATCCACTTGCATTTTCCACAAAAAGAGTGTTTCAAAACTGCTCTATCAATAGAAATGTTCATCTCCTTTAGCTGGGTACACACATCACAAACAAGTTTCTGAGAATGCTTTCTGTCTAGTTTTTATGGGAAGACGTTCCCTTTTTCACCAAAGGCATCAAAGCGCTCCAAATGTCCACTTCCAGACACTACAAAAAGAGTGTTTCCAACGTGCTCTAAGAAAGCGAATGTTCAACTCTGTGACTTGAATGCAGATATCACAAAGTAGTTTCTGAGAGGGCTTCTGTCTAGATTTTAGATGATGATATTCCCGTTTCCAACGAAATCATTAGAGCTATCCAAATATCCACTTACAGTTTCTACAAAAAGAGTGTTTCCTAACTGCTGCATCAAAAGAGAGGTTCCACTCTGTTAGCTGAGTACACACATCACAAACTTGTTTCTCAGAATCCTTCTGTCTAGCTTTTATGGGAAGATATTTACTTTTTCACCGTAGGCATCAAAGCGTTCCAAATGTCCACATCCAGATAGTACAGAAAGAGTGTTTCAAACCTGCTCTATGAAAGGGAATGTTCAACTCTATGAGTTGAATGCAAACATCACAAAGAAATTTCTGAGAATGCTGCTGTCTACCTTTTATTTGAATTCCCGCTTCCAACGAAATCCTCCAAGCTATCCAAATATCCACTTGCAGATTCCACAAAAAGAGTGTTTCAAAACTGCTATCAATGGCAAAGTTCAACTCTGTTAGTTGAGGACACATATCACCAACAAGTTTCTGAGAATGCTTCTGTCTATTTTTTATGGGAAGATATTTCCTTTTTCACCGTAGGCGTCAAGGCGATCGAAATGTCCACTTCCACAAACTACAAAAAGAGTGTTTCAAACCTGCTCTATGAAAGGCCATGTTCATCTCTATGAGTTGAATGGAAATATCCGAAAGAAATTTCTGGGAATGCTGCTGTCTAGTTGTTATACGAATTCCCGCTTCCAACGAAATCCTCAAAGCAATCCAAATATCCACTTGCAGAATCCACAAAAAGAGTGTTTCAAAACTGCTCTATCAATAGAAAGGTTCAACTCTTTTAGTTGAGTACACACATCAAGAACAAGTTTCTGAGAATGCTTCTGTCTGGCTTTTATTGGAAGACGTTTCCTTTTCACCAAAGGCATCAAAGCGCACCAAATGTCCACTTCCAGATTCTTCCAAAAGAGTGTTTCAAACGTGCTCAAAGTAAGGGAATGTTCAACTCTTTGACTTGAATGCAGATATCACCAAGTAGTTTCTAATAGTGCTTCTGTCTAGATTTTAGATGATGATATTCCCGTTTCCAACGAAATCGTTAGAGCTATCCAAATATCCAGTTACAGTTTCTACCAAAAGGGTGTTTCCAAACTGCTGCATCAAAAGAAAGGTTCAACTCTGTTAGTTGAGGACACACATCACAAAGAAGTTTGTGAGAATGCTTCTGTCTAGATTTTGTATGACGATATTCCCTTTTCCAACGATATCGTTAAAGCAAACTAAATATCAATTTGCAGAATCCACAAAAATAGAGTTTCAAAGCTGCTCTGTAAAAAGAAAGGTTCCACTCTGTTAGCTGAGTACACACATCACAAACTTGTTTCTGAGAATCCTTCTGTCTCGTTTTTATGGGAAGATAGTTACTTTTTCACCGTAGGCATCAAAGCGCTCCAAATGTCCACATCCAGATACTCCAGAAAGACTGTTTCAAACCTGCTCTATGAAAGGGAATCTTCAACTCTATGAGTTGAATGCAGACATCAGAAAGAAATTTCTGAGAATGCTGCTGTGTACCTTTTATTTGAATTCCCGCTTCCAAAGAAATCCTCCAAGCTATCCAAATATCCACCTGCATTTTCCACAACAAGAGTGTTTCAAAACTGCTCTATCAATAGAAATGGTCAACTCCTTTGGCTGGGTACACACATCACAAACAAGTTTCTGAGAATGCTTCTGTCTAGTTTTTATGGGAAGACATTCCCTTTTTCACCAAAGGCATCAAAGCGCTCCAAATGTCCACTTCCAGACACTACAAAAAGAGTGTTTCCAACGTGCTCTAAGAAAGCGAATGTTCAACTCTGTGACTTGCATGCAGATATCACAAAGTAGTTTCTGAGAGGGCTTCTGTCTAGATTTTAGATGATGATATTCCCGTTTCCAACGAAATCATTAGAGCTATCCAAATATCCACTTACAGTTTCTACAAAAAGAGTGTTTCCAAACTGCTGCATCAAAAGAGAGGTTCCACTCTGTTAGCTGAGTATACACATCACAAACTTGTTTCTCAGAATCCTTCTGTCTCGTTTTTATGGGAAGATATTTACTTTCTCACCGTAGGCATCAAAGCGCTCCAAATGTCCACATCCAGATACTCCAGAAAGAGTGTTTCAAACGTGCTCTATGAAAGGGAATCTTCAACTCTATGAGTTGAATGCAGACATCAGAAAGAAATTTCTGAGAATGCTCTGCTGTCTACCTTTTATTTGAATTCCCGCTTCCAACGAAATCCTCCAAGCTATCCAAATATCCACTTGCAGATTCCACAAAAAGAGTGTTTCAAAACTGCTCTCTATCAATGGCAAAGTTCAACTCTGTTAGTTGAGGACACATATCACCAACAAGTTTCTGAGAATGCTGCTGTCTACCTTTTATTTGAATTCCCGCTTCCAACGAAATCCTCCAGGCTATCCAAATATCCCCTTGCAGATTCCACAAAAAGAGTGTTTCAAAACTGCTCTATCAATGGCAAGGTTCAACTCTGTCAGTTGAGGATACACATCACAAACAAGTTTCTGAGATTTCTGCTGTCTAGTTTTTATATGAATTCCCGCTTCCAACGAAATCCTCAAAGCAATCCAAATATCCACTTGCAGAATCCACAAAAAGAGTGTTTCAAAACTGCTCTATCAATAGAAAGGTTCAACTCTTTTAGTTGAGGTACACACATCACAAACAAGTTTCTGAGAATGCTTCTGTCTAGTTTTTATGGGATGACATTTCCTTTTTCACCAAAGGCATCAAAGAGCTCCAAATGTCCAATTCCAGATACTACAAAAAGAGTGTTTCAAAAGTGCTCTAAGAAAGCGAATGTTCAACTCTATGACTTGAATGCAGATATCAAAAAGTAGTTTCTGAGAGTGCTTCTGTCTAGATTTTAGATAATGATATTCCCGTTTCCAACAAAATCGTTAGAGCTATCCAAATATCCACTTACAGTTTCTACAAAAAGAGCGTTTCCAAACTGCTGCATCAAAAGAAAGGTTCAACTCTGTTAGTTGAGGACACACATCACAAAGAAGTTTGTGAGAATGCTTCTGTCTAGATTTTGTATGACCATATTCCCTTTTCCAACGATATCATTAAAGCAATCTAAATATCAATTTGCAGAATCCACAAAAATAGAGTTTCAAAGCTGCTCTGTAAAAAGAAAGGTTCCACTCTGTTAGCTGAGTACACACATCACAAACTTGTTTCTGAGAATCCTGCTGTCTACCTTTTATTTGAATTCCCGCTTCCAACGAAATCCTCCAAGCTATCCAAATATCCACCTGCATTTTCCACAAAAAGAGCGTTTCAAAACTGCTCTATCAATAGAAATGTTCAACTCCTTTGGCTGGGTACACACATCACAAACAAGTTTCTGAGAATGCTTCTGTCTAGTTTTTATGGGAAGACATTCCCTTTTTCACCAAAGGCATCAAAGCGCTCCAAATGTCCACTTCCAGACACTACAAAAAGAGTGTTTCAAACGTGCTCTAAGAAACCGAATGTTCAACTCTGTGAGTTGAATGCAGATATCACAAAGTAGTTTCTGAGAGGGCTTCTGTCTAGATTTTAGATGATGATATTCCCTTTTCCAACGAAATCATTAGAGCTATCCAAATATCCACTTACAGTTTCTACAAAAAGAGTGTTTCCAAACTGCTGAATCAAAACAGAGGTTCCACTCTGTTAGCTGAGTACACACATCACAAACTTGTTTCTCAGAATCCTTCTGTCTCGTTTTTATGGGAAGATATTTACTTTTTCACCGTAGGCATCAAAGCGCTCCAAATGTCCACATCCAGATACTCCACAAAGAGTGTTTCAAACCTGCTCTATGAAAGGGAATCTTCAACTCTATGAGTTGAATGCAGACATCAGAAAGAAATTTCCTGAGAATGCTGCTGTCTACCTTTTATTTGAATTCCCGCTTCCAACGAAATCCTCCAAGCTATCCAAATATCCACTTGCAGATTCCACAAAAAGAGTGTTTCAAAACTGCTCTCTATCAATGGCAAAGTTCAACTCTGTTAGTTGAGGACACATATCACCAACAAGTTTCTGAGAATGCTTCTGTCTATTTTTTATGGGAAGATATTTCCTTTTTCACCGTAGGCGTCAAGGCGATCGAAATGTCCACTTCCACAAACTACAAAAAGAGTGTTTCAAACCTGCTCTATGAAAGGCCATGTTCATCTCTATGAGTCGAATGGAAATATCCGAAAGAAATTTCTGGGAATGCTGCTGTC
The DNA here is from genome assembly GCF_000001405.40 of Homo sapiens. Taxonomy (NCBI): domain Eukaryota; kingdom Metazoa; phylum Chordata; class Mammalia; order Primates; family Hominidae; genus Homo; species Homo sapiens. Next base: position 14,878,898 of record NC_000022.11, on the reverse strand, counting down.
TAGTTTTTATACGAATTCCCGCTTCCAACGAAATCCTCAAAGCAATCCAAATATCCACTTGCAGAATCCACAAAAAGAGTGTTTCAAAACTGCTCTATCAATAGAAAGGTTCAACTCTTTTAGTTGAGTACACACATCACAAACAAGTTTCTGAGAATGCTTCTGTCTGGCTTTTATTGGAAGACGTTTCCTTTTCACCAAAGGCATCAAAGCGCTCCAAATGTCCACTTCCAGATTCTTCCAAAAGAGTGTTTCAAACGTGGTCGAAGTAAGGGAATGTTCTACTCTGTGACTTGAATGCAGATATCACCAAGTAGTTTCTAATAGTGCTTCTGTCTAGATTTTAGATGATGATATTCCCGTTTCCAACGAAATCGTTAGAGCTATCCAAATATCCACTTACAGTTTCTACAAAAAGAGTGTTTCCAAACTGCTGCATCAAAAGAAAGGTTCAACTCTGTAAGTTGAGGACACACATCACAAAGAAGTTTGTGAGAATGCTTCTGTCTAGATTTTGTATGACGATATTCCCTTTTCCAACAATATCGTTAAAGCAATCTAAATATCAATTTGCAGAATCCACAAAAATAGAGTTTCAAAGCTGCTCTGTAAAAAGAAAGGTTCCACTCTGTTAGCTGAGTACACACATCACAAACTTGTTTCTGAGAATCCTTCTGTCTCGTTTTTATGGGAAGATATTTACTTTTTCACCGTAGGCATCAAAGCGCTCCAAATGTCCACATCCAGATACTCCAGAAAGAGTGTTTCAAACCTGCTCTATGAAAGGGAATCTTCAACTCTATGAGTTGAATGCAGACATCAGAAAGAAATTTTCTGAGAATGCTGCTGTCTAGTGTTTATACGAATTCCCGCTTCCAACGAAATCTTCAAAGCAATCCAAATATCCACTTGCAGAATCCACAAAAAGAGTGTTTCAAAACTGCGCTATCAAAAGAAATGTTCAACTCCTTTGGCTGGGTACACACATCACAAACAAGTTTCTGAGAATGCTTCTGTCTAGTTTTTATGGGAAGACGTTCCCTTTTTCACCAAAGCCATCAAAGCGCTCCAAATGTCCACTTCCAGACACTACAAAAAGAGTGTTTCAAACGTGCTCTAAGAAAGCGAATGTTCAACTCTGTGACTTGAATGCAGATATCACAAAGTAGTTTCTGAGAGGGCTTCTGTCTAGATTTTAGATGATGATATTCCCGTTTCCAAGGAAATCATTAGAGCTATCCAAATATCCACTTACAGTTTCTACAAAAAGAGTGTTTCCAAACTGCTGCATCAAAAGAGAGGTTCCACTCTGTTAGCTGAGTACACACATCACAAACTTGTTTCTCAGAATCCTTCTGTCTCGTTTTTATGGGAAGATATTTACTTTTTCACCGTAGGCATCAAAGCGCTCCAAATGTCCACATCCAGATACTCCAGAAAGAGTGTTTCAAACCTGCTCTATGAAAGGGAATGTTCAACTCTATGAGTTGAATGCAGACATCAGAAAGAAATTTCTGAGAATGCTGCTGTCTACCTTTTATTTGAATTCCCGCTTCCAACGAAATCCTCCAAGCTATCCAAATATCCACTTGCAGATTCCACAAAAAGAGTGTTTCAAAACTGCTCTCTCAATGGCAAAGTTCAACTCTGTTAGTTGAGGACACATATCACCAACAAGTTTCTGAGAATGCTTCTGTCTATTTTTTATGGGAAGATATTTCCTTTTTCACCGTAGGCGTCAAGGCGATCGAAATGTCCACTTCCACAAACTACAAAAAGAGTGTTTCAAACCTGCTCTATGAAAGGCCATGTTAATCTCTATGAGTTGAATGGAAATATCCGAAAGAAATTTCTGGGAATGCTGCTGTCTAGTTTTTATATGAATTCCCGCTTCCAACGAAATCCTCAAAGCAATCCAAATATCCACTTGCAGAATCCACAAAAAGAGTGTTTCAAAACTGCTCTATCAATAGAAAGGTTCAACTCTTTTAGTTGAGTACACACATCACAAACAAGTTTCTGAGAATGCTTCTGTCTGGCTTTTATTGGAAGACGTTTCCTTTTCACCAAAGGCATCAAAGCGCTCCAAATGTCCACTTCCAGATTCTTCCAAAAGAGTGTTTGAAACGTGCTCAAAGTAAGGGAATGTTCAACTCTGTGACTTGAATGCAGATATCACCAAGTAGTTTCTAATAGTGCTTCTGTCTACATTTTAGATGATGATATTCCCGTTTCCAACGAAATCGTTAGTAGCTATCCAAATATCCAGTTACAGTTTCTACCAAAAGGGTGCTTCCAAATTGCTGCATCAAAAGAAAGGTTCAACTCTGTTAGTTGAGGACACACATCACAAAGAAGTTTGTGAGAATGCTTCTGTCTAGATTTTGTATGACGATATTCCCTTTTCCAACGATATCGTTAAAGCAATCTAAATACCAATTTGCAGAATCCACAAAAATAGAGTTTCAAAGCTGCTCTGTAAAAAGAAAGGTTCCACTCTGTTAGCTGAGTACACACATCACAAACTTGTTTCTCAGAATCCTTCTGTCTCGTTTTTATGGGAAGAGATTTACTTTTCCACCGTAGGCATCAAAGCGCTCCAAATGTCCACATCCAGATACTCCAGAACGAGTGTTTCAAACCTGCTCTATGAAAGGGAATCTTCAACTCTATGAGTTGAATGCAGACATCAGAAAGAAATTTCTGAGAATGCTGCTGTCTACCTTTTATTTGAATTCCCGCTTCCAACGAAATCCTCCAAGCTATCCAAATATCCACTTGCATTTTCCACAACAAGAGTGTTTCAAAACTGCTCTATCAATAGAAATGTTCAACTCCTTTGGCTGGGTACACACATCACAAACAAGTTTCTGAGAATGCTTCTGTCTAGTTTTTATGGGAAGACATTCCCTTTTTCACCAAAGTTATCAAAGCGCTCCAAATGTCCACTTCCAGACACTACAAAAAGAGTGTTTCAAACGTGCTCTAAGAAAGCGAATGTTCAACTCTGTGACTTGAATGCAGATATCACAAAGTAGTTTCTGAGAGTGCTTCTGTCTAGATTTTAGATGATGATATTCCCGTTTCCAACGAAATCATTAGAGCTATCCAAATATCCACTTACAGTTTCTACAAAAAGAGTGTTTCCAAACTGCTGCATCAAAAGAGAGGTTCCACTCTGTTAGCTGAGTACACACATCACAAACTTGTTTCTCAGAATCCTCTGTCTCGTTTTTATGGGAAGATATTTACTTTTTCACCGTAGGCATCAAAGCGCTCCAAATGTCCACATCCAGATACTCCAGAAAGAGTGTTTCAAACCTGCTCTATGAAAGGGAATCTTCAACTCTATGAGTTGAATGCAGACATCAGAAAGAAATTTCTGAGAATGCTGGCTGTCTACCTTTTATTTGAATTCCCGCTTCCAACGAAATCCTCCAAGCTATCCAAATATCCACTTGCAGATTCCACAAAAAGAGTGTTTCAAAACTGCTCTCTATCAATGGCAAAGTTCAACTCTGTTAGTTGAGGACACATATCACCAACAAGTTTCTGAGAATGCTTCTGTCTATTTTTTATGGGAAGATATTTCCTTTTTCACCGTAGGCGTCAAGGCGATCGAAATGTCCACTTCCACAAACTACAAAAAGTGTGTTTCAAACCTGCTCTATGAAAGGCCATGTTCATCTCTATGAGTTGAATGGAAATATCCGAAAGAAATTTCTGGGAATGCTGCTGTCTAGTTTTTATACGAATTCCCGCTTCCAACGAAATCCTCAAAGCAATCCAAATATCCACTTGCAGAATCCACAAAAAGAGTGTTTCAAAACTGCTCTATCAATAGAAAGGTTCAACTCTTTTAGTTGAGTACACACATCACAAAGAAGTTTCTGAGAATGCTTCTGTCTGGCTTTTACTGGAAGACGTTTCCTTTTCACCAAAGGCATCAAAGCGCTCCAAATGTCCACTTCCAGATTCTTCCAAAAGAGTGTTTCAAACGTGCTCAAAGTAAGGGAATGTTCAAATCTGTGACTTGAATGCAGATATCACCAAGTAGTTTCTAATAGTGCTTCTGTCTAGATTTTAGATGATGATATTCCCGTTTCCAATGAAATCGTTAGAGCTATCCAAATATCCACTTACAGTTTCTACAAAAAGAGTGTTTCCAAACTGCTGCATCAAAAGAAAGGTTCAACTCTGTTAGTTGAGGACACACATCACAAAGAAGTTTGTGAGAATGCTTCTGTCCAGATTTTGTATGACGATATTCCCTTTTCCAACGATATCGTTAAAGCAATCTAAATATCCATTTGCAGAATCCACAAAAATAGAGTTTCAAAGCTGCTCTGTAAAAAGAAAAGTTCCACTCTGTTAGCTGAGTACACACATCACAAACTTGTCTCTCAGAATCCTTCTGTCTCGTTTTTATGGGAAGATATTTACTTTTTCACCGTAGGCATCAAAGCGCTCCAAATGTCCACATCCAGATACTCCAGAAAGAGTGTTTCAAACCTGCTCTATGAAAGGGAATCTTCAACTCTATGAGTTGAATGCAGACATCAGAAAGAAATTTCTGAGAATGCTGCTGTCTACCTTTTATTTGAATTGCCGCTTCCAACGAAATCCTCCAAGCTATCCAAATATCCACTTGCATTTTCCACAAAAAGAGTGTTTCAAAACTGCTCTATCAATAGAAATGTTCAACTCCTTTAGCTGGGTACACACATCACAAACAAGTTTCTGAGAATGCTTCTGTCTAGTTTTTATGGGAAGACGTTCCCTTTTTCACCAAAGGCATCAAAGCGCTCCAAATGTCCACTTCCAGACACTACAAAAAGAGTGTTTCAAACGTGCTCTAAGAAAGCGAATGTTCAACTCTGTGACTTGAATGCAGATATCAAAAAGTAGTTTCTGAGAGGGCTTCTGTCTAGATTTTAGATGATGATATTCCCGTTTCCAACGAAATCATTAGAGCTATCCAAATATCCACTTACAGTTTCTACAAAAAGAGTGTTTCCAAACTGCTGCATCAAAAGAGAGGTTCCACTCTGTTAGCTGAGTACACACATCACAAACTTGTTTCTCAGAATCCTTCTGTCTCGTTTTTATGGGAAGATATTTACTTTTACACCGTAGGTATCAAAGCGCTCCAAATGTCCACATCCAGATACTCCAGAAAGAGTGTTTCAAACCTGCTCTATGAAAGGGAATCTTCAACTCTATGAGTTGAATGCAGACATCAGAAAGAAATTTTCTGAGAATGCTGCTGTCTACCTTTTATTTGAATTCCCGCTTCCAACGAAATCCTCCAAGCTATCCAAATATCCACTTGCAGATTCCACAAAAAGAGTGTTTCAAAACTGCTCTCTATCAATGGCAAAGTTCAACTCTGTTAGTTGAGGACACATATCACCAACAAGTTTCTGAGAATGCTTCTGTCTATTTTTTATGGGAAGATATTTCCTTTTTCACCGTAGGCGTCAAGGCGATCGAAATGTCCACTTCCACAAACTACAAAAAGAGTGTTTCAAACCTGCTCTATGAAAGGCCATGTTCATCTCTATGAGTTGAATGGAAATATCCGAAAGAAATTTCTGGGAATGCTGCTGTCTAGTGTTTATACGAATTCCCGCTTTCAACGAAATCCTCAAAGCAATCCAAATATCCACTTGCAGAATCCACAAAAAGAGTGTTTCAAAACTGCTCTATCAATAGAAAGGTTCAACTCTTTTAGTTGAGTACACACATCACGAACAAGTTTCTGAGAATGCTTCTGTCTGGCTTTTATTGGAAGACGTTTCCTTTTCACCAAAGGCATCAAAGCGCTCCAAATGTCCACTTCCAGATTCTTCCAAAAGAGTGTTTGAAACGTGCTCAAAGTAAGGGAATGTTCAACTCTGTGACTTGAATGCAGATATCACCAAGTAGTTTCTAATAGTGCTTCTGTCTAGATTTTAGATGATGATATTCCCGTTTCCAACGAAATCGTTAGAGCTATCCAAATATCCACTTACAGTTTCTACAAAAAGAGTGTTTCCAAACTGCTGCATCCAAAGAAAGGTTCAACTCTGTTAGTTGAGGACACACATCACAAAGAAGTTTGTGAGAATGCTTCTGTCTAGATTTTGTATGACCATATTCCCTTTTCCAGCGATATCATTAAAGCAATCTAAATATCCATTTGCAGAATCCACAAAAATAGAGTTTCAAAGCTGCTCTGTAAAAAGAAAGGTTCCACTCTGTTAGCTGAGTACACACATCACAAACTTGTTTCTCAGAATCCTTCTGTCTCGTTTTTATGGGAAGATATTTACTTTTTCACCGTAGGCATCAAAGCGCTCCAAATGTCCACATCCAGATACTCCAGAAAGAGTGTTTCAAACCTGCTCTATGAAAGGGAATCTTCAACTCTATGAGTTGAATGCAGACATTAGAAAGAAATTTCTGAGAATGCTGCTGTCTACCTTTTATTTGAATTCCCGCTTCCAACGAAATCCTCCAAGCTATCCAAATATCCACCTGCATTTTCCACAACAAGAGTGTTTCAAAACTGCTCTATCAATAGAAATGTTCAACTCCTTTGGCTGGGTACACACATCACAAACAAGTTTCTGAGAATGCTTCTGTCTAGTTTTTATGGGAAGACGTTCCCTTTTTCACCAAAGGCATCAAAGCGCTCCAAATGTCCACTTCCAGACACTACAAAAAGAGTGTTTCCAACGTGCCCTAAGAAAGCGAATGTTCAACTACTGTGACTTGAATGCAGATATCACAAAGTAGTTTCTGAGAGGGCTTCTGTCTAGATTTTAGATGATGATATTCCCGTTTCCAACGGAATCATTAGAGCTATCCAAATATCCACTTACAGTTTCTACAAAAAGAGTGTTTCCAAACTGCTGCATCAAAAGAGAGGTTCCACTCTGTTAGCTGAGTACACACATCACAAACTTGTTTCTGAGAATCCTTCTGTCTCGCTTTTTATGGGAAGATATTTACTTTTTCACCGTAGGCATCAAAGCGCTCCAAATGTCCACATCCAGATACTCCAGAAAGAGTGTTTCAAACCTGCTCTATGAAAGGGAATGTTCAACTCTATGAGTTGAATGCAGACATCAGAAAGAAATTTCTGAGAATGCTGCTGTCTACCTTTTATTTGAATTCCCGCTTCCAACGAAATCCTCCAAGCTATCCAAATATCCACTTGCAGATTCCACAAAAAGAGTGTTTCAAAACTGCTCTCTATCAATGGCAAAGTTCAACTCTGTTAGTTGAGGACACATATCACCAACAAGTTTCTGAGAATGCTTCTGTCTATTTTTTATGGGAAGATATTTCCTTTTTCACCGTAGGCGTCAAGGCGATCGAAACGTCCACTTCCACAAACTACAAAAAGAGTGTTTCAAACCTGCTCTATGAAAGGCCATGTTCATCTCTATGAGTTGAATGGAAATATCCGAAAGAAATTTCTGGGAATGCTGCTGTCTAGTTTTTATATGAATTCCCGCTTCCAACGAAATCCTCAAAGCAATCCAAATATCCACTTGCAGAATCCACAAAAAGAGTGTTTCAAAACTGCGCTATCAATAGAAAGGTTCAACTCTTTTAGTTGAGTACACATATCACGAACAAGTTTCTGAGAATGCTTCTGTCTGGCTTTTATTGGAAGACGTTTCCTTTTCACCAAAGGCATCAAAGCGCTCCAAATGTCCACTTCCAGATTCTTCCAAAAGAGTGTTTCAAACGTGCTCGAAGTAAGGGAATGTTCTACTCTGTGACTTGAATGCAGATATCACCAAGTAGTTTCTAATAGTGCTTCTGTCTACCTTTTGATGATGATATTCCCGTTTCCAACGAAATCGTTAGAGCTATCCAAATATCCAGTTACAGTTTCTACCAAAAGGGTGTTTCCAAATTGCTGCATCAAAAGAAAGGTTCAACTCTGTTAGTTGAGGACACACATCACAAAGAAGTTTGTGAGAATGCTTCTGTCTAGATTTTGTATGACGATATTCCCTTTTCCAACGATATCGTTAAAGCAATCTAAATATCAATTTGCAGAATCCACAAAAATAGAGTTTCAAAGCTGCTCTGTAAAAAGAAAGGTTCCACTCTGTTAGCTGAGTACACACATCACAAACTTGTTTCTGAGAATCTTTCTGTCTCGTTTTTATGGGAAGATATTTACTTTTCCACCGTAGGCATCAAAGCGCTCCAAATGTCCACATCCAGATACTCCAGAACGAGTGTTTCAAACCTGCTCTATGAAAGGGAATCTTCAACTCTATGAGTTGAATGCAGACATCAGAAAGAAATTTCTCAGAATGCTGCTGTCTACCTTTTATTTGAATTAACGCTTCCAACGAAATCCTCCAAGCTATCCAAATATCCACCTGCATTTTCCACAACAAGTGTTTCAAAACTGCTCTATCAATAGAAATGTTCAACTCCTTTGGCTGGGTACACACATCACAAACAAGTTTCTGAGAATGCTTCTGTCTAGTTTTTATGGGAAGACGTTCCCTTTTTCACCAAAGGCATCAAAGCGCTCCAAATGTCCACTTCCATACACTACAAAAAGAGTGTTTCAAACGTGCTCTAAGAAAGCGAATGTTCAACCCTGTGACTTGAATGCAGATATCACAAAGTAGTTTCTGAGAGGGCTTCTGTCTAGATTTTAGATGATGATATTCCCGTTTCCAACGAAATCATTAGAGCTATCCAAATATCCACTTACAGTTTCTACAAAAAGAGTGTTTCCAAACTGCTGCATCAAAAGAGAGGTTCCACTCTGTTAGCTGAGTACACACATCACAAACTTGTTTCTCAGAATCCTTCTGTCTCGTTTTTATGGGAAGATTATACTTTTTCACCGTAGGCATCAAAGCGCTCCAAATGTCCACATCCAGATACTCCAGAAAGAGTGTTTCAAACCTGCTCTATGAAAGGGAATCTTCAACTCTATGAGTTGAATGCAGACATCAGAAAGAAATTTGCTGAGAATGCTGCTGTCTACCTTTTATGTGAATTCCCGCTTCCAACGAAATCCTCCAAGCTATCCAAATATCCACTTGCAGATTCCACAAAAAGAGTGTTTCAAAACTGCTCTCTATCAATGGCAAAGTTCAACTCTGTTAGTTGAGGACACATATCACCAACAAGTTTCTGAGAATGCTTCTGTCTATTTTTTATGGGAAGATATTTCCTTTTTCACCGTAGGCGTCAAGGCGATCGAAATGTCCACTTCCACAAACTACAAAAAGAGTGTTTCAAACCTGCTCTATGAAAGGCCATGTTCATCTCTATGAGTTGAATGGAAATATCAGAAAGAAATTTCTGGGAATGCTGCTGTCTAGTTTTTATACGAATTCCCGCTTCCAACGAAATCCTCAAAGCAATCCAAATATCCACTTGCAGAATCCACAAAAAGAGTGTTTCAAAACTGCTCTATCAATAGAAAGGTTCAACTCTTTTAGTTGAGTACACACATCACAAACAAGTTTCTGAGAATGCTTCGGTCTGGCTTTTATTGGAAGACGTTTCCTTTTCACCAAAGGCATCAAAGCGCTCCAAATGTCCACTTCCAGATTCTTCCAAAAGAGTGTTTGAAACGTGCTCAAAGTAAGGGAATGTTCAACTCTGTGACTTGAATGCAGATATCACCAAGTAGTTTCTAATAGTGCTTCTGTCTAGATTTTAGATGATGATATTCCCGTTTCCAACGAAATCGTTAGAGCTATCCAAATATCCACTTACAGTTGCTACAAAAACAGTGTTTCCAAACTGCTGCATCAAAAGAAAGGTTCAACTCTGTTAGTTGAGGTCACACGTCACAAAGAAGTTTGTGAGAATGCTTCTGTCTAGATTTTGTATGACCATATTCCCTTTTCCAGCGATATCATTAAAGCAATCTAAATATCCATTTGCAGAATCCACAAAAATAGAGTTTCAAAGCTGCTCTGTAAAAAGAAAGGTTCCACTCTGTTAGCTGAGTACACACATCACAAACTTGTTTCTCAGAATCCTTCTGTGTCGTTTTTATGGGAAGATATTTACTTTTCCACCGTAGGCATCAAAGCGCTCCAAATGTCCACATCCAGATACTCCAGAACGAGTGTTTCAAACCTGCTCTATGAAAGGGAATCTTCAACTCTATGAGTTGAATGCAGACATCAGAAAGAAATTTCTGAGAATGCTGCTGTCTACCTTTTATTTGAATTCCCGCTTCCAACGAAATCCTCCAAGCTATCCAAATATCCACCTGCATTTTCCACAACAAGAGTGTTTCAAAACTGCTCTATCAATAGAAATGTTCAACTCCTTTGGCTGGGTACACACATCACAAACAAGTTTCTGAGAATGCTTCTGTCTAGTTTTTATGGGAAGACATTCCCTTTTTCACCAAAGGCATCAAAGCGCTCCAAATGTCCACTTCCAGACACTACAAAAAGTGTGTTTCCAACGTGCTCTAAGAAAGCGAATGTTCAACTCTGTGACTTGAATGCAGATATCACAAAGTAGTTTCTGAGAGGGCTTCTGTCTAGATTTTAGATGATGATATTCCCGTTTCCAACGAAATCATTAGAGCTATCCAAATATCCACTTACAGTTTCCACAAAAAGAGTGTTTCCAAACTGCTGCTTCAAAAGAGAGGTTCCACTCTGTTAGCTGAGTACACACATCACAAACTTGTTTCTCAGAATCCTTCAGTCTCGTTTTTATGGGAAGATATTTACTTTTTCACCGTAGGCATCAAAGCGCTCCAAATGTCCACATCCAGATACTCCAGAAAGAGTGTTTCAAACCTGCTCTATGAAAGGGAATCTTCAACTCTATGAGTTGAATGCAGACATCAGAAAGAAATTTCTGAGAATGCTGCTGTCTACCTTTTATTTGAATTCCCGCTTCCAACGAAATCCTCCAAGCTATCCAAATATCCACTTGCAGATTCCACAAAAAGAGTGTTTCAAAACTGCTCTCTATCAATGGCAAAGTTCAACTCTGTTAGTTGAGGACACATATCACCAACAAGTTTCTGAGAATGCTTCTGTCTATTTTTTATGGGAAGATATTTCCTTTTTCACCGTAGGCGTCAAGGCGATCGAAATGTCCACTTCCACAAACTACAAAAAGAGTGTTTCAAACCTGCTCTATGAAAGGCGATGTTCATCTCTATGAGTTGAATGGAAATATCCGAAAGAAATTTCTGGGAATGCTGCTGTCTAGTGTTTATACGAATTCCCGCTTCCAACGAAATCCTCAAAGCAATCCAAATATCCACTTGCAGAATCCACAAAAAGAGTGTTTCAAAACTGCTCTATCAATAGAAAGGTTCAACTCTTTTAGTTGAGTACACACATCACAAACAAGTTTCTGAGAATGCTTCTGTCTGGCTTTTATTGGAAGACGTTTCCTTTTCACCAAAGGCATCAAAGCGCTCCAAATGTCCACTTCCAGACACTACAAAAAGAGTGTTTCAAACGTGCTCTAAGAAAGCAAATGTTGAACTCTGTGACTTGAATGCAGATATCACAAAGTAGTTTCTGAGAGTGCTTCTGTCTAGATTTTAGATGATGATATTCCCGTTTCCAACGAAATCGTTAGAGCTATCCAAATATCCACTTACAGTTGCTACAAAAACAGTGTTTCCAAACTGCTGCATCAAAAGAAAGGTTCAACTCTGTTAGTTGAGGACACACGTCACAAAGAAGTTTGTGAGAATGCTTCTGTCTAGATTTTGTATGACGATATTCCCTTTTCCAACGATATCGTTAAAGCAATCTAAATATCAATTTGCAGAATCCACAAAAATAGAGTTTCAAAGCTGCTCTGTAAAAAGAAAGGTTCCACTCTGTTAGCTGAGTACACACATCACAAACTTGTTTCTGAGAATCCTTCTGTCTCGTTTTTATGGGAAGATATTTACTTTTCCACCATAGGCATCAAAGCGCTCCAAATGTCCACATCCAGATACTCCAGAACGAGTGTTTCAAACCTGCTCTATGAAAGGGAATCTTCAACTCTATGAGTTGAATGCAGACATCAGAAAGAAATTTCTGAGAATGCTGCTGTCTACCTTTTATTTGAATTCCCCCTTCCAACGAAATCCTCCAAGCTATCCAAATATCCACCTGCATTTTCCACAACAAGAGTGTTTCAAAACTGCTCTATCAATAGAAATGTTCAACTCCTTTGGCTGGGTACACACATCACAAACAAGTTTCTGAGAATGCTTCTGTCTAGTTTTTATGGGAAGACGTTCCCTTTTTCACCAAAGGCATCAAAGCGCTCCAAATGTCCACTTCCAGACACTACAAAAAGAGTGTTTCCAACGTGCTCTAAGAAAGCGAATGTTCAACTCTGTGACTTGAATGCACATATCACAAAGTAGTTTCTGAGAGGGCTTCTGTCTAGATTTTAGATGATGATAATCCCGTTTCCAACAAAATCATTAGAGCTTCCAAATATCCACTTACAGTTTCTACAAAAAGAGTGTTTCCAAACTGCTGCATCAAAAGAGAGGTTCCACTCTGTTAGCTGAGTACACACATCACAAATTTGTTTCTCAGAATCCTTCTGTCTCGTTTTTATGGGAAGATATTTACTTTTTCACCGTAGGCATCAAAGCTCTCCAAATGTCCACATCCAGATACTCCAGAAAGAGTGTTTCAAACCTGCTCTATGAAAGGGAATCTTCAACTCTATGAGTTGAATGCAGACATCAGAAAGAAATTTCTGAGAATGCTGTTGTCTACCTTTTATTTGAATTCCCGCTTCCAACGAAATCCTCCAAGCTATCCAAATATCCACTTGCAGATTCCACAAAAAGAGTGTTTCAAAACTGCTCTCTATCAATGGCAAAGTTCAACTCTGTTAGTTGAGGACACATATCACCAACAAGTTTCTGAGAATGCTTCTGTCTATTTTTTATGGGAAGATATTTCCTTTTTCACCGTAGGCGTCAAGGCGATCGAAATGTCCACTTCCACAAACTACAAAAAGAGTGTTTCAAACCTGCTCTATGAAAGGCCATGTTCATCTCTATGAGTCGAATGGAAATATCCGAAAGAAATTTCTGGGAATGCTGCTGTCTAGTGTTTATACGAATTCCCGCTTCCAATGAAATCCTCAAAGCAATCCAAATATCCACTTGCAGAATCCACAAAAAGAGTGTTTCAAAACTGCTCTATCAATAGAAAGGTTCAACTCTTTTAGTTGAGTACACACATCACGAACAAGTTTCTGAGAATGCTTCTCTCTGGCTTTTATTGGAAGACGTTTCCTTTTCACCAAAGGCATCAAAGCGCTCCAAATGTCCACTTCCAGATTCTTCCAAAAGAGCGTTTCAAACGTGGTCGAAGTAAGGGAATGTTCAACTCTGTGACTTGAATGCAGATATCACCAAGTAGTTTCTAATAGTGCTTCTGTTTAGATTTTAGATGATGATATTCCCGTTTCCAACGAAATCGTTAGAGCTATCCAAATATCCACTTACAGTTTCTACAAAAAGAGTGTTTCCAAACTGCTGCATCAAAAGAAAGGTTCAACTCTGTTAGTTGAGGACACACATCACAAAGAAGTTTGTGAGAATGCTTCTGTCTAGATTTTGTATGACGATATTCCCTTTTCCAACGATATCGTTAAAGCAATCTAAATATCAATTTGCAGAATCCACAAAAATAGAGTTTCAAAGCTGCTCTGTAAAAAGAAAGGTTCCACTCTGTTAGCTGAGTACACACATCACAAACTTGTTTCTGAGAATCCTTCTGTCTCGTTTTTATGGGAAGATATTTACTTTTCCACCGTAGGCATCAAAGCGCTCCAAATGTCCACATCCAGATACTCCAGAACGAGTGTTTCAAACCTGCTCTATGGAAGGGAATCTTCAACTCTATGAGTTGAATGCAGACATCAGAAAGAAATTTCTGAGAATGCTGCTGTCTACCTTTTATTTGAATTCCCGCTTCCAACGAAATCCTCCAAGCTATCCAAATATCCACCTGCATTTTCCACAAAAAGAGTGTTTCAAAACTGCTCTATCAATAGAAATGTTCAACTCCTTTGGCTGGGTACACACATCACAAACAAGTTTCTGAGAATGCTTCTGTCTAGTTTTTATGGGAAGACATTCCCTTTTTCACCAAAGGCATCAAAGCGCTCCAAATGTCCACTTCCAGACACTACAAAAAGAGTGTTTCAAACGTGCTCTAAGAAAACGAATGTTCAACTCTGTGACTTGAATGCAGATATCACAGAGTAGTTTCTGAGAGGGCTTCTCTCTAGATTTTAGATGATGATATTCCCGTTTCCAACGAAATCATTAGAGCTATCCAAATATCCCCTTACAGTTTCTACAAAAAGAGTGTTTCCAAACTACTGCATCAAAAGAGAGGTTCCACTCTGTTAGCTGAGTACACACATCACAAACTTGTTTCTCAGAATCCTTCTGTCTCGTTTTTATGGGAAGATATTTACTTTTTCACCGTAGGCATCAAAGCGCTCCAAATGTCCACATCCAGATACTACAGAAAGAGTATTTCAAACCTGCCCTATGAAAGGGAATGTTCAACTCTATGAGTTGAATGCAGAGATCAGAAAGAAATTTCTGAGAATGCTGCTGTCTACCTTTTATTTGAATTCCCGCTTCCAACGAAATCCTCCAAACTATCCAAATATCCACTTGCAGATTCAGGAAAAAGAGTGTTTCAAAACTGCTCTCTATCAATGGCAAAGTTCAACTCTGTTAGTTGAGGACACATATCACCAACAAGTTTCTGAGAATGTTTCTATTTTTTATGGGAAGATATTTACTTTTTCACCGTAGGCGTCAAGGCGATCGAAATGTCCACTTCCACAAACTACAAAAAGAGTGTTTCAAACCTGCTCTATGAAAGGCCATGTTCATCTCTATGAGTTGAATGGAAATATCCGAAAGAAATTTCTGGGAATGCTGCTGTCTAGTTGTTATACGAATTCCCGCTTCCAACGAAATCCTCAAAGCAATCCAAATATCCACTTGCAGAATCCACAAAAAGAGTGTTTC
Source organism: Homo sapiens (assembly GCF_000001405.40). NCBI lineage: Eukaryota > Metazoa > Chordata > Mammalia > Primates > Hominidae > Homo > Homo sapiens. The sequence continues at coordinate 14,863,858 of NC_000022.11, read as the reverse complement.
AAAACTGCTCTATCAATAGAAAGGTTCAACTCTTTTAGTTGAGTACACACATCACAAACAAGTTTCTGAGAATGCTTCTGTCTGGCTTTTATTGGAAGACGTTTCCTTTTCACCAAAGGCATCAAAGCGCTCCAAATGTCCACTTCCAGATTCTTCCAAAAGAGTGTTTCAAACGTGCTCGAAGTAAGGGAATGTTCTACTCTGTGACTTGAATGCAGATATCACCAAGTAGTTTCTAATAGTGCTTCTGTCTAGATTTTAGATGATGATATTCCCGTTTCCAACGAAATCGTTAGAGCTATCCAAATATCCAGTTACAGTTTCTACCAAAAGGGTGTTTCCAAATTGCTGCATCAAAAGAAAGGTTCAACTCTGTTAGTTGAGGAAACACATCACAAAGAAGTTTGTGAGAATGCTTCTGTCCAGTATTTTGTATGACGATATTCCCTTTTCCAACGATATCGTTAAAGCAATCTAAATATCCATTTGCAGAATCCACAAAAATAGAGTTTCAAAGCTGCTCTGTAAAAAGAAAGGTTCCACTCTGTTAGCTGAGTACACACATCACAAACTTGTTTCTGAGAATCCTTCTGTCTCGTTTTTATGGGAAGATATTTACTTTTTCACCGTAGGCATCAAAGCGCTCCAAATGTCCACATCCAGAAACTCCAGAAAGACTGTTTCAAACCTGCTCTATGAAAGGGAATCTTCAACTCTATGAGTTGAATGCAGACATCAGAAAGAAATTTCTGAGAATGCTGCTGTCTACCTTTTATTTGAATTCCCGCTTCCAACGAAATCCTCCAAGCTATCCAAATATCCACTTGCATTTTCCACAACAAGAGTGTTTCAAAACTGCTCTATCAATAGAAATGTTCAACTCCTTTGGCTGGGTACACACATCACAAACAAGTTTCTGAGAATGCTTCTGCCTAGTTTTTATGGGAAGACATTCCCTTTTTCACCAAAGGCATCAAAGCGCTCCAAATGTCCACTTCCAGCCACTACAAAAAGAGTGTTTCAAACGTGCTCTAAGAAAGCGAATGTTCAACTCTGTGACTTGAATGCAGATATCACAAAGTAGTTTCTGAGAGTGCTTCTGTCTAGATTTTAGATGATGATATTCCCGTTTCCAACGAAATCATTAGAGCTATCCAAATATCCACTTACAGTTTCTACAAAAAGAGTGTTTCCAAACTGCTGCATCAAAAGAGAGGTTCCACTCTTTTAGCTGAGTACACACATCACAAACTTGTTTCTGAGAATCCTTCTGTCTCGTTTTTATGGGAAGATATTTACTTTTTCACCGTAGGCATCAAAGCGCTCCAAATGTCCACATCCAGATACTCCAGAAAGAGTGTTTCAAACCTGCTCTATGAAAGGGAATGTTCAACTCTATGAGTTGAATGCAGACATCAGAAAGAAATTTCTGAGAATGCGGCTGTCTACCTTTTATTTGAATTCCCGCTTCCAACGAAATCCTCCAAGCTATCCAAATATCCACTTGCAGATTCCACAAAAAGAGTGTTTCAAAACTGCTCTCTATCAATGGCAAAGTTCAACTCTGTTAGTTGAGGACACATATCACCAACAAGTTTCTGAGAATGCTTCTGTCTATTTTTTATGGGAAGATATTTCCTTTTTCACTGTAGGCGTCAAGGCGATCGAAATGTCCACTTCCACAAACTACAAAAAGAGTGTTTCAAACCTGCTCTATGAAAGGCCATGTTCATCTCTATGAGTTGAATGGAAATATCCGAAAGAAATTTCTGGGAATGCTGCTGTCTAGTTGTTATACGAATTACCGCTTCCAACGAAATCCTCAAAGCAATCCAAATATCCACTTGCAGAATCCACAGAAAGAGTGTTTCAAAACTGCTCTATCAATAGAAAGGTTCAACTCTTTTAGTTGAGTACACACGTCAAGAACAAGTTTCTGAGAATGCTTCTGTCTGGCTTTTATTGGAAGACGTTTCCTTTTCACCAAAGGCATCAAAGCGCTCCAAATGTCCACTTCCAGATTCTTCCAAAAGAGTGTTTGAAACGTGCTCAAAGTAAGGGAATGTTCAACTCTGTGACTTGAATGCAGATATCACCAAGTAGTTTCTAATAGTGCTTCTGTCTAGATTTTAGATGATGATATTCCCGTTTCCAACGAAATCGTTAGAGTTATCCAAATATCCACTTACAGTTTCTACAAAAAGAGTGTTTCCAAACTGCTGCATCAAAAGAAAGGTTCAACTCTGTTAGTTGAGGACACACATCACAAAGAAGTTTGTGAGAATGCTTCTGTCTAGATTTTGTATGACGATATTCCCTTTTCCAACGATATCGTTAAAGCAATCTAAATATCAATTTGCAGAATCCACAAAAATAGAGTTTCAAAGCTGCTCTGTAAAAAGAAAGGTTCCACTCTGTTAGCTGAGTACACACATCACAAACTTGTTTCTCAGAATCCTTCTGTCTCGTTTTTATGGGAAGATATTTACTTTTTCACCGTAGGCATCAAAGCCCTCCAAATGTCCACATCCAGATACTCCAGAAAGAGTGTTTCAAACCTGCTCTATGAAAGGGAATCTTCAACTCTATGAGTTGAATGCAGACATCAGAAAGAAATTTCTGAGAATGCTGCTGTCTACCTTTTATTTGAATTCCCGCTTCCAACGAAATCCTCCAAGCTATCCAAATATCCACTTGCATTTTCCACAAAAAGAGTGTTTCAAAACTGCTCTATCAATAGAAATGTTCAACTCCTTTAGCTGGGTACACACATCACAAACAAGTTTCTGAGAATGCTTCTGTCTAGTTTTTATGGGAAGACGTTCCCTTTTTCACCAAAGGCATCAAAGCGCTCCAAGTGTCCACTTCCAGACACTACAAAAAGAGTGTTTCCAACGTGCTCTAAGAAAGCGAATGTTCAACTCTGTGACTTGAATGCAGATATCACAAAGTAGTTTCTGAGAGTGCTTCTGTCTAGATTTTAGATGATGATATTCCCGTTTCCAACGAAATCATTAGAGCTATCCAAATATCCACTTACAATTTCTACAAAAAGAGTGTTTCCAAACTGCTGCATCAAAAGAGAGGTTCCACTCTGTTAGCTGAGTACACACATCACAAACTTGTTTCTCAGAATCCTTCTGTCTCGTTTTTATGGGAAGATATTTACTTTTTCACCGTAGGCATCAAAGCGCTCCAAATGTCCACATCCAGATACTACAGAAAGAGTATTTCAAACCTGCCCTATGAAAGGGAATGTTCAACTCTATGAGTTGAATGCAGAGATCAGAAAGAAATTTCTGAGAATGCTGCTGTCTACCTTTTATTTGAATTCCCGCTTCCAACGAAATCCTCCAAGCTATCCAAATATCCACTTGCAGATTCCACAAAAAGAGTGTTTCAAAACTGCTCTCTATCAATAGCAAAGTTCAACTCTGTTAGTTGAGGACACATATCGCCAACAAGTTTCTGAGAATGCTTCTGTCTATTTTTTATGGGTAGATATTCCCTTTTTCACCGTAGGCGTCAAGGCGATCGAAATGTCCACTTCCACAAACTACAAAAAGAGTGTTTCAAACCTGTTCTATGAAAGGCCATGTTCATCTCTATGAGTTGAATGGAAATATCCGAAAGAAATTTCTGGGAATGCTGCTGTCTAGTGTTTATACGAATTCCCGCTTCCAACAAAATCCTCAAAGCAATCCAAATATCCACTTGCAGAATCCACAAAAAGAGTGTTTCAAAACTGCTCTATCAATAGAAAGGTTCAACTCTTTTAGTTGAGTACACACATCACGAACAAGTTTCTGAGAATGCTTCTGTCTGGCTTTTATTGGAAGACGTTTCCTTTTCACCAAAGGCATCAAAGCGCTCCAAATGTCCACTTCCAGATTCTTCCAAAAGAGTGTTTCAAACGTGCTCAAAGTAAGGGAATGTTCAACTCTGTCACTTGAATGCAGATATCACCAAGTAGTTTCTAATAGTGCTTCTGTCTAGATTTTAGATGATGATATTCCCGTTTCCAACGAAATCGTTAGAGCTATCCAAATATCCACTTACAGTTTCTACCAAAAGGGTGTTTCCAAATTGCTGCATCAAAAGAAAGGTTCAACTCTGTTAGTTGAGGACACACATCACAAAGAAGTTTGTGAGAATGCTTCTGTCTAGATTTTGTATGACGGTATTCCCTTTTCCAACGATATCGTTAAAGCAATCTAAATATCAATTTGCAGAATCCACAACAATAGAGTTTCAAAGCTGCTCTGTAAAAAGAAAGGTTCCACTCTGTTAGCTGAGTACACACATCACAAACTTGTTTCTGAGAATCCTTCTGTCTCGTTTTTATGGGAAGATATTTACTTTTTCACCGTAGGCATCAAAGCGCTCCAAATGTCCACATCCAGATACTCCAGAAAGAGTGTTTCAAACCTGCTCTATGAAAGGGAATCTTCAACTCTATGAGTTGAATGCAGACATCAGAAAGTAATTTCTGAGAATGCTGCTGTCTACCTTTTATTTGAATTCCCGCTTCCAACGAAATCCTCCAAGCTATCCAAATATCCACCTGCATTTTCCACAAAAAGAGTGTTTCAAACCTGCTCTATCAATAGAAATGTTCAACTCCTTTGGCTGGGTACACACATCACAAACAAGTTTCTGAGAATGCTTCTGTCTAGTTTTTATGGGTAGACGTTCCCTTTTTCACCAAAGGAATCAAAGCGCTCCAAATGTCCACTTCCAGACACTACAAAAAGAGTGTTTCCAACGTGCTCTAAGAAAGCGAATGTTCAACTCTGTGACTTGAATGCAGATATCACAAAGTAGTTTCTGAGAGGGCTTCTGTCTAGATTTTAGATGATGATATTCCCGTTTCCAACGAAATCATTAGAGCTATCCAAATATCCACTTACAGTTTCTACAAAAAGAGTGTTTCCAAACTGCTGCATCAAAAGAGAGGTTCCACTCTGTTAGCTGAGTACACACATCACAAACTTGTTTCTCAGAATCCTTCTGTCTCGTTTTTATGGGAAGATATTTACTTTTTCACCGTAGGCATCAAAGCGCTCCAAATGTCCACATCCAGATACTCCACAAAGAGTGTTTCAAACCTGCTCTATGAAAGGGAATCTTCAACTCTATGAGTTGATTGCAGACATCAGAAAGAAATTTCTGAGAATGCTGCTGTCTACCTTTTATTTGAATTCCCGCTTCCAACGAAATCCTCCAAGCTATCCAAATATCCACTTGCAGATTCCACAAAAAGAGTGTTTCAAAACTGCTCTCTATCAATGGCAAAGTTCAACTCTGTTAGTTGAGGACACATATCACCAACAAGTTTCTGAGAATGCTCTGTCTATTTTTTATGGGAAGATATTTCCTTTTTCACCGTAGGCGTCAAGGCGATCGAAATGTCCACTTCCACAAACTACAAAAAGAGTGTTTCAAACCTGCTCTATGAAAGGCCATGTTCATCTCTATGAGTCGAATGGAAATATCCGAAAGAAATTTCTGGGAATGCTGGCTGTCTAGTGTTTATACGAATTCCCGCTTCCGATGAAATCCTCAAAGCAATCCAAATATCCACTTGCAGAATCCACAAAAAGAGTGTTTCAAAACTGCTCTATCAATAGAAAGGTTCAACTCTTTTAGTTGAGTACACACATCACGAACAAGTTTCTGAGAATGCTTCTGTCTGGCTTTTATTGGAAGACGTTTCCTTTTCACCAAAGGCATCAAAGCGCTCCAAATGTCCACTTCCAGATTCTTCCAAAAGAGTGTTTGAAACGTGCCCAAAGTAAGGGAATGTTCAACTCTGTGACTTGAATGCAGATATCACCAAGTAGTTTCTAATAGTGCTTCTGTCTAGATTTTAGATGATGATATTCCCGTTTCCAACGAAATCGTTAGAGCTATCCAAATATCCACTTACAGTTTCTACAAAAAGAGTGTCTCCAAACTGCTGCATCAAAAGAAAGGTTCAACTCTGTTAGTTGAGGACACACATCACAAAGAAGTTTGTGAGAATGCTTCTGTCTAGATTTTGTATGACGGTATTCCCTTTTCCAACGATATCGTTAAAGCAATCTAAATATCAATTTGCAGAATTCACAAAAATAGAGTTTCAAAGCTGCTCTGTAAAAAGAAAGGTTCCACTCTGTTAGCTGAGTACACACATCACAAACTTGTTTCTGAGAATCCTTCTGTCTCGTTTTTATGGGAAGATATTTACTTTTCCACCGTAGGCATCAAAGCGCTCCAAATGTCCACATCCAGATACTCCAGAACGAGTGTTTCAAACCTGCTCTATGAAAGGGAATCTTCAACTCTATGAGTTGAATGCAGACATCAGAAAGAAATTTCTGAGAATGCTGCTGTCTACCTTTTATTTGAATTCCCGCTTCCAACGAAATCCTCCCAGCTATCCAAATATCCACCTGCATTTTCCACAACAAGAGTGTTTCAAAACTGCTCTATCAATAGAAATTTTCAACTCCTTTGGCTGGGTACACACATCACAAACAAGTTTCTGAGAATGCTTCTGTCTAGTTTTTATGGGAAGACATTCCCTTTTTCACCAAAGGCATCAAAGCGCTCCAAATGTCCACTTCCAGACACTACAAAAAGAGTGTTTCCAACGTGCTCTAAGAAAGCGAATGTTCAACTCCTGTGACTTGAATGCAGATATCACAAAGTAGTTTCTAATAGTGCTTCTGTCTAGATTTTAGATGATGATATTCCCGTTTCCAACGAAATCATTAGAGCTATCCAAATATCCACTTACAGTTTCTACAAAAAGAGTGTTTCCAAACTGCTGCATCAAAAGAGAGGTTCCACTCTGTTAGCTGAGTACACACATCACAAACTTGTTTCTCAGAATCCTTCTGTCTCGTTTTTATGGGAAGATATTTACTTTTCCACCGTAGGCATCAAAGCGCTCCAAATGTCCACATCCAGATACTCCAGAACGAGTGTTTCAAACCTGCTCTATGAAAGGGAATCTACAACTCTATGAGTTGAATGCAGACATCAGAAAGAAATTTCTGAGAATGCTGCTGTCTACCTTTTATTTGAATTCCCGCTTCCAACGAAATCCTCCAAGCTATCCAAATATCCACTTGCAGATTCCACAAAAAGAGTGTTTCAAAACTGCTCTCTATCAATGGCAAAGTTCAACCCTGTTAGTTGAGGACACATATCACCAACAAGTTTCTGAGAATGCTTCTGTCTATTTTTTATGGGAAGATATTTCCTTTTTCACCGTAGGCGTCAAGGCGATCGAAATGTCCACTTCCACAAACTACAAAAAGAGTGTTTCAAACCTGCTCTATGAAAGGCCATGTTCATCTCTATGAGTCGAATGGAAATATCCGAAAGAAATTTCTGGGAATGCTGCTGTCTAGTTTTTATATGAATTCCCGCTTCCAACGAAATCCTCAAAGCAATCCAAATATCCACTTGCAGAATCCACAAAAAGAGTGTTTCAAAACTGCGCTATGAATAGAAAGGTTCAACTCTTTTAGTTGAGTACACATATCACGAACAAGTTTCTGAGAATGCTTCCTGTCTGGCTTTTATTGGAAGACGTTTCCCTTTTCACCAAAGGCATCAAAGCGCTCCAAATGTCCACTTCCAGATTCTTCCAAAAGAGTGTTTCAAACGTGCTCAAAGTAAGGGAATGTTCAACTCTGTGACTTGAATGCAGATATCACCAAGTAGTTTCTAATAGTGCTTCTGTCTACATTTTAGATGATGATATTCCCGTTTCCAACGAAATCGTTAGAGCTATCCAAATATCCAGTTACAGTTTCTACCAAAAGGGTGTTTCCAAATTGCTGCATCAAAAGAAAGGTTCAACTCTGTTAGTTGAGGACACACATCACAAAGAAGTTTGTGAGAATGCTTCTGTCTAGATTTTGTATGATGATATTCCCTTTTCCAACGATATCGTTAAAGCAATCTAAATATCAATTTGCAGAATCCACAAAAATAGAGTTTCAAAGCTGCTCTGTAAAAAGAAAGGTTCCACTCTGTTAGCTGAGTACACACATCACAAACTTGTTTCTGAGAATCCTTCTGTCTCGTTTTTATGGGAAGATATTTACTTTTCCACCGTAGGCATCAAAGCGCTCCAAATGTCCACATCCAGATACTCCAGAACGAGTGTTTCAAACCTGCTCTATGAAAGGGAATCTTCAACTCTATGAGTTGAATGCAGACATCAGAAAGAAATTTCTGAGAATGCTGCTGTCTACCTTTTATTTGAATTCCCGCTTCCAACGAAATCCTCCAAGCTATCCAAATATCCACCTGCATTTTCCACAACAAGAGTGTTTCAAAACTGCTCTATCAATAGAAATGTTCAACTCCTTTGGCTGGGTACACACATCACAAACAAGTCTCTGAGAATGCTTCTGTCTAGTTTTTATGGGAAGACATTCCCTTTTTCACCAAAGGCATCAAAGCGCTCCAAATGTCCACTTCCAGACACTACAAAAAGAGTGTTTCCAACGTTCTCTAAGAAAGCGAATGTTCAACTCTGTGACTTGAATGCAGATGTCACAAAGTAGTTTCTGAGAGGGCTTCTGTCTAGATTTTAGATGATGATATTCCCGTTTCCAACGAAATCATTAGAGCTATCCAAATATCCACTTACAGTTTCTACAAAAAGAGTGTTTCCAAACTGCTGCATCAAAAGAGAGGTTCCACTCTGTTAGCTGAGTACACACATCACAAACTTGTTTCTCAGAATCCTTCTGTCTCGTTTTTCTGGGAAGATATTTACTTTTTCACCGTAGGCATCAAAGCGCTCCAAATGTCCACATCCAGATACTCCAGAAAGAGTGTTTCAAACCTGCTCTATGAAAGGGAATCTTCAACTCTATGAGTTGAATGCAGACATCAGAAAGAAATTTACTGAGAATGCTGCTGTCTACCTTTTATTTGAATTCCCGCTTCCAACGAAATCCTCCAAGCTATCCAAATATCCACTTGCAGATTCCACAAAAAGAGTGTTTCAAAACTGCTCTCTATCAATGGCAAAGTTCAACTCTGTTAGTTGAGGACACATATCACCAACAAGTTTCTGAGAATGCTTCTGTCTATTTTTTATGGGAAGATATTTCCTTTTTCACTGTAGGCGTCAAGGCGATCGAAATGTCCACTTCCACAAACTACAAAAAGAGTGTTTCAAACCAGCTCTATGAAAGGCGATGTTCATCTCTATGAGTTGAATGGAAATATCCGAAAGAAATTTCTGGGAATGCTGCTGTCTAGTGTTTATACGAATTCCCGCTTCCAACGAAATCCTCAAAGCAATCCAAATATCCACTTGCAGAATCCACAAAAAGAGTGTTTCAAAACTGCTCTATCAATAGAAAGGTTCAACTCTTTTAGTTGAGTACACACATCACGAACAAGTTTCTCAGAATGCTTCTGTCTGGCTTTTATTGGAAGACGTTTCCTTTTCACCAAAGGCATCAAAGCGCTCCAAATGTCCACTTACAGATTCTTCCAAAAGAGTGTTTCAAACGTGCTCAAAGTAAGGGAATGTTCAACTCTGTGACTTGAATGCAGATATCACCAAGTAGTTTCTAATAGTGCTTCTGTCTAGATTTTAGATGATGATATTCCCGTTTCCAACGAAATCGTTAGAGCTATCCAAATATCCACTTACAGTTTCTACAAAAAGAGTGTTTCCAAACTGCTGCATCAAAAGAAAGGTTCAACTCTGTTAGTTGAGGACACACGTCACAAAGAAGTTTGTGAGCATGCTTCTGTCTAGATTTTGTATGACGATATTCCCTTTTCCAGCGATATCATTAAAGCAATCTAAATATCCATTTGCAGAATCCACAAAAATAGAGTTTCAAAGCTGCTCTGTAAAAAGAAAGGTTCCACTCTGTTAGCTGAGTACACACATCACAAACTTGTTTCTCAGAATCCTTCTGTCTCGTTTTTATGGGAAGATATTTACTTTTTCACCGTAGGCATCAAAGCGCTCCAAATGTCCACATACAGATACTCCAGAAAGAGTGTTTCAAACCTGCTCTATGAAAGGGAATCTTCAACTCTATGAGTTGAATGCAGACATCAGAAAGAAATTTCTGAGAATGCTGCTGTCTACCTTTTATTTGAATTCCCGCTTCCAACGAAAACCTCCAAGCTATCCAAATATCCACTTGCAGATTCTACAAAAAGAGTGTTTCAAAACTGCTCTATCAATAGAAATGTTCAACTCCTTTCGCTGGGTACACACATCACAAACAAGTTTCTGAGAAAGCTTCTGTCTAGTTTTTATGGGAAGACATTTCCTTTTTCACCAAAGGCATCAAAGAGCTCCAAATGTCCACTTCCAGATACTACAAAAAGAGTGTTTCAAAAGTGCTCTAAGAAAGCGAATGTTCAACTCTGTGACTTGAATGCAGATATTAAAAAGTAGTTTCTGAGAGTGCTTCTGTCCAGATTTTGTATGACGATATTCCCTTTTCCAACGGATATCGTTAAAGCAATCTAAATATCCATTTGCAGAATCCACAAAAATAGAGTTTCAAAGCTGCTCTGTAAAAAGAAAGGTTCCACTCTGTTAGCTGAGTACACACATCACAAACTTGTCTCTCAGAATCCTTCTGTCTCGTTTTTATGGGAAGATATTTACTTTTCCACCGTAGGCATCAAAGCGCTCCAAATGTCCACATCCAGATACTCCAGAAAGAGTGTTTCAAACCTGCTCTATGAAAGGGAATCTTCAACTCTATGAGTTGAATGCAGACATCAGAAAGAAATTTCTGAGAATGCTGCTGTCTACCCTTTATTTGAATTCCCGCTTCCAACGAAATCCTCCAAGCTATCCAAATATCCACTTGCAGATTCCACAAAAAGAGTGTTTCAAAACTGCTCTCTATCAATGGCAAAGTTCAACTCTGTTAGTTGAGGACACATATCACCAACAAGTTTCTGAGAATGCTTCTGTCTATTTTTTATGGGAAGATATTTCCTTTTTCACTGTAGGCGTCAAGGCGATCGAAATGTCCACTTCCACAAACTACAAAAAGAGTGTTTCAAACCTGCTCTATGAAAGGCGATGTTCATCTCTATGAGTTGAATGGAAATATCCGAAAGAAATTTACTGGGAATGCTGCTGTCTAGTTTTTATACGAATTCCCGCTTCCAACGAAATCCTCAAATCAATCCAAATATCCACTTGCAGAATCCACAAAAAGAGTGTTTCAAAACTGCTCTATGAATAGAAAGGTTCAACTCTTTTAGTTGAGTACACACATCACAAACAAGTTTCTGAGAATGCTGCTGTTGGGCTTTTATTGGAAGACGTTTCCTTTTCACCAAAGGCATCAAAGCGCTCCAAATGTCCACTTCCAGATTCTTCCAAAAGAGTGTTTCAAACGTGCTCAAAGTAAGGGAATGTTCAACTCTGTGACTTGAATGCAGATATCAAAAAGTAGTTTACTGAGAGTGCTTCTGTCTAGATTTTAGATGATGATATTCCCGTTTCCAACGAAATCGTTAGAGCTATCCAAATATCCAGTTACAGTTTCTACCAAAAGGGTGTTTCCAAATTGCTGCATCAAAAGAAAGGTTCAACTCTGTTAGTTGAGGACACACATCACAAAGAAGTTTGTGAGAATGCTTCTGTCTAGATTTTGTATGACGATATTCCCTTTTCCAACGATATCGTTAAAGCAATCTAAATATCAATTTGCAGAATCCACAAAAATAGAGTTTCAAAGCTGCTCTGTAAAAAGAAAGGTTCCACTGTGTTAGCTGAGTACACACATCACAAACTTGTTTCTCAGAATCCTTTCTGTCTCGTTTTTATGGGAAGATATTTACTTTTCCACCGTAGGCATCAAAGCGCTCCAAATGTCCACATCCAGATACTCCAGAACGAGTGTTTCAAACCTGCTCTATGAAAGGGAATCTTCAACTCTATGAGTTGAATGCAGACATCAGAAAGAAATTTCTGAGAATGCTGCTGTCTACCTTTTATTTGAATTCCCGCTTCCAACGAAATCCTCCAAACTATCCAAATATCCACCTGCATTTTCCACAACAAGAGTGTTTCAAAACTGCTCTATCAATAGAAATGTTCAACTCCTTTGGCTGGGTACACACATCACAAACAAGTCTCTGAGAATGCTTCTGTCTAGTTTTTATGGGAAGACATTCCCTTTTTCACCAAAGGCATCAAAGCGCTCCAAATGTCCACTTCCAGACACTACAAAAAGAGTGTTTCAAACGTGCTCTAAGAAACCGAATGTTCAACTCTGTGACTTGAATGCAGATATCACAAAGTAGTTTCTGAGAGGGCTTCTGTCTAGATTTTAGATGATGATATTCCCGTTTCCAACGAAATCATTAGAGCTATCCAAATATCCACTTACAGTTTCTACAAAAAGAGTGTTTCCAAACTGCTGCATCAAAACAGAGGTTCCACTCTGTTAGCTGAGTACACACATCACAAACTTGTTTCTCAGAATCCTCTGTCTCGTTTTTATGGGAAGATATTTACTTTTTCACCGTAGGCATCAAAGCGCTCCAAATGTCCACATCCAGATACTACAGAAAGAGTATTTCAAACCTGCCCTATGAAAGGGAATGTTCAACTCTATGAGTTGAATGCAGACATCAGAAAGCAATTTCTGAGAATGCTGGCTGTCTACCTTTTATTTGAATTCCCGCTTCCAACGAAATCCTCCAAGCTATCCAAATATCCACTTGCAGATTCCACAAAAAGAGTGTTTCAAAACTGCTCTCTATCAATGGCAAAGTTCAACTCTGTTAGTTGAGGACACATATCACCAACAAGTTTCTGAGAATGCTTCTGTCTATTTTTTATGGGAAGATATTTCCTTTTTCACCGTAGGCGTCAAGGCGATCGAAATGTCCACTTCCACAAACTACAAAAAGAGTGTTTCAAACCTGCTCTATGAAAGGCGATGTTCATCTCTATGAGTTGAATGGAAATATCCGAAAGAAATTTCTGGGAATGCTGCTGTCTAGTTGTTATACGAATTCCCGCTTCCAACGAAATCCTCAAAGCAATCCAAATATCCACTTGCAGAATCCACAAAAAGAGTGTTTCAAAACTGCTCTATCAATAGAAAGGTTCAACTCTTTTAGTTGAGTACACACATCTCAAACAAGTTTCTGAGAATGCTTCTGTCTGGCTTTTATTGGAAGACGTTTCCTTTTCACCAAAGGCATCAAAGCGCTCCAAATGTCCACTTCCAGATTCTTCCAAAAGAGTGTTTGAAACGTGCTCAAAGTAAGGGAATGTTCAACTCTGTGACTTGAATGCAGATATCACCAAGTAGTTTCTAATAGTGCTTCTGTCTAGATTTTAGATGATGATATTCCCGTTTCCAACGAAATCGTTAGAGCTATCCAAATATCCACTTACAGTTTCTACAAAAACAGTGTTTCCAAACTGCTGCATCAGAAGAAAAGTTCAACTCTGTTAGTTGAGGACACACATCACAAAGAAGTTTGTGAGAATGCTTCTGTCTAGATTTTGTATGACCATATTCCCTTTTCCAGCGATATCATTAAAGCAATCTAAATATCCATTTGCAGAATCCACAAAAATAGAGTTTCAAAGCTGCTCTGTAAAAAGAAAGGTTCCACTCTGTTAGCTGAGTACACACATCACAAACTTGTCTCTCAGAATCCTTCTGTCTCGTTTTTATGGGAAGATATTTACTTTTCCACCGTAGGCATCAAAGCGCTCCAAATGTCCACATCCAGATACTCCAGAACGAGTGTTTCAAACCTGCTCTATGAAAGGGAATCTTCAACTCTATGAGTTGAATGCAGACATCAGAAAGAAATTTCTGAGAATGCTGCTGTCTACCTTTTATTTGAATTCCCGCTTCCAACGAAATCCTCCAAGCTATCCAAATATCCACCTGCATTTTCCACAACAAGAGTGTTTCAAAACTGCTCTATCAATAGAAACGTTCAACTCCTTTGGCTGGGTACACACATCACAAACAAGTTTCTGAGAATGCTTCTGTCTAGTTTTTATGGGAAGACGTTCCCTTTTTCACCAAAGCCATCAAAGCGCTCCAAATGTCCACTTCCAGAGACTACAAAAAGAGTGTTTCAAACGTGCTCTAAGAAAGCGAATGTTCAACTCTGTGACTTGAATGCAGATATCACAAAGTAGTTTCTGAGAGTGCTTCTGTCTAGATTTTACATGATGATATTCCCGTTTTCAACGAAATCATTAGAGCTATCCAAATATCCACTTACAGTTTCTACAAAAAGAGTGTTTCCAAACTGCTGCATCAAAAGAGAGGTTCCACTCTGTTAGCTGAGTACACACATCACAAACTTGTTTCTCAGAATCCTTCTGTCTAGTTTTTATGGGAAGATATTTACTTTTTCACCGTAGGTATCAAAGCGCTCCAAATGTCCACATCCAGATACTACAGAAAGAGTGTTTCAAACCTGCGCTATGAAAGGGAGTTTTCAACTCTATGAGTTGAATGCAGACATCAGAAAGTAATTTCTGAGAATGCTTCTTCAATTTTTTATGGGAAGACATTTCCTTTTTCACCGTAGGCGTCAAAGCGCTCCAAATGTCCACATCCAGATAGTACAGAAAGAGTGTTTCAAACCTGCTCTATTAAAGGGAATGTTCAACTCTATGAGTTGAATGCAAACATCAGAAAGATATTTCTGAGAATGCTTCTGTCTATTTTTTATGGGAAGATATTTCCTTTTTCACCGTAGGCGTCAAGGCGATCGAAATGTCCACTTCCACAAACTACAAAAAGAGTGTTTCAAACCTGCTCTATGAAAGGCCATGTTCATCTCTATGAGTTGAATGGAAATATCCGAAAGAAATTTCTGGGAATGCTGCTGTCTAGTTGTTATACGAATTCCCGCTTCCAACGAAATCCTCAAAGCAATCCAAATATCCACTTGCAGAATCCAAAAAAAGAGTGTTTCAAAACTGCTCTATCAATAGAAAGGTTCAACTCTTTTAGTTGAGTACACACATCACAAACAAGTTTCTGAGAATGCTTCTCTCTGGCTTTTATTGGAAGACGTTTCCTTTTCACCAAAGGCATCAAAGCGCTCCAAATGTCCACTTCCAGATTCTTCCAAAAGAGTGTTTCAAACGTGCTCAAAGTAAGGGAATGTTCAACTCTGTGACTTGAATGCAGATATCACCAAGTAGTTTCTAATAGTGCTTCTGTCTACATTTTAGATGATGATATTCCCGTTTCCAACGAAATCGTTAGAGCTATCCAAATATCCAGTTACAGTTTCTACCAAAAGGGTGTTTCCAAATTGCTGCATCAAAAGAAAGGTTCAACTCTGTTAGTTGAGGACACACATCACAAAGAAGTTTGTGAGAATGCTTCTGTCTAGATTTTGTATGACGATATTCCCTTTTCCAACGATATCATTAAAGCAATCTAAATATCCATTTGCAGAATCCACAAAAATAGAGTTTCAAAGCTGCTCTGTAAAAAGAAAGGTTCCACTCTGTTAGCTGAGTACACACATCACAAACTTGTTCCTCAGAATCCTTCTGTCTCGTTTTTATGGGAAGATATTTACTTTTCCACCGTAGGCATCAAAGCGCTCCAAATGTCCACATCCAGATACTGCAGAACGAGTGTTTCAAACCTGCTCCATGAAAGGGAATCTTCAACTCTATGAGTTGAATGCAGACATCAGAAAGAAATTTCTGAGAATGCTGCTGTCTACCTTTTATTTGAATTCCCGCTTCCAACGAAATCCTCCAAGCTATCCAAATATCCACTTGCATTTTCCACAAAAAGAGTGTTTCATAACTGCTCTGTCAATAGAAATGTTCAACTCCTTTAGCTGGGTACACACATCACAAACAAGTTTCTGAGAATGCTTCTGCCTAGTTTTTATGGGAAGACATTCCCTTTTTCACCAAAGGAATCAAAGCGCTCCAAATGTCCACTTCCAGACACTACAAAAAGAGTGTTTCAAACGTGCTCTAAGAAAGCGAATGTTCAACTCTGTGACTTGAATGCAGATATCACACAGTAGTTTCTGAGAGTGCTTCTGTCTAGATTTTAGATGATGATATTCCCGTTTCCAACGAAATCATTAGAGCTATCCAAATATCCACTTACAGTTTCTACAAAAAGAGTGTTTCCAAACTGCTGCATCAAAAGAGAGGTTCCACTCTGTTAGCCGAGTACACACATCACAAACTTGTTTCTCAGAATCCTTCTGTCTCGTTTTTATGGGAAGATATTTACTTTTTCACCGTAGGCATCAAAGCGCTCCAAATGTCCACATCCAGATACTCCAGAAAGAGTGTTTCAAACCTGCTCTATGAAAGGGAATGTTCAACTCTACGAGTTGAATGCAGACATCAGAAAGAAATTTCTGAGAATGCTGCTGTCTACCTTTTATTTGAATTCCCGCTTCCAACGAAATCCTCCAAGCTATCCAAATATCCACTTGCAGATTCCACAAAAAGAGTGTTTCAAAACTGCTCTCTATCAATGGCAAAGTTCAACTCTGTTAGTTGAGGACACATATCACCAACAAGTTTCTGAGAATGCTTCTGTCTATTTTTTATGGGAAGATATTTCCTTTTTCACCATAGGCGTCAAGGCGATCGAAATGTCCACTTCCACAAACTACAAAAAGAGTGTTTCAAACCTGCTCTATGAAAGGCCATGTTCATCTCTATGAGTCGAATGGAAATATCCGAAAGAAATTTCTGGGAATGCTGCTGTCTAGTTTTTATACGAATTCCCGCTTCCAACGAAATCCTCAAAGCAATCCAAATATCCACTTGCAGAATCCACAAAAAGAGTGTTTCAAAACTGCTCTATCAATAGAAAGGTTCAACTCTTTTAGTTGAGTACACACATCACAAACAAGTTTCTGAGAATGCTTCTGTCTGGCTTTTATTGGAAGACGTTTCCTTTTCACCAAAGGCATCAAAGCGCTCCAAATGTCCACTTCCAGATTCTTCCAAAAGAGTGTTTCAAACGTGCTCGAAGTAAGGGAATATTCTACTCTGTGACTTGAATGCAGATATCACCAAGTAGTTTCTAATAGTGCTTCTGTCTAGATTTTAGATGATGATATTCCCGTTTCCAACGAAATCGTTAGAGCTATCCAAATATCCAGTTACAGTTTCTACCAAAAGGGTGTTTCCAAATTGCTGCATCAAAAGAAAGGTTCAACTCTGTTAGTTGAGGACACACATCACAAAGAAGTTTGTGAGAATGCTTCTGTCTAGATTTTGTATGACGATATTCCCTTTTCCAACGATATCGTTAAAGCAATCTAAATATCAATTTGCAGAATCCACAAAAATAGAGTTTCAAAGCTGCTCTTTAAAAAGAAAGGTTCCACTCTGTTAGCTGAGTACACACATCACAAACTTGTTTCTGAGAATCCTTCTGTCTCGTTTTTATGGGAAGATATTTACTTTTCCACCGTAGGCATCAAAGCGCTCCAAATGTCCACATCCAGATACTCCAGAACGAGTGTTTCAAACCTGCTCTATGAAAGGGAATCTTTAACTCTATGAGTTGAATGCAGACATCAGAAAGAAATTTCTGAGAATGCTGCTGTCTACCATTTATTTGAATTCCCGCTTCCAACGAAATCCTCCATGCTATCCAAATATCCACTTGCATTTTCCACAAAAAGAGTGTTTCAAAACTGCTCTATCAATAGAAATGTTCAACTCCTTTAGCTGGGTACACACATCACAAACAAGTTTCTGAGAATGCTTCTGTCTAGTTTTTATGGGAAGACATTCCCTTTTTCACCAAAGGCATCAAAGCACTCCAAATGTCCACTTCCAGACACTACAAAAAGAGTGTTTCAAACGTGCTCTAAGAAAGCGAATGTTCAACTCTGTGACTTGAATGCAGATATCACAAAGTAGTTTCTGAGAGGGCTTCTGTCTAGATTTTAGATGATGATATTCCCATTTCCAACGAAATCATTAGAGCTAACCAAATATCCACTTACAGTTTCTACAAAAAGAGTGTTTCCAAACTGCTGCATCAGAAGAGAGGTTCCACTCTGTTAGCTGAGTACACACATCACAAACTTGTTTCTCAGAATCCTTCTGTCTCGTTTTTATGGGAAGATATTTACTTTTTCATCGTAGGCCTCAAAGCGCTCCAAATGTCCACATCCAGATACTACAGAAAGAGTATTTCAAACCTGCTCTATGAAAGGGAATCTTCAACTCTATGAGTTGAATGCAGACATCAGAAAGAAATTTCTGAGAATGCTGCTGTCTACCTTTTATTTGAATTCCCGCTTCCAACGAAATCCTTCAAGCTATCCAAATATCCACTTGCTGATTCCACAAAAAGAGTGTTTCAAAACTGCTCTCTATCAATGGCAAAGTTCAACTCTGTTAGTTGAGGACACATATCACCAACAACTTTCTGAGAATGCTTCTGTCTATTTTTTATGGGAAGATATTTCCTTTTTCACCGTAGGCGTCAAGGCGATCGAAATGTCCACTTCCACAAACTACAAAAAGAGTGTTTCAAACCTGCTCTATGAAAGGCCATGTTCATCTCTATGAGTCGAATGGAAATATCCGAAAGAAATTTCTGGGAATGCTGCTGTCTAGTGTTTATACGAATTCCCGCTTCCAACGAAATCCTCAAAGCAATCCAAATATCCACTTGCAGAATCCACAAAAAGAGTGTTTCAAAACTGCTCTATCAATAGAAAGGTTCAACTCTTTTAGTTGAGTACACACATCACCAACAAGTTTCTGAGAATGCTTCTGTCTGGCTTTTATTGGAAGACGTTTCCTTTTCACCAAAGGCATCAAAGCGCTCCAAATGTCCACTTCCAGATTCTTCCAAAAGAGTGTTTCAAACGTGCTCGAAGTAAGGGAATGTTCAACTCTGTGACTTGAATGCTGATATCACCAAGTAGTTTCTAATAGTGCTTCTGTCTAGATTTTAGATGATGATATTCCCGTTTCCAATGAAATCGTTAGAGCTATCCAAATATCCACTTACAGTTTCTACAAAAAGAGTGTTTCCAAACTGCTGCATCAAAATAAAGGTTCAACTCTGTTAGTTGAGGACACACATCACAAAGAAGTTTGTGAGAATGCTTCTGTCCAGATTTTGTATGACGATATTCCCTTTTCCAATGATATCGTTAAAGCAATCTAAATATCCATTTGCAGAATCCACAAAAATAGAGTTTCAAAGCTGCTCTGTAAAAAGAAAGGTTCCACTCTGTTAGCTGAGTACACACATCACAAACTTGTCTCTCAGAATCCTTCTGTCTCGTTTTTATGGGAAGATATTTACTTTTTCACCGTAGGCATCAAAGCGCTCCAAATGTCCACATCCAGATACTCCAGAAAGAGTGTTTCAAACCTGCTCTAGGAAAGGGAATCTTCAACTCTATGAGTTGAATGCAGACATCAGAAAGAAATTTCTGAGAATGCTGCTGTCTACCTTTTATTTGAATTCCCGCTTCCAACGAAATCCTCCAAGCTATCCAAATATCCACCTGCATTTTCCACAAAAAGAGCGTTTCAAAACTGCTCTATCAATAGAAATGTTCAACTCCTTTGGCTGGGTACACACATCACAAACAAGTTTCTGAGAATGCTTCTGTCTAGTTTTTATGGGAAGACATTCCCTTTTTCACCAAAGGCATCAAAGCGCTCCAAATGTCCACTTCCAGACACTACAAAAAGAGTGTTTCCAACGTGCTCTAAGAAAGCGAATGTTCAACTCTGTGACTTGAATGCAGATATCACAAAGTAGTTTCTGAGAAGGCTTCTGTCTAGATTTTAGATGATGATATTCCCGTTTCCAACGAAATCATTAGAGCTATCCAAATAACCACTTACAGTTTCTACAAAAAGAGTGTTTCCAAACTGCTGCATCAAAAGAGAGGTTCCACTCTGTTAGCTGAGTACACACATCACAAACTTGTTTCTCAGAATCCTTTCTGTCTAGTTTTTATGGGAAGATATTTACTTTTTCACCGTAGGCATCAAAGAGTTCCAAATGTCCACATCCAGATAGTACAGAAAGAGTGTTTCAAACCTGCTCTATGAAAGGGAATGTTCAACTCTATGAGTTGAATGCAAGCATCACAAAGAAATTTCTGAGAATGCTGCTGTCTACCTTTTATTTGAATTCCCGCTTCCAACGAATTCCTCCAGGCTATCCAAATATCCACTTGCAGATTCCACAAACAGAGTGTTTCAAAACTGCTCTATCAATGGCAAGGTTCAACTCTGTCAGTTGAGGATACACATCACAAACAAGTTTCTGAGAATTCTTCTGTCTATTTTTTATGGGAAGATATTTCCTTTTTCACCGTAGGCGTCAAGGCGATCGAAATGTCCACTTCCACAAACTACAAAAAGAGTGTTTCAAACCTGCTCTATGAAAGGCCATGTTCATCTCTATGAGTCGAATGGAAATATCCGAAAGAAATTTCTGGGAATGCTGCTGTCTAGTGTTTATACGAATTCCCGCTTTCAACGAAATCCTCAAAGCAATCCAAATATCCACTTGCAGAATCCGCAAAAAGAGTGTTTCAAAACTGCTCTATCAATAGAAAGGTTCAACTCTTTTAGTTGAGTACACACATCACGAACAAGTTTCTGAGAATGCTTCTGTCTGGCTTTTATTGGAAGACGTTTCCTTTTCACCAAAGGCATCAAAGCGCTCCAAATGTCCACTTCCAGATTCTTCCAAAAGAGTGTTTCAAACGTGCTCAAAGTAAGGGAATGTTCAACTCTGTGACTTGAATGCAGATATCACCAAGTAGTTTCTAATAGTGCTTCTGTCTAGATTTTAGATGATGATATTCCCGTTTCCAACGAAATCGTTAGAGCTATCCAAATATCCAGTTACAGTTTCTACCAAAAGGGTGTTTCCAAATTGCTGCATCAAAAGAAAGGTTCAACTCTGTTAGTTGAGGACACACATCACAAAGCAAGTTTGTGAGAATGCTTCTGTCTAGATTTTGTATGACGATATTCCCTTTTCCAACGATATCGTTAAAGCAATCTAAATATCAATTTGCAGAATCCACAAAAATAGAGTTTCAAAGCTGCTCTGTAAAAAGAAAGGTTCCACTCTGTTAGGTGAGTACACACATCACAAACTTGTTTCTCAGAATCCTTCTGTCTCGTTTTTATGGGAAGATATTTACTTTTTCACCGTAGGCATCAAAGCGCTCCAAATGTCCACATCCAGATACTCCAGAAAGAGTGTTTCAAACCTGCTCTATGAAAGGGAATCTTCAACTCTATGAGTTGAATGCAGACATCAGAAAGAAATTTCTGAGAATGCTGCTGTCAACCTTTTATTTGAATTCCCGCTTCCAACGAAATCCTCCAAGCTATCCAAATATCCACCTGCATTTTCCACAAAAAGAGTGTTTCAAAACTGCTCTATCAATAGAAATGTTCAACCCCTTTGGCTGGGTACACACATCACAAACAAGTTTCTGAGAATGCTTCTGTCTACTTTTTAAGGGAAGACATTTCCTTTTTCACCAAAGGCATCAAAGCGCTCCAAATGTCCACTTCCAGATTCTACAAAAAGAGTGTTTCAAACCTGCTCTAAGTAAGGGAGTTTTCAACTCTGTGACTGGAATGCAGATATCACAAAGTAGTTTCTGAGACTGCTTCTGTCTAGATTTTAGATGATGATATTCCCGTTTCCAACGAAATCATTAGAGCTATCCAAATATCCACTTACATTTTCTACAAAAAGAGTGTTTCCAAACTGCTGCATCAAAAGAGAGGTTCCACTCTGTTAGCTGAGTACACACATCACAAACTTGTTTCTGAGAATCCTTCTGTCTCGTTTTTATGGGAAGATATTTACTTTTTCACCGTAGGCATCAAAGCGCTCCAAATGTCCACATCCAGATACTCCAGAAAGAGTGTTTCAAACCTGCTCTATGAAAAGGGAATCTTCAACTCTATGAGTTGAATGCAGACATCAGAAAGAAATTTCTGAGAATGCTGCTGTCTACCTTTTATTTGAATTCCCGCTTCCAACGAAATCCTCCAAGCTATCCAAATATCCACTTGCAGATTCCACAAAAAGAGTGTTTCAAAACTGCTCTCTATCAATGGCAAAGTTCAACTCTGTTAGTTGAGGACACATATCACCAACAAGTTTCTGAGAATGCTTCTGTCTATTTTTTATGGGAAGATATTTCCTTTTTCACCGTAGGCGTCAAGGCAATCGAAATGTCCACTTCCACAAACTACAAAAAGAGTGTTTCAAACCTGCTCTATGAAAGGCGATGTTCATCTCTATGAGTTGAATGGAAATATCCGAAAGAAATTTCTGGGAATGCTGCTGTCTAGGGTTTATACGAATTCCCGCTTCCAACGAAATCCTCAAAGCAATCCAAATATCCACTTGCAGAATCCACAAAAAGAGTGTTTCAAAACTGCGCTATCAATAGAAAGGTTCAACTCTTTTAGTTGAGTACACACATCACGAACAAGTTTCTGAGAATGCTTCTGTCTGGCTTTTATTGGAAGACGTTTCCTTTTCACCAAAGGCATCAAAGCGCTCCAAATGTCCACTTCCAGATTCTTCCAAAAGAGTGTTTGAAACGTGCTCAAAGTAAGGGAATGTTCAACTCTGTGACTTGAATGCAGATATCACCAAGTAGTTTCTAATAGTGCTCTGTCTAGATTTTAGATGATGATATTCCCGTTTCCAACGAAATCGTTAGAGCTATCCAAATATCCAGTTACAGTTTCTACCAAAAGGGTGTTTCCAAATTGCTGCATCAAAAGAAAGGTTCAACTCTGTTAGTTGAGGACACACATCACAAAGAAGTTTGTGAGAATGCTTTCTGTCTAGATTTTGAATGAAGATATTCCCTTTTCCATCGATATCGTTAAATCAACCCAAATATCAATTTGCAGAATCCACAGAAATAGAGTTTCAAAGCTGCTCTGTAAAAAGAAAGGATCCACTCTGTTAGCTGAGTACACACATCACAAACTTGTTTCTGAGCCTCCTGCTACCTTTTATTTGAATTCCCGCTTCCAACGAAATCCTCCAAGCTATCCAAATATCCACTTGCATTTTCCACAAAAAGAGTGTTTCAAAACTGCTCTATCAATAGAAATGTTCAACTCCTTTAGCTGGGTACACACATCACAAACAAGTTTCTGAGAATGCTTCTGTCTAGTTTTTATGGGAAGACGTTCCCTTTTTCACCAAAGGCATCAAAGTGCTCCAAATGTCCACTTCCAGACACTACAAAAAGAGTGTTTCCAACGTGCTCTAAGAAAGCGAATGTTCAACTCTGTTACTTGAATGCAGATATCACAAAGTAGTTTCTGAGAGGGCTTCTGTCTAGATTTTAGATGATGATATTCCCGTTTCCAACGAAATCATTAGAGCTATCCAAATATCCACATACAGTTTCTACAAAAAGAGTGTTTCCAAACTGCTGCATCAAAAGAGAGGTTCCACTCTGTTAGCTGAGTACACACATCACAAACTTGTTTCTCAGAATCCTGCTGTCTACCTTTTATTTGAATTCCCGCTTCCAACGAAATCCTCCAAGCTATCCAAATATCCACTTGCAGATTCCACAAAAAGAGTGTTTCAAAACTGCTCTCTATCAATGGCAAAGTTCAACTCTGTTAGTTGAGGACACATATCACCAACAAGTTTCTGAGAATGCTTCTGTCTATTTTTTATGGGAAGATATTTCCTTTTTCACCGTAGGCATCAAGGCGATCGAAATGTCCACTTCCACAAACTACAAAAAGAGTGTTTCAAACCTGCTCTATGAAAGGCGATGTTCATCTCTATGAGTTGAATGGAAATATCCGAAAGAAATTTCTGGGAATGCTGCTGTCTAGTTTTTATACGAATTCCCGCTTCCAACGAAATCCTCAAAGCAATCCAAATATCCACTTGCAGAATCCACAAAAAGAGTGTTTCAAAACTGCTCTATCAATAGAAAGGTTCAACTCTTTTAGTTGAGTACACACATCACAAACAAGTTTCTGAGAATGCTTCTCTCTGGCTTTTATTGGAAGACGTTTCCTTTTCACCAAAGGCATCAAAGCGCTCCAAATGTCCACTTCCAGATTCTTCCAAAAGAGTGTTTCAAACGTGGTCGAAGTAAGGGAATGTTCAACTGTGTGACTTGAATGCAGATATCACCAAGTAGTTTCTAATAGTGCTTCTGTCTAGATTTTAGATGATGATATTCCCGTTTCCAACGAAATCGTTAGAGCTATCCAAATATCCACTTACAGTTTCTACAAAAAGAGTGTTTCCAAACTGATGCATCAAAAGAAAGGTTCAACTCTGTTAGTTGAGGACACACATCACAAAGCAAGTTTGTGAGAATGCTTCTGTCTAGATTTTGTATGACGATATTCCCTTTTCCAACGATATCGTTAAAGCAATCTAAATATCCATTTGCAGAATCCACAAAAATAGAGTTTCAAAGCTGCTCTGTAAAAAGAAAGGTTCCACTCTGTTAGCTGAGTACACACATCACAAACTTGTTTCTCAGAATCCTTCTGTCTCGTTTTTATGGGAACATATTTACTTTTCCACCGTAGGCATCAAAGCGCTCCAAATGTCCACATCCGGATACTCCAGAACGAGTGTTTCAAACCTGCTCTATGAAAGGGAATCTTCAACTCTATGAGTTGAATGCAGACATCAGAAAGAAATTTCTGAGAATGCTGCTGTCTACCTTTTATTTGAATTCCCGCTTCCAACGAAATCCTCCAAGCTATCCAAATATCCACTTGCATTTTCCACAAAAAGAGTGTATCAAAACTGCTCTATCAACAGAAATGTTCAACTCCTTTAGCTGGGTACACACATCACAAACAAGTTTCTGAGAATGCTTCTGTCTAGTTTTTATGGGTAAACATTCCCTTTTTCACCAAAGGCATCAAAGCGCTCCAAATGTCCACTTCCAGACACTACAAAAAGAGTGTTTCAAACG
Source organism: Homo sapiens (assembly GCF_000001405.40). Lineage (NCBI taxonomy): Eukaryota > Metazoa > Chordata > Mammalia > Primates > Hominidae > Homo > Homo sapiens. The sequence continues at coordinate 14,838,856 of NC_000022.11, read as the reverse complement.
TGCTCTAAGAAAGCGAATGTTCAACTCTGTGACTTGAATGCAGATATCACAAAGTAGTTTCTGAGAGTGCTTCTGTCTAGATTTTAGATGATGATACTCCCGTTTCCAACGAAATCATTAGAGCTATCCAAATATCCACTTACAGTTTCTACAAAAAGAGTGTTTCCAAACTGCTGCATCAAAAGAGAGGTTCCACTCTGTTAGCTGAGTACACACATCACAAACTTGTTTCTGAGAATCCTTCTGTCTCGTTTTTATGGGAAGATATTTACTTTCTCACCGTAGGCATCAAAGCGCTCCAAATGTCCACATCCAGATACTCCAGAAAGAGTGTTTCAAACCTGCTCTATGAAAGGGAATCTTCAACTCTATGAGTTGAATGCAGACATCAGAAAGAAATTTCTGAGAATGCTGCTGTCTACCTTTTATTTGAATTCCCGCTTCCAACGAAATCCTCTAAGCTATGCAAATATCCACTTGCAGATTCCACAAAAAGAGTGTTTCAAAACTGCTCTCTATCAATGGCAAAGTTCAACTCTGTTAGTTGAGGACACATATCACCAACAAGTTTCTGAGAATGCTTCTGTCTATTTTTTATGGGAAGATATTTCCTTTTTCACCGTAGGCGTCAAGGCGATCGAAATGTCCACTTCCACAAACTACAAAAAGAGTGTTTCAAACCTGCTCTATGAAAGGCCATGTTCATCTCTATGAGTCGAATGGAAATATCCGAAAGAAATTTCTGGGAATGCTGCTGTCTAGTTTTTATACGAATTCCCGCTTCCAACGAAATCCTCAAAGCAATCCAAATATCCACTTGCAGAATCCACAAAAAGAGTGTTTCAAAACTGCTCTATCAATAGAAAGGTTCAACTCTTTTAGTTGAGTGCACACATCACAAACAAGTTTCTGAGAATGCTTCTGTCTGGCTTTTATTGGAAGACGTTTCCTTTTCACCAAAGGCATCAAAGCGCTCCAAATGTCCACTTCCAGATTCTTCCAAAAGAGTGTTTGAAACGTGCTCAAAGTAAGGGAATGTTCAACTCTGTGACTTGAATGCAGATATCACCAAGTAGTTTCTAATAGTGCTCTGTCTAGATTTTAGATGATGATATTCCCGTTTCCAACGAAATCGTTAGAGCTATCCAAATATCCACTTACAGTTGCTACAAAAACAGTGTTTCCAAACTGCTGCATCAAAAGAAAGGTTCAACTCTGTTAGTTGAGGACACACGTCACAAAGAAGTTTGTGAGAATGCTTTCTGTCTAGTATTTTGTATGACCATATTCCCTTTTCCAACGATATCGTTAAAGCAATCTAAATATCAATTTGCAGAATCCACAAAAATAGAGTTTCAAAGCTGCTCTGTAAAAAGAAAGGTTCCACTCTGTTAGCTGAGTACACACATCACAAACTTGTTTCTGAGAATCCTTCTGTCTCGTTTTTATGGGAAGATATTTACTTTTTCACCGTAGGCATCAAAGCGCTCCAAATGTCCACATCCAGATACTCCAGAAAGAGTGTTTCAAACCTGCTCTATGAAAGGGAATCTTCAACTCTATGAGTTGAATGCAGACATCAGAAAGAAATTTCTGAGAATGCTGCTGTCTACCTTTTATTTGAACTCCCGCTTCCAACGAAATCCTCCAAGCTATGCAAATATCCACTTGCATTTTCCACAAAAAGAGTGTTTCAAAACTGCTCTATCAATAGAAATGTTCAACTCCTTTAGCTGGGTACACACATCACAAACAAGTTTCTGAGAATGCTTCTGTCTAGTTTTTATGGGTAGACGTTCCCCTTTTTCACCAAAGGCATCAAAGCGCTCCAAATGTCCACTTCCAGACACTACAAAAAGAGTGTTTCAAACGTGCTCTAAGAAAGCGAATGTTCAACTCTGTGACTTGAATGCACATATCACAAAGTAGTTTCTGAGAGGGCTTCTGTCTAGATTTTAGATGATTATATTCCCGTTTCCAACGAAATCATTAGAGCTATCCAAATATCCACTTACAGTTTCTACAAAAAGAGTGTTTCCAAACTGCTGCATCAAAAGAGAGGTTCCACTCTGTTAGCTGAGTACACACATCACAAACTTGTTTCTGAGAATCCTTCTTCAATTTTTTATGGGAAGACATTTCCTTTTTCACCGTAGGCATCAAAGCGCTCCAAATGTCCACATCCAGATAGTACAGAAAGAGTGTTTCAAACCTGCTCTATGAAAGGGAATGTTCAACTCTATGAGTTGAATGCAAACATCAGAAAGAAATTTCTGAGAATGCTGCTGTCTACCTTTTATTTGAATTCCCGCTTCCAACGAAATCCTCCAAGCTATCCAAATATCCACTTGCAGATTCCACAAAAAGAGTGTTTCAAAACTGCTCTCTATCAATGGCAAAGTTCAACTGCTGTTAGTTGAGGACACATATCACCAACAAGTTTCTGAGAATGCTTCTGTCTATTTTTTATGGGAAGATATTTCCTTTTTCACCGTAGGCGTCAAGGCGATCGAAATGTCCACTTCCACAAACTACAAAAAGAGTGTTTCAAACCTGCTCTATGAAAGGCCATGTTCATCTCTTTGAGTTGAATGGAAATATCCGAAAGAAATTTCTGGGAATGCTGCTGTCTAGTGTTTATACGAATTCCCGCTTCCAACGAAATCCTCAAAGCAATCCAAATATCCACTTGCAGAATCCACAAAAAGAGTGTTTCAAAACTGCTCTATCAATAGAAAGGTTCAACTCTTTTAGTTGAGTACACACATCATGAACAAGTTTCTGAGAATGCTTCTGTCTGGCTTTTATTGGAAGACGTTTCCTTTTCACCAAAGGCATCAAAGCGCTCCAAATGTCCACTTCCAGATTCTTCCAAAAGAGTGTTTCAAACGTGCTCGAAGTAAGGGAATGTTCTACTCTGTGACTTGAATGCAGATATCACCAAGTAGTTTCTAATAGTGCTTCTGTCTAGATTTTAGATGATGATATTCCCGTTTCCAACGAAATCGTTAGAGCTATCCAAATATCCAGTTACAGTTTCTACCAAAAGGGTGTTTCCAAATTGCTGCATCAAAAGAAAGGTTCAACTCTGTTAGTTGAGGACACACATCACAAAGAAGTTTGTGAGAATGCTTCTGTCTAGATTTTGTATGACGATATTCCCTTTTCCAACGATATCATTAAAGCAATCTAAATATCCATTTGCAGAATCCACAAAAATAGAGTTTCAAAGCTGCTCTGTAAAAAGAAAGGTTCCACTCTGTTAGCTGAGTACACACATCACAAACTTGTTTCTCAGAATCCTTCTGTCTCGTTTTTATGGGAAGATATTTACTTTTTCACCGTAGGCATCAAAGCCCTCCAAATGTCCACATCCAGATACTCCAGAAAGAGTGTTTCAAACCTGCTCTATGAAAGGGAATCTTCAACTCTTATGAGTTGAATGCAGACATCAGAAAGAAATTTCTGAGAATGCTGCTGTCTACCTTTTATTTGAATTCCCGCTTCCAACGAAATCCTCCAAGCTATCCAAATATCCACCTGCATTTTCCACAACAAGAGTGTTTCAAAACTGCTCTATCAATAGAAATGTTCAACTCCTTTAGCTGGGTACACACATCACAAACAAGTTTCTGAGAATGCTTCTGTCTATTTTTTATGGGAAGACATTCCCTTTTTCACCAAAGGCATCAAAGCGCTCCAAATGTCCACTTCCAGACACTACAAAAAGAGTGTTTCAAACGTGCTCTAAGAAAGCGAATGTTCAACTCTGTGACTTGAATGCAGATATCACAAAGTAGTTTCTGAGAGGGCTTCTGTCTAGATTTTAGATGATGATATTCCCGTTTCCAACGAAATCATTAGAGCTATCCAAATATCCACTTACGGTTTCTACAAAAAGAGTGTTTCCAAACTGCTGCATCAAAAGAGAGGTTCCACTCTGTTAGCTGAGTACACACATCACAAACTTGTTTCTGAGAATCCTTCTGTCTCGTTTTTATGGGAAGATATTTACTTTTTCACCGTAGGCATCAAAGCGCTCCAAATGTCCACATCCAGATACTACAGAAAGAGTATTTCAAACCTGCCCTATGAAAGGGAATGTTCAACTCTATGAGTTGAATGCAGAGATCAGAAAGAAATTTGTGAGAATGCTGCTGTCTACCTTTTATTTGAATTCCCGCTTCCAACGAAATCCTCCAAGCTATCCAAATATCCACTTGCAGATTCCACAAAAAGAGTGTTTCAAAACTGCTCTTTATCAATGGCAAAGTTCAACTCTGTTAGTTGAGGACACATATCACCAACAAGTTTCTGAGAATGCTTCTGTCTATTTTTTATGGGAAGATATTTCCTTTTTCACCGTAGGCGTCAAGGCGATCGAAATGTCCACTTCCACAAACTACAAAAAGAGTGTTTCAAACCTGCTCTATGAAAGGCCATGTTCATCTCTATGAGTTGAATGGAAATATCCGAAAGAAATTTCTGGGAATGCTGCTGTCTAGTTGTTATACGAATTCCCGCTTCCAACGAAATCCTCAAAGCAATCCACATATCCACTTGCAGAATCCACAAAAAGAGTGTTTCAAAACTGCTCCATCAATAGAAAGGGTCAACTCTTTTAGTTGAGTACACACATCACGAACAAGTTTCTGAGAATGCTTCTGTCTGGCTTTTATTGGAAGACGTTTCCTTTTCACCAAAGGCATCAAAGCGCTCCAAATGTCCACTTCCAGATTCTTCCAAAAGAGTGTTTGAAACGTGCTCAAAGTAAGGGAATGTTCAACTCTGTGACTTGAATGCAGATATCACCAAGTAGTTTCTAATAGTGCTTCTGTCTAGATTTTAGATGATGATATTCCCGTTTCCAACGAAATCGTTAGAGCTATCCAAATATCCACTTACAGTTGCTACAAAAACAGTGTTTCCAAACTGCTGCATCAAAAGAAAGGTTCAACTCTGTTAGTTGAGGACACACGTCACAAAGAAGTTTGTGAGAATGCTTCTGTCTAGATTTTGTATGACCATATTCCCTTTTCCAGCGATATCATTAAAGCAATCTAAATATCCATTTGCAGAATCCACAAAAATAGAGTTTCAAAGCTGCTCTGTAAAAAGAAAGGTTCCACTCTGTTAGCTGAGTACACACATCACAAACTTGTTTCTGAGAATCCTTTCTGTCTCGTTTTTATGGGAAGATATTTACTTTTTCACCGTAGGCATCAAAGCGCTCCAAATGTCCACATCCAGATACTCCAGAAAGAGTGTTTCAAACCTGCTCTATGAAAGGGAATCTTCAACTCTATGAGTTGAATGCAGACATCAGAAAGAAATTTCTGAGAATGCTGCTGTCTACCTTTTATTTGAATTCCCGCTTCCAACGAAATCCTCCAAGCTATCCAAATATCCACTTGCATTTTCCACAAAAAGAGTGTTTCAAAACTGCTCTATCAATAGAAATGTTCAACTCCTTTAGCTGGGTACACACATCACAAATAAGTTTCTGAGAATGCTTCTGTCTAGTTTTTATGGGAAGACATTCCCTTTTTCACCAAAGACATCAAAGCGCTCCAAATGTCCACTTCCAGACACTACAAAAAGAGTGTTTCAAACGTGCTCTAAGAAAGCGAATGTTCAACTGCTGTGACTTGAATGCAGATATCACACAGTAGTTTCTGAGAGTGCTTCTGTCTAGCATTTTAGATGATGATATTCCCGTTTCCAACGAAATCATTAGAGCTATCCAAATATCCACTTACAGTTTCTACAAAAAGAGTGTTTCCAAACTACTGCATCAAAAGAGAGGTTCCACTCTGTTAGCTGAGTACACACATCACAAACTTGTTTCTCAGAATCCTTCTGTCTCGTTTTTATGGGAAGATATTTACTTTTTCACCGTAGGCATCAAAGCGCTCCAAATGTCCACATCCAGATACTACAGAAAGAGTATTTCAAACCTGCCCTATGAAAGGGAATGTTCAACTCTATGAGTTGAATGCAGAGATCAGAAAGAAATTTCTGAGAATGCTGCTGTCTACTTTTATTTGAATTCCCGCTTCCAACGAAATCCTCCAAGCTATCCAAATATCCACTTGCAGATTCAGGAAAAAGAGTGTTTCAAAACTGCTCTCTATCAATGGCAAAGTTCAACTCTGTTAGTTGAGGACACATATCACCAACAAGTTTCTGAGAATGCTTCTGTCTATTATTTATGGGAAGATATTTCCTTTTTCACCGTAGGCGTCAAGGCGATCGAAATGTCCACTTCCACAAACTACAAAAAGAGTGTTTCAAACCTGCTCTATGAAAGGCCATGTTCATCTCTATGAGTCGAATGGAAATATCCGAAAGAAATTTCTGGGAATGCTGCTGTCTAGTTTTTATACGAATTCCCGCTTCCAACGAAATCCTCAAAGCAATCCAAATATCCACTTGCAGAATCCACAAAAAGAGTGTTTCAAAACTGCTCTATCAATAGAAAGGTTCAACTCTTTTAGTTGAGTACACACATCACAAACAAGTTTCTGAGAATGCTTCTGTCTGGCTTTTATTGGAAGACGTTTCCTTTTCACCAAAGGCATCAAAGCGCTCCAAATGTCCACTTCCAGATTCTTCCAAAAGAGTGTTTGAAACGTGCTCAAAGTAAGGGAATGTTCAACTCTGTGACTTGAATGCAGATATCACCAAGTAGTTTCTAATAGTGCTTCTGTCTAGATTTTAGATGATGATATTCCCGTTTCCAATGAAATCGTTAGAGCTATCCAAATATCCAGTTACAGTTTCTACCAAAAGGGTGTTTCCAAATTGCTGCATCAAAAGAAAGGTTCAACTCTGTTAGTTGAGGACACACATCACAAAGAAGTTTGTGAGAATGCTTCTGTCTAGATTTTGTATGACGATATTCCCTTTTCCAACGATATCGTTAAAGCAATCTAAATATCAATTTGCAGAATCCACAAAAATAGAGTTTCAAAGCTGCTCTGTAAAAGGAAAGGTTCCACTCTGTTAGCTGAGTACACACATCACAAACTTCTTTCTGAGAATCCTTCTGTCTCGTTTTTATGGGAAGATATTTACTTTTTCACCGTAGGCATCAAAGCGCTCCAAATGTCCACATCCAGATACTCCAGAAAGAGTGTTTCAAACCTGCTCTATGAAAGGGAATCTTCAACTCTATGAGTTAAATGCAGACATCAGAAAGAAATTTCTGAGAATGCTGCTGTCTACCTTTTATTTGAATTCCCGCTTCCAACGAAATCCTCCAAGCTATCCAAATATCCACTTGCATTTTCCACAAAAAGAGTGTTTCAAAACTGCTCTATCAATGGAAATGTTCAACTCCTTTAGCTGGGTACACACATCACAAACAAGTTTCTGAGAATGCTTCTGTCCAGTTTTTATGGGAAGACGTTCCCTTTTTCACCAAAGGCATCAAAGCGCTCCAAATGTCCACTTCCAGACACTACAAAAAGAGTGTTTCCAACGTGCTCTAAGAAAGCGAATGTTCAACTCTGTGACTTGAATGCAGATATCACAAAGTAGTTTCTGAGAGGGCTTCTGTCTAGATTTTAGATGATGATATTCCCGTTTCCAACGAAATCATTAGAGCTATCCAAATATCCACTTACAGTTTCTACAAAAAGAGTGTTTCCAAACTGCTGCATCAAAAGAGAGGTTCCACTCTGTTAGCTGAGTACACACATCACAAACTTGTTTCTCAGAATCCTTCTGTCTCGTTTTTATGGGAAGATATTTACTTTTTCACCGTAGGCATCAAAGCGCTCCAAATGTCCACATCCAGATACTACAGAAAGAGTATTTCAAACCTGCCCTATGAAACGGAATGTTCAACTCTATGAGTTGAATGCAGAGATCAGAAAGAAATTTCTGAGAATGCTGCTGTCTACCTTTTATTTGAATTCCCGCTTCCAACGAAATCCTCCAAACTATCCAAATATCCACTTGCAGATTCAGGAAAAAGAGTGTTTCAAAACTGCTCTCTATCAATGGCAAAGTTCAACTCTGTTAGTTGAGGACACATATCACCAACAAGTTTCTGAGAATGCTTCTGTCTATTTTTTATGGGAAGATATTTCCTTTTTCACCGTAGGCGTCAAGGCGATCGAAATGTCCACTTCCACAAACTACAAAAAGAGTGTTTCAAACCTGCTCTATGAAAGGCCATGTTCATCTCTATGAGTCGAATGGAAATATCCGAAAGAAATTTCTGGGAATGCTGCTGTCTAGTGTTTATACGAATTCCCGCTTCCAACGAAATCTTCAAAGAAATCCAAATATCCACTTGCAGAATCCACAAAAAGAGTGTTTCAAAACTGCTCTATCAATAGAAAGGTTCAACTCTTTTAGTTGAGTACACACATCACGAACAAGTTTCTGAGAATGCTTCTGTCTGGCTTTTATTGGAAGACGTTTCCTTTTCACCAAAGGCATCAAAGCGCTCCAAATGTCCACTTCCAGATTCTTCCAAAAGAGTGTTTGAAACGTGCTCAAAGTAAGGGAATGTTCAACTCTGTGACTTGAATGCAGATATCACCAAGTAGTTTCTAATAGTGCTTCTGTCTAGATTTTAGATGATGATATTCCCGTTTCCAACGAAATCGTTAGAGCTATCCAAATATCCAGTTACAGTTTCTACCAAAAGGGTGTTTCCAAACTGCTGCATCAAAAGAAAGGTTCAACTCTGTTAGTTGAGGACACACATCACAAAGATGTTTGTGAGAATGCTTCTGTCTAGATTTTGTATGACGATATTCCCTTTTCCAACGATATTGTTAAAGCAATCTAAATATCAATTTGCAGAATCCACAAAAATAGAGTTTCCAAGCTGCTCTGTAAAAAGAAAGGTTCCACTCTGTTAGCTGAGTACACACATCACAAACTTGTTTCTGAGAATCCTTCTGTGTCGTTTTTATGGGAACATATTTACTTTTTCACCGTAAGCATCAAAGCGCTCCAAATGTCCACATCCAGATACTCCAGAAAGAGTGTTTCAAACCTGCTCTATGAAAGGGAATCTTCAACTCTATGAGTTGAATGCAGACATCAGAAAGAAATTTCTGAGAATGCTGCTGTCTACCTTTTATTTGAATTCCCGCTTCCAACGAAATCCTCCAAGCTATCCATATATCCACTTGCATTTTCCACAAAAAGAGTGCTTCAAAACTGCTCTATCAATAAATGTTCAACTCCTTTAGCTGGGTGCACACATCACAAACAAGTTTCTGAGAATGCTTCTGTCTAGTTTTTATGGGAAGACATTTCCTTTTTCACCAAAGGCATCAAAGAGCTCCAAATGTCCACTTCCAGATACTACAAAAAGAGTGTTTCAAAAGTGCTCTAAGAAAGCGAATGTTCAACTCTGTGACTTCAATGCAGATATCACAAAGTAGTTTCTGAGAGTGCTTCTGTCTAGATTTTAGATGATGATATTCCCGTTTCCAACGAAATCATTAGAGCTATCAAAATATCCACTTACAGTTTCTACAAAAAGAGTGTTTCCAAACTGCTGCATCAAAAGAGAGGTTCCACTCTGTTAGCTGAGTACACACATCACAAACTTGTTTCTCAGAATCCTTCTCTCTCGTTTTTATTGGAAGATATTTACTTTTTCACCGTAGGCCTCAAAGCGCTCCAAATGTCCACATCCAGATACTCCAGAAAGAGTGTTTCAAACCTGCTCTATGAAAGGGAATCTTCAACTCTATGAGTTGAATGCAGACATCAGAAAGAAATTTCTGAGAATGCTGCTGTCTACCTTTTATTTGAATTCCCGCTTCCAACGAAATCCTCCAAGCTATCCAAATATCCACTTGCAGATTCCACAAAAAGAGTGTTTCAAAACTGCTCTCTATCAATGGCAAAGTTCAACTCTGTTAGTTGAGGACACATATCACCAACAAGTTTCTGAGAATGCTTCTGTCTATTTTTTATGGGAAGATATTTCCTTTTTCACCGTAGGCGTCAAGGCGATCGAAATGTCCACTTCCACAAACTACAAAAAGAGTGTTTCAAACCTGCTCTATGAAAGGCCATGTTCTTCTCTATGAGTTGAATGGAAATATCCGAAAGAAATTTCTGGGAATGCTGCTGTCTAGTTTTTATACGAATTCCCGCTTCCAACGAAATCCTCAAAGCAATCCAAATATCCACTTGCAGAATCCACAAAAAGAGTGTTTCAAAACTGCTCTATCAATAGAAAGGTTCAACTCTTTTAGTTGAGTACACACATCACAAACAAGTTTCTGAGAATGCTCTGTCTGGCTTTTATTGGAAGACGTTTCCTTTTCACCAAAGGCATCAAAGCGCTCCAAATGTCCACTTCCAGATTCTTCCAAAAGAGTGTTTCAAACGTGCTCAAAGTAAGGGAATGTTCAACTCTGTGACTTGAATGCAGATATCACCAAGTAGTTTCTAATAGTGCTTCTGTCTACATTTTAGATGATGATATTCCCGTTTCCAACGAAATCGTTAGAGCTATCCAAATATCTAGTTACAGTTTCTACCAAAAGGGTGCTTCCAAATTGCTGCATCAAAAGAAAGGTTCAACTCTGTTAGTTGAGGACACACATCACAAAGAAGTTTGTGAGAATGCTTCTGTCTAGATTTTGTATGACGGTATTCCCTTTTCCAACGATATCGTTAAAGCAATCTAAATATCAATTTGCAGAATCCACAAAAATAGAGTTTCAAAGCTGCTCTGTAAAAAGAAAGGTTCCACTCTGTTAGCTGAGTACACACATCACAAACTTGTTTCTGAGAATCCTTCTGTCTCGTTTTTATGGGAAGATATTTACTTTTCCACCGTAGGCATCAAAGCGCTCCAAATGTCCACATCCAGATACTCCAGAACGAGTGTTTCAAACCTGCTCTATGAAAGGGAATCTTCAACTCTATGAGTTGAATGCAGACATCAGAAAGAAATTTCTGAGAATGCTGCTGTCTACCTTTTATTTGAATTCCCGCTTCCAACGAAATCCTCCAAGCTATCCAAATATCCACCTGCATTATCCACAACAAGAGTGTTTCAAAACTGCTCTATCAATAGAAATGTTCAACTCCTTTGGCTGGGTACACACATCACAAACAAGTTTCTGAGAATGCTCTGTCTAGTTTTTATGGGAAGACATTCCCTTTTTCACCAAAGGCATCAAAGCGCTCCAAATGTCCACTTCCAGACACTACAAAAAGAGTGTTTCCAACGTGCTCTAAGAAAGCGAATGTTCAACTCTGTGACTTGAATGCAGATATCACAAAGTAGTTTCTGAGAGGGCTTTCTGTCTAGATTTTACATGATGATATTCCCGTTTCCAATGAAATCATTAGAGCTTTCCAAATATCCACTTACAGTTTCTACAAAAAGAGTGTTTCCAAACTGCTGCATTCAAAAGAGAGGTTCCACTCTGTTAGCTGAGTACACACATCACAAACTTGTTTCTGAGAATCCTGCTGTCTACCTTTTTATTTGAATTCCCGCTTCCAACGAAATCCTCCAAGCTATCCAAATATCCACTTGCAGATTCCACAAAAAGAGTGTTTCAAAACTGCTCTCTATCAATGGCAAAGTTCAACTCTGTTAGTTGAGGACACATATCACCAACAAGTTTCTGAGAATGCTGCTGTCTAGTTTTTATATGAAATCCCGCTTCCAACGAAATGCTCAAAGCAATCCAAATATCCACTTGCAGATTCCACAAAAAGAGTGTTTCAAAACTGCTCTATCATAGAAAGGTTCAACTCTTTTAGTTGAGTACACACATCACAAACAAGTTTCTGAGAATGCTGCTGTCTAGTTTTTATACGAATTCCCGCTTCCAACGAAATCCTCAAAGCAATCCAAATATCCACTTGCAGAATCCACAAAAAGAGTGTTTCAAAACTGCTCTATCAATAGAAAGGTTCAACTCTTTTAGTTGAGTACACACATCACAAACAAGTTTCTGAGAATGCTTCTGTCTGGCTTTTATTGGAAGACGTTTCCTTTTCACCAAAGGCATCAAAGCGCTCCAAATGTCCACTTCCAGATTCTTCCAAAAGAGTGTTTGAAACGTGCTCAAAGTAAGGGAATGTTCAACTCTGTGACTTGAATGCAGATATCACCAAGTAGTTTCTAATAGTGCTTCTGTCTAGATTTTAGATGATGATATTCCCGTTTCCAACGAAATCGTTAGAGCTATCCAAATATCCAGTTACAGTTTCTACCAAAAGGGTGTTTCCAAATTGCTGCATCAAAAGAAAGGTTCAACTCTGTTAGTTGAGGACACACATCACAAAGAAGTTTGTGAGAATGCTTCTGTCTAGATTTTGTATGATGATATTCCCTTTTCCAACGATATCGTTAAAGCAATCTAAATATCAATTTGCAGAATCCACAAAAATAGAGTTTCAAAGCTGCTCTGTAAAAAGAAAGGTTCCACTCTGTTAGCTGAGTACACACATCACAAACTTGTTTCTGAGAATCCTTGCTGTCTACCTTTTATTTGAATTCCCGCTTCCAACGAAATCCTCCAAGCTATCCAAATATCAACTTGCATTTTCCACAAAAAGAGTGTTTCAAAACTGCTCTATCAATAGAAATGTTCAACTCCATTAGCTGGGTACACACATCACAAACAAGTTTCTGAGAATGCTTCTGTCTAGATTTTAGATGATGATATTCCCGTTTCCAACGAAATCGTTAGAGCTATCCAAATATCCACTTACAGTTTCTACAAAAAGAGTGTTTCCAAACTGCTGCATCAAAATAAAGGTTCAACTCTGTTAGTTGAGGACACACATCACAAAGAAGTTTGTGAGAATGCTTCTGTCTAGATTTTGTATGACGATATTCCCTTTTCCAACGATATCGTTAAAGCAATCTAAATATCAATTTGCAGAATCCACAAAAATAGAGTTTCAAAGCTGCTCTGTAAAAAGAAAGGTTCCACTCTGTTAGCTGAGTAGACACATCACAAACTTCTTTCTGAGAATCCTTCTGTCTAGTTTTTATGGGAAGATATTTACTTTTTCACCGTAGGCATCAAAGCGTTCCAAATGTCCACATCTAGATAGTACAGAAAGAGTGTTTCAAACCTGCTCTATGAAAGGGAATGTTCAACTCTATGAGTTGAATGCAAACATCACAAAGAAATTTCTGAGAATGCTGCTGTCTACCTTTTATTTGAATTCCCGCTTCCAACGAAATCCTCCAAGCTATCCAAATATCCACTTGCAGATTCCACAAAAAGAGTGTTTCAAAACTGCTCTCTATCAATGGCAAAGTTCAACTCTGTTAGTTGAGGACACATATCACCAACAAGTTTCTGAGTATGCTTCTGTCTATTTTTTATGGGAAGATATTTCCTTTTTCACCGTAGGCGTCAAGGCGATCGTAATGTCCACTTCCACAAACTACAAAAAGAGTGTTTCAAACCTGCTCTATGAAAGGCCATGTTCATCTCTATGAGTTGAATGGAAATATCCGAAAGAAATTTCTGGGAATGCTGCTGTCTAGTTTTTATACGAATTCCCGCTTCCAACGAAATCCTCAAAGCAATCCAAATATCCACTTGCAGAATCCACAAAAAGAGTGTTTCAAAACTGCTCTATCAATAGAAAGGTTCAACTCTTTTAGTTGAGTACACACATCACAAACAAGTTTCTGAGAATGCTTCTGTCTGGCTTTTATTGGAAGACGTTTCCTTTTCACCAAGGCATCAAAGCGCTCCAAATGTCCACTTCCAGATTCTTCCAAAAGAGTGTTTCAAACGTGCTCAAAGTAAGGGAATGTTCAACTCTGTGACTTGAATGCAGATATCACCAAGCAGTGTCTAATAGTGCTTCTCTCTAGATTTTAGATGATGATATTCCCGTTTCCAACGAAATCGTTAGAGCTATCCAAATATCCAGTTACAGTTTCTACCAAAAGGGTGTTTCCAAACTGCTGCATCAAAAGAAAGGTTCAACTCTGTTAGTTGAGGACACACATCACAAAGAAGTTTGTGAGAATGCTTCTGTCTAGATTTTGTATGACGATATTCCCTTTTCCAATGATATCGTTAAAGCAATCTAAATATCAATTTGCAGAATCCACAAAAATAGAGTTTCAAACCTGCTCTGTAAAAAGAAAGGTTCCACTCCGTTAGCTGAGTACACACATCACAAACTTGTTTCTCAGAATCCTTCTGTCTCGTTTTTATGGGAAGATATTTACTTTTTCACCGTAGGCATCAAAGCGCTCCAAATGTCCACATCCAGATACTCCAGAAAGAGTGTTTCAAACCTGCTCTAGGAAAGGGAATCTTCAACTCTATGAGTTGAATGCAGACATCAGAAAGAAATTTCTGAGAATGCTGCTGTCTACCTTTTATTTGAATTCCCGCTTCCAACGAAATCCTCCAAGCTATCCAAATATCCACCTGCATTTTCCACAAAAAGAGTGTTTCAAAACTGCTCTATCAATAGAAATGTTCAACTCCTTTGGCTGGGTACACACATCACAAACAAGTTTCTGAGAATGCTTCTGTCTAGTTTTTATGGGAAGACGTTCCCTTTTTCACCAAAGGCATCAAAGCGCTCCAAATGTCCACTTCCAGACACTACAGAAAGAGTGTTTGAAACGTGCTCTTAGAAAGCGAATGTTCAACTCTGTGACTTGAATGCAGATATCACAAAGTAGTTTCTGAGAGGGCTTCTGTCTAGATTTTAGATGATGATATTCCCGTTTCCAACGAAATCATTAGAGCTATCCAAATATCCACTTACAGTTTCTACAAAAAGAGTGTTTCCAAACTGCTGCATCAAAAGAGAGGTTCCACTCTGTTAGCTGAGTACACACATCACAAACTTGTTTCTCAGAATCCTTCTGTCTAGTTTTTATGGGAAGACGTTCCCTTTTTCACCAAAGGCATCCAAGCGCTCCAAATGTCCACATCCAGATACTCCAGAAAGAGTGTTTCAAACCTGCTCTATGAAAGGGAATCTTCAACTCTATGAGTTGAATGCAGACATCAGAAAGAAATTTCTGAGAATGCTGCTGTCTACCTTTTATTTGAATTCCCGCTTCCAACGAAATCCTCCAAGCTATCCAAATATCCACTTGCAGATTCCACAAAAAGAGTGTTTCAAAACTGCTCTCTATCAATGGCAAAGTTCAACTCTGTTAGTTGAGGACACATATCACCAACAAGTTTCTGAGAATGCTTCTGTCTATTTTTTATGGGAAGATATTTCCTTTTTCACCGTAGGCGTCAAGGCGATCGAAATGTCCACTTCCACAAACTACAAAAAGAGTGTTTCAAACCTGCTCTATGAAAGGCCATGTTCATCTCTATGAGTTGAATGGAAATATCCGAAAGAAATTTGCTGGGAATGCTGCTGTCTAGTGTTTATACGAATTCCCGCTTCCAACGAAATCCTCAAAGCAATCCAAATATCCACTTGCAGAATCCACAAAAAGAGTGTTTCAAAACTGCTCTATCAATGGAAAGGTTCAACACATTTAGTTGAGTACACACATCACAAACAAGTTTCTGAGAATGCTTCTGTCTGGCTTTTATTGGAAGACGTTTCCTTTTCACCAAAGGCATCAAAGCGCTCCAAATGTCCACTTCCAGATTCTTCCAAAAGAGTGTTTCAAACGTGCTCGAAGTAAGGGAATGTTCTACTCTGTGTCTTGAATGCAGATATCACCAAGTAGTTTCTAATAGTGCTTCTGTCTACATTTTAGATGATGATATTCCCGTTTCCAACGAAATCGTTAGAGCTATCCAAATATCCAGTTACAGTTTCTACCAAAAGGGTGTTTCCAAATTGCTGCATCAAAAGAAAGGTTCAACTCTGTTAGTTGAGGACACACATCACAAAGAAGTTTGTGAGAATGCTTCTGTCTAGATTTTGTATGACGATATTCCCTTTTCCAACGATATCGTTAAAGCAATCTAAATATCAATTTGCAGAATCCACAAAAATAGAGTTTCAAACCTGCTCTGTAAAAAGAAAGGTTCCACTCTGTTAGCTGAGTACACACATCACAAACTTGTTTCTGAGAATCCTTCTGTCTCGTTTTTATGGGAAGATATTTACTTTTCCACCGTAGGCATCAAAGCGCTCCAAATGTCCACATCCAGATACTCCAGAACGAGTGTTTCAAACCTGCTCTATGAAAGGGAATCTTCAACTCTATGAGTTGAATGCAGACATCAGAAAGAAATTTCTGAGAATGCTGCTGTCTACCTTTTATTTGAACTCCCGCTTCCAACGAAATCCTCCAAGCTACGCAAATATCCACTTGCATTTTCCACAAAAAGAGTGTTTCAAAACTGCTCTATCAATAGAAATGTTCAACTCCTTTAGCTGGGTACACACATCACAAACAAGTTTCTGAGAATGCTTCTGTCTAGTTTTTATGGGAAGACATTCCCTTTTTCACCAAAGGCATCAAAGCGCTCCAAATGTCCACTTCCAGACACTACAAAAAGAGTGTTTCCAACGTGCTCTAAGAAAGCGAATGTTCAACTCTGTGACTTGAATGCAGATATCACAAAGTAGTTTGCTGAGAGGGCTTCTGTCTAGATTTTAGATGATGATATTCCCGTTTCCAACGAAATCATTAGAGCTATCCAAATATCCACTTACAGTTTCTACAAAAAGAGTGTTTCCAAACTGCTGCATGAAAAGAGAGGTTCCACTCTGTTAGCTGAGTACACACATCACAAACTTGTTTCTCAGAATCCTTCTGTCTCGTTTTTATGGGAAGATATTTACTTTTTCACCGTAGGCATCAAAGCGCTCCAAATGTCCACATCCAGATACTCCAGAAAGAGTGTTTCAAACCTGCTCTATGAAAGGGAATGTTCAACTCTATGAGTTGAATGCAGACATCAGAAAGAAATTTCTGAGAATGCTGCTGTCTACCTTTTATTTGAATTCCCGCTTCCAACGAAATCCTCCAAGCTATCCAAATATCCACTTGCAGATTCCACAAAAAGAGTGTTTCATAACTGCTCTCTATCAATGGCAAAGTTCAACTCTGTTAGTTGAGGACACATATCACCAACAAGTTTCTGAGAATGCTTCTGTCTATTTTTTATGGGAAGATATTTCCTTTTTCACCGTAGGCGTCAAGGCGATCGAAATGTCCACTTCCACAAACTACAAAAAGAGTGTTTCAATATGAAAGGCCATGTTCATCTCTATGAGTTGAATGGAAATATCCGAAAGAAATTTCTGGGAATGCTGCTGTCTAGTGTTTATACGAATTCCCGCTTCCAACGAAATCCTCAAAGCAATCCAAATATCCACTTGCAGAATCCACAAAAAGAGGGTTTCAAAACTGCTCTATCAATAGAAAGGTTCAACTCTTTTAGTTGAGTACACACATCACGAACAAGTTTCTGAGAATGCTTCTGTCTGGCTTTTATTGGAAGACGTTTCCTTTTCACCAAAGGCATCAAAGCGCTCCAAATGTCCACTTCCAGATTCTTCCAAAAGAGTGTTTCAAACGTGCTCGAAGTAAGGGAATGTTCTACTATGTGACTTGAATGCAGATATCACCAAGTAGTTTCTAATAGTGCTTCTGTCTAGATTTTAGATGATGATATTCCCGTTTCCAACGAAATCGTTAGAGCTAAGCAAATATCCAGTTACAGTTTCTACCAAAAGGGTGTTTCCAAATTGCTGCATCAAAAGAAAGGTTCAACTCTGTTAGTTGAGGACACACATCACAAAGAAGTTTGTGAGAATGCTTCTGTCTAGATTTTGTATGACGATATTCCCTTTTCCAACGATATCATTAAAGCAATCTAAATATCCATTTGCAGAATCCACAAAAATAGAGTTTCAAAGCTGCTCTGTAAAAAGAAAGGTTCCACTCTGTTAGCTGAGTACACACATCACAAACTTGTTTCTCAGAATCCTTGTCTGTCTCGTTTTTCTGGGAAGATATTTACTTTTTCACCGTAGGCATCAAAGCGCTCCAAATGTACACATCCAGATACTCCAGAAAGAGTGTTTCAAACCTGCTCTATGAAAGGGAATCTTCAACTCTATGAGTTGAATGCAGACATCAGAAAGAAATTTCTGAGAATGCTGCTGTCTACCTTTTATTTGAATTCCCGCTTCCAACGAAATCCTCCAAGCTATCCAAATATCCACTTGCATTTTCCACAAAAAGAGTGTTTCAAAACTACTCTATCAATAGAAATGTTCAACTCCTTTAGCTGGGTACACACATCACAAACAACTTTCTGAGAATGCTTCTGTCTAGTTTTTATGGGAAGACGTTCCCTTTTTCACCAAAGGCATCAAAGCGCTCCAAATGTCCACTTCCAGACACTACAAAAAGAGTGTTTCAAACGTGCTCTAAGAAAGCGAATGTTCAACTCTGTGACTTGAATGCAGATATCACAAAGTAGTTTCTGAGAGGGCTTCTGTCTAGATTTTAGATGATGATATTCCCGTTTCCAACGAAATCATTAGAGCTATCCAAATATCCACTTACAGTTTCTACAAAAAGAGTGTTGCCAAACTGCTGCATCAAAAGAGAGGTTCCACTCTGTTAGCTGAGTACACACATCACAAACTTGTTTCTCAGATTCCTTCTGTCTCGTTTTTATGGGAAGATATTTACTTTTTCACCGTAGGCATCAAAGCGCTCCAAATGTCCACATCCAGAAACTCCAGAAAGAGTGTTTCAAACCTGCTCTATGAAAGGGAATGTTCAACTCTATGAGTTGAATGCAGACATCAGAAAGAAATTTCTGAGAATGCTGCTGTCTACCTTTTATTTGAATTCCCGCTTCCAACGAAATCCTCCAAGCTATCCAAATATCCACTTGCAGATTCCACAAAAAGAGTGTTTCAAAACTGCTCTCTATCAATGGCAAAGTTCAACTCTGTTAGTTGAGGACACATATCACCAACAAGTTTCTGAGAATGCTTCTGTCTATTTTTTATGGGAAGATATTTCCTTTTTCACCTTAGGCGTCAAGGCGATCGAAATGTCCACTTCCACAAACTACAAAAAGAGTGTTTCAAACCTGCTCTATGAAAGGCCATGTTCATCTCTATGAGTTGAATGGAAATATCCGAAAGAAATTTCTGGGAATGCTGCTGTCTAGTTGTTATACGAATTCCCGCTTCCAACGAAATCCTCAAAGCAATCCACATATCCACTTGCAGAATCCACAAAAAGAGTGTTTCAAAACTGCTCCATCAATAGAAAGGTTCAACTCTTTTAGTTGAGTACACACATCACGAACAAGTTTCTGAGAATGCTTCTGTCTGGCTTTTATTGGAAGACGTTTCCTTTTCACCAAAGGCATCAAAGCGCTCCAAATGTCCACTTCCAGATTCTTCCAAAAGAGTGTTTCAAACGTGCTCTAAGAAAGCGAATGTTCAACTCTGTGACTTGAATGCAGATATCACAAAGTAGTTTCTAATAGTGCTTCTGTCTAGATTTTAGATGATGATATTCCCGTTTCCAACGAAATCGTTAGAGCTATCCAAATATCCACTTACAGTTTCTACAAAAAGAGTGTTTCCAAACTGCTGCATCAAAAGAAAAGTTCAACTCTGTTAGTTGAGGACACACATCACAAAGAAGTTTGTGAGAATGCTTCTGTCTAGATTTTGTATGACGGTATTCCCTTTTCCAACGATATCGT
Source organism: Homo sapiens (assembly GCF_000001405.40). Lineage (NCBI taxonomy): Eukaryota > Metazoa > Chordata > Mammalia > Primates > Hominidae > Homo > Homo sapiens. The sequence goes on along the minus strand of NC_000022.11, from coordinate 14,819,195 downwards.
TAAAACAATCTAAATATCAATTTGCAGAATCCACAAAAATAGAGTTTCAAAGCTGCTGTGTAAAAAGAAAGGTTCCACTCTGTTAGCTGAGTACACACATCACAAACTTGTTTCTGAGAATCCTTTCTGTCTCGTTTTTATGGGAAGATATTTACTTTTCCACCGTAGGCATCAAAGCGCTCCAAATGTCCACATCCAGATACTCCAGAACGAGTGTTTCAAACCTGCTCTATGAAAGGGAATCTTCAACTCTATGAGTTGAATGCAGACATCAGAAAGAAATTTCTGAGAATGCTGCTGTCTACCTTTTATTTGATTTCCCGCTTCCAACGAAATCCTCCAAGCTATCCAAATATCCACCTGCATTTTCCACAACAAGAGTGTTTCAAAACTGCTCTATCAATAGAAATGTTCAACTCCTTTGGCTGGGTACACACATCACAAACAAGTTTCTGAGAATGCTTCTGTCTAGTTTTTATGGGTAGACATTCCCTTTTTCACCAAAGGAATCAAAGCGCTCCAAATGTCCACTTCCAGACACTACAAAAAGAGTGTTTCAAACGTGCTCTAAGAAAGCGAATGTTCAACTCTGTGACTTGAATGCAGATATCACAAAGTAGTTTCTGAGAGTGCTTCTGTCTAGATTTAGATGATGATATTCCCGTTTCCAACGAAATCATTAGAGCTATCCAAATATCCACTTACAGTTTCTACAAAAAGAGTTTTTCCAAACTGCTGCATCAAAAGAGAGGTTCCACTCTGTTAGCTGAGTACACACATCACAAACTTGTTTCTCAGAATCCTTCTGTCTCGTTTTTATGGGAAGATATTTACTTTTTCACCGTAGGCATCAAAGCGCTCCAAATGTCCACATCCAGATACTCCAGAAAGAGTGTTTCAAACCTGCTCTATGAAAGGGAATGTTCAACTCTATGAGTTGAATGCAGACATCAGAAAGAAATTTCTGAGAATGCTGCTGTCTACCTTTAATTTGAATTCCCGCTTCCAACGAAATCCTCCAAGCTATCCAAATATCCACTTGCAAACTCCACAAAAAGAGTGTTTCAAAACTGCTCTCTATCAATGGCAAAGTTCAACTCTGTTAGTTGAGGACACATATCACCAACAAGTTTCTGAGAATGCTTCTGTCTATTTTTTATGGGGAAGATATTTCCTTTTTCACCGTAGGCGTCAAGGCGATCGAAATGTCCACTTCCACAAACTACAAAAAGAGTGTTTCAAACCTGCTCTATGAAAGGCCATGTTCATCTCTATGAGTTGAATGGAAATATCCGAAAGAAATTTCTGGGAATGCTGCTGTCTAGTTGTTATACGAATTCCCGCTTCCAACGAAATCCTCAAAGCAATCCAAATATCCACTTGCAGAATCCACAAAAAGAGTGTTTCAAAACTGCTCTATCAATAGAAAGGTTCAACTCTTTTAGTTGAGTACACACATCTCAAACAAGTTTCTGAGAATGCTTCTGTCTGGCTTTTATTGGAAGACGTTTCCTTTTCACCAAAGGCATCAAAGCGCTCCAAATGTCCACTTCCAGATTCTTCCAAAAGAGTGTTTCAAACGTGCTCGAAGTAAGGGAATGTTCAACTCTGTGACTTGAATGCAGATATCACCAAGTAGTTTCTAATAGTGCTTCTGTCTAGATTTTAGATGATGGTATTCCCGTTTCCAACGAAATCGTTAGAGCTATCCAAATATCCACTTACAGTTTCTACCAAAAGGGTGTTTCCAAACTGCTGCATCAAAAGAAAGGTTCAACTCTGTTAGTTGAGGACACACTTCACAAAGCTGTTTGTGAGAATGCTTCTGTCCAGATTTTGTATGACGATATTCCCTTTTCCAACGATATCGTTAAAGCAATCTAAATATCAATTTGCAGAATCCACAAAAATAGAGTTTCAAAGCTGCTCTGTAAAAAGAAAGGTTCCACTCTGTTAGCTGAGTACACACATCACAAACTTGTTTCTGAGAATCCTTCTGTCTCGTTTTTATGGGAAGATATTTACTTTTTCACTGTAGGCATCAAAGCGCTCCAAATGTCCACATCCAGATACTACAGAAAGAGTATTTCAAACCTGTCCTATGAAAGGGAATGTTCAACTCTATGAGTTGAATGCAGACATCAGAAAGAAATTTCTGAGAATGCTGCTGTCTAACTTTTATTTGAATTCCCGCTTCCAACGAAATCCTCCAAGCTATCCAAATATCCACCTGCATTTTCCACAAAAAGAGTGTTTCAAAACTGCTCTATCAATAGAAATGTTCAACTCCTTTGGCTGGGTACACACATCACAAACAAGTTTCTGAGAATGCTTCTGTCTAGTTTTTATGGGAAGACATCTCCTTTTTCACCAAAGGCATCAAAGAGCTCCAAATGTCCACTTCCAGATACGACAAAAAGGGTGTTTCAAAAGTGCTCTAAGAAAGCGAATGTTCAACTCTGTGACTTGAATGCAGATATCACAAAGTAGTTTCTGAGAGTGCTTCTGTCTAGATTTTAGATGATGATATTCCCGTTTCCAACGAAATCATTAGAGCTATCCAAATATCCACTTACAGTTTCTACAAAAAGAGTGTTTCCAAACTGCTGCATCAAAAGAGAGGTTCCACTCTGTTAGCTGAGTACACACATCACAAACCTGTTTCTGAGAATCCTTCTTCAATTTTTTATGGGAAGACATTTCCTTTTTCACCGTAGGCGTCAAAGCGCTCCAAATGTCCACATCCAGATAGTACAGAAAGAGTGTTTCAAACCTACTCTATTAAAGGGAATGTTCAACTCTATGAGTTGAATGCAAACATCACAAAGAAATTTCTGAGAATGCTGCTGTCTACCTTTTATTTGAATTCCCGATTCCAACGAAATCCTCCAAGCTATCCAAATATCCACTTGCAGATTCCACAAAAAGAGTGTTTCAAAACTGCTCTCTATCAATGGCAAAGTTCAACTCTGTTAGTTGAGGACACATATCACCAACAAGTTTCTGAGAATGCTTCTGTCTATTTTTTATGGGAAGATATTTCCTTTTTCACCGTAGGCGTCAAGGCGATCGAAATGTCCACTTCCACAAACTACAAAAAGAGTGTTTCAAACCTGCTCTATGAAAGGCCATGTTCATCTCTATGAGTCGAATGGAAATATCCGAAAGAAATTTCTGGGAATGCTGCTGTCTAGTGTTTATACGAATTCCCGCTTCCAACGAAATCCTCAAAGCAATCCAAATATCCACTTGCAGAATCCACAAAAAGAGTGTTTCTAAACTGCTCTATCAATAGAAAGGTTCAACTCTTTTAGTTGAGTACACACATCACGAACAAGTTTCTGAGAATGCTTCTGTCTGGCTTTTATTGGAAGACGTTTCCTTTTCACCAAAGGCATCAAAGCGCTCCAAATGTCCACTTCCAGATTCTTCCAAAAGAGTGTTTCAAACGTGCTCAAAGTAAGGGAATGTTCAACTCTGTGACTTGAATGCAGATATCACCAAGTAGTTTCTAATAGTGCTTCTGTCTAGATTTTAGATGATGATATTCCCGTTTCCAACGAAATCGTTAGAGCTATCCAAATATCCACTTACAGTTGCTACAAAAACAGTGTTTCCAAACTGCTGCATCAAAAGAAAGGTTCAACTCTGTTAGTTGAGGACACACGTCACAAAGAAGTTTGTGAGAATGCTTCTGTCTAGATTTTGTATGACGATATTCCCTTTTCCAACGATATCGTTAAAGCAATCTAAATATCAATTTGCAGAATCCACAAAAATAGAGTTTCAAAGCTGCTCTGTAAAAAGAAAGGTTCCACTCTGGTAGCTGAGTACACACATCACAAACTTGTTTCTGAGAATCCTTCTGTCTCGTTTTTATGGGAAGATATTTACTTTTCCACCATAGGCATCAAAGCGCTCCAAATGTCCACATCCAGACACTCCAGAACGAGTGTTTCAAACCTGCTCTATGAAAGGGAATCTTCAACTCTATGAGTTGAATGCAGACATCAGAAAGAAATTTCTGAGAATGCTGCTGTCTACCTTTTATTTGAATTCCCGCTTCCAACGAAATCCTCCAAGCTATCCAAATATCCACTTGCATTTTCCACAAAAAGAGTGTTTCAAAACTGCTCTATCAATAGAAATGTTCAACTCCTTTAGCTGGGTACACACATCACAAACAAGTTTCTGAGAATGCTTCTGTCTAGTTTTTATGGGAAGACGTTCCCTTTTTCACCAAAGGCATCAAAGCGCTCCAAATGTCCACTTCCAGACACTACAAAAAGAGTGTTTCAAACGTGCTCTAAGAAAGCGAATGTTCAACTCTGTGACTTGAATGCAGATATCACAAAGTAGTTTCTGAGAGGGCTTTCTGCCTAGATTTTAGATGATGATATTCCCGTTTCCAACGAAATCATTAGAGCTATCCAAATATCCACTTACAGTTTCTGCAAAAAGAGTGTTTCCAAACTGCTGCATCAAAAGAGAGGTTCCACTCTGTTAGCTGAGTACACACATCACAAACTTGTTTCTCAGAATCCTTCTGTCTCGTTTTTATGGGAAGATATTTACTTTTTCACCGTAGGCATCAAAGCGCTCCAAATGTCCTCATCCAGATACTACAGAAAGAGTATTTCAAACCTGCCCTATGAAAGGGAATGTTCAACTCTATGAGTTGAATGCAGAGATCAGAAAGAAATTTCTGAGAATGCTGCTGTCTACCTTTTATTTGAATTCCCGCTTCCAACGAAATCCTCCAAGCTATCCAAATATCCACTTGCAGATTCCACAAAAAGAGTGTTTCAAAACTGCTCTCTATCAATGGCAAAGTTCAACTCTGTTAGTTGAGGACACATATCACCAACAAGTTTCTGAGAATGCTTCTGTCTATTTTTTATGGGAAGATATTTCCTTTTTCACCGTAGGCGTCAAGGCGATCGAAATGTCCACTTCCACAAACTACAAAAAGAGTGTTTCAAACCTGCTCTATGAAAGGCCATGTTCATCTCTATGAGTTGAATGGAAATATCTGAAAGAAATTTCTGGGAATGCTGCTGTCTAGTTTTTATACGAATTCCCGCTTCCAACGAAATCCTCAAAGCAATCCAAATATCCACTTGCAGAATCCACAAAAAGAGTGTTTCAAAACTGCTCTATCAATGGAAAGGTTCAACTCTTTTAGTTGAGTACACACATCACAAACAAGTTTCTGAGAATGCTTCTGTCTGGCTTTTATTGGAAGACGTTTCCTTTTCACCAAAGGCATCAAAGCGCTCCAAATGTCCACTTCCAGATTCTTCCAAAAGAGTGTTTCAAACGTGCTCAAAGTAAGGGAATGTTCAACTCTGTGACTTGAATGCAGATATCACCAAGTAGTTTCTAATAGTGCTTCTGTCTAGATTTTAGATGATGATATTCCCGTTTCCAACGAAATCGTTAGAGCTATCCAAATATCCAGTTACAGTTTCTACAAAAAGAGTGTTTCCAAACTGCTGCATCAAAAGAAAGGTTCAACTCTGTTAGTTGAGGACACACATCACAAAGAAGTTTGTGAGAATGCTTCTGTCTAGATTTTGTATGACCATATTCCCTTTTCCAGCGATATCATTAAAGCAATCTAAATATCCATTTGCAGAATCCACAAAAATAGAGTTTCAAAGCTGCTCTGTAAAAAGAAAGGTTCCACTCTGTTAGCTGAGTACACACATCACAAACTTGTTTACTCAGAATCCTTCTGTCTCGTTTTTATGGGAAGATATTTACTTTTCCACCGTAGGCATCAAAGCGCTCCAAATGTCCACATCCAGATACTCCGGAACGAGTGTTTCAAACCTACTCTATGAAAGGGAATCTTCAACTCTATGAGTTGAATGCAGACATCAGAAAGAAATTTCTGAGAATGCTGCTGTCTACCTTTTATTTGAACTCCCGCTTCCAACGAAATCCTCCAAGCTATCCAAATATCCACTTGCATTTTCCACAAAAAGAGTGCTTCAAAACTGCTCTATCAATAAATGTTCAACTCCTTTAGCTGGGTGCACACATCACAAACAAGTTTCTGAGAATGCTTCTGTCTAGTTTTTATGGGAAGACATTTCCTTTTTCACCAAAGGCATCAAAGAGCTCCAAATGTCCACTTCCAGATACGACAAATAGAGTGTTTCAAAAGTGCTCTAAGAAAGCGAATGTTCAACTCTGTGACTTGAATGCAGATATCAAAAAGTAGTTTCTTGAGAGTCCTTCTGTCTAGATTTTAGATGATGATATTCCCGTTTCCAACGAAATCATTAGAGCTATCCAAATATCCACTTACAGTTTCTACAAAAAGAGTGTTTCCAAACTGCTGCATCAAAAGAGAGGTTCCACTCTGTTAGCTGAGTACACACATCACAAACTTGTTTCTCAGAATCCTTCTGTCTCGTTTTTATGGGAAGATATTTACTTTTTCACCGTAGGCATCAAAGCGCTCCAAATGTCCACATCCAGATACTCCAGAACGAGTGTTTCAAACCTGCTCTATGAAAGGGAATCTTCAACTCTATGAGTTGAATGCAGACATCAGAAAGAAATTTCTGAGAATGCTGCTGTCTACCTTTTATTTGAATTCCCGCTTCCAACGAAATCCTCCAAGCTATCCAAATATCCACTTGCAGATTCCACAAAAAGAGTGTTTCAAAACTGCTCTCTATCAATGGCAAAGTTCAACTCTGTTAGTTGAGGACACATATCACCAACAAGTTTCTGAGAATGCTTCTGTCTATTTTTTATGGGAAGATATTTCCTTTTTCACCGTAGGCGTCAAGGCAATCGAAATGTCCACTTCCACAAACTACAAAAAGAGTGTTTCAAACCTGCTCTATGAAAGGCCATGTTCATCTCTATGAGTCGAATGGAAATATCCGAAAGAAATTTCTGGGAATGCTGCTGTCTAGTGTTTATACGAATTCCCGCTTGCAACGAAATCCTCAAAGCAATCCAAATATCCACTTGCAGAATCCACAAAAAGAGTGTTTCAAAACTGCTCTATCAATAGAAAGGTTCAACTCTTTTAGTTGAGTACACACATCACGACCAAGTTTCTGAGAATGCTTCTCTCTGGCTTTTATTGGAAGACGTTTCCTTTTCACCAAAGGCATCAAAGCGCTCCAAATGTCCACTTCCAGATTCTTCCAAAAGAGTGTTTCAAACGTGGTCGAAGTAAGGGAATGTTCAACTCTGTGACTTGAATGCAGATATCACCAAGTAGTTTCTAATAGTGCTTATGTCTAGATTTTAGATGATGATATTCCCGTTTCCAACGAAATCGTTAGAGCTATCCAAATATCCACTTACAGTTTCTACAAAAAGAGTGTTTCCAAACTGCTGCATCAAAAGAAAGGTTCAACTCTGTTAGTTGAGGACACACATCACAAAGAAGTTTGTGAGAATGCTTCTGTCTAGATTTTGTATGACGATATTCCCTTTTCCAACGATATCGTTAAAGCAATCTAAATATCCATTTGCAGAATCCACAAAAATAGAGTTTCAAAGCTGCTCTGTAAAAAGAAAGGTTCCACTCTGTTAGCTGAGTACACACATCACAAACTTGTTTCTGAGAATCCTTCTGTCTCGTTTTTATGGGAAGATATTTACTTTTTCACCGTAGGCATCAAAGCGCTCCAAATGTCCACATCCAGATACTCCAGAAAGGGTGTTTCAAACCTGCTCTATGAAAGGGAATCTTCAACTCTATGAGTTGAATGCAGACATCAGAAAGAAATTTCTGAGAATGCTGCTGTCTACCTTTTATTTGAATTCCCGCTTACAACGAAATCCTCCAAGCTATCCAAATATCCACTTGCAGATTCCACAAAAAGAGTGTTTCAAAACTGCTCTCTATCAATGGCAAAGTTCAACTCTGTTAGTTGAGGACACATATCACCAACAAGTTTCTGAGAATGCTTCTGTCTAGTTTTTATGGGTAGACATTCCCTTTTTCACCAAAGGAATCAAAGCGCTCCAAATGTCCACTTCCAGACACTACAAAAAGAGTGTTTCAAACGTGCTCTAAGAAAGGGAATGTTCAACTCTGTGACTTGAATGCAGATATCACAAAGTAGTTTCTGAGAGTGCTTCTGTCTAGATTTTAGATGATGATATTCCCGTTTCCAACGAAATCATTAGAGCTATCCAAATATCCACTTACAGTTTCTACAAAAAGAGTGTTTCCAAACTGCTGCATCAAAAGAGAGGTTCCACTCTGTTAGCTGAGTACACACATCACAAACTTGTTTCTCAGAATCCTTCTGTCTCGTTTTTATGGGAAGATATTTACTTTTTCACAGTAGGCATCAAAGCTCTCCAAATGTCCACATCCAGATACTCCAGAAAGAGTGTTTCAAACCTGCTCTATGAAAGGGAATCTTCAACTCTATGAGTTGAATGCAGACATCAGAAAGAAATTTCTGAGAATGCTGCTGTCTACCTTTTATTTGAATTCCCGCTTCCAACGAAATCCTCCAAGCTATCCAAATATCCACTTGCAGATTCCACAAAAAGAGTGTTTCAAAACTGCTCTCTATCAATGGCAAAGTTCAACTCTGTTAGTTGAGGACACATATCACCAACAAGTTTCTGAGAATGCTTCTGTCTATTTTTTATGGGAAGATATTTCCTTTTTCACCGTAGGCGTCAAGGCGATCGAAATGTCCACTTCCACAAACTACAAAAAGAGTGTTTCAAACCTGCTCTATGAAAGGCCATGTTCATCTCTATGAGTCAAATGGAAATATCCGAAAGAAATTTCTGGGAATGCTGCTGTCTAGTTTTTATACGAATTCCCGCTTCCAACGAAATCCTCAAAGCAATCCAAATATCCACTTGCAGAATCCACAAAAAGAGTGTTTCAAAACTGCTCTATCAATAGAAAGGTTCAACTCTTTTAGTTGAGTACACACATCACAAACAAGTTTCTGAGAATGCTTCTGTCTGTCTTTTATTGGAAGACGTTTCCTTTTCACCAAAGGCATCAAAGCGCTCCAAATGTCCACTTCCAGATTCTTCCAAAAGAGTGTTTCAAACGTGCTCAAAGTAAGGGAATGTTCAACTCTGTGTCTTGAATGCAGATATCACCAAGTAGTTTCTAATAGTGCTTCTGTCTAGATTTTAGATGATGATATTCCCGTTTCCAACGAAATCGTTAGAGCTATCCAAATATCCAGTTACAGTTTCTACCAAAAGGGTGTTTCCAAATTGCTGCATCAAAAGAAAGGTTCAACTCTGTTAGTTGAGGACACACATCACAAAGAAGTTTGTGAGAATGCTTCTGTCTAGATTTTGTATGACCATATTCCCTTTTCCAGCGATATCATTAAAGCAATCTAAATATCCATTTGCAGAATCCACAAAAATAGAGTTTCAAAGCTGCTCTGTAAAAAGAAAGGTTCCACTCTGTTAGCTGAGTACACACATCACAAACTTGTTTCTGAGAATCCTTCTGTCTCGTTTTTATGGGAAGATATTTACTTTTTCACCGTAGGCATCAAAGTGCTCCAAATGTCCACATCCAGATACTCCAGAAAGAGTGTTTCAAACCTGCTCTATGAAAGGGAATCTTCAACTCTATGAGTTGAATGCAGACATCAGAAAGAAATTTCTGAGAATGCTCTGTCTACCTTTTATTTGAATTCCCGCTTCCAACGAAATCCTCCAAGCTATCCAAATATCCACTTGCATTTTCCACAAAAAGAGTGTTTCAAAACTGCTCTATCAATAGAAATGTTCAACTCCTTTAGCTGGGTACACACATCACAAACAAGTTTCTGAGAATGCTTTCTGTCTAGTTTTTATGGGAAGACATTCCCTTTTTCACCAAAGGCATCAAAGCGCTCCAAATGTCCACTTCCAGACACTACAAAAAGAGTGTTTCCAACGTGCTCTAAGAAAGCGAATGTTCAACTCTGTGACTTGAGTGCAGATATCACAAAGTAGTTTCTGAGAGGGCTTCTGTCTAGATTTTGTATGAAGATATTCCCTTTTCCAACGATGTCGTTAAATCAACCCAAATATCAATTTGCAGAATCCACAGAAATAGAGTTTCAAAGCTGCTCTGTAAAAAGAAAGGATCCACTCTGTTAGCTGAGTACACACATCACAAACTTGTTTCTGAGAATCCTTCTGTCTAGTTTTTATGGGAAGATATTTACTTTTTCACTGTAGGTATCAAAGCGCTCCAAATGTCCACATCCAGATACTACAGAAAGAGTGTTTCAAACCTGCTCTATGAAAGGGAATCCTCAACTCTACGAGTTGAATGCAGACATCAGAAAGTAATTTCTGAGAATGCTGCTGTCTACCTTTTATTTGAATTCCCGCTTCCAACGAAATCCTGCCAAGCTATCCAAATATCCACTTGCAGATTCCACAAAAAGAGTGTTTCAAAACTGCTCTCTATCAATGGCAAAGTTCAACTCTGTTAGTTGAGGACACATATCACCAACAAGTTTCTGAGAATGCTTCTGTCTATTTTGTATGGGAAGATATTTCCTTTTTCAGCGTAGGCGTCAAGGCGATCGAAATGTCCACTTCCACAAACTACAAAAAGAGTGTTTCAAACCTGCTCTATGAAAGGCCATGTTCATCTCTATGAGTTGAATGGAAATATCCGAAAGAAATTTCTGGGAATGCTGCTGTCTAGTGTTTATACGAATTCCCGCTTCCAACGAAATCCTCAAAGCAATCCAAATATCCACTTGCAGAATCCACAAAAAGAGTGTTTCAAAACTGCTCTATCAATAGAAAGGTTCAACTCTTTTAGTTGAGTACACACATCACGAACAAGTTTCTGAGAATGCTTCTGTCTGGCTTTTATTGGAAGACGTTTCCTTTTCACCAAAGGCATCACAGTGCTCCAAATGTCCACTTCCAGATTCTTCCAAAAGAGTGTTTCAAACGTGCTCAAAGTAAGGGAATGTTCAACTCTGTGACTTGAATGCAGATATCACCAAGTAGTTTCTAATAGTGCTTCTGTCTAGATTTTAGATGATGATATGCCCGTTTCCAACGAAATCGTTAGAGCTATCCAAATATCCACTTACAGTTTCTACAAAAAGAGTGTTTCCAAACTGCTGCATCAAAAGAAAGGTTCAACTCTGTTAGTTGAGGACACACATCACAAAGAAGTTTGTGAGAATGCTTCTGTCTAGATTTTGTATGACGATATTCCCTTTTCCAACGATATCGTTAAAGCAATCTAAATATCCATTTGCAGAATCCACAAAAATAGAGTTTCAAAGCTGCTCTGTAAAAAGAAAGGTTCCACTCTGTTAGCTGAGTACACACATCACAAACTTGTTTCTCAGAATCCGCTGTCTACCTTTTATTTGAATTCCCGCTTCCAACGGAAATCCTCCAAGCTATCCAAATATCCACCTGCATTTTCCACAAAAAGAGTGTTTCAAAACTGCTCTATCAATAGAAATGTTCAACTCCTTTGGCTGGGTACACACATCACAAACAAGTTTCTGAGAATGCTTCTGTCTAGTTTTTATGGGAAGACATTCCCTTTTTCACCAAAGGCATCAAAGCGCTCCAAATGTCCACTTCCAGACACTACAAAAAGAGTGTTTCCAACGTACTCTAAGAAAGCGAATGTTCAACTCTGTGACTTGAATGCAGATATCACAAAGTAGTTTCTGAGAGGGCTTCTGTCTAGATTTTAGATGATGATATTCCCGTTTCCAACGAAATCATTAGAGCTATCCAAATATCCACTTACAGTTTCTACAAAAAGAGTGTTTCCAAACTGCTGCATCAAAAGAGAGGTTCCACTCTGTTAGCTGAGTACACACATCACAAACTTGTTTCTCAGAATCCTGCTGTCTACCTTTTATTTGAATTCCCGCTTCCAACGAAATCCTCCAAGCTATCCAAATATCCACTTGCAGATTCCACAAAAAGAGTGTTTCAAAACTGCTCTCTATCAATGGCAAAGTTCAACTCTGTTAGTTGAGGACACATATCACCAACAAGTTTCTGAGAATGCTTCTGTCTATTTTTTATGGGAAGATATTTCCTTTTTCACTGTAGGCATCAAGGCGATCGAAATGTCCACTTCCACAAACTACAAAAAGAGTGTTTCAAACCTGCTCTATGAAAGGCGATGTTCATCTCAATGAGTTGAATGGAAATATCCGAAAGAAATTTCTGGGAATGCTGCTGTCTAGTTTTTATATGAATTCCCGCTTCCAACGAAATCCTCAAAGCAATCCAAATATCCACTTGCAGAATCCACAAAAAGAGTGTTTCAAAACTGCGCTATCAATAGAAAGGTTCAACTCTTTTAGTTGAGTACACACATCACGAAGAAGTTTCTGAGAATGCTTCTGTCTGGCTTTTATTGGAAGACGTTTCCTTTTCACCAAAGGCATCAAAGCGCTCCAAATGTCCACTTCCAGATTCTTCCAAAAGAGTGTTTCAAACGTGCTCGAAGTAAGGGAATGTTCTACTCTGTGACTTGAATGCAGATATCACCAAGTAGTTTCTAATAGTGCTTCTGTCTAGATTTTAGATGATGATATTCCCGTTTCCAACGAAATCATTAGAGCTATCCAAATATCCACTTACAGTTTCTACAAAAAGAGTGTTTCCAAACTGCTGCATCAAAAGAGAGGTTCCACTCTGTTAGCTGAGGACACACATCACAAAGAAGTTTGTGAGAATGCTTCTGTCCAGATTTTGTATGACGATATTCCCTTTTCCAACGATATCATTAAAGCAATCTAAATATCCATTTGCAGAATCCACAAAAATAGAGTTTCAAAGCTGCTCTGTAAAAAGAAAGGTTCCACTCTGTTAGCTGAGTACACACATCACAAACTTGTTTCTGAGAATCCTTCTGTCTCGTTTTTCTGGGAAGATATTTACTTTTTCACTGTAGGCATCAAAGCGCTCCAAATGTCCACATCCAGATACTCCAGAAAGAGTGTTTCAAACCTGCTCTATGAAAGGGAATCTTCAACTCTATGAGTTGAATGCAGACATCAGAAAGAAATTTCTGAGAATGCTGCTGTCTACCTTTTATTTGAACTCCCGCTTCCAACGAAATCCTCCAAGCTATCCAAATATCCACTTGCATTTTCCACAAAAAGAGTGCTTCAAAACTGCTCTATCAATAAATGTTCAACTCCTTTGGCTGGGTGCACACATCACAAACAAGTTTCTGAGAATGCTTCTGTCTAGTTTTTATGGGAAGACATTCCCTTTTTCACCAAAGGCATCAAAGCGCTCCAAATGTCCACTTCCAGACACTACAAAAAGAGTGTTTCAAACGTGCTCTAAGAAAGCGAATGTTCAACTCTGTGACTTGAATGCAGATATCACAAAGTAGTTTCTGAGAGGGCTTTCTGTCTAGATTTTAGATGATGATATTCCCGTTTCCAACGAAATCATTACAGCTATCCAAATATCCACTTACAGTTTCTACAAAAAGAGTGTTTCCAAACTGCTGCATCAAAAGAGAGGTTCCACTCTGTTAGTTGAGTACACACATCACAAACTTGTTTCTCAGAATCCTTCTGTCTCGTTTTTATGGGAAGATATTTACTTTTTCACCGTAGGCATCAAAGCGCTCCAAATGTCCACATCCAGATACTCCAGAAAGAGTGTTTCAAACCTGCTCTATGAAAGGGAATGTTCAACTCTATGAGTTGAATGCAGACATCAGAAAGAAATTTCTGAGAATGCTGCTGTCTACCTTTTATTTGAATTCCCGCTTCCAACGAAATCCTCCAAGCTATCCAAATATCCACTTGCAGATTCCACAAAAAGAGTGTTTCAAAACTGGTCTCTATCAATGGCAAAGTTCAACTCTGTTAGTTGAGGACACATATCACCAACAAGTTTCTGAGAATGCTTCTGTCTATTTTTTATGGGAAGATATTTCCTTTTTCACCGTAGGCGTCAAGGCGATCTGAAATGTCCACTTCCACAAACTACAAAAAGAGTGTTTCAAACCTGCTCTATGAAAGGCCATGTTCATCTCTATGAGTCGAATGGAAATATCCGAAAGAAATTTCTGGGAATGCTGCTGTCTAGTGTTTATACGAATTCCCGCTTCCAACGAAATCCTCAAAGCAATCCAAATATCCACTTGCAGAATCCACAAAAAGAGTGTTTCAAAACTGCTCTATCAATAGAAAGGTTCAACTCTTTTAGTTGAGTACACACATCACGAACAAGTTTCTGAGAATGCTTCTGTCTGGCTTTTATTGGAAGACGTTTCCTTTTCACCAAAGGCATCAAAGCGCTCCAAATGTCCACTTCCAGATTCTTCCAAAAGAGTGTTTCAAACGTGCTCGAAGTAAGGGAATGTTCATCTCTGTGACTTGAATGCAGATATCACCAAGTAGTTTCTAATAGTGCTTCTGTCTAGATTTTAGATGATGATATTCCCGTTTCCAACGAAATCGTTAGAGCTATCCAAATATCCACTTACAGTTGCTACAAAAACAGTGTTTCCAAACTGCTGCATCAAAAGAAAGGTTCAACTCTGTTAGTTGAGGACACACATCACAAAGAAGTTTGTGAGAATGCTTCTGTCTAGATTTTGTATGACCATATTCCCTTTTCCAACGATATCGTTAAAGCAATCTAAATATCAATTTGCAGAATCCACAAAAATAGAGTTTCAAAGCTGCTCTGTAAAAAGAAAGGTTCCACTCTGTTAGCTGAGTACACACATCACAAACTTGTTTCTCAGAATCCTTCTGTCTCGTTTTTATGGGAAGATATTTACTTTTCCACCGTAGGCATCAAAGCACTCCAAATGTCCACATCCAGATACTCCAGAACGAGTGTTTCAAACCTGCTCTATGAAAGGGAATCTTCAACTCTATGAGTTGAATGCAGACATCAGAAAGAAATTTCTGAGAATGCTGCTGTCTACCTTTTATTTGAATTCCCGCTTCCAACGAAATCCTCCAAGCTATCCAAATATCCACTTGCATTTTCCACAAAAAGAGTGTTTCAAAACTGCTCTATCAATAGAAATGTTCAACTCCTTTGGCTGGGTACACACATCACAAACAAGTTTCTGAGAATGCTTCTGTCTAGTTTTTATGGGAAGACATTCCCTTTTTCACCAAAGGCATCAAAGCGCTCCAAATGTCCACTTCCAGACACTACAAAAAGAGTGTTTCCAACGTGCTCTAAGAAACCGAATGTTCAACTCTGTGACTTGAATGCAGATATCACAAAGTAGTTTCTGAGAGGGCTTCTGTCTAGATTTTAGATGATGATATTCCCGTTTCCAACGAAATCATTAGAGCTATCCAAATATCCACTTACAGTTTCTACAAAAAGAGTGTTTCCAAACTGCTGCATCAAAAGAGAGGTTCCACTCTGTTAGCTGAGTACACACATCACAAACTTGTTTCTCAGAATCCTTCTGTCTCGTTTTTATGGGAAGATATTTACTTTTTCACCGTAGGCATCAAAGCGCTCCAAATGTCCACATCCAGATACTCCAGAAAGAGTGTTTCAAACCTGCTCTATGAAAGGGAATGTTCAACTCTATGAGTTGAATGCAGACATCAGAAAGAAACTTCTGAGAATGCTGCTGTCTACCATTTATTTGAATTCCCGCTTCCAACGAAATCCTCCAAGCTATACAAATATCCACTTGCAGATTCAGGAAAAAGAGTGTTTCAAAACTGCTCTCTATCAATGGCAAAGTTCAACTCTGTTAGTTGAGGACACATATCACCAACAAGTTTCTGAGAATGCTTCTGTCTATTTTTTATGGGAAGATATTTCCTTTTTCACCGTAGGCGTCAAGGCGATCGAAATGTCCACTTCCACAAACTACAAAAAGAGTGTTTCAAACCTGCTCTATGAAAGGCCATGTTCATCTCTATGAGTTGAATGGAAATATCCGAAAGAAATTTCTGGGAATGCTGCTGTCTAGTTTTTATACGAATTCCCGCTTCCAACGAAATCCTCAAAGCAATCCAAATATCCACTTACAGAATCCACAAAAAGAGTGTTTCAAAACTGCTCTATCAATAGAAAGGTTCAACTCTTTTAGTTGAGTACACACATCACAAACAAGTTTCTGAGAATGCTTCTGTCTGGCTTTTATTGGAAGACGTTTCCTTTTCACCAAAGGCATCAAAGCGCTCCAAATGTCCACTTCCAGATTCTTCCAAAAGAGTGTTTGAAACGTGCTCAAAGTAAGGGAATGTTCAACTCTGTGACTTGAATGCAGATATCACCAAGTAGTTTCTAATAGTGCTTCTGTCTAGATTTTAGATGATGATATTCCCGTTTCCAACGAAATCGTTAGACCTATCCAAATATCCACTTACAGTTTCTACAAAAAGAGTGTTTCCAAACTGCTGCATCAAAAGAAAGGTTCAACTCTGTTAGTTGAGGACACACATCACAAAGAAGTTTCTGAGAAAGCTTCTGTCTAGATTTTGTATGACGATATTCCCTTTTCCAACGATATCGTTAAAGCAATCTAAATATCCATTTGCAGAATCCACAAAAATAGAGTTTCAAAGCTGCTCTGTAAAAAGAAAGGTTCCACTCTGTTAGCTGAGTGCACACATCACAAACTTGTTTCTGAGAATCCTGGCGTTTTCCTTTTATTTGAATTCCCGCTTCCAACGAAATCCTCCAAGCTATCCAAATATCCACTTGCATTTTCCACAAAAAGAGTGTTTCAAAACTGCTCTATCAATGGAAATGTTCAACTCCTTTAGCTGGGTACACACATCACAAACAAGTTTCTGAGAATGCTTCTGTCTAGTTTTTATGGGAAGACATTCCCTTTTTCACCAAAGGCATCAAAGCGCTCCAAATGTCCACTTCCAGACACTACAAAAAGAGTGTTTCAAACGTGCTCTAAGAAAGCGAATGTTCAACTCTGTGACTTGAATGCAGATATCACAAAGTAGTTTTTGAGAGGGCTTCTGTCTAGATTTTAGATGATGATATTCCCGTTTCCAAAGAAATCATTAGAGCTATCCAAATATCCACTTACAGTTTCTACAAAAAGAGTGTTTCCAAACTGCTGCATCAAAACAGAGGTTCCACTCTGTTAGCTGAGTACACACATCACAAACTAGTTTCTCAGAATCCTGCTGTCTACCTTTTATTTGAATTCCCGCTTCCAACTAAATCCTCCAAGCTATCCAAATATCCACTTGCAGATTCCACAAAAAGAGTGTTTCAAAACTGCTCTCTATCAATGGCAAAGTTCAACTCTGTTAGTTGAGGACACATATCACCAACAAGTTTCTGAGAATGCTTCTGTCTATTTTTTATGGGAAGATATTTCCTTTTTCACCGTAGGCGTCAAGGCGATCGAAATGTCCACTTCCACAAACTACAAAAAGAGTGTTTCAAACCTGCTCTATGAAAGGCCATGTTCATCTCTATGAGTTGAATGGAAATATCCGAAAGAAATTTCTGGGAATGCTGCTGTCTAGTGTTTATACGAATTCCCGCTTCCAACGAAATCCTCAAAGCAATCCAAATATCCACTTGCAGAATCCACAAAAAGAGTGTTTCAAAACTGCTCTATCAATAGAAAGGTTCAACTCTTTTAGTTGAGTACACACATCACCAACAAGTTTCTCAGAATGCTTCTGTCTGGCTTTTATTGGAAGACGTTTCCTTTTCACCAAAGGCATCAAAGCGCTCCAAATGTCCACTTCCAGATTCTTCCAAAAGAGTGTTTCAAACGTGCTCGAAGTAAGGGAATGTTCTACTCTGTGACTTGAATGCAGATATCACCAAGTAGTTTCTAATAGTGCTTCTGTCTAGATTTTAGATGATGATATTCCCGTTTCCAACGAAATCGTTAGAGCTATCCAAATATCCAGTTACAGTTTCTACCAAAAGGGTGTTTCCAAATTGCTGCATAAAAAGAAAGGTTCAACTCTGTTAGTTGAGGACACACATCACAAAGAAGTTTGTGAGAATGCTTCTGTCCAGATTTTGTATGACGATATTCCCTTTTCCAACGATATCGTTAAAGCAATCTAAATATCAATTTGCAGAATCCACAAAAATAGAGTTTCAAAGCTGCTCTGTAAAAAGAAAGGTTCCACTCAGTTAGCTGAGTACACACATCACAAACTTGTTTCTGAGAATCCTTCTGTCTCGTTTTTATGGGAAGATATTTACTTTTTCACCGTAGGCATCAAAGCGCTCCAAATGTCCACATCGAGATACTCCAGAAAGAGTGTTTCAAACCTGCTCTATGAAAGGGAATCTTCAACTCTATGAGTTGAATGCAGACATCAGAAAGAAATTTCTGAGAATGCTGCTGTCTACCTTTTATTTGAATTCCCGCTTCCAACGAAATCCTCCAAGCTGTCCAAATATCCACCTGCATTTTCCACAAAAAGAGTGTTTCAAAACTGCTCTATCAATAGAAATGTTCAACTCCTTTGGCTGGGTACACACATCACAAACAAGTTTCTGAGAATGCTTCTGTCTAGTTTTTATGGGAAGACATTCCCTTTTTCACCGAAGGCATCAAAGCGCTCCAAATGTCCACTTCCAGACACTACGAAAAGAGTGTTTCAAACGTGCTCTAAGAAACCGAATGTTCAACTCTGTGAGTTGAATGCAGATATCACAAAGTAGTTTCTGAGAGGGCTTCTGTCTAGATTTTAGATGATGATATTCCCGTTTCCAACGAAATCATTAGAACTATCCAAATATCCACTTACAGTTTCTACAAAAAGAGCGTTTCCAAACTGCTGCATCAAAAGAGAGGTTCCACTCTGTTAGCTGAGTACACACATCACAAACTTGTTTCTCAGAATCCTTCTGTCTAGCTTTTATGGGAAGATATTTTCTTTTTCACCGTAGGCATCAAAGCGTTCCAAATGTCCACATCCAGATAGTACAGAAAGAGTGTTTCAAACCTGCTCTATGAAAGGGAATCTTCAACTCTATGAGTTGAATGCAAACGTCACAAAGAAATTTCTGAGAATGCTGCTGTCTACCTTTTATTTGAATTCCCGCTTCCAACGAAATCCTCCAAGCTATCCAAATATCCACTTACAGATTCCACAAAAAGAGTGTTTCAAAACTGCTCTCTATCAATGGCAAAGTTCAACTCTGTTAGTTGAGGACACATATCACCAACAAGTTTCTGAGAATGCTTCTGTCTATTTTTTATGGGAAGATATTTCCTTTTTCACCGTAGGCGTCAAGGCGATCGAAATGTCCACTTCCACAAACTACAAAAAGAGTGTTTCAAACCTGCTCTATGAAAGGCCATGTTCATCTCTATGAGTTGAATGGAAATATCCGAAAGAAATTTCTGGGAATGCTGCTGTCTAGTGTTTATACGAATTCCCGCTTCCAACGAAATCCTCAAAGCAATCCAAATATCCACTTGCAGAATCCACAAAAAGAGTGTTTCAAAACTGCTCTATCAATAGAAAGGTTCAACTCTTTTTGTTGAGTACACACATCACGAACAAGTTTCTCAGAATGCTTCTGTCTGGCTTTTATTGGAAGACGTTTCCTTTTCACCAAAGGCATCAAAGCGCTCCAAATGTCCACTTCCAGATTCTTCCAAAAGAGTGTTTCAAACGTGCTCAAAGTAAGGGAATGTTCAACTCTGTGACTTGAATGCAGATATCACCAAGTAGTTTCTAATACTGCTTCTGTCTACATTTTAGATGATGATATTCCCGTTTCCAACGAAATCGTTAGAGCTATCCAAATATCCAGTTACAGTTTCTACCAAAAGGGTGTTTCCAAATTGCTGCATCAAAAGAAAGGTTCAACTCTGTTAGTTGAGGACACACATCACAAAGAAGTTTGTGAGAATGCTTCTGTCTAGATTTTGTATGAGGATATTCCCTTTTCCAACGATATCGTTAAAGCAATCTAAATATCAATTAGCAGAATCCACAAAACTAGAGTTTCAAAGCTGCTCTGTAAAAAGAAAGGTTCCACTCTGTTAGCTGAGTACACACATCACAAACTTGTTTCTGAGAATCCTGCTGTCTACCTTTTATTTGAATTCCCGCTTCCAACGAAATCCTCCAAGCTATCCAAATATCCACTTGCATTTTCCACAAAAAGAGTGTTTCAAAACTGCTCTATCAATAGAAATGTTCAACTCCTTTAGCTGGGTACACACATCACAAACAAGTTTCTGAGAATGCTTCTGTCTAGTTTTTATGGGAAGACATTCCCTTTTTCACCAAAGGCATCAAAGCGCTCCAAATGTCCACTTCCAGACACTAGAAAAAGAGTGTTTCAAACGTGCTCTAAGAAAGCGAATGTTCAACTCTGTGACTTGAATGCAGATATCACAAAGTAGTTTCTGAGAGGGCTTCTGTCTAGATTTTAGATGATGATATTCCCGTTTCCAACGAAATCATTAGAGCTATCCAAATATCCACTTACAGTTTCTACAAAAAGAGTGTTTCCAAACTGCTGCATCAAAAGAGAGGTTCCACTCTGTTAGCTGAGTACACACATCACAAACTTGTTTCTCAGAATCCTTATGTCTCGTTTTTATGGGAAGATATTTACTTTTTCACCGTAGGCATCAAAGCGCTCCAAATGTCCACATCCAGATACTCCAGAAAGAGTGTTTCAAACCTGCTCTATGAAAGGGAATCTTCAACTCTATGAGTTGAATGCAGACATCAGAAAGAAATTTCTGAGAATGCTGCTGTCTACCTTTTATTTGAATTCCCGCTTCCAACGAAATCCTCCAAGCTATCCAAATATCCACCTGCATTTTCCACAACAAGAGTGTTTCAAAACTGCTCTATCAATAGAAATGTTCAACTCCTTTGGCTGGGTACACACATCACAAACTAGTTTCTGAGAATGCTTCTGTCTATTTTTTATGGGAAGATATTTCCTTTTTCACCGTAGGCGTCAAGGCGATCGAAATGTCCACTTCCACAAACTACAAAAAGAGTGTTTCAAACCTGCTCTATGAAAGGCCATGTTCATCTCTATGAGTCGAATGGAAATATCCGAAAGAAATTTCTGGGAATGCTGCTGTCTAGTTTTTATACGAATTCCCGCTTCCAACGAAATCCTCAAAGCAATCCAAATATCCACTTGCAGAATCCACAAAAAGAGTGTTTCAAAACTGCTCTATCAATAGAAAGGTTCAACTCTTTTAGTTGAGTACACACATCACAAACAAGTTTCTGAGAATGCTTCTGTCTGGCTTTTATTGGAAGACGTTTCCTTTTCACCAAAGGCATCAAAGCGCTCCAAATGTCCACTTCCAGATTCTTCCAAAAGAGTGTTTCAAACGTGCTCGAAGTAAGGGAATGTTCAACTCTGTGACTTGAATGCAGATATCACCAAGTAGTTTCTAATAGTGCTTCTGTCTACATTTTAGATGATGATATTCCCGTTTCCAACGAAATCGTTAGAGCTATCCAAATATCCAGTTACAGTTTCTACCAAAAGGGTGTTTCCAAATTGCTGCATCAAAAGAAAGGTTCAACTCTGTTAGTTGAGGGCACACATCACAAAGAAGTTTGTGAGAATGCTTCTGTCTAGATTTTGCATGACGATATTCCCTTTTCCAACGATATCGTTAAAGCAATCTAAATACCAATTTGCAGAATCCACAAAAATAGAGTTTCAAAGCTGCTCTGTAAAAAGAAAGGTTCCACTCTGTTAGCTGAGTACACACATCACAAACTTGTTTCTGAGAATCCTTCTGTCTCGTTTTTATGGGAAGATATTTACTTTTCCACCGTAGGCATCAAAGCGCTCCAAATGTCCACATCCAGATACTCCAGAAAGAGTGTTTCAAACCTGCTCTATGAAAGGGAATCTTCAACTCTATGATTTGAATGCAGACATCAGAAAGAAATTTCTGAGAATGCTGCTGTCTACCTTTTATTTGAATTCCCTCTTCCAACGAAATCCTCCAAGCTATCCAAATATCCACTTGCATTTTCCACAAAAAGAGTGTTTCAAAACTGCTGTATCAATAGAAATGTTCAACTCCTTTAGCTGGGTACACACATCACAAACAAGTTTCTGAGAATGCTTCTGTCTAGTTTTTATGGGAAGACGTTCCCTTTTTCACCAAAGGCATCAAAGCGCTCCAAATGTCCACTTCCAGACACTACAAAAAGAGTGTTTCCAACGTGCTCTAAGAAAGCGAATGTTCAACTCTGTGACTTGAATGCAGATATCACAAAGTAGTTTCTGAGAGGGCTTCTGTCTAGATTTTAGATGATGATATTCCCGTTTCCAACGAAATCATTAGAGCTATCCAAATATCCACTTACAGTTTCTACAAAAAGAGTGTTTCCAAACTGCTGCATCAAAAGAGAGGTTCCACTCTGTTAGCTGAGTACACACATCACAAACTTGTTTCTCAGAATCCTTCTGTCTCGTTTTTATGGGAAGATATTTACTTTTTCACCGTAGGCATCAAAGCGCTCCAAATGTCCACATCCAGATACTACAGAAAGAGTATTTCAAACCTGCCCTATGAAAGGGAATGTTCAACTCTATGAGTTGAATGCAGACATCAGAAAGAAATTTCTGAGAATGCTGCTGTCTACCTTTTATTTGAATTCCCGCTTCCAACGAAATCCTCCCAACTATCCAAATATCCACTTGCAGATTCAGGAAAAAGAGTGTTTCAAAACTGCTCTCTATCAATGGCAAAGTTCAACTCTGTTAGTTGAGGACACATATCACCAACAAGTTTCTGAGAATGCTTCTGTCTATTTTTTATGGGAAGATATTTCCTTTTTCACCGTAGGCGTCAAGGCGATCGAAATGTCCACTTCCACAAACTACATAAAGAGTGTTTCAAACCTGCTCTATGAAAGGCCATGTTCATCTCTATGAGTTGAATGGAAATATCCGAAAGAAATTTCTGGGAATGCTGCTGTCTAGTGTTTATACGAATTCCCGCTTCCAACGAAATCCTCAAAGCAATCCAAATATCCACTTGCAGAATCCACAAAAAGAGTGTTTCAAAACTGCTCTATCAATAGAAAGGTTCAACTCTTTTAGTTGAGTACACACATCACGAACAAGTTTCTGAGAATGCTTCTGTCTGGCTTTTATTGGAAGACGTTTCCTTTTCAACAAAGGCATCAAAGCGCTCCAAATGTCCACTTCCAGATTCTTCCAAAAGAGTGTTTCAAACGTGCTCGAAGTAAGGGAATGTTCAACTCTGTGACTTGAATGCAGATATCACCAAGTAGTTTCTAATAGTGCTTCTGTCTAGATTTTAGATGATGATATTCCCGTTTACAACGAAATCGTTAGAGCTATCCAAATATCCAGTTACAGTTTCTACCAAAAGGGTGTTTCCAAATTGCTGCATCAAAAGAAAGGTTCAACTCTGTTAGTTGAGGACACACATCACAAAGAAGTTTGTGAGAATGCTTCTGTCTAGATTTTGTATGACGATATTCCCTTTTCCAACGATATCGTTAAAGCAATCTAAATATCAATTTGCAGAATCCACAAAAATAGACTTTCAAAGCTGCTCTGTAAAAAGAAAGGTTCCACTCTTTTAGCTGAGTACACACATCACAAACTTGTTTCTGAGAATCCTTCTGTCTCGTTTTTATGGGAAGATATTTACTTTTTCACCGCAGGCATCAAAGCGCTCCAAATGTCCACATCCAGATACTCCAGAAAGGGTGTTTCAAACCTGCTCTATGAAAGGGAATCTTCAACTCTATGAGTTGAATGCAGACATCAGAAAGAAATTTCTGAGAATGCTGCTGTCTACCTTTTATTTGAATTCCCGCTTCCAACGAAATCCTCCAAGCTATCCAAATATCCACCTGCATTTTCCACAAAAAGAGTGTTTCAAAACTGCTCTATCAATAGAAATGTTCAACTCCTTTGGCTGGGTACACACATCACAAACAAGTTTCTGAGAATGCTTCTGTCTAGTTTTTATGGGTAGACATTCCCTTTTTCACCAAAGGAATCAAAGCGCTCCAAATGTCCACTTCCAGACACTACAAAAAGAGTGTTTCAAACGTGCTCTAAGAAAGCGAATGTTCAACTCTGTGACTTGAATGCAGATATCACACAGTAGTTTCTGAGAGTGCTTTCTGTCTAGATTTTAGATGATGATATTCCCGTTTCCAACGAAATCATTAGAGCTATCCAAATATCCACTTACAGTTTCTACAAAAAGAGTGTTTCCAAACTGCTGCATCAAAAGAGAGGTTCCACTCTGTTAGCTGAGTACACACATCACAAACTTGTTTCTCAGAATCCTTCTGTCTAGTTTTTATGGGAAGATATTTACTTTTTCACCGTAGGTATCAAAGCGCTCCAAATGTCCTCATCCAGATACTACAGAAAGAGTGTTTCAAACCTGCTCTATGAAAGGGATTCTTCAACTCTATGGGTTGAATGCACACATCAGAAAGTAATTTCTGAGAATGCTGCTGTCTACCTTTTATTAGAATTCCCGCTTCCAACGAAATCCTCCAAGCTATCCAAATATCCACCTGCATTTTCCACAACAAGAGTGTTTCAAAACTGCTCTATCAATAGAAATGTTCAACTCCTTTGGCTGGGTACACACATCACAAACAAGTTTCTGAGAATGCTTCTGTCTATTGTTTATGGGAAGATATTTCCTTTTTCACCGTAGGCGTCAAGGCGATCGAAATGTCCACTTCCACAAACTACAAAAAGAGTGTTTCAAACCTGCTCTATGAAAGGCCATGTTCATCTCTATGAGTTGAATGGAAATATCCGAAAGAAATTTCTGGGAATGCTGCTGTCTAGTGTTTATACGAATTCCCGCTTCCAACGAAATCCTCTAAGCAATCCAAATATCCACTTGCAGAATCCACAAAAAGAGTGTTTCAAAACTGCTCTATCAATAGAAAGGTTCAACTCTTTTAGTTGAGTACACACATCACCAACAAGTTTGCTGAGAATGCTTCTGTCTGGCTTTTATTGGAAGACGTTTCCTTTTCACCAAAGGCATCAAAGCGCTCCAAATGTCCACTTCCAGATTCTTCCAAAAGAGTGTTTCAAACGTGCTCGAAGTAAGGGAATGTTCTACTCTGTGACTTGAATGCAGATATCACCAAGTAGTTTCTAATAGTGCTTCTGTCTAGATTTTAGATGATGATATTCCCGTTTCCAACGAAGTCGCTAGAGCTATCCAAATATCCAGTTACAGTTTCTACCAAAAGGGTGTTTCCAAATTGCTGCATCAAAAGAAAGGTTCAACTCTGTTAGTTGAGGACACACATCACAAAGAAGTTTGTGAGAATGCTTCTGTCTAGATTTTCTATGACGATATTCCCTTTTCCAACGATATCGTTAAAGCAATCTAAATATCAATTTGCAGAATCCACAAAAATAGAGTTTCAAAGCTGCTCTGTAAAAAGAAAGGTTCCACTCTGTTAGCTGAGTACACACATCACAAACTTGTTTCTGAGAATCCTTCTGTCTCGTTTTTATGGGAAGATATTTACTTTTTCACCGTAGGCATCAAAGCGCTCCAAATGTCCACATCCAGATACTCCAGAAAGAGTGTTTCAAACCTGCTCTATGAAAGGGAATCTTCAACTCTATGAGTTGAATGCAGACATCAGAAAGAAATTTCTGAGAATGCTGCTGTCTACCTTTTATTTGAATTCCCGCTTCCAACGAAATCCTCCAAGCTATCCAAATATCCACGTGCATTTTCCACAACAAGAGTGTTTCAAAACTGCTCTATCAATAGAAATGTTCAACTCCTTTGGCTGGGTACACACATCACAAACAAGTTTCTGAGAATGCTTCTGTCTAGTTTTTATGGGAAGACATTCCCTTTTTCACCAAAGGCATCAAAGCGCTCCAAATGTCCACTTCCAGACACTACAAAAAGAGTGTTTCAAACGTGCTCTAAGAAACCGAATGTTCAACTCTGTGACTTGAATGCAGATATCACAAAGTAGTTTCTGAGAGGGCTTCTGTCTAGATTTTAGATGATGATATTCCCGTTTCCAACGAAATCATTAGAGCTATCCAAATATCCACTTACAGTTTCTACAAAAAGAGTGTTTCCAAACTGCTGCATCAAAAGAGAGGTTCCCCTCTGTTAGCTGAGTACACACATCACAAACTTGTTTCTCAGAATCCTGCTGTCTACCTTTAATTTGAATTCCCGCTTCCAACGAAATCCTCCAAGCTATCCAAATATCCACTTGCAGATTCCACAAAAAGAGTGTTTCAAAACTGCTCTCTATCAATGGCAAAGTTCAACTCTGTTAGTTGAGGACACATATCACCAACAAGTTTCTGAGAATGCTTCTGTCTATTTTTTATGGGAAGATATTTCCTTTTTCACCGTAGGCGTCAAGGCGATTGAAATGTCCACTTCCACAAACTACAAAAAGAGTGTTTCAATATGAAAGGCCATGTTCATCTCTATGAGTTGAATGGAAATATCCAAAAGAAATTTCTGGGAATGCTGCTGTCTAGTTGTTATACGAATTCCCGCTTCCAACGAAATCCTCAAAGCAATCCAAATATCCACTTGCAGAATCCACAAAAAGAGTGTTTCAAAACTGCTCTGTCAATAGAAAGGTTCAACTCTGTTAGCTGCGTGCATATATCCCAAAGAAGATTCTGAGATTGCTTCTGTCTGGCTTTTATTGGAAGACGTTTCCTTTTCACCAAAGGCATCAAAGCGCTCCAAATGTCCACTTCCAGATTCTTCCAAAAGAGTGTTTGAAACGTGCTCAAAGTAAGGGAATGTTCAACTCTGTGACTTGAATGCAGATATCACCAAGTAGTTTCTAATAGTGCTTCTGTCTAGATTTTAGATGATGATATTCCCGTTTCCAACGAAATCGTTAGAGCTATCCAAATATCCACTTACAGTTTCTACAAAAAGAGTGTTTCCAAACTGCTGCATCAAAAGAAAGGTTCAACTCTGTTAGTTGAGGACACACGTCACAAAGAAGTTTGTGAGAATGCTTCTGTCCAGATTTTGTATGACGATATTCCCTTTTCCAACGATATCGTTAAAGCAATCTAAATATCCATTTGCAGAATCCACAAAAATAGAGTTTCAAAGCTGCTCTGTAAAAAGAAAGGTTCCACTCTGTTAGCTGAGTACACACATCACAAACTTGTCTCTCAGAATCCTTCTGTCTCGTTTTTATGGGAAGATATTTACTTTTTCACCGTAGGCATCAAAGCGCTCCAAATGTCCACATCCAGATACTCCAGAAAGAGTGTTTCAAACCTGCTCTATGAAAGGGAATCTTCAACTCTATGAGTTGAATGCAGACATCAGAAAGAAATTTCTGAGAATGCTGCTGTCTACCTTTTATTTGAACTCCTGCTTCCAACGAAATCCTCCAAGCTATCCAAATATCCACTTGCATTTTCCACAAAAAGAGTGCTTCAAAACTGCTCTATCAATAAATGTTCAACTCCTTTAGCTGGGTGCACACATCACAAACAAGTTTCTGAGAATGCTTCTGTCTAGTTTTTATTGGAAGATATTCCCTTTTTCACCAAAGGCATCAAAGCGCTCCAAATTTCCACTTCCAGACACTACAAAAAGAGTGTTTCAAACGTGCTCTAAGAAAGCGAATGTTCAACTCTGTGACTTGAATGCAGATATCACAAAGTAGTTTTTGAGAGGGCTTCTCTCTAGATTTTAGATGATGATATTCCCGTTTCCAACGAAATCATTAGAGCTATCCAAATATCCACTTACAGTTTCTACAAAAAAAGTGTTTCCAAACTGCTGCATCAAAAGACAGGTTCCACTCTGTTAGCTGAGTACACACATCACAAACTTGTTTCTGAGAATCCTTCTGTCTCGTTTTTATGGGAAGATATTTACTTTTTCACCGTAGGCATCAAAGCGCTCCAAATGTCCACATCCAGATACTCCAGAAAGAGTATTTCAAACCTGCCCTATGAAAGGGAATGTTCAACTCTATGAGTTGAATGCAGAGATCAGAAAGAAATTTCCTGAGAATGCTGCTGTCTACCTTTTATTTGAATTCCCGCTTCCAACGAAATCCTCCAAGCTATCCAAATATCCACTTGCAGATTCCAAAAAAAGAGTGTTTCAAAACTGCTCTCTATCAATGGCAAAGTTCAACTCTGTTAGTTGAGGGCACATATCACCAACAAGTTTCTGAGAATGCTTCTGTCTATTTTTTATGGGAAGATATTTCCTTTTTCACCGTAGGCGTCAAGGCGATCGAAATGTCCACTTCCACAAACTACAAAAAGAGTGTTTCAGTATGAAAGGCCATGTTCATCTCTATGAGTTGAATGGAAATATCCGAAAGAAATTTCTGGGAATGCTGCTGTCTAGTGTTTATACGAATTCCCGCTTCCAACGAAATCCTCAAAGCAATCCAAATATCCACTTGCAGAATCCACAAAAAGAGTGTTTCAAAACTGCTCTATCAATAGAAAGGTTCAACTCTTTTAGTTGAGTACACACATCACGAACAAGTTTCTGAGAATGCTTCTGTCTGGCTTTTATTGGAAGACGTTTCCTTTCCACCAAAGGCATCAAAGCGCTCCAAATGTCCACTTCCAGATTCTTCCAAAAGAGTGTTTCAAACGTGCTCAAAGTAAGGGAATGTTCAACTCTGTGACTTGAATGCAGATATCACCAAGTAGTTTCTAATAGTGCTTCTGTCTAGATTTTAGATGATGATATTCCCGTTTCCAACGAAATCGTTAGAGCTATCCAAATATCCACTTACAGTTGCTACAAAAACAGTGTTTCCAAACTGCTGCATCAAAAGAAAGGTTCAACTCTGTTAGTTGAGGACACACATCACAAAGAAGTTTGTGAGAATGCTTCTGTCTAGATTTTGTATGACGATATTCCCTTTTCCAACGATATCGTTAAAGCAATCTAAATATCCATTTGCAGAATCCACAAAAATAGAGTTTCAAAGCTGCTCTGTAAAAAGAAAGGTTCCACTCTGTTAGCTGAGTACACACATCACAAACTTGTTTGCTCAGAATCCTTCTGTCTCGTTTTTATGGGAAGATATTTACTTTTCCACCGTAGGCATCAAAGCGCTCCAAATGTCCACATCCAGATACTCCAGAACGAGTGTTTCAAACCTGCTCTATGAAAGGGAATCTTCAACTCTATGAGTTGAATGCAGACATCAGAAAGAAATTTCTGAGAATGCTGCTGTCTACCTTTTATTTGAATTCCCGCATCCAACGAAATCCTCCAAGCTATCCAAATATCCACTTGCATTTTCCACAACAAGAGTGTTTCAAAACTGCTCTATCAATAGAAACGTTCAACTCCTTTGGCTGGGTACACACATCACAAACAAGTTTCTGAGAATGCTTCTGTCTAGTTTTTATGGGTAGACATTCCCTTTTTCACAAAAGGAATCAAAGCGCTCCAAATGTCCACTTCCAGACACTACAAAAAGAGTGTTTCAAACGTGCTCTAAGAAAGCGAATGTTCAACTCTGTGACTTGAATGCAGATATCACAAAGTAGTTTCTGAGAGGGCTTCTGTCTAGATTTTAGATGATGATATTCCCGTTTCCAACGAAATCATTAAAGCTATCCAAATATCCACTTACAGTTTCTACAAAAAGAGTGTTTCCAAACTGCTGCATCAAAAGAGAGGTTCCACTCTGTTAGCTGAGTACACACATCACAAACTTGTTTCTCAGAATCCTTCTGTCTCGTTTTTATGGGAAGATATTTACGTTTTCACCGTAGGCATCAAAGCGCTCCAAATGTCCACATCCAGATACTACAGAAAGAGTATTTCAAACCTGCCCTATGAAAGGGAATGTTCAACTCTATGAGTTGAATGCAGACATCAGAAAGAAATTTCTGAGAATGCTGCTGTCTACCTTTTATTTGAATTCCCGCTTCCAACGAAATCCTCCAAGCTATCCAAATATCCACTTGCAGATTCCACAAAAAGAGTGTTTCAAAACTGCTCTCTATCAATGGCAAAGTTCAACTCTGTTAGTTGAGGACACATATCACCAACAAGTTTCTGAGAATGCTTCTGTCTATTTTTTATGGGAAGATATTTTCTTTTTCACCGTAGGCGTCAAGGCGATCGAAATGTCCACTTCCACAAACTACAAAAAGAGTGTTTCAAACCTGCTCTATGAAAGGCGATGTTCATCTCTATGAGTTGAATGGAAATATCCGAAAGAAATTTCTGGGAATGCTGCTGTCTAGTTTTTATACGAATTCCCGCTTCCAACGAAATCCTCAAAGCAATCCAAATATCCACTTGCAGAATCCACAAAAAGAGTGTTTCAAAACTGCTCTATCAATAGAAAGGTTCAACTCTTTTAGTTGAGTACACACATCACAAACAAGTTTCTGAGAATGCTTCTGTCTGGCTTTTATTGGAAGACGTTTCCTTTTCACCAAAGGCATCAAAGCGCTCCAAATGTCCACTTCCAGATTCTTCCAAAAGAGTGTTTCAAACGTGCTCAAAGTAAGGGAATGCTCAACTCTTTGACTTGAATGCAGATATCACCAAGTAGTTTCTAATAGTGCTTCTGTCTACATTTTAGATGATGATATTCCCGTTTCCAACGAAATCGTTAGATCTATCCAAATATCCAGTTACAGTTTCTACCAAAAGGGTGTTTCCAAATTGCTGCATCAAAAGAAAGGTTCAACTCTGTTAGTTGAGGACACACATCACAAAGAAGTTTGTGAGAATGCTTCTGTCTAGATTTTGTATGACGATATTCCCTTTTCCAACGATTATCGTTAAAGCAATCTAAATATCAATTTGCAGAATCCACAAAAATAGAGTTTCAAAGCTGCTCTGTAAAAAGAAAGGTTCCACTCTGTTAGCTGAGTACACACATCACAAACTTGTTTCTGAGAATCCTTCTGTCTCGTTTTTATGGGAAGATATTTACTTTTTCACCGTAGGCATCAAAGCGCTCCAAATGTCCACATCCAGATACTCCAGAAAGAGTGTTTCAAACCTGCTCTATGAAAGGGAATCTTCAACTCTATGAGTTGAATGCAGACATCAGAAAGAAATTTCTGAGAATGCTCTGTCTACCTTTTATTTGAATTCCCGCTTCCAACGAAATCCTCCAAGCTATCCAAATATCCACCTGCATTTTCCACAAAAAGAGCGTTTCAAAACTGCTCTATCAATAGAAATGTTCAACTCCTTTGGCTGGGTACACACATCACAAACAAGTTTCTGAGAATGCTTTCTGTCTAGTTTTTATGGGAAGACATTCCCTTTTTCACCAAAGACATCAAAGCGCTCCAAATGTCCACTTCCAGACACTACAAAAAGAGTGTTTCAAACGTGCTCTAAGAAAGCGAATGTTCAACTCTGTGACTTGAATGCAGATATCACAAAGTAGTTTCTGAGAGTGCTTCTGTCTAGATTTTAGATGATGATATTCCCGTTTCCAACGAAATCATTAGAGCTATCCAAATATCCACTTACAGTTTCTACAAAAAGAGTGTTTCCAAACTGCTGCATCAAAAGAGAGGTTCCACTCTGTTAGCTGAGTACACACATCACAAACTTGTTTCTCAGAATCCTTCTGTCTCGTTTTTATGGGAAGATATTTACTTTTTCACCGTAGGCATCAAAGCGCTCCAAATGTCCACATCCAGATACTCCAGAAAGAGTGTTTCAAACCTGCTCTATGAAAGGGGATCTTCAACTCTATGAGTTGAATGCAGACATCAGAAAGAAATTTCTGAGAATGCTGCTGTCTACTTTTATTTGAATTCCCGCTTCCAACGAAATCCTCCAAGCTATCCAAATATCCACTTGCAGATTCCACAAAAAGAGTGTTTCAAAACTGCTCTCTATCAATGGCAAAGTTCAACTCTGTTAGTTGAGGACACATATCACCAACAAGTTTCTGAGAATGCTTCTGTCTATTTTTTATGGGAAGATATTTCCTTTTTCAGCGTAGGCGTCAAGGCGATCGAAATGTCCACTTCCACAAACTACAAAAAGAGTGTTTCAAACCTGCTCTATGAAAGGCCATGTTCATCTCTATGAGTTGAATGGAAATATCCGAAAGAAATTTCTGGGAATGCTGCTGTCTAGTTTTTATATGAATTCCCGCTTCCAATGAAATCCTCAAAGCAATCCAAATATCCACTTGCAGAATCCACAAAAAGAGTGTTTCAAAACTGCTCTATCAATAGAAAGGTTCAACTCTTTTAGTTGAGTACACACATCACCAACAAGTTTCTGAGAATGCTTCTGTCTGGCTTTTATTGGAAGACGTTTCCTTTTCACCAAAGGCATCAAAGCGCTCCAAATGTCCACTTCCAGATTCTTCCAAAAGAGTGTTTCAAACGTGCTCAAAGTAAGGGAATGTTCAACTCTGTGACTTGAATGCAGATATCACCAAGTAGTTTCTAATAGTGCTTCTGTCTAGATTTTAGATGATGATATTCCCGTTTCCAACGAAATCGTTAGAGCTATCCAAATATCCAGTTACAGTTTCTACAAAAAGAGTGTTTTCAAACTGCTGCATCAAAAGAAAGGTTCAACTCTGTTAGTTGAGGACACACATCACAAAGAAGTTTGTGAGAATGCTTCTGTCTAGATTTTGTATGAAGATATTCCCTTTTCCATCGATATCATTAAATCAACCCAAATATCAATTTGCAGAATCCACAGAAATAGAGTTTCAAAGCTGCTCTGTAAAAAGGTAGGATCCACTCTGTTAGCTGAGTACACACATCACAAACTTGTTTCTGAGAATCCTGCTGTCTACCTTTTATTTGAATTCCCGCTTCCAACGAAATCCTCCAAGCTATCCAAATATCCACTTGCATTTTCCACAACAAGAGTGTTTCAAAACTGCTCTATCAATAGAAATGTTCAACTCCTTTGGCTGGGTACACACATCACAAACAAGTTTCTGAGAATGCTTCTGCCTAGTTTTTATGGGAAGACATTCCCTTTTTCACCAAAGCCATCAAAGCGCTCCAAATGTCCACTTCCAGACACTACAAAAAGAGTGTTTCAAACGTGCTCTATGAAAGCGAATGTTCAACTCTGTGACTTGAATGCAGATATCACAGAGTAGTTTCTGAGAGTGCTTCTGTCTAGATTTTAGATGATGATATTCCCGTTTCCAACGAAATCATTAGAGCTATCCAAATATCCACTTACAGTTTCTACAAAAAGAGTGTTTCCAAACTGCTGCATCAAAAGAGAGGTTCCACTCTGTTAGCTGAGTACACACATCACAAACTTGTTTCTCAGAATCCTTCTGTCTAGTTTTTATGGGAAGATACTTACTTTTTCACCGTAGGTATCAAAGCGCTCCAAATGTCCACATCCAGATACTACAGAAAGAGTGTTTCAAACCTGCTCTATGAAAGGGAATCTTCAACTCTATGAGTTGAATGCAGACATCAGAAAGTAATTTCTGAGAATGCTGCTGTCTACCTTTTATTTGAATTCCCGCTTCCAACGAAATCCTCCAAGCTATCCAAATATCCACTTGCAGATTCCACAAAAAGAGCGTTTCAAAACTGCTCTATCAATAGAAAGGTTCAACTCTTTTAGTTGAGTACACACATCACAAACAAGTTTCTGAGAATGCTTCTGTCTATTTTTTATGGGAAGATATTTCCTTTTTCACCGTAGGCGTCAAGGCGATCGAAATGTCCACTTCCACAAACTACAAAAAGTGTGTTTCAAACCTGCTCTATGAAAGGCCATGTTCATCTCTATGAGTTGAATGGAAATATCCGAAAGAAATTTCTGGGAATGCTCTGTCTAGTGTTTATACGAATTCCCGCTTCCAACGAAATCCTCAAAGCAATCCAAATATCCACTTGCAGAATCCACAAAAAGAGTGTTTCAAAACTGCTCTATCAATAGAAAGGTTCAACTCTTTTAGTTGAGTACACACATCACGAACAAGTTTCTGAGAATGCTTTCTGTCTGGCTTTTATTGGAAGACGTTTCCTTTTCACCAAAGGCATCAAAGTGCTCCAAATGTCCACTTCCAGATTCTTCCAAAAGAGTGTTTCAAACGTGGTCGAAGTAAGGGAATGTTCAACTCTGTGACTTGAATGCAGATATCACCAAGTAGTTTCTAATAGTGCTTCTGTCTAGATTTTAGATGATGATATTCCCGTTTCCAAAGAAATCGTTAGAGCTATCCAAATATCCAGTTACAGTTTCTACCAAAAGGGTGTTTCCAAATTGCTGCATCAAAAGAAAGGTTCAACTCTGTTAGTTGAGGACACACATCACAAAGAAGTTTGTGAGAATGCTTCTGTCTAGATTTTGTATGACGATATTCTCTTTTCCAACGATATCGTTAAAGCAATCTAAATATCAATTTGCAGAATCCACAAAAATAGAGTTTCAAAGCTGCTCTGTAAAAAGAAAGGTTCCACTCTGTTAGCTGAGTACACACATCACAAACTTGTTTCTGAGAATCCTTCTGTCTCGTTTTTATGGGAAGATATTTACTTTTCCACCGTAGGCATCAAAGCGCTCCAAATGTCCACATCCAGATACTCCAGAACGAGTGTTTCAAACCTGCTCTATGAAAGGGAATCTTCAACTCTATGAGTTGAATGCAGACATCAGAAAGAAATTTCTGAGAATGCTTGCTGTCTACCTTTTATTTGAATTCCCGCTTCCAACGAAATCCTCCAAGCTATCCAAATATCCACCTGCATTTTCCACAAAAAGAGTGTTTCAAACCTGCTCTATCAATAGAAATGTTCAACTCCTTTGGCTGGGTACACACATCACAAACAAGTTTCTGAGAATGCTTCTGTCTAGTTTTTATGGGAAGACATTCCCTTTTTCACCAAAGGCAATTCAAAGCGCTCCAAATGTCCACTTCCAGACACTACAAAAAGAGTGTTTCAAACGTGCTCTAAGAAAGCGAATGTTCAACTCTGTGACTTGAATGCAGATATCACAAAGTAGTTTCTGAGAGTGCTTCTGTCTAGATTTTAGATGATGATATTCCCGTTTCCAACGAAATCATTAGAGCTATCCAAATATCCACTTACAGTTTCTACAAAAAGAGTGTTTCCAAACTGCTGCATCAAAAGAGAGGTTCCACTCTGTTAGCTGAGTACACACATCACAAACTTGTTTCTCAGAATCCTTCTGTCTCGTTTTTATGGGAAGATATTTACTTTTTCACCGTAGGCATCAAAGCGCTCCAAATGTCCACATCCAGATACTCCAGAAAGAGTGTTTCAAACCTGCTCTATGAAAGAGAATGTTCAACTCTATGAGTTGAATGCAGACATCAGAAAGAAATTTCTGAGAATGCTGCTGTCTACCTTTTATTTGAATTCCCGCTTCCAACGAAATCCTCCAAGCTATCCAAATATCCACTTGCAGATTCCACAAAAAGAGTGTTTCAAAACTGCTCTCTATCAATGGCAAAGTTCAACTCTGTTAGTTGAGGACACATATCACCAACAAGTTTCTGAGAATGCTTCTATTTTTTATGGGAAGATATTTCCTTTTTCACCGTAGGCGTCAAGGCGATCGAAATGTCCACTTCCACAAACTACAAAAAGAGTGTTTCAAACCTGCTCTATGAAAGGCCATGTTCATCTCTATGAGTTGAATGGAAATATCCGAAAGAAATTTCTGGGAATGCTGCTGTCTAGTTTTTATACGAATTCCCGCTTCCAACGAAATCCTCAAAGCAATCCAAATATCCACTTGCAGAATCCACAAAAAGAGTGTTTCAAAACTGCTCTATCAATAGAAAGGTTCAACTCTTTTAGTTGAGTACACGCATCACAAACAAGTTTCTGAGAATGCTTCTGTCTGGCTTTTATTGGAAGACGTTTCCTTTTCACCAAAGGCATCAAAGCGCTCCAAATGTCCACTTCCAGATTCTTCCAAAAGAGTGTTTCAAACGTGCTCGAAGTAAGGGAATGTTCAACTCTGTGACTTGAATGCAGATATCACCAAGTAGTTTCTAATAGTGCTTCTGTCTAGATTATAGATGATGATATTCCCGTTTCCAACGAAATCGCTAGAGCTATCCAAATATCCAGTTACAGTTTCTACCAAAAGGGTGTTTCCAAATTGCTGCATCAAAAGAAAGGTTCAACTCTGTTAGTTGAGGACACACGTCACAAAGAAGTTTGTGAGAATGCTTATGTCCAGATTTTGTATGACGATATTCCCTTTTCCAACGATATCGTTAAAGCAATCTAAATATCCATTTGCAGAATCCACAAAAATAGAGTTTCAAAGCTGCTCTGTAAAAAGAAAGGTTCCACTCTGTTAGCTGAGTACACACATCACAAACTTGTTTCTGAGAATCCTTCTGTCTCGTTTTTATGGGAAGATATTTACTTTTTCACCGTAGGCATCAAAGCGCTCCAAATGTCCACATCCAGATACTCCAGAAAGAGTGTTTCAAACCTGCTCTATGAAAGGGAATCTTCAACTCTATGAGTTGAATGCAGACATCAGAAAGAAATTTCTGAGAATGCTGCTGTCTACCTTTTATTTGAATTCCCGCTTCCAACGAAATCCTCCAAGCTATCCAAATATCCACTTGCATTTTCCACAAAAAGAGTGTTTCAAAACTGCTCTATCAATAGAAATGTTCAACTCCTTTGGCTGGGTACACACATCACAAACAAGTTTCTGAGAATGCTTCTGTCTAGTTTTTATGGGAAGACGTTCCCTTTTTCACCAAAGGCATCAAAGCGCTCCAAATGTCCACTTCCAGACACTACAAAACGAGTGTTTCCAACGTGCTCTAAGAAAGCGAATGTTCAACTCTGTGACTTGAATGCAGATATCACAAAGTAGTTTCTGAGAGGGCTTCTGTCTAGATTTTAGATGATGATATTCCCGTTTCCAACGAAATCATTAGAGCTATCCAAATATCCACTTACAGTTTCTACAAAAAGAGTGTTTCCAAACTGCTGCATCAAAAGAGAGGTTCCACTCTGTTAGCTGAGTACACACATCACAAACTTGTTTCTCAGAATCCTTCTGTCTCGTTTTTATGGGAAGATATTTACTTTTTCACCGTAGGCATCAAAGCGCTCCAAATGTCCACATCCAGATACTACAGAAAGAGTGTTTCAAACGTGCTCTATGAAAGGGAATCTTCAACTCTATGAGTTGAATGCAGACATCAGAAAGAAATTTCTGAGAATGCTGCTGTCTACCTTTTATTTGAATTCCCGCTTCCAACGAAATCCTCCAAGCTATCCAAATATCCACTTGCAGATTCCACAAAAAGAGTGTTTCAAAACTGCTCTCTATCAATGGCAAAGTTCAACTCTGTTAGTTGAGGACACATATCACCAACAAGTTTCTGAGAATGCTTCTGTCTATTTTTTATGGGAAGCTATTTCCTTTTTCACCGTAGGCGTCAAGGCGATCGAAATGTCCACTTCCACAAACTACAAAAAGAGTGTTTCAAACCTGCTCTATGAAAGGCCATGTTCATCTCTATGAGTCGAATGGAAATATCCGAAAGAAATTTCTGGGAATGCTGCTGTCTAGTTTTTATACGAATTCCCGCTTCCAACGAAATCCTCAAAGCAATCCAAATATCCACTTGCAGAATCCACAAAAAGAGTGTTTCAAAACTGCTCTATCAATAGAAAGGTTCAACTCTTTTAGTTGAGTACACACATCACAAACAAGTTTCTGAGAATGCTTCTGTCTGGCTTTTATTGGAAGACGTTTCCTTTTCACCAAAGGCATCAAAGCGCTCCAAATGTCCACTTCCAGATTCTTCCAAAAGAGTGTTTCAAGCGTGCTCAAAGTAAGGGAATGTTCAACTCTGTGACTTGAATGCAGATATCACCAAGTAGTTTCTAATAGTGCTTCTGTCTACATTTTAGATGATGATATTCCCGTTTCCAACGAAATCGCTAGAGCTATCCAAATATCCAGTTACAGTTTCTACCAAAAGGGTGTTTCCAAATTGCTGCATCAAAAGAAAGGTTCAACTCTGTTAGTTGAGGACACACATCACAAAGAAGTTTGTGAGAATGCTTCTGTTTAGATTTTGTATGACGATATTCCCTTTTCCAACGATATCGTTAATGCAAACCAAATATCAATTTGCAGAATCCACAAAAATAGAGTTTCAAAGCTGCTCTGTAAAAAGAAAGTTTCCACTCTGTTAGCTGAGTACACACATCACAAACTTGTTTCTGAGAATCCTTCTGTCTCGTTTTTATGGGAAGATATTTACTTTTTCACCGTAGACATCAAAGCGCTCCAAATGTCCACATCCAGATACTCCAGAAAGAGTGTTTCAAACCTGCTCTATGAAAGGGAATCTTCAACTCTATGAGTTGAATGCAGACATCAGAAAGAAATTTCTGAGAATGCTGCTGTCTACCTTTTATTTGAACTCCCGCTTCCAACGAAATCCTCCAAGCTATCCAAATATCCACTTGCATTTTCCACAAAAAGAGTGCTTCAAAACTGCTCTATCAATAGAAATGTTCAACTCCTTTAGCTGGGTGCACACATCACAAACAAGTTTCTGAGAATGCTTCTGTCTAGTTTTTATGGGTAGACATTCCCTTTTTCACCAAAGGAATCAAAGCGCTCCAAATGTCCACTTCCAGACACTACAAAAAGAGTGTTTCAAACGTGCTCTAAGAAAGCGAATGTTCAACTCTGTGACTTGAATGCAGATATCACACAGTAGTTTCTGAGAGTGCTTCTGTCTAGATTTTAGATGATGATATTCCCGTTTCCAACGAAATCATTAGAGCTATCCAAATATCCACTTACAGTTTCTACAAAAAGAGTGTTTCCAAACTGCTGCATCAAAAGAGAGTTTCCACTCTGTTAGCTGAGTACACACATCACAAACTTGTTTCTCAGAATCCTTCTGTCTCGTTTTTATGGGAAGATATTTACTTTTTCATCGTAGGCCTCAAAGCGCTCCAAATGTCCACATCCAGATACTACAGAAAGAGTATTTCAAACCTGCTCTATGAAAGGGAATGTTCAACTCTATGAGTTGAATGCAGACATCAGAAATAAATTTCTGAGAATGCTGCTGTCTACCCTTTATTTGAATTCCCGCTTCCAACGAAATCCTCCAAGCTATCCAAATATCCACTTGCAGATTCCACAAAAAGAGTGTTTCAAAACTGCTCTCTATCAATGGCAAAGTTCAACTCTGTTAGTTGAGGACACATATCACCAACAAGTTTCTGAGAATGCTTCTGTCTATTTTTTATGGGAAGATATTTCCTTTTTCACCGTAGGCGTCAACGCGATCGAAATGTCCACTTCCACAAACTACAAAAAGAGTGTTTCAAACCTGCTCTATGAAAGGCCAAGTTCATCTCTATGAGTTGAATGGAAATATCCGAAAGAAATTTCTGGGAATGCTGCTGTCTAGTGTTTATACGAATTCCCGCTTCCAACGAAATCCTCAAAGCAATCCAAATATCCACTTGCAGAATCCACAAAAAGAGTGTTTCAAAACTGCTCTATCAATAGAAAGGTTCAACTCTTTTAGTTGAGTACACACATCACGAACAAGTTTCTGAGAATGCTTCTGTCTGGCTTTTATTGGAAGACGTTTTCTTTTCACCAAAGGCATCATCAAAGCGCTAC
Source organism: Homo sapiens (assembly GCF_000001405.40). Classification (NCBI taxonomy): domain Eukaryota; kingdom Metazoa; phylum Chordata; class Mammalia; order Primates; family Hominidae; genus Homo; species Homo sapiens. The sequence continues at coordinate 14,779,597 of NC_000022.11, read as the reverse complement.
AAATGTCCACTTCCAGATTCTTCCAAAAGAGTGTTTCAAACGTGCTCAAAGTAAGGGAATGTTCAACTCTTTGACTTGAATGCAGATATCACCAAGTAGTTTCTAATAGTGCTTCTGTCTAGCATTTTAGATGATGATATTCCCGTTTCCAACGAAATCGTTAGAGCTATCCAAATATCCAGTTACAGTTTCTACCAAAAGGGTGTTTCCAAATTGCTGCATCAAAAGAAAGGTTCAACTCTGTTAGTTGAGGACACACATCACAAAGAAGTTTGTGAGAATGCTTCTGTCTAGATTTTGTATGACGATATTCCCTTTTCCAACGATATCGTTAAAGCAATCTAAATATCAATTTGCAGAATCCACAGAAATAGAGTTTCAAAGCTGCTCTGTAAAAAGAAAGGTTCCACTCTGTTAGCTGAGTACACACATCACAAACTTGTTTCTGAGAATCCTGCTGTCTACCTTTTATTTGAATTCCCGCTTCCAACGAAATCCTCCAAGCTATCCAAATATCCACCTGCATTTTCCACAAAAAGAGTGTTTCAAACGTGCTCTATCAATAGAAATGTTCAACTCCTTTGGCTGGGTACACACATCACAAACAAGTTTCTGAGAATGCTTCTGTCTAGTTTTTATGGGAAGACATTTCCTTTTTCACCAAAGGCATCAAAGAGCTCCAAATGTCCACTTCCAGATACTACAAAAAGAGTGTTTCAAAAGTGCTCTAAGAAAGCGAATGTTCAACTCTGTGACTTGAATGCAGATATCACAAAGTAGTTTCTGAGAGTGCTTCTGTCTAGTTTTTACATGATGATATTCCCGTTTCCAACGAAATCATCAGAGCTATCCAAATATCCACTTACAGTTTCTACAAAAAGAGTGTTTCCAAACTGCTGCATCAAAAGAGAGGTTCCACTCTGTTAGCTGAGTACACACATCACAAACTTGTTTCTGAGAATCCTTCTGTGTCGATTTTATGGGAAGATATTTACTTTTTCACCGTAGGCATCAAAGCGCTCCAAATGTCCACATCCAGATACTCCAGAAAGAGTGTTTCAAACCTGCTCTATGAAAGGGAATCTTCAACTCTATGAGTTGAATGCAGACATCAGAAAGAAATTTCTGAGAATGCTGCTGTCTACCTTTTATTTGAATTCCCGCTTCCAACGAAATCCTCCAAGCTATCCAAATATCCACTTGCAGATTCCACAAAAAGAGTGTTTCAAAACTGCTCTCTATCAATGGCAAAGTTCAACTCTGTTAGTTGAGGACACATATCACCAACAAGTTTCTGAGAATGCTTCTGTCTATTTTTTATGGGAAGATATTTCCTTTTTCACCGTAGGCGTCAAGGCGTTCGAAATGTCCACTTCCACAAACTACAAAAAGAGTGTTTCAAACCTGCTCTATGAAAGGCCATGTTCATCTCTATGAGTTGAATGGAAATATCCGAAAGAAATTTCTGGGAATGCTGCTGTCTAGTGTTTATACGAATTCCCGCTTCCAACGAAATCCTCAAAGCAATCCAAATATCCACTTGCAGAATCCACAAAAAGAGTGTTTCAAAACTGCTCTATCAATAGAAAGGTTCAACTCTTTTAGTTGAGTACACACATCACGAACAAGTTTCTGAGAATGCTTCTGTCTGGCTTTTACTGGAAGACGTTTCCTTTTCACCAAAGGCATCAAAGCGCTCCAAATGTCCACTTCCAGATTCTTCCAAAAGAGTGTTTCAAACGTGGTCGAAGTAAGGGAATGTTCAACTCTGTGACTTGAATGCAGATATCACCAAGTAGTTTCTAATAGTGCTTCTGTCTAGATTTTAGATGATGATATTCCCGTTTCCAACGAAATCGTTAGAGCTATCCAAATATCCACTTACAGTTGCTACAAAAACAGTGTTTCCAAACTGCTGCATCAAAAGAAAGGTTCAACTCTGTTAGTTGAGGACACACGTCACAAAGAAGTTTGTGAGAATGCTTCTGTCTAGATTTTGTATGACGATATTCCCTTTTCCAACGATATCGTTAAAGCAATCTAAATATAAATTTGCAGAATCCACAAAAATAGAGTTTCAAAGCTGCTCTGTAAAAAGAAAGGTTCCACTCTGTTAGCTGAGTACACACATCACAAACTTGTTTCTGAGAATCCTTCTGTCTCGTTTTTATGGGAAGATATTTACTTTTCCAACGTAGGCATCAAAGCGCTCCAAATGTCCACATCCAGATACTCCAGAACGAGTGTTTCAAACCTGCTCTATGAAAGGGAATCTTCAACTCTATGAGTTGAATGCAGACATCAGAAAGAAATTTCTGAGAATGCTGCTGTCTACCTTTTATTTGAATTCCCGCTTCCAACGAAATCCTCCAAGTATCCAAATATCCACCTGCATTTTCCACAACAAGAGTGTTTCACAACTGCTCTATCAATTTAAATGTTCAACTCCTTTGGCTGGGTACACACATCACAAACAAGTTTCTGAGAATGCTTCTGTCTAGTTTTTATGGGTAGACATTCCCTTTTTCACCAAAGGCATCAAAGCGCTCCAAATGTCCACTTCCAGACACTACAAAAAGAGTGTTTCAAACGTGCTCTAAGAAACCGAATGTTCAACTCTGTGACTTGAATGCAGATATCACAAAGTAGTTTCTGAGAGGGCTTCTGTCTAGATTTTAGATGATGATATTCCCGTTTTCAACGAAATCATTAGAGCTATCCAAATATCCACTTACAGTTTCTACAAAAAGAGTGTTTCCAAACTGCTGCATCAAAAGAGAGGTTCCACTCTGTTAGCTGAGTACACACATCACAAACTTGTTTCTCAGAATCCTTCTGTCTCGTTTTTATGGGAAGATATTTACTTTTTCACTGTAGGCATCAAAGCGCTCCAAATGTCCTCATCCAGATACTACAGAAAGAGTATTTCAAACCTGCCCTATGAAAGGGAATGTTCAACTCTATGAGTTGAATGCAGAGATCAGAAAGAAATTTCTGAGAATGCTGCTGTCTACCTTTTATTTGAATTCCCGCTTCCAACGAAATCCTCCAAGCTATCCAGATATCCACTTGCAGATTCCACAAAAAGAGTGTTTCAAAACTGCTCTCTATCAATGGCAAAGTTCAACTCTGTTAGTTGAGGACACATATCACCAACAAGTTTCTTAGAATGCTTCTGTCTATTTTTTATGGGAAGATATTTCCTTTTTCACCGTAGGCGTCAAGGCGATCGAAATGTCCACTTCCACAAACTACAAAAAGAGTGTTTCAAACCTGCTCTATGAAAGGCCATGTTCATCTCTATGAGTTGAATGGAAATATCCGAAAGAAATTTCTGGGAATGCTGCTGTCTAGTTTTTATACGAATTGCCGCTTCCAACGAAATCCTCAAAGCAATCCAAATATCCACTTGCAGAATCCACAAAAAGAGTGTTTCAAAACTGCTCTATCAATAGAAAGGTTCAACTCTTTTAGTTGAGTACACACATCACAAACAAGTTTCTGAGAATGCTTCTGTCTGGCTTTTATTGGAAGACGTTTCCTTTTCACCAAAGGCATCAAAGCGCTCCAAATGTCCACTTCCAGATTCTTCCAAAAGAGTGTTTCAAACGTGCTCAAAGTAAGGGAATGTTCAACTCTGTGACTTGAATGCAGATATCACCAAGTAGTTTCTAATAGTGCTTCTGTCTAGATTTTAGATGATGATATTCCCGTTTCCAACGAAATCGTTAGAGCTATCCAAATATCCACTTACAGTTTCTACCAAAAGAGTGTTTCCAAACTGCTGCATCAAAAGAAAGGTTCAACTCTGTTAGTTGAGGACACACATCACAAAGAAGTTTGTGAGAATGCTTCTGTCCAGATTTTGTATGACGATATTCCCTTTTCCAACGATATCGTTAAAGCAATCTAAATATCCATTTGCAGAATCCACAAAAATAGAGTTTCAAAGCTGCTCTGTAAAAAGAAAGGTTCCACTCTGTTAGCTGAGTACACACATCACAAACTTGTTTCTGAGAATCCTTCTGTCTCGTTTTTATGGGAAGATATTTACTTTTCCACCGTAGGCATCAAAGCGCTCCAAATGTCCACATCCAGATACTGCAGAACGAGTGTTTCAAACCTGCTCCATTAAAGGGAATCTTCAACTCTATGAGTTGAATGCAGACATCAGAAAGAAATTTCTGAGAATGCTGCTGTCTACCTTTTATTTGAATTCCCGCGTCCAACGAAATCCTCCAAGCTATCCAAATATCCACCTGCATTTTCCACAAAAAGAGCGTTTCAAAACTGCTCTATCAATAGAAATGTTCAACTCCTTTGGCTGGGTACACACATCACAAACAAGTTTCTGAGAATGCTTCTGTCTAGTTTTTATGGGTAGACATTCCCTTTTTCACCAAAGGAATCAAAGCGCTCCAAATGTCCACTTCCAGACACTACAAAAAGAGTGTTTCAAACGTGCTCTAAGAAACCGAATGTTCAACTCTGTGACTTGAATGCAGATATCACAAAGTAGTTTCTGAGAGTGCTTCTGTCTAGATTTTAGATGATGATATTCCCGTTTCCAACGAAATCATTAGAGCTATCCAAATATCCACTTACAGTTTCTACAAAAAGAGTGTTTCCAAACTGCTGCATCAAAAGAGAGGTTCCACTCTGTTAGCTGAGTACACACATCACCAACTTGTTTCTGAGAATCCTTCTGTCTCGTTTTTATGGGAAGATATTTACTTTTTCATCGTAGGCATCAAAGCGCTCCAAATGTCCACATCCAGATACTACAGAAAGAGTATTTCAAACCTGCTCTATGAAAGGGAATGTTCAACTCTATGAGTTGAATGCAGACATCAGAAAGAAATTTCTGAGAATGCTGCTGTCTACCTTTTATTTGAATTCCCGCTTCCAACGAAATCCTCCAAGCTATCCAAATATCCACTTGCAGATTCCACAAAAAGAGTGTTTCAAAACTGCTCTCTATCAATGGCAAAGTTAAACTCTGTTAGTTGAGGACACATATCGCCAACAAGTTTCTGAGAATGCTTCTGTCTATTTTTTATGGGAAGATATTTCCTTTTTCACCGTAGGCGTCAAGGCGATCGAAATGTCCACTTCCACAAACTACAAAAAGAGTGTTTCAAACCTGCTCTATGAAAGGCCATGTTCATCTCTATGAGTTGAATGGAAATATCCGAAAGAAATTTCTGGGAATGCTGCTGTCTAGTGTTTATACGAATTCCCGCTTCCAACGAAATCTTCAAAGCAATCCAAATATCCACTTGCAGAATCCACAAAAAGAGTGTTTCAAAACTGCTCTATCAATAGAAAGGTTCAACTCTTTTAGTTGAGTACACACATCACGAACAAGTTTCTGAGAATGCTTCTGTCTGGCTTTTATTGGAAGACGTTTCCTTTTCACCAAAGGCATCAAAGCGCTCCAAATGTCCACTTCCAGATTCTTCCAAAAGAGTGTTTCAAACGTGCTCAAGTAAGGGAATGTTCAACTCTGAGACTTGAATGCAGATATCACCAAGTAGTTTCTAATAGTGCTTCTGTCTAGATTTTAGATGATGATATTCCCGTTTCCAACGAAATCGTTAGAGCTATCCAAATATCCAGTTACAGTTTCTACAAAAAGAGTGTTTCCAAACTGCTGCATCAAAAGAAAGGTTCAACTCTGTTAGATGAGGACACACATCACAAAGAAGTTTGTGAGAATGCTTCTGTCTAGATTTTGTATGACGATATTCCCTTTTCCAACGATATCGTTAAAGCAATCTAAATATCAATTTGCAGAATCCACAAAAATAGCGTTTCAAAGCTGCTCTGTAAAAAGAAAGGTTCCACTCTGTTAGCTGAGAACACACATCACAAACTTGTTTCTGAGAATCCTTCTGTCTCGTTTTTATGGGAAGATATTTACTTTTCCACCGTAGGCATCAAAGCGCTCCAAATGTCCACATCCAGATACTCCAGAACGAGTGTTTCAAACCTGCTCTATGAAAGGGAATCTTCAACTCTATGAGTTGAATGCAGACATCAGAAAGAAATTTCTGAGAATGCTGCTGTCTACCTTTTATTTGAATTCCCGCTTCCAACGAAATCCTCCAAGCTATCCAAATATCCACCTGCATTTTCCACAAAGAGAGTGTTTCAAAACTGCTCTATCAATAGAAATGTTCAACTCCTTTGGCTGGGTACACACATCACAAACAAGTTTCTGAGAATGCTTCTGTCTAGTTTTTATGGGAAGACATTCCCTTTTTCACCAAAGGCATCAAAGCGCTCCAAATGTCCACTTCCAGACACTACAAAAAGAGTGTTTCAAACGTGCTCTAAGAAAGCGAATGTTCAACTCTGTGGCTTGAATGCAGATATCACAAAGTAGTTTCTGAGAGGGCTTCTGTCTAGATTTTAGATGATGATATTCCCGTTTCCAACGAAATCATTAGAGCTATCCAAATATCCACTTACAGTTTCTACAAAAAGAGTGTTTCCAAACTGCTGCATCAAAAGAGAGGTTCCACTCTGTTAGCTGAGTACACACATCACAAACTTGTTTCTCAGAATCCTTCTGTCTCGTTTTTATGGGAAGATATTTACTTTTCCACCGTAGGCATCAAAGCGCTCCAAATGTCCACATCCAGATACTCCAGAAAGAGTGTTTCAAACCTGCTCTATGAAAGGGAATCTTCAACTCTATGAGTTGAATGCAGACATCAGAAAGAAATTTCTGAGAATGCTGCTGTCTACCTTTTATTTGAATTCCCGCTTCCAACGAAATCCTCCAAGCTATCCAAATATCCACTTGCAGATTCCACAAAAAGAGTGTTTCAAAACTGCTCTCTATCAATGGCAAATTTCAACTCTGTTAGTTGAGGACACATATCACCAACAAGTTTCTGAGAATGCTTCTGTCTATTTTTTATGGGAAGATATTTCCTTTTTCACCGTAGGCGTCAAGGCGATCGAAATGTCCACTTCCACAAACTACAAAAAGAGTGTTTCAAACCTGCTCTATAAAAGGCGATGTTCATCTCTATGAGTTGAATGGAAATATCCGAAAGAAATTTCTGGGAATGCTGCTGTCTAGTTTTTATACGAATTCCCGCTTCCAACGAAATCCTCAAAGCAATCCAAATATCCACTTGCAGAATCCACAAAAAGAGTGTTTCAAAACTGCGCTATCAATAGAAAGGTTCAACTCTTTTAGTTGAGTACACACATCACAAACAAGTTTCTGAGAATGCTCTGTCTGGCTTTTATTGGAAGACGTTTCCTTTTCACCAAAGGCATCAAAGCGCTCCAAATGTCCACTTCCAGATTCTTCCAAAAGAGTGTTTCAAACGTGGTCGAAGTAAGGGAATGTTCAACTCTGTGACTTGAATGCAGATATCACCAAGTAGTTTCTAATAGTGCTTTCTGTGTATACTTTAGATGAAGATATTCCCGTTTCCAACGATATCGTTAGACCTATCCAAATATCCACTTACAGTTTCTACAAAAAGTGTGTTTCCAAACTGCTGCATCAAAAGAAAGGTTCAACTCTGTGAGTTGAGGACACACAACACAAAGAAGTTTCTGAGAAAGCTTCTGTCTAGATTTTGTATGACGATATTCCCTTTTCCAACGATATCGTTAAAGCAATCTAAATATCCATTTGCAGAATCCACAAAAATAGAGTTTCAAAGCTGCTCTGTAAAAAGAAAGGTTCCACTCTGTTAGCTGAGTACACACATCACAAACCTTGTTTCTCAGAATCCTGCTGTCTACCTTTTATTTGAATTCCTGCTTCCAACGAAATCCTCCAAGCTATCCAAATATCCACCTGCATTTTCCACAAAAAGAGCGTTTCAAAACTGCTCTATCAATAGAAATGTTCAACTCCTTTGGCTGGGTACACACATCACAAACAAGTTTCTGAGAATGCTTCTGTCTAGTTTTTATGGGAAGACATTTCTTTTTTCACCAAAGGCATCAAAGAGCTCCAAATGTCCACTTCCAGATACTACAAAAAGAGTGTTTCAAAAGTGCTCTAAGAAAGCGAATGTTCAACTCTGTGACTTGAATGCAGATATGAAAAAGTAGTTTCTGAGAGTGCTTCTCTCTAGATTTTAGATGATGATATTCCCGTTTCCAACGAAATCATTAGAGCTATCCAAATATCCCCTTACAGTTTCTACAAAAAGGGTGTTTCCAAACTACTGCATCAAAAGAGAGGTTCCACTCTGTTAGCTGAGTACACACATCACAAACTTGTTTCTCAGAATCCTCTGTCTCGTTTTTATGGGAAGATATTTACTTTTCCACCGTAGGCATCAAAGCGCTCCAAATGTCCACATCCAGATACTCCAGAACGAGTGTTTCAAACCTGCTCTATGAAAGGGAATCTTCAACTCCTATGAGTTGAATGCAGACATCAGAAAGAAATTTCTGAGAATGCTGGCTGTCTACCTTTTATTTGAATTCCCGCTTCCAACGAAATCCTCCAAGCTATCCAAATATCCACTTGCAGATTCCACAAAAAGAGTGTTTCAAAACTGCTCTCTATCAATGGCAAAGTTCAACTCTGTTAGTTGAGGACACATATCACCAACAAGTTTCTGAGAATGCTTCTGTCTATTTTTTATGGGAAGATATTTCCTTTTTCACCGTAGGCGTCAAGGCGATCGAAATGTCCACTTCCACAAACTACAAAAAGAGTGTTTCAAACCTGCTCTATGAAAGGCCATGTTCATCTCTATGAGTTGAATGGAAATATCCGAAAGAAATTTCTGGGAATGCTGCTGTCTAGTGTTTATACGAATTCCCGCTTCCAACGAAATCCTCAAAGCAATCCAAATATCCACTTGCAGAATCCACAAAAAGAGTGTTTCAAAACCGCTCTATCAATAGAAAGGTTCAACTCTTTTAGTTGAGTACACACATCACAAACAAGTTTCTGAGAATGCTTCTGTCTGGCTATTATTGGAAGACGTTTCCTTTTCACCAAAGTCATCATCAAAGCGCTCCAAATGTCCACTTCCAGATTCTTCCAAAAGAGTGTTTGAAACGTGCTCAAAGTAAGGGAATGTTCAACTCTGTGACTTGAATGCAGATATCACCAAGTAGTTTCTAATAGTGCTTTTTAGATGAAGATATTCCCGTTTCCAACGAAATCGTTAGAGCTATCCAAATATCCACTTACAGTTTCTACAAAAAGAGTGTTTCCAAACTGCTGCATCAAAAGAAAGGTTCAACTCTGTTAGTTGAGGACACACATCACAAAGAAGTTTGTGAGAATGCTTCTGTCTAGATTTTGTATGAAGATATTCCCTTTTCCAACGATGTCGTTAAATCAACCCAAATATCAATTTGCAGAATCCACAGAAATAGAGTTTCAAAGCTGCTCTGTAAAAAGAAAGGATCCACTCTGTTAGCTGAGTTCACACATCACAAACTTGTTTCTGAGAATCTTGCTGTCTAAATTTTATTTGAATTCCCGCTTCCAACGAAATCCTCCAAGCTATCCAAATATCCACCTGCATTTTCCACAAAAAGAGCGTTTCAAAACTGCTCTATCAATAGAAATGTTCAACTCCTTTGGCTGGGTACACACATCACAAACAAGTTTCTGAGAATGCTTCTGTCTAGTTTTTATGGGTAGACATTCCCTTTTTCACCAAAGGAATCAAAGCGCTCCAAATGTCCACTTCCAGACACTACAAAAAGAGTGTTTCAAACGTGCTCTAAGAAAGCGAATGTTCAACTCTGTGACTTGAATGCAGATATCACAAAGTAGTTTCTGAGAGGGCTTCTGTCTCGATTTTAGATGATGATATTCCCGTTTCCAACGAAATCATTAGAGCTATCCAAATATCCACTTACAGTTTCTACAAAAAGAGTGTTTCCAAACTGCTGCATCAAAAGTGAGGTTCCACTCTGTTAGCTGAGTACACACATCACAAACTTGTTTCTGAGAATCCTTCTGTCTAGCTTTTATGGGAAGATATTTAATTTTTCACCGTAGGCATCAAAGCGTTCCAAATGTCCACATCCAGATAGTACAGAAAGAGTGTTTCAAACCTGCTCTATGAAAGGGAATGTTCAACTCTATGAGTTGAATGCAAACATCACAAAGAAATTTCTGAGAATGCTGCTGTCTACCTTTCATTTGAATTCCCGCTTCCAACGAAATCCTCCAGGCTATCCAAATATCCACTTGCAGATTCCACAAAAAGAGGGTTTCTAAACTGCTCTATCAATGGCAAGGTTCAACTCTGTCAGTTGAGGATACACATCACAAACAAGTTTCTGAGAATTCTTCTGTCTATTTTTTATGGGAAGATATTTCCTTTTTCACCGTAGGCGTCAAGGCGATCGAAATGTCCACTTCCACAAACTACAAAAAGAGTGTTTCAAACCTGCTCTATGAAAGGCCATGTTCATCTCTATGAGTTGAATGGAAATATCCGAAAGAAATTTCTGGGAATGCTGCTGTCTAGTTTTTATACGAATTCCCGCTTCCAACGAAATCCTCAAAGCAATCCAAATATCCACTTGCAGAATCCACAAAAAGAGTGTTTCAAAACTGCTCTATCAATAGAAAGGTTCAACCCTTTTAGTTGAGTACACACATCACGAACAAGTTTCTGAGAATGCTTCTGTCTGGCTTTTATTGGAAGACGTTTCCTTTTCACCAAAGGCATCAAAGCGCTCCAAATGTCCACTTCCAGATTCTTCCAAAAGAGTGTTTGAAACGTGCTCAAAGTAAGGGAATGTTCAACTCTGTGACTTGAATGCAGATATCACCAAGTAGTTTCTAATAGTGCTTCTGTGTATACTTTAGATGAAGATATTCCCGTTTCCAACGATATCGTTAGACCTATCCAAATATCCACTTACAGTTTCTACAAAAAGAGTGTTTCCAAACTGCTGCATCAAAAGAAAGGTTCAAGTCTGTTAGTTGAGGACACACATCACAAAGAAGTTTCTGAGAAAGCTTCTGTCTAGATTTTGTATGAAGATATTCCCTTTTCCAACGATGTCGTTAAATCAACCCAAATGTCAATTTGCAGAATCCACAGAAATAGAGTTTCAAAGCTGCTCTGTAAAAAGAAAGGATCCACTCTGTTAGCTGAGTACACACATCACAAACTTGTTTCTGAGAATCCTTCTGTCTAGTTTTTATGGGAAGATATTTACTTTTTCACCGTAGGTATCAAAGCGCTCCAAATGTCCACATCCAGATACTACAGAAAGAGTGTTTCAAACCTGCTCTATGAAAGGGAATCTTCAACTCTATGAGTTGAATGCAGACAACAGAAAGTAATTTCTGAGAATGCTGCTGTCTACCTTTCATTTGAATTCCCGCTTCCGACGAAATCCTCCAAGCTATCCAAATATTCACTTGCAGATTCCACAAAAAGAGTGTTTCAAAACTACTCTATCAATAGAAAGGTACAACTCTGTCAGTTGAGGACACACATCACAAACAAGTTTCTGAGAATTCTTCAATTTTTTATGGGAAGACATTTCCTTTTTCACCGTAGGCGTCAAAGCGCTCCAAATGTCCACATCCGGATAGTACAGAAAGAGTGTTTCAAACCTGCTCTATTAAAGGGAATGTTCAACTCTATGAGTTGAATGCAAACATCAGAAAGAAATTTCTGAGAATGCTTCTGTCTAGATTTTAGATGATGATATTCCCGTTTCCAACGAAATCATTAGAGCTATCCAAATATCCACTTACAGTTTCTACAAAAAGAGTGTTTCCAAACTGCTGCATCAAAAGAGAGGTTCCACTCTGTTAGCCCGAGTACACACATCACAAACTTGTTTCTCAGAATCCTTCTGTCTCGTTTTTATGGGAAGATATTTACTTTTTCACCGTAGGCATCAAAGCGCTTCAAATGTCCACATCCAGATACTCCAGAAAGAGTGTTTCAAACCTGCTCTATGAAAGGGAATCTTCAACTCTATGAGTTGAATGCAGACATCAGAAAGAAATTTCTGAGAATGCTGCTGTCTACCTTTTATTTGAATTCCCGCTTCCAACGAAATCCTCCAAGCTATCCAAATATCCACTTGCAGATTCCACAAAAAGAGTGTTTCAAAACTGCTCTCTATCAATGGCAAAGTTCAACTCTGTTAGTTGAGGACACATATCACCAACAAGTTTCTGAGAATGCTTCTGTCTATTTTTTATGGGAAGATATTTCCTTTTTCACGGTAGGCGTCAAGGCGATCGAAATGTCCACTTCTACAAACTACAAAAAGAGTGTTTCAAACCTGCTCTATGAAAGGCCATGTTCATCTCTATGAGTTGAATGGAAATATCCGAAAGAAATTTCTGGGAATGCTGCTGTCTAGTGTTTATACGAATTCCCGCTTCCAACGAAATCCTCAAAGCAATCCAAATATCCACTTGCAGAATCCACAAAAAGAGTGTTTCAAAACTGCTCTATCAATAGAAAGGTTCAACTCTTTTAGTTGAGTACACACATCACGAACAAGTTTCTGAGAATGCTTCTGTCTGTCTTTTATTGGAAGACGTTTCCTTTTCACCAAAGGCATCAAAGCGCTCCAAATGTCCACTTCCAGATTCTTCCAAAAGAGTGTTTCAAACGTGCTCAAAGTAAGGGAATGTTCAACTCTGTGACTTGAATGCAGATATCACCAAGTAGTTTCTAATAGTGCTTCTGTCTAGATTTTAGATGATGATATTCCCGTTTCCAACGAAATCGTTAGAGCTATCCAAATATCCACTTACAGTTTCTACAAAAAGAGTGTTTCCAAACTGCTGCATCAAAAGAAAGGTTCAACTCTGTTAGTTGAGGAGACACATCACAAAGAAGTTTGTGAGAATGCTTCTGTCTAGATTTTGTATGACGATATTCCCTTTTCCAACGATATCGTTAAAGCAATCTAAATATCAATTTGCAGAATCCACAAAAATAGAGTTTCAAAGCTGCTCTGTAAAAAGAAAGGTTCCACTCTGTTAGCTGAGTACACACATCACAAACTTCTTTCTGAGAATCCTTCTGTCTCGTTTTTATGGGAAGATATTTACTTTTTCACCGTAGGCATCAAAGCGCTCCAAATGTCCACATCCAGATACTCCAGAAAGAGTGTTTCAAACCTGCTCTATGAAAGGGAATCTTCAACTCTATGAGTTGAATGCAGACATCAGAAAGAAATTTCTTAGAATGCTGCTGTCTACCTTTTATTTGAATTCCCGCTTCCAACGAAATCCTCCAAGCTATCCAAATATCCACCTGCATTTTCCACAAAAAGAGTGTTTCAAACCTGCTCTATCAATAGAAATGTTCAACTCCTTTGGCTGGGTACACACATCACAAACAAGTTTCTGAGAATGCTCTGTCTAGTTTTTATGGGTAGACATTCCCTTTTTCACCAAAGGAATCAAAGCGCTCCAAATGTCCACTTCCAGACACTACAAAAAGAGTGTTTCCAACGTGCTCTAAGAAAGCGAATGTTCAACTCTGTGACTTGAATGCAGATATCACAAAGTAGTTTCTGAGAGGGCTTTCTGTCTAGGTTTTAGATGATGATATTCCCGTTTCCAACGAAATCATTAGAGCTATCCAAATATCCACTTACGGTTTCTACAAAAAGAGTGTTTCCAAACTGCTGCATCAAAAGAGAGGTTCCACTCTGTTAGCTGAGTACACACATCACAAACTTGTTTCTGAGAATCCTTCTGTCTCGTTTTTCTGGGAAGATATTTACTTTTTCACCGTAGGCATCAAAGCGCTCCAAATGTCCACATCCAGATACTCCAGAAAGAGTGTTTCAAACCTGCTCTATGAAAGGGAATCTTCAACTCTATGAGTTGAATGCAGACATCAGAAAGAAATTTCTGAGAATGCTGCTGTCTACCTTTTATTTGAATTCCCGCTTGCAACGAAATCCTCCAAGCTATCCAAATATCCACTTGCAGATTCCACAAAAAGAGTGTTTCAAAACTGCTCTCTATCAATGGCAAGGTTCAACTCTGTTAGTTGAGGACACATATCACCAACAAGTTTCTGAGAATGCTTCTGTCTATTGTTTATGGGAAGATATTTCCTTTTTCACCGTAGGCGTCAAGGCGATCGAAATGTCCACTTCCACAAACTACAAAAAGAGTGTTTCAAACCTGCTCTATGAAAGGCGATGTTCATCTCTATGAGTTGAATGGAAATATCCGAAAGAAATTTACTGGGAATGCTGCTGTCTAGTGTTTATACGAATTCCCGCTTCCAACGAAATCCTCAAAGCAATCCAAGTATCCACTTGCAGAATCCACAAAAAGAGTGTTTCAAAACTGCTCTATCAATAGAAAGGTTCAACTCTTTTAGTTGAGTACACACATCACGAACAAGTTTCTGAGAATGCTTCTGTCTGGCTTTTATTGGAAGACGTTTCCTTTTCACCAAAGGCATCAAAGCGCTCCAAATGTCCACTTCCAGATTCTTCCAAAAGAGTGTTTCAAACGTGCTCAAAGTAAGGGAATGTTCAACTCTGTGACTTGAATGCAGATATCACCAAGTAGTTTCTAATAGTGCTTCTGTCTAGATTTTAGATGATGATATTCCCGTTTCCAACGAAATCGTTAGATCTATCCAAATATCCAGTTACAGTTTCTACCAAAAGAGTGTTTCCAAACTGCTGCATCAAAAGAAAGGTTCAACTCTGTTAGTTGAGGACACACATCACAAAGAAGTTTGTGAGAATGCTTCTGTCTATATTTTGTATGACCTATTCCCTTTTCCAGCGATATCATTAAAGCAATCTAAATATCCATTTGCAGAATCCACAAAAATAGAGTTTCAAAGCTGCTCTGTAAAAAGAAAGGTTCCACTCTGTTAGCTGAGTACACACATCACAAACTTGTTTCTCAGAATCCTGCTGTCTACCTTTTATTTGAACTCCCGCTTCCAACGAAATCCTCCAAGCTATGCAAATATCCACTTGCATTTTCCACAAAAAGAGTGTTTCAAAACTGCTCTATCAATAGACATGTTCAACTCCTTTAGCTGGGTACACACATCACAAACAAGTTTCTGAGAATGCTTCTGTCTAGTTTTTATGGGTAGACATTCCCTTTTTCACAAAAGGAATCAAAGCGCTCCAAATGTCCACTTCCAGACACTACAAAAAGAGTGTTTCAAACGTGCTCTAAGAAAGCGAATGTTCAACTCTGTGACTTGAATGCAGATATCACAAAGTAGTTTCTGAGAGGGCTTCTGTCTAGATTTTAGATGATGATATTCCCGTTTCCAACGAAATCATTAGAGCTATCCAAATATCCACTTACAGTTTCTACAAAAAGAGTGTTTCCAAACTGCTGCATCAAAACAGAGGTTCCACTCTGTTAGCTGAGTACACACATCACAAACTTGTTTCTCAGAATCCTTCTGTCTCGTTTTTATGGGGGAAGATATTTACTTTTTCACTGTAGGCATCAAAGCGCTCCACATGTCCACATCCAGATACTACAGAAAGAGTATTTCAAACCTGTCCTATGAAAGGGAATGTTCAACTCTATGAGTTGAATGCAGACATCAGAAAGAAATTTCTGAGAATGCTGCTGTCTACCTTTTATTTGAATTCCCGCTTCCAACGAAATCCTCCAAGCTATCCAAATATCCACTTGCAGATTCCACAAAAAGAGTGTTTCAAAACTGCTCTCTATCAATGGCAAAGTTCAACTCTGTTAGTTGAGGACACATATCACCAACAAGTTTCTGAGAATGCTTCTGTCTATTTTTTATGGGAAGATATTTCCTTTTTCACCGTAGGCGTCAAGGCGATCGAAATGTCCACTTCCACAAACTACAAAAAGAGTGTTTCAAACCTGCTCTATGAAAGGCCATGTTCATCTCTATGAGTTGAATGGAAATATCCGAAAGAAATTTCTGGGAATGCTGCTGTCTAGTTTTTATACGAATTCCCGCTTCCAACGAAATCCTCAAAGCAATCCAAATATCCACTTGCAGAATCCACAAAAAGAGTGTTTCAAAACTGCACTATCAATAGAAAGGTTCAACACTTTTAGTTGAGTACACACATCACGAACAAGTTTCTGAGAATGCTTCTGTCTGGCTTTTATTGGAAGACGTTTCCTTTTCACCAAAGGCATCAAAGCGCTCCAAATGTCCACTTCCAGATTCTTCCAAAAGAGTGTTTCAAACGTGCTCAAAGTAAGGGAATGTTCAAATCTGTGACTTGAATGCAGATATCACCAAGTAGTTTCTAATAGTGCTTCTGTCTAGATTTTAGATGATGATATTCCCGTTTCCAACGAAATCGTTAGAGCTATCCAAATATCCACTTACAGTTTCTACCAAAAGGGTGTTTCCAAACTGTTGCATCAAAAGAAAGGTTCAACTCTGTTAGTTGAGGACACACATCACAAAGAAGTTTGTGAGAATGCTTCTGTCCAGATTTTGTATGACAATATTCCCTTTTCCAACGATATCGTTAAAGCAATCTAAATATCAATTTGCAAAATCCACAAAAATAGAGTTTCAAAGCTGCTCTGTAAAAAGAAAGGTTCCACTCTGTTAGCTGAGTACACACATCACAAACTTGTTTCTGAGAATCCTGCTGTCTACCTTTTATTTGAATTCCCGCTTCCAACGAAATCCTCCAAGCTATCCAAATATCCACCTGCATTTTCCACAAAAAGAGTGTTTCAAAACTGCTCTATCAATAGAAATGTTCAACTCCTTTGGCTGGGTACACACATCACAAACAAGTTTCTGAGAATGCTTTCTGTCTAGTTTTTATTGGAAGACATTTCCTTTTTCACCAAAGGCATCAAGGAGCTCCAAATGTCCACTTCCAGATACTACAAAAAGAGTGTTTCAAAAGTGCTCTAAGAAAGCGAATGTTCAACTCTGTGACTTGAATGCAGATATCAAAAAGTAGTTTCTGAGAGTGCTTCTGTCTAGATTTTAGATGATGATATTCCCGTTTCCAACGAAATCATTAGAGCTATCCAAATATCCACTTACAGTTTCTACAAAAAGAGTGTTTCCAAACTGCTGCATCAAAAGAGAGGTTCCACTCTGTTAGCTGAGTACACACATCACAAACTTGTTTCTCAGAATCCTTCTGTCTCGTTCTTATGGGAAGATATTTACTTTTTCACCGTAGGCATCAAAGCGCTCCAAATGTCCACATCCAGATACTCCAGAAAGAGTGTTTCAAACCTGCTCTATGAAAGGGAATCTTCAACTCTATGAGTTGAATGCAGACATCAGAAAGAAATTTCTGAGAATGCTGCTGTCTACCTTTTATTTGAATTCCCGCTTCCAACGAAATCCTCCAAGCTATCCAAATATCCACTTGCAGATTCCACAAAAAGAGTGTTTCAAAACTGCTCTCTATCAATGGCAAAGTTCAACTCTGTTAGTTGAGGACACATATCACCAACAAGTTTCTGAGAATGCTTCTGTCTATTTTTTATGGGAAGATATTTCCTTTTTCACCGTAGGCGTCAAGGCGATCGAAATGTCCACTTCCACAAACTACAAAAAGAGTGTTTCAAACCTGCTCTCTGAAAGGCCATGTTCATCTCTATGAGGTGAATGGAAATATCCGAAAGAAATTTCTGGGAATGCTGCTGTCTAGTTTTTATACGAATTCCCGCTTCCAACGAAATCCTCAAAGCAATCCAAATATCCACTTGCAGAATCCACAAAAAGAGTGTTTCAAAACTGCTCTGTCAATAGAAAGGTTCAACTCTTTTAGTTGAGTACACACATCACAAACAAGTTTCTGAGAATGCTTCTGTCTGGCTTTTATTGGAAGACGTTTCCTTTTCACCAAAGGCATCAAAGCGCTCCAAATGTCCACTTCCAGATTCTTCCAAAAGAGTGTTTGAAACGTGCTCAAAGTAAGGGAATGTTCAACTCTGTGACTTGAATGCAGATATCACCAAGTAGTTTCTAATAGTGCTTCTGTCTACATTTTAGATGATGATATTCCCTTTTCCAACGAAATCGTTAGAGCTATCCAAATATCCAGTTACAGTTTCTACCAAAAGGGTGTTTCCAAATTGCTGCATCAAAAGAAAGGTTCAACTCTGTTAGTTGAGGACACACATCACAAAGAAGTTTGTGAGAATGCTTCTGTCTAGATTTTAGATGATGATATTCCCGTTTCCAACGAAATCATTAGAGCTATCCAAATATCCACTTACAGTTTCTACAAAAAGAGTGTTTCCAAACTGCTGCATCAAAAGAGAGGTTCCACTCTGTTAGCTGAGTACACACATCACAAACTTATTTCTCAGAATCCTGCTGTCTACCTTTTATTTGAATTCCCGCTTCCAACGAAAACCTACAAGCTATCCAAATATCCACTTGCAGATTCCACAAAAAGAGTGTTTCAAAACTGCTCTATCAATAGAAATGTTCAACTCCTTTCGCTGGGTACACACATCACAAACAAGTTTCTGAGAAAGCTTCTGTCTAGTTTTTATGGGAAGACATTTCCTTTTTCACCAAAGGCATCAAAGAGCTCCAAATGTCCACTTCCAGATACTACAAAAAGAGTGTTTCAAAAGTGCTCTAAGAAAGCGAATGTTCAAGTCTGTGACTTGAATGCAGATATCAAAAAGTAGTTTCTGAGAGTGCTTCTGGCTAGATTTTAGATGATGATATTCCCGTTTCCAACGAAATCATTAGAGCTATCCAAATATCCACTTACAGTTTCTACAAAAAGAGTGTTTCCAAACTGCTGCATCAAAAGAGAGGTTCCACTCTGTTAGCTGAGTACACACATCACAAACTTGTTTCTCAGAATCCTTCTGTCTCGTTTTTATGGGAAGATATTTACTTTTCCACCGTAGGCATCAAAGCGCTCCAAATGTCCACATCCAGATACTCCAGAAAGAGTGTTTCAAACCTGCTCTATGAAAGGGAATCTTCAACTCTATGAGTTGAATGCAGACATCAGAAAGAAATTTCTGAGAATGCTGCTGTCTACCTTTTATTTGAATTCCCGCTTCCAACGAAATCCTCCAAACTATCCAAATATCCACTTGCAGATTCAGGAAAAAGAGTGTTTCAAAACTGCTCTCTATCAATGGCAAAGTTCAACTCTGTTAGTTGAGGACACATATCACCAACAAGTTTCTGAGAATGCTTCTGTCTATTTTTTATGGGAAGATATTTCCTTTTTCACCGTAGGCGTCAAGGCGATCGAAATGTCCACTTCCACAAACTACAAAAAGAGTGTTTCAAACCTGCTCTATGAAAGGCCATGTTCATCTCTATGAGTTGAATGGAAATATCCGAAAGAAATTTCTGGGAATGCTGTTGTCTAGTGTTTGTACGAATTCCCGCTTCCAACGAAATCCTCAAAGCAATCCAAATATCCACTTGCAGAATCCACAAAAAGAGTGTTTCAAAACTGCTCTATCAATAGAAAGGTTCAACTCTTTTAGTTGAGTACACACATCACGAACAAGTTTCTCAGAATGCTTCTGTCTGGCTTTTATTGGAAGACGTTTCCTTTTCACCAAAGGCATCAAAGCGCTCCAAATGTCCACTTCCAGATTCTTCCAAAAGAGTGTTTCAAACGTGCTCAAAGTAAGGGAATGTTCAACTCTTTGACTTGAATGCAGATATCACCAAGTAGTTTCTAATAGTGCTTCTGTCTACATTTTAGATGATGATATTCCCGTTTCCAACGAAATCGTTAGAGCTATCCAAATATCCAGTTACAGTTTCTACCAAAAGGGTGTTTCCAAATTGCTGCATCAAAAGAAAGGTTCAACTCTGTTAGTTGAGGACACACATCACAAAGAAGTTTGTGAGAATGCTTCTGTCTAGATTTTGTATGACGATATTCCCTTTTCCAACGATATCGTTAAAGCAATCTAAATATCAATTTGCAGAATCCACAAAAATAGAGTTTCAAAGCTGCTCTGTAAAAAGAAAGGTTCCACTCTGTTAGCTGAGTACACACATCACAAACTTGTTTCCTCAGAATCCTTTCTGTCTCGTTTTTATGGGAAGATATTTACTTTTTCACCATAGGCATCAAAGCGCTCCAAATGTCCACATCCAGATACTCCAGAAAGAGTGTTTCAAACCTGCTCTATGAAAGGGAATCTTCAACTCTATGAGTTGAATGCAGACATCAGAAAGAAATTTCTGAGAATGCTGTTGTCTACCTTTTATTTGAAATCCCGCTTCCAACGAAATCCTCCAAGCTATCCAAATATCCACCTGCATTTTCCACAAAAAGAGTGTTTCAAAACTGCTCTATCAATAGAAATGTTCAACTCCTTTAGCTGGGTACACACATCACAAACAAGTTTCTGAGAATGCTTCTGTCTAGTTTTTATGGGAAGACGTTCCCTTTTTCACCAAAGGCATCAAAGCGCTCCAAATGTCCACTTCCAGACACTACAAAAAGAGTGTTGCAAACGTGCTCTAAGAAAGCGAATGTTCAACTCTGTGACTTGAATGCAGATATCACAAAGTAGTTTCTGAGAGGGCTTCTGTCTAGATTTTAGATGATGATATTCCCGTTTCCAACGAAATCATTAGAGCTATCCAAATATCCACTTACAGTTTCTACAAAAAGAGTGTTTCCAAACTGCTGCATCAAAAGAGAGGTTCCACTCTGTTAGCTGAGTACACACATCACAAACTTGTTTCTCAGAATCCTTCTGTCTCGTTTTTATGGGAAGATATTTACTTTTTCACCGTAGGCATCAAAGCGCTCCAAATGCCCACATCCAGATACTCCAGAAAGAGTGTTTCAAACCTGCTCTATGAAAGGGAATGTTCAACTCTATGAGTTGAATGCAGACATCAGAAAGAAATTTCTGAGAATGCTGCTGTCTACCTTTTATTTGAATTCCCGCTTCCAACGAAATCCTCCAAGCTATCCAAATATCCACTTGCAGATTCCACAAAAAGAGTGTTTCAAAACTGCTCTCTATCAATGGCAAAGTTCAACTCTGTTAGTTGAGGACACATATCACCAACAAGTTTCTGAGAATGCTTCTGTCTATTTTTTATGGGAAGATATTTCCTTTTTCACCGTAGGCGTCAAGGCGATCGAAATGTCCACTTCCACAAACTACAAAAAGAGTGTTTCAAACCTGCTCTATGAAAGGCGATGTTCATCTCTATGAGTTGAATGGAAATATCCGAAAGAAATTTCTGGGAATGCTGCTGTCTAGTTTTTATATGAATTCCCGCTTCCAACGAAATCCTCAAAGCAATCCAAATATCCACTTGCAGAATCCACAAAAAGAGTGTTTCAAAACTGCTCTATCAATAGAAAGGTTCAACTCTTTTAGTTGAGTACACACATCACAAACAAGTTTCTGAGAATGTTTTCTGTCTGGCTTTTATTGGAAGACGTTTCCTTTTCACCAAAGGCATCAAAGCGCTCCAAATGTCCACTTCCAGATTCTTCCAAAAGAGTGTTTGAAACGTGCTCAAAGTAAGGGAATGTTCAACTCTGTGACTTGAATGCAGATATCACCAAGTAGTTTCTAATAGTGCTTCTGTCTAGATTTTAGATGATGATATTCCCGTTTCCAACGAAATCGTTAGAGCTATCCAAATATCCAGTTACAGTTTCTACCAAAAGGGTGTTTCCAAATTGCTGCATCAAAAGAAAGGTTCAACCTCTGTTAGTTGAGGACACACATCACAAAGAAGTTTGTGAGAATGCTTCTGTCTAGATTTTGTATGACCATATTCCCTTTTCCAGCGATATCATTAAAGCAATCTAAATATCCATTTGCAGAATCCACAAAAATAGAGTTTCAAAGCTGCTCTGTAAAAAGAAAGGTTCCACTCTGTTAGCTGAGTACACACATCACAAACTTGTTTCTCAGCATCCTGCTGTCTACCTTTTATTTGAATTCCCGCTTCCAACGAAATCCTCCTAGCTATCCAAACATCCACTTGCATTTTCCACAAAAAGAGTGTTTCAAAACTGCTCTATCAATAGAAACGTTCAACTCCTTTAGCTGGGTACACACATCACAAACAAGTTTCTGAGAATGCTTCTGTCTAGTTTTTATGGGAAGACATTCCCTTTTTCACCAAAGGCACCAAAGCGCTCCAAATGTCCACTTCCAGACACTACAAAAAGAGTGTTTCAAACGTGCTCTAAGAAACCGAATGTTCAACTCTGTGACTTGAATGCAGATATCACAAAGTAGTTTCTGAGAGGGCTTCTGTCTAGATTTTAGATGATGATATTCCCGTTTCCAACAAAATCATTAGAGCTTCCAAATATCCACTTACAGTTTCTACAAAAAGAGTGTTTCCAAACTGCTGCATCAAAAGAGAGGTTCCACTCTGTTAGCTGAGTACACACATCACAAACTTGTTTCTCAGAATCCTTCTGTCTAGCTTTTATGGGAAGATATTTCCTTTTTCACCATAGGCATCAAAGCGATCCCAATGTCCACATCCAGATAGTACAGAAAGAGTGTTTCAAACCTGCTCTATGAAAGGGAATGTTCAACTCTATGAGTTGAAGGCAAACATCACAAAGAAATTTCTGAGAATGCTGCTGTCTACCTTTTATTTGAATTCCCGCTTCCAACGAAATCCTCCAAGCTATCCAAATATCCACCTGCGTTTTCCACAACAAGAGTGTTTCAAAACTGCTCTATCAATAGAAATGTTCAACTCCTTTGGCTGGGTACACACATCACAAACAAGTTTCTGAGAATGCTTCTGTCTATTTTTTATGGGAAGATATTTCCTTCTTCACCGTAGGCGTCAAGGCGATCGAAATGTCCACTTCCACAAACTACAAAAAGAGTGTTTCAAACCTGCTCTATGAAAGGCCATGTTCATCTCTATGAGTCGAATGGAAATATCCGAAAGAAATTTTCTGGGAATGCTGCTGTCTAGTTTTATACGAATTCCCGCTTCCAACGAAATCCTCAAAGCAATCCAAATATCCACTTGCAGAATCCACAAAAAGAGTGTTTCAAAACTGCTCTATCAATAGAAAGGTTCAACTCTTTTAGTTGAGTACACACATCACAAACAAGTTTCTGAGAATGCTTCTGTCTGGCTTTTATTGGAAGACGTTTCCTTTTCACCAAAGGCATCAAAGCGCTCCAAATGTCCACTTCCAGATTCTTCCAAAAGAGTGTTTGAAACGTGCTCAAAGTAAGGGAATGTTCAACTCTGTGACTTGAATGCAGATATCACCAAGTAGTTTCTAATAGTGCTTCTGTCTAGATTTTAGATGATGATATTCCCGTTTCCAAGGAAATCGTTAGAGCTATCCAAATATCCAGTTACAGTTTCTACCAAAAGGGTGTTTCCAAATTGCTGCATCAAAAGAAAGGTTCAACTCTGTTAGTTGAGGACACACATCACAAAGAAGTTTGTGAGAATGCTTCTGTCTAGATTTTGTATGACGATATTCCCTTTTCCAACGATATCGTTAAAGCAATCTAAATATCAATTTGCAGAATCCACAAAAATAGAGTTTCAAAGCTGCTCTGTAAAAAGAAAGGTTCCACTCTGTTAGCTGAGTACACACATCACAAACTTGTTTCTGAGAATCCCTTCTGTCTCGTTTTTATGGGAAGATATTTACTTTTCCACCGTAGGCATCAAAGCGCTCCAAAGGTCCACATCCAGATACTCCAGAACGAGTGTTTCAAACCTGCTCTATGAAAGGGAATCTTCAACTCTATGAGTTGAATGCAGACATCAGAAAGAAATTTCTGAGAATGCTGCTGTCTACCTTTTATTTGAATTCCCGCTTCCAACGAAATCCTCCAAGCTATCCAAATATCCACTTGCATTTTCCACAAAAAAAGTGTTTCATAACTGCTCTGTCAATAGAAATATTCAACTCCTTTAGCTGGGTACACACATCACAAACAAGTTTCTGAGAATGCTTCTGTCTAGTTTTTATGGGAAGACGTTCCCTTTTTCACCAAAGGCATCAAAGCGCTCCAAATGTCCACTTCCAGACACTACAAAAAGAGTGTTTCAAACGTGCTCTAAGAAACCGAATGTTCAACTCTGTGACTTGAATGCAGATATCACAAAGTAGTTTCTGAGAGGGCTTCTGTCTAGATTTTAGACGATGATATTCCCGTTTCCAACGAAATCATTAGAGCTATCCAAATATCCACTTACAGTTTCTACAAAAAGAGTGTTTCCAAACTGCTGCATCAAAAGAGAGGTTCCACTCTGTTAGCTGAGTACACACATCACAAACTTGTTTCTCAGAATCCTTCTGTCTCGTTTTTATGGGAAGATATTTACTTTTTCACCGTAGGCATCAAAGCGCTCCAAATGTCCACATCCAGATAGTACAGAAAGAGTTTTTCAAACCTGCTCTATGAAAGGGAATCTTCAACTCTATGAGTTGAATGCAGACATCAGAAAGAAATTTCTGAGAATGCTGCTGTCTACCTTTTATTTGAATTCCCGCTTCCAACGAAATCCTCCAAGCTATCCAAATATCCACTTGCAGATTCCACAGAAAGAGTGTTTCAAAACTGCTCTCTATCAATGGCAAAGTTCAACTCTGTTAGTTGAGGACACATATCACCAACAAGTTTCTGAGAATGCTTCTGTCTATTTTTTATGGGAAGATATTTCCTTTTTCACCGTAGGCGTCAAGGCGATCGAAATGTCCACTTCCACAAACTACAAAAAGAGTGTTTCAAACCTGCTCTATGAAAGGCCATGTTCATCTCTATGAGTTGAATGGAAATATCCGAAAAAAATTTCTGGGAATGCTGCTGTCTAGTTTTTATATGAATTCCCGCTTCCAACGAAATCCTCAAAGCAATCCAAATATCCACTTGCAGAATCCACAAAAAGAGTGTTTCAAAACTGCTCTATCAATAGAAAGGTTCAACTCTTTTAGTTGAGTACACACATCACGAACAAGTTTCTGAGAATGCTTCTCTCTGGCTTTTATTGGAAGACGTTTCCTTTTCACCAAAGGCATCAAAGCGCTCCAAATGTCCACTTCCAGATTCTTCCAAAAGAGTGTTTCAAACGTGCTCAAAGTAAGGGAATGTTCAACTCTGTGACTTGAATACAGATATCACCAAGTAGTTTCTAATAGTGCTTCTATCTAGATTTTAGATGATGATATTCCCGTTTCCAACGAAATCGTTAGAGCTATCCAAATATCCACTTACAGTTTCTACAAAAAGAGTGTTTCCAAACTGCTGCATCAAAAGAAAGGTTCAACTCTGTTAGTTGAGGACACACATCACAAAGAAGTTTGTGAGAATGCTTCTGTCTAGATTTTGTATGACGATATTCCCTTTTCCAACGATATCATTAAAGCAATCTAAATATCCATTTGCAGAATCCACAAAAATAGAGTTTCAAAGCTGCTCTGTAAAAAGAAAGGTTCCACTCTGTTAGCTGAGTACACACATCACAAACTTGTTTCTCAGAATCCTTCTGTCTCGTTTTTATGGGAAGATATTTACTTTTCCACCGTAGGCATCAAAGCGCTCCAAATGTCCACATCCAGATACTCCAGAAAGAGTGTTTCAAACCTGCTCTATGAAAGGGAATCTTCAACTCTATGAGTTGAATGCAGACATCAGAAAGAAATTTCTGAGAAATGCTGTTGTCTACCTTTTATTTGAAATCCCGCTTCCAACGAAAGCCTCCAAGCTATCCAAATATCCACTTGCATTTTCCACAAAAAGAGTGTTTCAAAACTGCTCTATCAATAGAAATGTTCAACTCCTTTAGCTGGGTACACACATCACAAACAAGTTTCTGAGAATGCTTCTGTCTAGTTTTTATGGGAAGACATTCCCTTTTTCACCAAAGGCATCAAAGCGCTCCAAATGTCCACTTCCAGACACTACAAAAAGAGTGTTTCAAACGTGCTCTAAGAAACCGAATGTTCAACTCTGTGACTTGAATGCAGATATCACAAAGTACTTTCTGAGACGGCTTCTGTCTAGATTTTAGATGATGATATTCCCGTTTCCAACGAAATCATTAGAGCTATCCAAATATCCACTTACAGTTTCTACAAAAAGAGTGTTTCCAAACTGCTGCATCCAAAGAGAGGTTCCACTCTGTTAGCTGAGTACACACATCACAAACTTGTTTCTCAGAATCCTTCTGTCTCGTTTTTATGGGAAGATATTTACTTTTTCACCGTAGGCATCAAAGCGCTCCAAATGTCCACATCTAGATACTCCAGAAAGAGTGTTTCAAACCTGCTCTATGAAAGGGAATCTTCAACTCTATGAGTTGAATGCAGACATCAGAAAGAAATTTCTGAGAATGCTGCTGTCTACCTTTTATTTGAATTCCCGCTTCCAACGAAATCCTCCAAGCTATCCAAATATCCACTTGCAGATTCCACAAAAAGAGTGTTTCAAAACTGCTCTCTATCAATGGCAAAGTTCAACTCTGTTAGTTGAGGACACATATCACCAACAAGTTTCTGAGAATGCTTCTGTCTATTTTTTATGGGAAGATATTTCCTTTTTCACTGTAGGCGTCAAGGCGATCGAAATGTCCACTTCCACAAACTACAAAAAGAGTGTTTCAAACCTGCTCTATGAAAGGCGATGTTCATCTCTATGAGTTGAATGGAAATATCCGAAAGAAATTTCTGGGAATGCTGCTGTCTAGTTTTTATATGAATTCCCGCTTCCAACGAAATCCTCAAAGCAATCCAAATATCCACTTGCAGAATCCACAAAAAGAGTGTTTCAAAACTGCTCTATCAATAGAAAGGTTCAACTCTTTTAGTTGAGTACACACATCACAAACAAGTTTCTGAGAATGCTTCTGTCTGGCTTTTATTGGAAGACGTTTCCTTTTCACCAAAGGCATCAAAGCGCTCCAAATGTCCACTTCCAGATTCTTCCAAAAGAGTGTTTCAAACGTGCTCAAAGTAAGGGAATGTTCAACTCTGTGACTTGAATGCAGATATCACCAAGTAGTTTCTAATAGTGCTTCTGTCTAGATTTTAGATGATGATATTCCCGTTTCCAACGAAATCGTTAGAGCTATCCAAATATCCACTTACACTTTCTACAAAAAGAGTGTTTCCAAACTGCTGCATCAAAAGAAAAGTTCAACTCTGTTAGTTGAGGACACACATCACAAAGAAGTTTGTGAGAATGCTTCTGTCTAGATTTTGTATGACGATATTCCCTTTTCCAACGATATCATTAAAGCAATCTAAATATCAATTTGCAGAATCCACAGAAATAGAGTTTCAAAGCTGCTCTGTAAAAAGAAAGGTTCCACTCTGTTAGCTGAGTACACACATCACAAACTTGTTTCTGAGAATCCTTCTGTCTCGTTTTTATGGGAAGATATTTACTTTTTCACCGTAGGCATCAAAGCGCTCCAAATGTCCACATCCAGATACTCCAGAAAGACTGTTTCAAACCTGCCCTATGAAAGGGAATCTTCAACTCTATGAGTTGAATGCAGACATCAGAAAGAAATTTCTGAGAATGCTGCTGTCTACCTTTTTATTTGAATTCCCGCTTCCAACGAAATCCTCCAAGCTATCCAAATATCCACCTGCATTTTCCACAACAAGAGTGTTTCAAAACTGCTCTATCAATAGAAATGTTCAACTCCTTTGGCTGGGTACACACATCACAAACAAGTTTCTGAGAATGCTTCTTTCTAGATTTTATGGGAAGACATTTCCTTTTTCACCAAAGGCATCAAAGAGCTCCAAATGTCCACTTCCAGATACTACAAAAAGAGTGTTTCAAAAGTGCTCTAAGAAAGCGAATGTTCAACACTATGACTTGAATGCAGATATCAAAAAGTAGTTTCTGAGAGTGCTTCTGTCTAGATTTTAGATGATGATATTCCCGTTTCCAACGAAATCATTAGAGCTATCCAAATATCCACTTACAGTTTCTACAAAAAGAGTGTTTCCAAACTACTGCATCAAAAGAGAGGTTCCACTCTGTTAGGTGAGTACACACATCACAAACTTGTTTCTCAGAATCCTTCTGTCTCGTTTTTCTGGGAAGATATTTACTTTTTCACCGTAGGCATCAAAGCGCTCCAAATGTCCACATCCAGATACTCCAGAAAGAGTGTTTCAAACCTGCTCTATGAAAGGGAATCTTCAACTCCTATGAGTTGAATGCAGACATCAGAAAGAAATTTCTGAGAATGCTGCTGTCTACCTTTCATTTGAATTCCCGCTTCCAACGAAATCCTCCAAGCTATCCAAATATTCACTTGCAGATTCCACAAAAAGAGTGTTTCAAAACTACTCTATCAATAGAAAGGTACAACTCTGTCAGTTGAGGACACACATCACAAACAAGTTTCTGAGAATGCTGTCTACCTTTTATTTGAATTCCCGCTTCCAACGAAAACCTCCAAGCTATCCAAATATCCACTTGCAGATTCCACAAAAAGAGTGTTTCAAAACTGCTCTATCAATAGAAATGTTCAACTCCTTTCGCTGGGTACACACATCACAAACAAGTTTCTGAGAATGCTTCTGTCTGGCTTTTATTGGAAGACGTTTCCTTTTCACCAAAGGCATCAAAGCGCTCCAAATGTCCACTTCCAGATTCTTCCAAAAGAGTGTTTCAAACGTGCTCAAAGTAAGGGAATGTTCTACTCTGTGACTTGAATGCAGATATCACCAAGTAGTTTCTAATAGTGCTTCTGTCTAGATTTTAGATGACGATATTCCCGTTTCCAGCGAAATCGTTAGAGCTATCCAAATATCCACTTACAGTTTCTACAAAAAGAGTGTTTCCAAACTGCTGCATCAAAAGAAAGGTTCAACTCTGTTAGTTGAGGACACACATCACAAAGAAGTTTGTGAGAATGCTTCTGTCTAGATTTTGTATGACCATATTCCCTTTTCCAGCGATATCATTAAAGCAATCTAAATATCCATTTGCAGAATCCACAAAAATAGAGTTTCAAAGCTGCTCTGTAAAAAGAGAGGTTCCACTCTGTTAGCTGAGTACACACATCACAAACTTGTTTCTCAGAATCCTGCTGTCTACCTTTTATTTGAATTCCCGCTTCCAACGAAATCCTCCAAGCTATCCAAATATCCACTTGCATTTTCCACAAAAAGAGTGTTTCAAAACTGCTCTATCAATAGAAACGTTCAACTCCTTTAGCTGGGTACACACATCACAAACAAGTTTCTGAGAATGCTTCTGTCTAGTTTTTATGGGAAGACATTCCCTGTTTCACCAAAGGCATCAAAGCGCTCCAAATGTCCACTTCCTGACACTACAAAAAGAGTGTTTCAAACGTGCTCTAAGAAAGCGAATGTTCAACTCTCTGACTTGAATGCAGATATCACAAAGTAGTTTGCTGAGAGGGCTTCTGTCTAGATTTTAGATGATGATATTCCCGTTTCCAACGAAATCATTAGAGCTATCCAAATATCCACTTACAGTTTCTACAAAAAGAGTGTTTCCAAACTGCTGCATCAAGAGAGAGGTTCCACTCTGTTAGCTGAGTACACACATCACAAACTTGTTTCTCAGAATCCTTCTGTCTCGTTTTTATGGGAAGATATTTACTTTTTCACCGTAGGCATCAAAGCGCTCCAAATGTCCACATCCAGATACTCCAGAAAGAGTGTTTCAAACCTGCTCTATGAAAGGGAATGTTCAACTCTATGAGTTGAATGCAGACATCAGGAAGAAATTTCTGAGAATGCTTGCTGTCTACCTTTTATTTGAATTCCCGCTTCCAACGAAATCCTCCAAGCTATCCAAATATCCACTTGCAGATTCCACAAAAAGAGTGTTTCAAAACTGCTCTCTATCAATGGCAAAGTTCAACTCTGTTAGTTGAGGACACATATCACCAACAAGTTTCTGAGAATGCTTCTGTCTATTTTTTATGGGAAGATATTTCCTTTTTCACCGTAGGCGTCAAGGCGATCGAAATGTCCACTTCCACAAACTACAAAAAGAGTGTTTCAAACCTGCTCTATGAAAGGCGATGTTCATCTCTATGAGTTGAATGGAAATATCCGAAAGAAATTTCTGGGAATGCTGCTGTCTAGTTTTTATACGAATTGCCGCTTCCAACGAAATCCTCAAAGCAATCCAAATATCCACTTGCAGAATCGACAAAAAGAGTGTTTCAAAACTGCTCTATCAATAGAAAGGTTCAACTCTTTTAGTTGAGTACACACATCACAAACAAGTTTCTGAGAATGCTTCTGTCTGGCTTTTATTGGAAGACGTTTCCTTTTCACCAAAGGCATCAAAGCGCTCCAAATGTCCACTTCCAGATTCTTCCAAAAGAGTGTTTGAAACGTGCTCAAAGTAAGGGAATGTTCAACTCTGTGACTTGAATGCAGATATCACCAAGTAGTTTCTAATAGTGCTTCTGTCTAGATTTTAGATGATGATATTCCCGTTTCCAACGAAATCGTTAGAGCTATCCAAATATCCACTTACAGTTGCTACAAAAACAGTGTTTCCAAACTGCTGCATCAAAAGAAAGGTTCAACTCTGTTAGATGAGGACACACGTCACAAAGAAGTTTGTGAGAATGCTTCTGTCTAGATTTTGTATGACGATATTCCCTTTTCCAACGATATCGTTAAAGCAATCTAAATATCAATTTGCAGAATCCACAAAAATAGAGTTTCAAAGCTGCTCTGTAAAAAGAAAGGTTCCACTCTGTTAGCTGAGTACACATATCACAAACTTGTTTCTCAGAATCCTGCTGTCTACCATTTATTTGAATTCCCGCTTCCAACGAAATCTTCCAACCTATCCAAATATCCACCTGCATTTTCCACAAAAAGAGTGTTTCAAAACTGCTCTATCAATAGAAATGTTCAACTCCTTTAGCTAGGTACACACATCACAAACAAGTTTCTGAGAATGCTTCTGTCTAGTTTTTATGGGAAGACGTTCCCTTTTTCACCAAAGGCATCAAAGCGCTCCAAATGTCCACTTCCAGACACTACAAAAAGAGTGTTTCCAACGTGCTCTAAGAAAGCGAATGTTCAACTCTGTGACTTGAATGCAGATATCACAAAGTAGTTTGTGAGAGGGCTTCTGTCTAGATTTTGTATGACGATATTCCCTTTTCCAATGATATCGTTAAAGCAATCTAAATATCAATTTGCAGAATCCACAAAAATAGAGTTTCAAAGCTGCTCTGTAAAAAGAAAGGTTCCACTCTGTTAGCTGAGTACACACATCACAAACTTGTTTCTGAGAATCCTGCTGTCTACCTTTTATTTGAATTCCCGCTTCCAACGAAATCCTCCAAGCTATCCAAATATCCACTTGCATTTTCCACAAAAAGAGTGCTTCAAAACTGCTCTATCAATAAATGTTCAACTCCTTTAGCTGGGTGCACACATCACAAACAAGTTTCTGAGAATGCTTCTGTCTAGTTTTTATGGGAAGACGTTCCCTTTTTCACCAAAGGCATCAAAGCACTCCAAATGTCCACTTCCAGACACTACAAAAAGAGTGTTTCCAACGTGCTCTAAGAAAGCGAATGTTCAACTCTGTGACTTGAATGCAGATATCACAAAGTAGTTTCTGAGAGGGCTTCTGTCCAGATTTTGTATGACGATATTCCCTTTTCCAACGATATCGTTAAAGCAATCTAAATATCAATTTCCAGAATCCACAAAAATAGAGTTTCAAAGCTGCTCTGTAAAAAGAAAGGTTCCACTCTGTTAGCTGAGTACACACAACACAAACTTGTTTCTGAGAATCCTTCTGTCTCGTTTTTATGGGAAGATATTTACTTTTTCACCGTAGGCATCAAAGCGCTCCAAATGTCCACATCCAGATACTCCAGAAAGAGTGTTTCAAACCTGCTCTATGAAAGGGAATCTTCAACTGCTATGAGTTGAATGCAGACATCAGAAAGAAATTTCTGAGAATGCTGCTGTCTACCTTTCATTTGAATTCCCGCTTCCAACGAAATCCTCCAAGCTATCCAAATATCCACTTGCAGATTCCACAAAAAGAGTGTTTCTAAACTGCTCTATCAATGGCAAGGTTCAACTCTGTCAGTTGAGGATACACATCACAAACAAGTTTCTGAGAATTCTTCTGTCTATTTTTTATGGGAAGATATTTCCTTTTTCACCGTAGGCGTCAAGGCGATCGAAATGTCCACTTCCACAAACTACAAAAAGTGTGTTTCAATATGAAAGGCCATGTTCATCTCTATGAGTTGAATGGAAATATCCGAAAGAAATTTCTGGGAATGCTGCTGTCTAGTGTTTATACGAATTCCCGCTTCCAACGAAATCCTCAAAGCAATCCAAATATCCACTTGCAGAATCCACAAAAAGAGTGTTTCAAAACTGCTCTATCAATAGAAAGGTTCAACTCTTTTAGTTGAGTACACACATCACAAACAAGTTTCTGAGAATGCTTCTGTCTGGCTTTTATTGGAAGACGTTTCCTTTTCACCAAAGGCATCAAAGCGCTCCAAATGTCCACTTCCAGATTCTTCCAAAAGAGTGTTTCAAACGTGCTCAAAGTAAGGGAATGTTCTACTCTGTGTCTTGAATGCAGATATCACCAAGTAGTTTCTAATAGTGCTTCTGTCTAGATTTTAGATGATGATATTCCCGTTTCCAACGAAATCGTTAGAGCTATCCAAATATCCAATTACAGTTTCTACCAAAAGGGTGTTTCCAAATTGCTGCATCAAAAGAAAGGTTCAACTCTGTTAGTTGAGGACACACATCACAAAGAAGTTTGTGAGAATGCTTCTGTCTAGATTTTGTATGACGATATTCCCTTTTCCAACGATATCGTTAAAGCAATCTAAATATCCATTTGCAGAATCCACAAAAATAGAGTTTCAAAGCTGCTCTGTAAAAAGAAAGGTTCCACTCTGTTAGCTGAGTACACACATCACAAACTTGTTTCTCAGAATCCTTCTGTCTCGTTTTTATGGGAAGATATTTACTTTTTCACCGTAGGCATCAAAGCGCTCCAAATGTCCACATCCAGATACTCCAGAAAGAGTGTTTCAAACCTGCTCCTATGAAAGGGAATGCTTCAACTCTATGAGTTGAATGCAGACATCAGAAAGAAATTTCTGAGAATGCTGCTGTCTACCTTTTATTTGAACTCCCGCTTCCAACGAAATCCTCCAAGCTATCCAAATATCCACTTGCATTTTCCACAAAAAGAGTGCTTCAAAACTGCTCTATCAATAAATGTTCAACTCCTTTAGCTGGGTGCACACATCACAAACAAGTTTCTGAGAATGCTTCTGTCTAGTTTTTATGGGAAGACATTCCCTTTTTCACCAAAGGCATCAAAGCGCTCCAAATGTCCACTTCCAGACACTACAAAAAGAGTGTTTCCAACGTGCTCTAAGAAAGCGAATGTTCAACTCTGTGACTTGAATACAGATATCACAAAGTAGTTTCTGAGAGGGCTTCTGTCTAGATTTTAGTTGATGATATTCCCATTTCCAACGAAATCATTAGAGCTATCCAAATATTCACTTACAGTTTCTACAAAAAGAGTGTTTCCAAACTGCTGCATCAGAAGAGAGGTTCCACTCTGTTAGCTGAGTACACACATCACAAACTTGTTTCTCAGAATCCTTCTGTCTCGTTTTTATGGGAAGATATTTACTTTTTCATCGTAGGCCTCAAATCGCTCCAAATGTCCACATCCAGATACTACAGAAAGAGTATTTCAAACCTGCCCTATGAAAGGGAATGCTCAACTCTATGAGTTGAATGCAGACATCAGAAAGAAATTTCTGAGAATGCTGCTGTCTACCTTTTATTTGAATTCCCGCTTCCAACGAAATCCTCCAAGCTATCCAAATATCCACTTGCAGATTCCACAAAAAGAGTGTTTCAAAACTGCTCTCTATCAATGGCAAAGTTCAACTCTGTTAGTTGAGGACACATATCACCAACAAGTTTCTGAGAATGCTCTGTCTATTTTTTATGGGAAGATATTTCCTTTTTCACCGTAGGCGTCAAGGCGATCGAAATGTCCACTTCCACAAACTACAAAAAGAGTGTTTCAAACCTGCTCTATGAAAGGCGATGTTCATCTCAATGAGTTGAATGGAAATATCCGAAAGAAATTTCTGGGAATGCTGGCTGTCTAGTTTTATACGAATTCCCGCTTCCAACGAAATCCTCAAAGCAATCCAAATATCCACTTGCAGAATCCACAAAAGAGTGTTTCAAAACTGCTCTATCAATAGAAAGGTTCAACTCTTGTAGTTGAGTACACACATCACAAACAAGTTTCTGAGAATGCTTCTGTCTGGCTTTTATTGGAAGACGTTTCCTTTTCACCAAAGGCATCAAAGCGCTCCAAATGTCCACTTCCAGATTCTTCCAAAAGAGTGTTTGAAACGTGCTCAAAGTAAGGGAATGTTCAACTCTGTGACTTGAATGCAGATATCACCAAGTAGTTTCTAATAGTGCTTCTGTCTAGATTTTAGATGATGATATTCCCGTTTCCAACGAAATCGTTAGAGCTATCCAAATATCCATTACAGTTGCTACAAAAACAGTGTTTCCAAACTGCTGCATCAAAAGAAAGGTTCAACTCTGTTAGTTGAGGACACACATCACAAAGAAGTTTGTGAGAATGCTTCTGTCTAGATTTTGTATGACCATATTCCCTTTTCCAGCGGTATCATTAAAGCAATCTAAATATCCATTTGCAGAATCCACAAAAATAGAGTTTCAAAGCTGCTCTGTAAAAAGAAAGGTTCCACTCTGTTAGCTGAGTACACACATCACAAACTTGTTTCTCAGAATCCTTCTGTCTCGTTCTTATGGGAAGATATTTACTTTTTCACCGTAGGCATCAAAGCGCTCCAAATGTCCACATCCAGATACTCCAGAAACAGTGTTTCAAACCTGCTCTATGAAAGGGAATCTTCAACTCTATGAGTTGAATGCAGACATCAGAAACTAATTTCTCAGAATGCTGCTGTCTACCTTTATTTGAATTCCCGCTTCCAACGAAATCCTCCAAGCTATCCAAATATCCACTTGCATTTTCCACAAAAAGAGTGTTTCAAAACTGCTCTATCAATAGAAATGTTCAACTCCTTTAGCTGGGTACACACATCACAAACAAGTTTCTGAGAATGCTTCTGTCTAGTTTTTATGGGAAGACGTTCCCTTTTTCACCAAAGGCATCAAAGCGCTCCAAATGTCCACTTCCAGACACTACAAAAAGAGTGTTTCAAACGTGCTCTAAGAAAGCGAATGTTCAACTCTGTGACTTGAATGCAGATATCACAAAGTAGTTTCTGAGTGAGCTTCTGTCTAGATTTTAGATGATGATATTCCCGTTTCCAAAGAAATCATTAGAGCTATCCAAATATCCACTTACAGTTTCTACAAAAAGAGTGTTTCCAAACTGCTGCATCAAAAGAGAGGTTCCACTCTGTTAGCTGAGTACACACATCACAAACTTGTTTCTCAGAATCCTTCTGTCTCGTTTTTATGGGAAGATATTTACTTTTTCACCGTAGGCATCAAAGCGCTCCAAATGTCCACATCCAGATACTACAGAAAGAGTATTTCAAACCTGCCCTATGAAAGGGAATCTTCAACTCTATGAGTTGAATGCAGAGATCAGAAAGAAATTTCTGAGAATGCTGCTGTCTACCTTTTATTTGAATTCCCGCTTCCAACGAAATCCTCCAAGCTATCCAAATATCCACTTGCAGATTCCACAAAAAGAGTGTTTCAAAACTGCTCTCTATCAATGGCAAAGTTCAACTCTGTTAGTTGAGGACACGTATCGCCAACAAGTTTCTGAGAATGCTTCTGTCTATTTTTTATGGGAAGATATTTCCTTTTTCACCGTAGGCGTCAAGGCGATCGAAATGTCCACTTCCACAAACTACAAAAAGAGTGTTTCAAACCTGCTCTATGAAAGGCCATGTTCATCTCTATGAGTCGAATGGAAATATCCGAAAGAAATTTCTGGGAATGCTGCTGTCTAGTTTTTATACGAATTCCCGCTTCCAACGAAATCCTCAAAGCAATCCAAATATCCTCTTGCAGAATCCACAAAAAGAGTGTTTCAAAACTGCTCTATCAATAGAAAGGTTCAACTCTTTTAGTTGAGTACACACATCACAAACAAGTTTCTGAGAATGCTTCTGTCTGGCTTTTATTGGAAGACGTTTCCTTTTCACCAAAGGCATCAAAGCGCTCCAAATGTCCACTTCCAGATTCTTCCAAAAGAGTGTTTCAAACGTGCTCAAAGTAAGGGAATGTTCAACTCTGTGACTTGAATGCAGATATCACCAAGTAGTTTCTAATAGTGCTTCTGTCTAGATTTTAGATGATGATATTCCCGTTTCCAACGAAATCGTTAGAGCTATCAAAATATCCACTTACAGTTTCTACAAAAACAGTGTTTCCAAACTGCTGCATCAAAAGAAAAGTTCAACTCTGTTAGTTGAGGACACACATCACAAAGAAGTTTGTGAGAATGCTTCTGTCTAGATTTTGTATGACGATATTCCCTTTTCCAACGATATCGTTAAAGCAATCTAAATATCAATTTGCAGAATCCACAAAAATAGAGTTTCAAAGCTGCTCTGTAAAAAGAAATGTTCCACTCTGTTAGCTGAGTACACACATCACAAACTTGTTTCTGAGAATCCTTCTGTCTCGTTTTTATGGGAAGATATTTACTTTTCCACCGTAGGCATCAAAGCGCTCCAAATGTCCACATCCAGATACTCCAGAACGAGTGTTTCAAACCTGCTCTATGAAAGGGAATCTTCAACTCTATGAGTTGAATGCAGACATCAGAAAGAAATTTCTGAGAATGCTGCTGTCTACCTTTTATTTGAATTCCCGCTTCCAACGAAATCCTCCAAGCTATCCAAATATCCACCTGCATTTTCCACAACAAGAGTGTTTCAAAACTGCTCTATCAATAGAAATGTTCAACTCCTTTGGCTGGGTACACACATCACAAACAAGTTTCTGAGCATGCTTCTGTCTAGTTTTTATGGGAAGACATTCCCTTTTTCACCAAAGGCATCAAAGCGCTCCAAATGTCCACTTCCAGACACTACAAAAAGAGTGTTTCAAACGTGCTCTAAGAAAGCGAATGTTCAACTCTGTGACTTGAATGCAGATATCACAAAGTAGTTTCTGAGAGTGCTTCTGTCTAGACTTTAGATGATGATATTCCCGTTTCCAACGAAATCATTAGAGCTATCCAAATATCCACTTACAGTTTCTACAAAAAGAGTGTTTCCAAACTGCTGCATGAAAAGAGAGGTTCCACTCTGTTAGCTGAGTACACACATCACAAACTTGTTTCTCAGAATCCGTCTGTCTCGTTTTTACGGGAAGATATTTACTTTTTCACCGTAGGCATCAAAGCGCTCCAAATGTCCACATCCAGATACTCCAGAAAGAGTGTTTCAAACCTGCTCTATGAAAGGGAATCTTCAACTCTATGAGTTGAATGCAGACATCAGAAAGAAATTTCTGAGAATGCTGCTGTCTACCTTTTATTTGAATTCCCGCTTCCAACGAAATCCTCCAAGCTATCCAAATATCCACTTGCAGATTCCACAAAAAGAGTGTTTCAAAACTGCTCTCTATCAATGGCAAAGTTCAACTCTGTTAGTTGAGGACACATATCACCAACAAGTTTCTGAGAATGCTTCTGTCTATTTTTTATGGGAAGATATTTCCTTTTTCACCGTAGGCGTCAAGGCGATCGAAATGTCCACTTCCACAAACTACAAAAAGAGTGTTTCAAACCTGCTCTATGAAAGGCCATGTTCATCTCTATGAGTTGAATGGAAATATCCGAAAGAAATTTCTGGGAATGCTGCTGTCTAGTGTTTATACGAATTCCCGCTTCCAACGAAATCCTCAAAGCAATCCAAATATCCACTTGCAGAATCCACAAAAAGAGTGTTTCAAAACTGCTCTATCAATAGAAAGGTTCAACTCTTTTAGTTGAGTGCACACATCACGAACAAGTTTCTGAGAATGCTTCTGTCTGGCTTTTATTGGAAGACGTTTCCTTTTCACCAAAGGCATCAAAGCGCTCCAAATGTCCACTTCCAGATTCTTCCAAAAGAGTGTTTCAAACGTGCTCGAAGTAAGGGAATGTTCAACTCTGTGACTTGAATGCAGATATCACCAAGTAGTTTCTAATAGTGCTTCTGTCTACATTTTAGATGATGATATTCCCGTTTCCAACGAAATCGTTAGAGCTATCCAAATATCCAGTTACAGTTTCTACCAAAAGGGTGCCTCCAAATTGCTGCATCAAAAGAAAGGTTCAACTCTGTTAGTTGAGGACACACATCACAAAGAAGTTTGTGAGAATGCTTCTGTCTAGATTTTGTATGACGATATTCCCTTTTCCAACGATATCGTTAAAGCAATCTAAATATCAATTTGTAGAATCCACAAAAATAGAGTTTCAAAGCTGCTCTGTAAAAAGAAAGGTTCCACTCTGTTAGCTGAGTATACACATCACAAACTTGTTTCTGAGAATCCTTCTGTCTCGTTTTTATGGGAAGATATTTACTTTTTCACCGTAGGCATCAAAGCGCTCCAAATGTCCACATGCAGATACTCCAGAAAGACTGTTTCAAACCTGCTCTATGAAAGGGAATCTTCAACTCTATGAGTTGAATGCAGACATCAGAAAGAAATTTCTGAGAATGCTGCTGTCTACCTTTTATTTGAATTCCCGCTTCCAACGAAATCCTCCAAGCTATCCAAATATCCACCTGCATTTTCCACAAAAAGAGTGTTTCAAAACTGCTCTATCAATAGAAATGTTCAACTCCTTTGGCTGGGTACACACATCACAAACAAGTTTGCTGAGAATGCTTTCTGTCTAGTTTTTATGGGAAGACATTCCCTTTTTCACCAAAGGCATCAAAGCGCTACAAATGTCCACTTCCAGACACTACAAAAAGTGTGTTTCAAACGTGCTCTAAGAAAACGAATGTTCAAATCTGTGACTTGAATGCAGATATCACAAAGTAGTTTCTGAGAGGGCTTCTGTCTAGATTTTAGATGATGATATTCCCGTTTCCAACGAAATCATTAGAGCTATCCAAATATCCACTTACAGTTTCTAGAAAAAGAGTGTTTCCAAACTGCTGCATCAAAAGAGAGGTTCCACTCTGTTAGCTGAGTACACACATCACAAACTTGTTTCTCAGAATCCTTCTGTCTCGTTTTTATGGGAAGATATTTACTTTCTCACCGTAGGCATCAAAGCGCTCCAAATGTCCACATCCAGATACTTCAGAAAGAGTGTTTCAAACCTGCTCTATGAAAGGGAATCTTCAACTCTATGAGTTGAATGCAGACATCAGAAAGAAATTTCTGGGAATGCTGCTGTCTACCTTTTATTTGAATTCCCGCTTCCAACGAAATCCTCCAAGCTATCCAAATATCCACTTGCAGATTCCACAAAAAGAGTGTTTCAAAACTGCTCTCTATCAATGGCAAAGTTCAACTCTGTTAGTTGAGGACACATATCACCAACAAGTTTCTGAGAATGCTTCTGTCTATTTTTTATGGGAAGATATTTCCTTTTTCACCGTAGGCGTCAAGGCGATCGAAATGTCCACTTCCACAAACTACAAAAAGAGTGTTTCAAACCTGCTCTATGAAAGGCCATGTTCATCTCTATGAGTCGAATGGAAATATCCGAAAGAAATTTGCTGGGAATGCTGGCTGTCTAGTTTTTATACGAATTCCCGCTTCCAACGAAATCCTCAAAGCAATCCAAATATCCACTTGCAGAATCCACAAAAAGAGTGTTTCAAAACTGCTCTATCAATAGAAAGGTTCAACTCTTTTAGTTGAGTACACACATCACAAACAAGTTTCTGAGAATGCTTCTGTCTGGCTTTTATTGGAAGACGTTTCCTTTTCACGAAAGGCATCAAAGCGCTCCAAATGTCCACTTCCAGATTCTTCCAAAAGAGTGTTTCAAACGTGCTCAAAGTAAGGGAATGTTCAACTCTGTGACTTGAATGCAGATATCACCAAGTAGTTTCTAATAGTGCTTCTGTCTAGATTTTAGATGATGATATTCCCGTTTCCAACGAAATCGTTAGAGCTATCCAAATATCCACTTACAGTTGCTACAAAAAGAGTGTTTCCAAACTGCTGCATCAAAAGAAAGGTTCAACTCTGTTAGTTGAGGACACACATCACAAAGAAGTTTGTGAGAATGCTTCTGTCTAGATTTTGTATGACGATATTCCCTTTTCCAACGATATCGCTAAAGCAATCTAAATATCAATTTGCAAAATCCACAAAAATAGAGTTTCAAAGCTGCTCTGTAAAAAGAAAGGTTCCACTCTGTTAGCTGAGTACACACATCACAAACTTGTTTCTGAGAATCCTTCTGTCTCGTTTTTATGGGAAGATATTTACTTTTCCACCGTAGGCATCAAAGCGCTCCAAATGTCCACATCCAGATACTCCAGAACGAGTGTTTCAAACCTGCTCTATGAAAGGGAATCTTCAACTCTATGAGTTGAATGCAGACATCAGAAAGAAATTTACTGAGAATGCTGCTGTCTACCTTTTATTTGAATTCCCGCTTCCAACGAAATCCTCCAAGCTATCCAAATATCCACCTGCATTGTCCACAAAAAGAGTGTTTCAAAACTGCTCTATCAATAGAAATGTTCACTCCTTTAGCGGGGTACACACATCACAAACAAGTTTCTGAGAATGCTTCTGTCTAGTTTTTATGGGAAGACGTTCCCTTTTTCACCAAAGGCATCAAAGCGCTCCAAGTGTCCACTTCCAGACACTACAAAAAGAGTGTTTCAAACGTGCTCTAAGAAACCGAATGTTCAACTCTGTGACTTGAATGCAGATATCACAAAGTAGTTTCTGAGAGGGCTTCTGTCTAGATTTTAGATGATGATATTCCCGTTTCCAACGAAATCATTAGAGCTATCCAAATATCCACTTACAGTTTCTACAAAAAGAGTGTTTCCAAACTGCTGCATCAAAAGAGAGGTTCCACTCTGTTAGCTGAGTACACACATCACAAACTTGTTTCTGAGAATCCTGCTGTCTACCTTTTATTTGAATTCCCGCTTCCAACGAAATCCTCCAAGCTATCCAAATATCCACTTGCATTTTCCACAAAAAGAGTGTTTCAAAACGGCTCTCTATCAATGTCAAAGTTCAACTCTGTTAGTTGAGGACACATATCACCAACAAGTTTCTGAGAATGCTTCTGTCTATTTTTTATGGGAAGATATTTCCTTTTTCACCGTAGGCGTCAAGGCGATCGAAATGTCCACTTCCACAAACTACAAAAAGAGTTTTTCAAACCTGCTCTATGAAAGGCCATGTTCATCTCTATGAGTTGAATGGAAATATCCGAAAGAAATTTCTGGGAATGCTGCTGTCTAGTGTTTATACGAATTCCCGCTTCCAATGAAATCCTCAAAGCAATCCAAAAATCCACTTGCAGAATCCACAAAAAGAGTGTTTCAAAACTGCTCTATCAATAGAAAGGTTCAACTCTTTTAGTTGAGTACACACATCACGAACAAGTTTCTGAGAATGCTTCTGTCTGGCTTTTATTGGAAGACGTTTCCTTTTCACCAAAGGCATCAAAGCGCTCCAAATGTCCACTTCCAGATTCTTCCAAAAGAGTGTTTCAAACGTGCTCAAAGTAAGGGAATGTTCAACTCTGTGACTTGAATGCAGATATCACCAAGTAGTTTCTAATAGTGCTTCTGTGTATACTTTAGATGAAGATATTCCCGTTTCCAACGATATCGTTAGACCTATCCAAATATCCACTTACAGTTTCTACAAAAAGAGTGTTTCCAAACTGCTGCATCAAAAGAAAGGTTCAACTCTGTT
Organism: Homo sapiens; assembly: GCF_000001405.40. NCBI lineage: Eukaryota > Metazoa > Chordata > Mammalia > Primates > Hominidae > Homo > Homo sapiens. The sequence continues at coordinate 14,737,732 of NC_000022.11, read as the reverse complement.
AGTTGAGGACACACATCACAAAGAAGTTTCTGAGAAAGCTTCTGTCCAGATTTTGTATGACGATATTCCCTTTTCCAACGATATCATTAAAGCAATCTAAATATCCATTTGCAGAATCCACAAAAATAGAGTTTCAAAGCTGCTCTGTAAAAAGAAAGGTTCCACTCTGTTAGCTGAGTACACACATCACAAACTTGTCTCTCAGAATCCTTCTGTCTCGTTTTTATGGGAAGATATTTTACTTTTTCACCGTAGGAATCAAAGCGCTCCAAATGTCCACATCCAGATACTCCAGAAAGAGTGTTTCAAACCTGCTCTATGAAAGGGAATCTTCAACTCTATGAGTTGAATGCAGACATCAGAAAGAAATTTCTGAGAATGCTTGCTGTCTACCTTTTATTTGAACTCCCGCTTCCAACGAAATCCTCCAAGCTATCCAAATATCCACTTGCATTTTCCACAAAAAGAGTGCTTCAAAACTGCTCTATCAATAAATGTTCAACTCCTTTAGCTGGGTGCACACATCACAAACAAGTTTCTGAGAATGCTTCTGTCTAGTTTTTATGGGAAGACATTCCCTTTTTCACCAAAGGCATCAAAGCGCTCCAAATGTCCACTTCCAGACACTACAAAAAGAGTGTTTCAAACGTGCTCTAAGAAAGCGAATGTTCAACTCTGTGACTTGAATGCAGATATCACAAAGTAGTTTCTGAGAGGGCTTCTGTCTAGATTTTAGATGATGATATTCTCGTTTCCAACGAAATCATTAGAGCTATCCAAATATCCACTTACAGTTTCTACAAAAAGAGTGTTTCCAAACTGCTGCATCAAAGGAGAGGTTCCAATCTGTTAGCTGAGTACACACATCACAAACTTGTTTCTCAGAATCCTTCTGTCTCGTTTTTATGGGAAGATATTTACTTTTGCACCGTAGGCATCAAAGCGCTCCAAATGTCCACATCCAGATACTCCAGAAAGAGTGTTTCAAACCTGCTCTATGAAAGGGAATCTTCAACTCTATGAGTTGAATGCAGACATCAGAAAGAAATTTCTGAGAATGCTGCTGTCTACCTTTTATTTGAATTCCCGCTTCCAACGAAATCCTCCAAGCTATCCAAATATCCACTTGCAGATTCCACAAAAAGAGTGTTTCAAAACTGCTCTCTATCAATGGCAAAGTTCAACTCTGTTAGTTGAGGACACATATCACCAACAAGTTTCTGAGAATGCTTCTGTCTATTTTTTATGGGAAGATATTTCCTTTTTCACTGTAGGCATCAAGGCGATCGAAATGTCCACTTCCACAAACTACAAAAAGAGTGTTTCAAACCTGCTCTATGAAAGGCCATGTTCATCTCTATGAGTTGAATGGAAATATCCGAAAGAAATTTCTGGGAATGCTGCTGTCTAGTTTTTATACGAATTCCCGCTTCCAACGAAATCCTCAAAGCAATCCAAATATCCACTTGCAGAATCCACAAAAAGAGTGTTTCAAAACTGCTCTATCAATAGAAAGGTTCAACTCTTTTAGTTGAGTACACACATCACAAACAAGTTTCTGAGAATGCTTCTGTCTGGCTTTTATTGGAAGATGTTTCCTTTTCACCAAAGGCATCAAAGCGCTCCAAATGTCCACTTCCAGATTCTTCCAAAAGAGTGTTTGAAACGTGCTCAAAGTAAGGGAATGTTCAACTCTGTGACTTGAATGCAGATATCACCAAGTAGTTTCTAATAGTGCTTATGTCTAGATTTTAGATGATGATATTCCCGTTTCCAACGAAATCGCTAGAGCTATCCAAATATCCAGTTACAGTTTCTACCAAAAGGGTGTTTCCAAATTGCTGCATCAAAAGAAAGGTTCAACTCTGTTAGTTGAGGACACACATCACAAAGAAGTTTGTGAGAATGCTTCTGTCTAGATTTTGTATGACCATATTCCCTTTTCCAGCGATATCATTAAAGCAATCTAAATATCCATTTGCAGAATCCACAAAAATAGAGTTTCAAAGCTGCTCTGTAAAAAGAAAGGTTCCACTCTGTTAGCTGAGTACACACATCACAAACTTGTCTCTCAGAATCCTGCTGTCTACCTTTTATTTGAATTCCCACTTCCAACGAAATCCTCCAAGCTATCCAAATATCCACCTGCATTTTCCACAACAAGAGTGTTTCAAAACTGCTCTATCAATAGAAATGTTCAACTCCTTTGGCTGGGTACACACATCACAAACAAGTTTCTGAGAATGCTTCTGTCTAGTTTTTATGGGAAGACATTGCCTTTTTCACCAAAGGCATCAAAGCGCTCCAAATGTCCACTTCCAGACACTACAAAAAGAGTGTTTCAAACGTGCTCTAAGAAAGCGAATGTTCAACTCTGTGACTTGAATGCAGATATCACAAAGTAGTTTCTGAGAGGGCTTCTGTCTAGATTTTAGATGATGATATTCCCGTTTCCAACGAAATCATTAGAGCTATCCAAATATCCACTTACAGTTTCTACAAAAAGAGTGTTTCCAAACTGCTGCATCAGAAGAGAGGTTCCACTCTGTTAGCTGAGTACACACATCACAAACTTGTTTCCGAGAATCCTTCTGTCTAGCTTTTATGGGAAGATATTTACTTTTTCACCGTAGGCATCAAAGCTTTCCAAATGTCCACATCCAGATAGTACAGAAAGAGTGTTTCAAACCTGCTATATGAAAGGGAATGTTCAACTCTATGAGTTGAATGCAAACATCACAAAGAAATTTCTGAGAATGCTGCTGTCTACCTTTTATTTGAATTCCCGCTTCCAACGAAATCCTCCAGGCTATCCAAATATCCACTTGCAGATTCCACAAAAAGAGTGTTTCAAAACTGATCTATCAATGGCAAGGTTCAACTCTGTCAGTTGAGGATACACATCACAAACAAGTTTCTGAGAATTCTTCTGTCTATTTTTTATGGGAAGATACTTCCTTTTTCACCGTAGGCGTCAAGGCGATCGAAATGTCCACTTCCACAAACTACAAAAAGAGTGTTTCAAACCTGCTCTATGAAAGGCCATGTTCATCTCTATGAGTTGAATGGAAATATCCGAAAGAAATTTCTGGGAATGCTGCTGTCTAGTTGTTATATGAATTCCCGCTTCCAACGAAATCCTCAAAGCAATCCAAATATCCACTTGCAGAATCCACAAAAAGAGTGTTTCAAAACTGCTCTATCAATAGAAAGGTTCAACTCTTTTAGTTGAGTACACACATCACAAACAAGTTTCTGAGAATGCTTCTGTCTGGCTTTTGTTGGGAGACGTTTCCTTTTCACCAAAGGCATCAAAGCGCTCCAAATGTCCACTTCCAGATTCTTCCAAAAGAGTGTTTCAAACGTGCTCAAAGTAAGGGAATGTTCAACTCTGTGACTTGAATGCAGATATCACCAAGTAGTTTCTAATAGTGCTTCTGTCTAGATTTTAGATGATGATATTCCCGTTTCCAACGAAATCGTTAGAGCTATCCAAATATCCACTTACAGTTGCTACAAAAAGAGTGTTTCCAAACTGCTGCATCAAAAGAAAGGTTCAACTCTGTTAGTTGAGGACACACATCACAAAGAAGTTTGTGAGAATGCTTCTGTCTAGATTTTGTATGACGATATTCCCTTTTCCAACGATATCATTAAAGCAATCTAAATATCCATTTGCAGAATCCACAAAAATAGAGTTTCAAAGCTGCTCTGTAAAAAGAAAGGTTCCACTCTGTTAGCTGAGTACACACATCACAAACTTGTTTCTCAGAATCCTTCTGTCTCGTTTTTATGGGAAGATATTTACTTTTTCACCGTAGGCATCAAAGCGCTCCAAATGTCCACATCCAGATACTCCAGAAAGAGTGTTTCAAACCTGCTCTATGAAAGGGAATCTTCAACTCTATGAGTTGAATGCAGACATCAGAAAGAAATTTCTGAGAATGCTGCTGTCTACCTTTTATTTGAACTCCCGCTTCCAACGAAATCCTCCAAGCTATCCAAATATCCACTTGCATTTTCCACAAAAAAAGTGCTTCAAAACTGCTCTATCAATAAATGTTCAACTCCTTTAGCTGGGTGCACACATCACAAACAAGTTTCTGAGAATGCTTCTGTCTAGTTTTTATGGGAAGACGTTCCCTTTTTCACCAAAGGCATCAAAGCGCTCCAAATGTCCACTTCCAGACACTACAAAAACAGTGTTTCAAACGTGCTCTAAGAAAGCGAATGTTCAACTCTGTGACTTGAATGCAGATATCACAAAGTAGTTTCTGAGAGTGCTTCTGTCTAGATTTTAGATGATGATATTCCCGTTTCCAACGAAATCATTAGAGCTATCCAAATATCCACTTACAGTTTCTACAAAAAGAGTGTTTCCAAACTGCTGCATCAAAACAGAGGTTCCACTCTGTTAGCTGAGTACACACATCACAAACTTGTTTCTCAGAATCCTTCTGTCTCGTTTTTATGGGAAGATATTTACTTTTTCACCGTAGGCATCAAAGCGCTCCAAATGTCCACATCCAGATACTCCAGAAAGTGTGTTTCAAACCTGCTCTATGAAAGGGAATCTTCAACTCTATGAGTTGAATGCAGACATCAGAAAGAAATTTCTGAGAATGCTGCTGTCTACCTTTAATTTGAATTCCCGCTTCCAACGAAATCCTCCAAGCTATCCAAATATCCACCTGCATTTTCCACAACAAGAGTGTTTCAAAACTGCTCTATCAATAGAAATGTTCAACTCCTTTGGCTGGGTACACACATCACAAACAAGTTTCTGAGAATGCTTCTGTCTAGTTTTTATGGGAAGACATTCCCTTTTTCACCAAAGGCATCAAAGCGCTCCAAATGTCCACTTCCAGACACTACAAAAAGAGTGTTTCAAACGTGCTCTAAGAAACCGAATGTTCAACTCTGTGAGTTGAATGCAGATATCACAAAGTAGTTTCTGAGAGGGCTTCTGTCTAGATTTTAGATGATGATATTCCCGTTTCCAACGAAATCATTAGAGCTATCCAAATATCCACTTACAGTTTCTACAAAAAGAGTGTTTCCAAACTGCTGCATCAAAAGAGAGGTTCCACTCTGTTAGCTGAGTACACACATCACAAACTTGTTTCTCAGAATCCTTCTGTCTCGTTTTTATGGGAAGATTATACTTTTTCACCGTAGGCATCAAAGCGCTCCAAATGTCCACATCCAGATACTCCAGAAAGAGTGTTTCAAACCTGCTCTATGAAAGGGAATGTTCAACTCTATGAGTTGAATGCAGACATCAGAAAGAAATTTCTGAGAATGCTGCTGTCTACCTTTTATTTGAATTCCCGCTTCCAACGAAATCCTCCAAGCTATCCAAATATCCACTTGCAGATTCCACAAAAAGAGTGTTTCAAAACTGCTCTCTATCAATGGCAAAGTTCAACTCTGTTAGTTGAGGACACCTATCACCAACAAGTTTCTGAGAATGCTTCTGTCTATTTTTTATGGGAAGATATTTCCTTTTTCACCGTAGGCGTCAAGGCGATCGAAATGTCCACTTCCACAAACTACAAAAAGAGTGTTTCAAACCTGCTCTATGAAAGGCCATGTTCATCTCTATGAGTCGAATGGAAATATCCGAAAGAAATTTCTGGGAATGCTGCTGTCTAGTTTTTATACGAATTCCCGCTTCCAACGAAATCCTCAAAGCAATCCAAATATCCACTTGCAGAATCCACAAAAAGAGTGTTTCAAAACTGCTCTATCAATAGAAAGGTTCAACTCTTTTAGTTGAGTACACACATCACAAACAAGTTTCTGAGAATGCTTCTGTCTGGCTTTTATTGGAAGACGTTTCCTTTTCACCAAAGGCATCAAAGCGCTCCAAATGTCCACTTTCAGATTCTTCCAAAAGAGTGTTTCAAACGTGCTCGAAGTAAGGGAATGTTCTACTCTGTGATTTGAATGCAGATATCACCAAGTAGTTTCTAATAGTGCTTCTGTCTAGATTTTAGATGATGATATTCCCGTTTCCAACGAAATCGTTAGAGCTATCCAAATATCCAGTTACAGTTTCTACCAAAAGGGTGTTTCCAAATTGCTGCATCAAAAGAAAGGTTCAACTCTGTTAGTTGAGGACACACATCACAAAGAAGTTTGTGAGAATGCTTCTGTCTAGATTTTGTATGAGGATATTCCCTTTTCCAACGATATCGTTAAAGCAATCTAAATATCAATTTGCAGAATCCACAAAACTAGAGTTTCAAAGCTGCTCTGTAAAAAGAAAGGTTCCACTCTGTTAGCTGAGTACACACATCACAAACTTGTTTCTGAGAATCCTTCTGTCTCGTTTTTATGGGAAGATATTTACTTTTCCACTGTAGGCATCAAAGCGCTCCAAATGTCCACATCCAGATACTCCAGAACGAGTGTTTCAAACCTGCTCTATGAAAGGGAATCTTCAACTCTATGAGTTGAATGCAGAATCAGAAAGAAATTTCTGAGAATGCTGCTGTCTACCTTTTATTTGAATTCCCGCTTCCAACGAAATCCTCCAAGCTATCCAAATATCCACCTGCATTTTCCACAAAAAGAGAGTTTCAAAACTGCTCTATCAATAGAAATGTTCATCTCCTTTGGCTGGGTACACACATCACAAACAAGTTTCTGAGAATGCTTCTGTCTAGTTTTTATGGGAAGACATTCCCTTTTTCACCAAAGGCATCAAAGCGCTCCAAATGTCCACTTCCAGACACTACAAAAAGAGTGTTTCCAACGTGCTCTAAGAAAGCGAATGTTCAACTCTGTGACTTGAATTCAGATATCACAAAGTAGTTTCTGAGAGGGCTTCTGTCTAGATTTTAGATGATGATATTCCCGTTTCCAACGAAATCATTAGAGCTATCCAAATATCCACTTACAGTTTCTACAAAAAGAGTGTTTCCAAACTGCTGCATCAAAAGAGAGGTTCCACTCTGTTAGCTGAGTACACACATCACAAACTTGTTTCTCAGAATCCTTCTGTCTCGTTTTTCTGGGAAGATATTTACTTTTTCACCGTAGGCATCAAAGCGCTCCAAATGTCCACATCCAGATACTCCAGAAAGAGTGTTTCAAACCTGCTCTATGAAAGGGAATCTTCAACTCTATGAGTTGAATGCAGACATCAGAAAGAAATTTACTGAGAATGCTGCTGTCTACCTTTTATTTGAATTCCCGCTTCCAACGAAATCCTTCAAGCTATCCAAATATCCACTTGCAGATTCCACAAAAAGAGTGTTTCAAAACTGCTCTCTATCAATGGCAAAGTTCAACTCTGTTAGTTGAGGACACATATCACCAACAAGTTTTTGAGAATGCTTCTGTCTATTTTTTATGGGAAGATATTTCCTTTTTCACCGTAGGCGTCAAGGCGATCGAAATGTCCACTTCCACAAACTACAAAAAGAGTGTTGCAAACCTGCTCTATGAAAGGCCATGTTCATCTCTATGAGTTGAATGGATATATCCGAAAGAAATTTCTGGGAATGCTGCTGTCTAGTGTTTATACGAATTCCCGCTTCCAACGAAATCCTCAAAGCAATCCAAATATCCACTTGCAGAATCCACAAAAAGAGTGTTTCAAAACTGCTCTATCAATAGAAAGGTTCAACTCTTTTAGTTGAGTACACACATCACAAACAAGTTTCTGAGAATGCTTCTGTCTGGCTTTTATTGGAAGACGTTTCCTTTTCACCAAAGGCATCAAAGCGCTCCAAATGTCCACTTCCAGATTCTTCCAAAAGAGTGTTTCAAAAGTGCTCGAAGTAAGGGAATGTTCTACTCTGTGACTTGAATGCAGATATCACCAAGTAGTTTCTAATAGTGCTTCTGTCTACATTTTAGATGATGATATTCCCGTTTCCAACGAAATCGTTAGAGCTATCCAAATATCCAGTTACAGTTTCTACCAAAAGGGTGTTTCCAAATTGCTGCATCAAAAGAAAGGTTCAACTCTGTTAGTTGAGGACACACATCACAAAGAAGTTTGTGAGAATGCTTATCTGTCTATATTTTGTATGACCATATTCCCTTTTCCAGCGATATCATTAAAGCAATCTAAATATCCATTTGCAGAATCCACAAAAATAGAGTTTCAAAGCTGCTCTGTAAAAAGAAAGGTTCCACTCTGTTAGCTGAGTACACACATCACAAACTTGTTTCTGAGAATCCTTCTGTCTCGTTTTTATGGGAAGATATTTACTTTTTCACCGTAGGCATCAAAGCGCTCCAAATGTCCACATCCAGATACTGCAGAAAGAGTGTTTCAAACCTGCTCTATGAAAGGGAATCTTCAACTCTATGAGTTGAATGCAGACATCAGAAAGAAATTTCTGAGAATGCTGCTGTCTACCTTTTATTTGAACTCCCACTTCCAACGAAATCCTCCAAGCTATCCAAATATCCACTTGCATTTTCCACAAAAAGAGTGCTTCAAAACTGCTCTATCAATAAATGTTCAACTCCTTTAGCTGGGTGCACACATCACAAACAAGTTTCTGAGAATGCTTCTGTCTAGTTTTTATGGGAAGACGTTCCCTTTTTCACCAAAGGCATCAAAGCGCTCCAAATGTCCACTTCCAGACACTACAAAAAGAGTGTTTCAAACGTGCTCTAAGAAAGCGAATGTTCAACTCCTGTGACTTGAATGCAGATATCACAAAGTAGTTTCTGAGAGGGCTTCTGTCTAGATTTTAGATGATGATATTCCCGTTTCCAACGAAATCATTAGAGCTATCCAAATATCCACTTACAGTTTCTACAAAAAGAGTGTTTCCAAACTGCTGCATCAGAAGAGAGGTTCCACTCTGTTAGCTGAGTACGCACATCACAAACTTGTTTCTGAGAATCCTTCTTCAATTTTTTATGGGAAGACATTTCCTTTTTCACCGTAGGCATCAAAGCGCTCCAAATGTCCACATCCAGATAGTACAGAAAGAGTGTTTCAAACCTGCTCTATTAAAGGGAATGTTCAACTCTATGAGTTGAATGCAAACATCAGAAAGGAATTTCTGAGAATGCTGCTGTCTACCTTTTATTTGAATTCCCGCTTCCAACGAAATCCTCCAAGCTATCCAAATATCCACTTGCAGATTCCACAAAAAGAGTGTTTCAAAACTGCTCTCTATCAATGGCAAAGTTCAACTCTGTTAGTTGAGGACACATATCACCAACAAGTTTCTGAGAATGCTTCTGTCTATTTTTTATGGGAAGATATTTCCTTTTTCACCGTAGGCGTCAAGGCGATCGAAATGTCCACTTCCAGAAACTACAAAATGAGTGTTTCAAACCTGCTCTATGAAAGGCCATGTTCATCTCTATGAGTTGAATGGAAATATCCGAAAGAAATTTCTGGGAATGCTGCTGTCTAGTGTTTATACGAATTCCCGCTTCCAACGAAATCCTCAAAGCAATCCAAATATCCACTTGCAGAATCCACAAAAAGAGTGTTTCAAAACTGCTCTATCAATAGAAAGGTTCAACTCTTTTAGTTGAGTACACACATCACGAACAAGTTTCTGAGAATGCTTTTGTCTGGCTTTTATTGGAAGACGTTTCCTTTTCACCAAAGGCATCAAAGCGCTCCAAATGTCCACTTCCAGATTTTTCCAAAAGAGTGTTTCAAACGTGCTCAAAGTAAGGGAATGTTCAACTCTGTGACTTGAATGCAGATATCACCAAGTAGTTTCTAATAGTGCTTCTGTCTAGATTTTAGATGATGATATTCCCGTTTCCAACGAAATCATTAGAGCTATCCAAATATCCACTTACAGTTTCTACAAAAAGAGTGTTTCCAAACTGCTGCATCAAAAGAAAGTTTCAACTCTGTTAGTTGAGGACACACATCACAAAGAAGTTTGTGAGAATGCTTCTGTCCAGATTTTGTATGACGATATTCCCTTTTCCAACGATATCGTTAAAGCAATCTAAATATCAATTTGCAGAATCCACAAAAATAGAGTTTCAAAGCTGCTCTGTAAAAAGAAAGGTTCCACTCTGTTAGCTGAGTACACACATCAGAAACTTGTTTCTGAGAATCCTTCTGTCTCGTTTTTATGGGAAGATATTTACTTTTCCAACGTAGGCATCAAAGCGCTCCAAATGTCCACATCCAGATACTCCAGAAAGAGTGTTTCAAACCTGCTCTATGAAAGGGAATCTTCAACTCTATGAGTTGAATGCAGACATCAGAAAGAAATTTCTGAGAATGCTGCTGTCTACCTTTTATTTGAATTCCCGCTTCCAACGAAATCCTCCAAGCTATCCAAATATCCACCTGCATTTTCCACAACAAGAGTGTTTCAAAACTGCTCTATCAATAGAAATGTTCAACTCCTTTGGCTGGGTACACACATCACAAACAAGTCTCTGAGAATGTTTCTGTCTAGTTTTTATGGGAAGACATTCCCTTTTTCACCAAAGGAATCAAAGCGCTCCAAATGTCCACTTCCAGACACTACAAAAAGAGTGTTTCAAACGTGCTCTAAGAAAGCGAATGTTCAACTCTGTGACTTGAATGCAGATATCACAAAGTAGTTTCTGAGAGGGCTTCTGTCTAGATTTTAGATGATGATATTCCCGTTTCCAACGAAATCATTAGAGCTATCCAAATATCCACTTACAGTTTCTACAAAAAGAGTGTTTCCAAACTGCTGGATCAAAAGAGAGGTTCCACTCTGTTAGCTGAGTACACACATCACAAACTTGTTTCTGAGAATCCTGCTGTCTACCTTTTATTTGAATTTCCGCTTCCAACGAACTCCTCCAAGCTATCCAAATATCCACTTGCAGATTCCACAAAAAGAGTGTTTCAAAACTGCTCTCTATCAATGGCAAAGTTCAACTCTGTTAGTTGAGGACACATATCACCAACAAGTTTCTGAGAATGCTTCTGTCTATTTTTTATGGGAAGATATTTCCTTTTTCACCGTAGGCGTCAAGGCGATCGAAATGTCCACTTCCACAAACTACAAAAAGAGTGTTTCAAACCTGCTCTATGAAAGGCCATGTTCATCTCTATGAGTTGAATGGAAATATCCGAAAGAAATTTCTGGGAATGCTGCTGTCTAGTGTTTATACGAATTCCCGCTTCCAACGAAATCCTCAAAGCAATCCAAATATCCACTTGCAGAATCCACAAAAAGAGGGTTTCAAAACTGCTCTATCAATAGAAAGGTTCAACTCTTTTAGTTGAGTACACACAACACGAACAAGTTTCTGAGAATGCTTCTGTCTGGCTTTTATTGGAAGACGTTTCCTTTTCACCAAAGGCATCAAAGCGCTCCAAATGTCCACTTCCAGATTCTTCCAAAAGAGTGTTTCAAACGTGGTCGAAGTAAGGGAATGTTCAACTCTGTGACTTGAATGCAGATATCACCAAGTAGTTTCTAATAGTGCTTCTGTCTACATTTTAGATGATGATATTCCCGTTTCCAACGAAATCGTTAGAGCTATCCAAATATCCAGTTACAGTTTCTACCAAAAGGGTGTTTCCAAATTGCTGCATCAAAAGAAAGGTTCAACTCTGTTAGTTGAGGACACACATCACAAAGAAGTTTGTGAGAATGCTTCTGTCCAGATTTTGTATGACAATATTCCCTTTTCCAACGATATCGTTAAAGCAATCTAAATATCAATTTGCAGAATCCACAAAAATAGAGTTTCAAAGCTGCTCTGTAAAAAGAAAGGTTCCACTCTGTTAGCTGAGTACACACATCACAAACTTGTTTCTGAGAATCCTTCTGTCTCGTTTTTATGGGAAGATATTTACTTTTCCACCGTAGGCATCAAAGCGCTCCAAATGTCCACATCCGGATACTCGAGAACGAGTGTTTCAAACCTGCTCTATGAAAGGGAATCTTCAACTCTATGAGTTGAATGCAGACATCAGAAAGAAATTTCTGAGAATGCTGCTGTCTACCTTTTATTTGAATTCCCGCTTCCAACGAAATCCTCCAAGCTATCCAAATATCCACTTGCATTTTCCACAAAAAGAGTGTTTCAAAACTGCTCTATCAATAGAAATGTTCAACTCCTTTGGCTGGGTACACACATCACAAACAAGTTTCTGAGAATGCTTCTGTCTAGTTTTTATGGGAAGACGTTCCCTTTTTCACCAAAGGCATCAAAGCGCTCCAAATGTCCACTTCCAGACACTACAAAAAGAGTGTTTCCAACGTGCTCTAAGAAAGCGAATGTTCAACTCTGTGACTTGAATGCAGATATCACAAAGTAGTTTCTGAGAGTGCTTCTGTCTAGATTTTAGATGATGATATTCCCGTTTCCAACGAAATCATTAGAGCTATCCAAATATCCACTTACAGTTTCTACAAAAAGAATGTTTCCAAACTGCTGCATCAAAAGAGAGGTTCCACTCTGTTAGCTGAGTACACACATCACAAACTTGTTTCTCAGAATCCTTCTGTCTCGTTTTTATGGGAAGATATTTACTTTTCCACCGTAGGCATCAAAGCGCTCCAAATGTCCACATCCAGATACTCCAGAAAGAGTGTTTCAAACCTGCTCTATGAAAGGGAATCTTCAACTCTATGAGTTGAATGCAGACATCAGAAAGAAATTTCTGAGAATGCTGCTGTCTACCTTTTATTTGAATTCCCGCTTCCAACGAAATCCTCCAAGCTATCCAAATATCCACTTGCAGATTCCACAAAAAGAGTGTTTGAAAACTGCTCTCTATCAATGGCAAAGTTCAACTCTGTTAGTTGAGGACACATATCACCAACAAGTTTCTGAGAATGCTTCTGTCTATTTTTTATGGGAAGATATTTCCTTTTTCAGCGTAGGTGTCAAGGCGATCGAAATGTCCACTTCCACAAACTACAAAAAGAGTGTTTCAAACCTGCTCTATGAAAGGCCATGTTCATCTCTATGAGTTGAATGGAAATATCCGAAAGAAATTTCTGGGAATTCTGCTGTCTAGTGTTTATACGAATTCCCGCTTCCAACGAAATCCTCAAAGCAATCCAAATATCCACTTGCAGAATCCACAAAAAGAGTGTTTCAAAACTGCTCTATCAATAGAAAGGTTCAACTCTTTTAGTTGAGTACACACATCACAAACAAGTTTCTGAGAATGCTTCTGTCTGGTTTTTATTAGAAGACGTTTCCTTTTTCACCAAAGGCATCAAAGCGCTCCAAATGTCCACTTCCAGATTCTTCCAAAAGAGTGTTTCAAACGTGCTCGAAGTAAGGGAATGTTCTACTCTGTGACTTGAATGCAGATATCACCAGGTAGTTTCTAATAGTGCTTCTGTCTAGATTTTAGATGATGATATTCCCGTTTCCAACGAAATCGTTAGAGCTATCCAAATATCCAGTTACAGTTTCTACCAAAAGGGTGTTTCCAAATTGCTGCATCAAAAGAAAGGTTCAACTCTGTTAGTTGAGGACACACATCACAAAGAAGTTTGTGAGAATGCTTCTGTCTAGATTTTGTATGACGATATTCCCTTTTCCAACGATATCGTTAAAGCAATCTAAATATCAATTTGCAGAATCCACAAAAATAGAGTTTCAAAGCTGCTCTGTAAAAAGAAAGGTTCCACTCTGTTAGCTGAGTACACACATCACAAACTTGATTCTGAGAATCCTTCTGTCTCGTTTTTATGGGAAGATATTTACTTTTCCACTGTAGGCATCAAAGCGCTCCAAATGTCCACATCCAGATACTCCAGAACGAGTGTTTCAAACCTGCTCTATGAAAGGGAATCTTCAACTCTATGAGTTGAATGCAGACATCAGAAAGAAATTTCTGAGAATGCTGCTGTCTACCTTTTATTTGAATTCCCGCTTCCAACGAAAACCTCCAAGCTATCCAAATATCCACTTGCAGATTCCACAAAAAGAGTGTTTCAAAACTTCTCTATCAATAGAAATGTTCAACTCCTTTCGCTGGGTACACACATCACAAACAAGTTTCTGAGAAAGCTTCTGTCTAGTTTTTATGGGAAGACATTTCCTTTTTCACCAAAGGCATCAAAGAGCTCCAAATGTCCACTTCCAGATACTACAAAAAGAGTGTTTCAAAAGTGCTCTAAGAAAGCGAATGTTCAACTCTGTGACTTGAATGCAGATATCAAAAAGTAGTTTCTGAGAGTGCTTCTGTCTAGATTTTAGATGATGATATTCCCGTTTCCAACGAAATCATTAGAGCTATCCAAATATCCACTTACAGTTTCTACAAAAAGAGTGTTTCCAAACTGCTGCATCAAAAGAGAGGTTCCACTCTGTTAGCTGAGTACACACATCACAAACTTGTTTCTCAGAATCCTTCTGTCTCGTTTTTATGGGAAGATATTTACTTTTTCCACCGTAGGCATCAAAGCGCTCCAAATGTCCACATCCAGATACTCCAGAAAGAGTGTTTCAAACCTGCTCTATGAAAGGGAATCTTCAACTCTATGAGTTGAATGCAGACATCAGAAAGAAATTTCTGAGAATGCTGCTGTCTACCTTTTATTTGAATTCCCGCTTCCAACGAAATCCTCCAAGCTATCCAAATATCCACTTGCATTTTCCACAAAAAGAGTGTTTCAAAACTGCTCTATCAATGGAAATGTTCAACTCCTTTAGCTGGGTACACACATCACAAACAAGTTTCTGAGAATGCTTCTGTCTAGTTTTTATGGGAAGACATTCCCTTTTTCACCAAAGGCATCAAAGCGCTCCAAATGTCCACTTCCAGACACTACAAAAAGAGTGTTTCCAACGTGCCCTAAGAAAGCGAATGTTCAACTCTGTGACTTGAATGCAGATATCACAAAGTAGTTTCTGAGAGGGCTTCTGTCTAGATTTTAGATGATGATATTCCCGTTTCCAACGAAATCATTAGAGCTATCCAAATATCCACTTACAGTTTCTACAAAAAGAGTGTTTCCAAACTGCTGCATCAAAAGAGAGGTTCCACTCTGTTAGCTGAGTACACACATCACAAACTTGTTTCTCAGAATCCTTCTGTCTCTTTTTTATGGGAAGATATTTACTTTTTCACCGTAGGCATCAAAGCGCTCCAAATGTCCACATCCAGATACTCCAGAAAGAGTGTTTCAAACCTGCTCTATGAAAGGGAATCTTCAACTCTATGAGTTAAATTCAGACATCAGAAAGAAATTTCTGAGAATGCTGCTGTCTACCTTTTATTTGAATTCCCGCTTCCAACGAAATCCTCCAAGCTATCCAAATATCCACTTGCAGATTCCACAAAAAGAGTGTTTCAAAACTGCTCTCTATCAATGGCAAAGTTCAACTCTGTTAGTTGAGGACACATATCACCAACAAGTTTTCTGAGAATGCTTTCTGTCTATTTTTTATGGGAAGATATTTCCGTTTTCACCGTAGGCGTCAAGGCGATCGAAATGTCCACTTCCACAAACTACAAAAAGAGTGTTTCAAACCTGCTCTATGAAAGGCCATGTTCATCTCTATGAGTTGAATGGAAATATCCGAAAGAAATTTCTGGGAATGCTGCTGTCTAGTTTTTATACGAATTCCCGCTTCCAACGAAATCCTCAAAGCAATCCAAATATCCACTTGCAGAATCCACAAAAAGAGTGTTTCAAAACTGCTCTATCAATAGAAAGGTTCAACTCTTTTAGTTGAGTACACACATCACAAACAAGTTTCTGAGAATGCTTCTGTCTGGCTTTTATTGGAAGACGTTTCCTTTTCACCAAAGGCATCAAAGCGCTCCAAATGTCCACTTCCAGATTCTTCCAAAAGAGTGTTTGAAACGTGCTCAAAGTAAGGGAATGTTCAACTCTGTGACTTGAATGCAGATATCACCAAGTAGTTTCTAATAGTGCTTCTGTCTACATTTTAGATGATGATATTCCCGTTTCCAACGAAATCGTTAGAGCTATCCAAATATCCAGTTACAGTTTCTACCAAAAGGGTGTTTCCAAATTGCTGCATCAAAAGAAAGGTTCAACTCTGTTAGTTGAGGACACACATCACAAAGAAGTTTGTGAGAATGCTTCTGTCTAGATTTTGTATGACGATATTCCCTTTTCCAACGATATCGTTAAAGCAATCTAAATATCAATTTGCAGAATCCACAAAAATAGAGTTTCAAAGCTGCTCTGTAAAAATAAAGGTTCCACTCTGTTAGCTGAGTACACACATCACAAACTTGTTTCTGAGAATCCTTCTGTCTCGTTTTTATGGGAAGATATTTACTTTTTCACCGTAGGCATCAAAGCGCTCCAAATGTCCACATCCAGATACTCCAGAAAGAGTGTTTCAAACCTGCTCTATGAAAGGGAATCTTCAACTCTATGAGTTGAATGCAGACATCAGAAAGAAATTTCTGAGAATGCTGCTGTCTACCTTTTATTTGAATTCCCTCTTCCAACGAAATCCTCCAAGCTATCCAAATATCCACTTGCATTTTCCACAAAAAGAGTGTTTCAAAACTGCTCTATCAATAGAAATGTTCAACTCCTTTAGCTGGGTAGACACATCACAAACAAGTTTCTGAGAATGCTTCTGTCTAGTTTTTATGGGTAGACATTCCCTTTTTCACCAAAGGCATCAAAGCGCTCCAAATGTCCACTTCCAGACACTACAAAAAGAGTGTTTCCAACGTGCTCTAAGAAAGCGAATGTTCAACTCTGTGACTTGAATGCAGATATCACAAAGTAGTTTCTGAGAGGGCTTCTGTCTAGATTTTAGATGATGATATTCCCGTTTCCAACGAAATCATTAGCAGCTATCCAAATATCCACTTACAGTTTCTACAAAAAGAGTGTTTCCAAACTGCTGCATCAAAACAGAGGTTCCACTCTGTTAGCTGAGTACACACATCACAAACTTGTTTCTCAGAATCCTTCTGTCTAGCTTTTATGGGAAGATATTTACTTTTTCACCGTAGGCATCAAAGCTTTCCAAATGTCCACTTCCAGATAATACAGAAAGAGTGTCTCAAACCTGCTCTATGAAAGGGAATGTTCAACTCTATGAGTTGAATGCAAACATCAGAAGGAAATTTCTGAGAATGCTGCTGTCTACCTTTTATTTGAATTCCCGCTTCCAACGAAATCCTCCAAGCTATCCAAATATCCACTTGCAGATTCCACAAAAAGAGTGTTTCAAAACTGCTCTCTATCAATGGCAAAGTTCAAGTCTGTTAGTTGAGGACACATATCACCAACAAGTTTCTGAGAATGCTTCTGTCTATTTTTTATGGGAAGATATTTCCTTTTTCACCGTAGGCGTCAAGGCGATCGAAATGTCCACTTCCACAAACTACAAAAAGAGTGTTTCAAACCTGCTCTATGAAAGGCCATGTTCATCTCTATGAGTTGAATGGAAATATCCGAAAGAAATTTCTGGGAATGCTGCTGTCTAGTGTTTATACGAATTCCCGCTTCCAACGAAATCCTCAAAGCAATCCAAATATCCACTTGCAGAATCCACAAAAAGAGTGTTTCAAAACTGCTCTATCAATAGAAAGGTTCAACTCTTTTAGTTGAGTACACACATCACCAACAAGTTTCTGAGAATGCTTCTGTCTGGCTTTTATTGGAAGACGTTTCCTTTTCACCAAAGGCATCAAAGCGCTCCAAATGTCCACTTCCAGATTCTTCCAAAAGAGTGTTTCAAACGTGCTCGAAGTAAGGGAATGTTCTACTCTGTGACTTGAATGCAGATATCACCAGGTAGTTTCTAATAGTGCTTCTGTCTAGATTTTAGATGATGATATTCCCGTTTCCAACGAAATCGTTATAGCTATCCAAATATCCACTTACAGTTTCTACAAAAAGAGTGTTTCCAAACTGCTGCATCAAAAGAAAGGTTCAACTCTGTTAGTTGAGGACACACATCACAAAGAAGTTTGTGAGAAAGCTTCTGTCTAGATTTTGTATGACCATATTCCCTTTTCCAGCGATATCATTAAAGCAATCTAAATATGCATTTGCAGAATCCACAAAAATAGAGTTTCAAAGCTGCTCTGTAAAAAGAAAGGTTCCACTCTGTTAGCTGAGTACACACATCACAAACTTGTCTCTCAGAATCCTTCTGTCTCGTTTTTATGGGAAGATATTTACTTTTTCACCGTAGGCATCAAAGCGCTCCAAATGTCCACATCCAGATACTCCAGAAACAGTGTTTCAAACCTGCTCTATGAAAGGGAATGTTCAACTCTATGAGTTGAATGCAGACATCAGAAAGAAATTTCTGAGAATGCTGCTGTCTACCTTTTATTGAATTCCCGCTTCCAACGATATCCTCCAAGCTATCCAAATATCCACTTGCATTTTCCACAAAAAGAGTGTTTCAAAACTGCTCTATCAATAGAAATGTTCAACTCCTTTAGCTGGGTACACACATCACAAACAAGTTTCTGAGAATGCTTCTGTCTAGTTTTTATGGGAAGACATTCCCTTTTTCACCAAAGGCATCAAAGCGCTCCAAATGTCCACTTCCAGACACTACAAAAGGAGTGTTTCCAACGTGCTCTAAGAAACCGAATGTTCAACTCTGTGACTTGAATGCAGATATCACAAAGTAGTTTCTGAGAGGGCTTCTGTCTAGATTTTAGATGATGATATTCCCGTTTCCAACGAAATCATTAGATCTATCCAAATATCCACTTACAGTTTCTACAAAAAGAGTGTTTCCAAACTGCTGCATCAAAAGAGAGGTTCCACTCTGTTAGCTGAGTACACACATCACAAACTTGTTTCTCAGAATCCTTCTGTCTCGTTTTTCTGGGAAGATATTTACTTTTTCACCGTAGGCATCAAAGCGCTCCAAATGTCCACATCCAGATACTCCAGAAGGAGTGTTTCAAACCTGCTCTATGAAAGGGAATCTTCAACTCTATGAGTTGAATGCAGACATCAGAAAGAAATTTCTGAGAATGCTGCTGTCTACCTTTTATTTGAATTCCCGCTTCCAACGAAATCCTCCAAGCTATCCAAATATCCACTTGCAGATTCCACAAAAAGAGTGTTTCAAAAACTGCTCTCTATCAATGGCAAAGTTCAACTCTGTTAGTTGAGGACACATATCACCAACAAGTTTCTGAGAATGCTTCTGTCTATTTTTTATGGGAAGATATTTCCTTTTTCACCGTAGGCGTCAAGGCGATCGAAATGTCCACTTCCACAAACTACAAAAAGAGTGTTTCAAACCTGCTCTATGAAAGGCCATGTTCATCTCTATGAGTTGAATGGAAATATCCGAAAGAAATTTCTGGGAATGCTGCTGTCTAGTGTTTATACGAATTCCCGCTTCCAACGAAATCCTCAAAGCAATCCAAATATCCACTTGCAGAATCCACAAAAAGAGTGTTTCAAAACTGCCCTATCAATAGAAAGGTTCAACTCTTTTAGTTGAGTACACACATCACGAACAAGTTTCTCAGAATGCTTCTGTCTGGCTTTTATTGTAAGACGTTTCCTTTTCACCAAAGGCATCAAAGCGCTCCAAATGTCCACTTCCAGATTCTTCCAAAAGAGTGTTTGAAACGTGCTCAAAGTAAGGGAATGTTCAACTCTGTGACTTGAATGCAGATATCACCAAGTAGTTTCTAATAGTGCTTCTGTCTAGATTTTAGATGATGATATTCCCGTTTCCAACGAAATCGTTAGAGCTATCCAAATATCCACTTACAGTTTCTACAAAAAGAGTGTTTCCAAACTGCTGCATCAAAAGAAAGGTTCAACTCTGTTAGTTGAGGACACACGTCACAAAGAAGTTTGTGAGAATGCTTCTGTCTAGATTTTGTATGAAGATATTCCCTTTTCCAACGATGTCGTTAAATCAACCCAAATATCAATTTGCAGAATCCACAGAAATAGAGTTTCAAAGCTGCTCTGTAAAAAGGAAGGATCCACTCTGTTAGCTGAGTACACACATCACAAACTTGTTTCTGAGAATCCTTCTGTCTCGTTTTTATGGGAAGATATTTTCTTTTCCACCGTAGGCATCAAAGCGCTCCAAATGTCCACATCCAGATACTCCAGAACGAGTGTTTCAAACCTGCTCTATGAAAGGGAATCTTCAACTCTATGAGTTGAATGCAGACATCAGAAAGAAATTTCTGAGAATGCTCCTGTCTACCTTTTATTTGAATTCCCGCTTCCAATGAAATCCTCCAAGCTATCCAAATATCCACTTGCATTTTCCACAAAAAGAGTGTTTCAAAACTGCTCTATCAATGGAAATGTTCAACTCCTTTAGCTGGGTACACACATCACAAACAAGTTTCTGAGAATGCTTCTGTCTAGTTTTTATGGGAAGACATTCCCTGTTTCACCAAAGGCATCAAAGCGCTCCAAATGTCCACTTCCTGACACTACAAAAAGAGTGTTTCAAACGTGCTCTAAGAAAGCGAATGTTCAACTCTCTGACTTGAATGCAGATATCACAAAGTAGTTTCTGAGAGGGCTTCTGTCTAGATTTTAGATGATGATATTCCCGTTTCCAACGAAATCATTAGAGCTATCCAAATATCCACTTACGGTTTCTACAAAAAGAGTGTTTCCAAACTGCTGCATCAAAAGAGAGGTTCCACTCTGTTAGCTGAGTACACACATCACAAACTTGTTTCTCAGAATCCTTCTGTCTCGTTTTTATGGGAAGATTATACTTTTTCACCGTAGGCATCAAAGCGCTCCAAATGTCCACATCCAGATACTCCAGAAAGAGTGTTTCAAACCTGCTCTATGAAAGGGAATCTTCAACTCTATGAGTTGAATGCAGACATCAGAAAGAAATTTCTGAGAATGCTGCTGTCTACCTTTAATTTGAATTCCCGCTTCCAACGAAATCCTCCAAGCTATCCAAATATCCACTTGCAGATTCCACAAAAAGAGTGTTTCAAAACTGCTCTCTATCAATGGCAAAGTTCAACTCTGTTAGTTGAGGACACATATCACCAACAATTTTCTGAGAATGCTTCTGTCAATTTTTTATGGGAAGATATTTCCTTTTTCACCGTAGGCATCAAGGCGATCGAAATGTCCACTTACACAAACTACAAAAAGAGTGTTTCAATATGAAAGGCCATGTTCATCTCTATGAGTTGAATGGAAATATCCGAAAGAAATTTCTGGGAATGTTGCTGTCTAGTGTTTATACGAATTCCCGCTTCCAACGAAATCCTCAAAGCAATCCAAATATCCACTTGCAGAATCCACAAAAAGAGTGTTTCAAAACTGCTCTATCAATAGAAAGGTTCAACTCTTTTAGTTGAGTACACACATCACGAACAAGTTTCTGAGAATGCTTCTGTGTGGCTTTTATTGGAAGACGTTTCCTTTTCACCAAAGGCATCAAAGCGCTCCAAATGTCCACTTCCAGATTCTTCCAAAAGAGTGTTTCAAACGTGCTCAAAGTAAGGGAATGTTCAACTCTGTGACTTGAATGCAGATATCACCAAGTAGTTTCTAATAGTGCTTCTGTCTACATTTTAGATGATGATATTCCCGTTTCCAACGAAATCGTTAGAGCTATCCAAATATCCAGTTACAGTTTCTACCAAAAGGGTGCTTCCAAATTGCTGCATCAAAAGAAAGGTTCAACTCTGTTAGTTGAGGACACACATCACAAAGAAGTTTGTGAGAATGCTTCTGTCTAGATTTTGTATGACGGTATTCCCTTTTCCAACGATATCGTTAAAGCAATCTAAATATCAATTTGCAGAATCCACAACAATAGAGTTTCAAAGCTGCTCTGTAAAAAGAAAGGTTCCACTCTGTTAGCTGAGTACACACATCACAAACTTGTTTCTGAGAATCCTTTCTGTCTCGTTTTTCTGGGAAGATATTTACTTTTTCACCGTAGGCATCAAAGCGCTCCAAATGTCCACATCCAGATACTCCAGAAAGAGTGTTTCAAACCTGCTCTATGAAAGGGAATCTTCAACTCTATGAGTTGAATGCAGACATCAGAAAGAAATTTCTGAGAATGCTGGCTGTCTACCTTTTATTTGAATTCCCGCTTCCAACGAAATCCTTCAAGCTATCCAAATATCCACCTGCATTTTCCACAAAAAGAGTGTTTCAAAACTGCTCTATCAATAGAAATGTTCAACTCCTTTGGCTGGGTACACACATCACAAACAAGTTTCTGAGAATGCTTCTGTCTAGTTTTTATGGGAAGACGTTCCCTTTTTCACCAAAGGCATCAAAGTGCTCCAAATGTCCACTTCCAGACACTACAAAAAGAGTGTTTCAAACGTGCTCTAAGAAAGCGAATGTTCAACTCTGTGACTTGAATGCAGATATCACAAAGTAGTTTCTGAGAGTGCTTGTGTCTAGATTTTGTATGACGATATTCCCTTTTCCAACGATATCGTTAAAGCAATCTAAATATCAATTTGCAGAATCCACAAAAATAGAGTTTCAAAGCTGCTCTGTAAAAAGAAAGGTTCCACTCTGTTAGCTGAGTACACACATCACAAACTTGTTTCTCAGAATCCTTCTGTCTCGTTTTTATGGGAAGATATTTACTTTTTCACCGTAGGCATCAAAGCGCTCCAAATGTCCACGTCCAGATACTCCAGAAAGAGTGTTTCAAACCTGCTCTATGAAAGGGAATCTTCAACTCTATGAGTTGAATGCAGACATCAGAAAGAAATTTCTGAGAATGCTGCTGTCTACCTTTTATTTGAATTCCCGCTTCCAACGAAATCCTCCAAGCTATCCAAATATCCACTTGCAGATTCCACAAAAAGAGTGTTTCAAAACTGCTCTCTATCAATGGCAAAGTTCAACTCTGTTAGTTGAGGACACATATCACCAACAAGTTTCTGAGAATGCTTCTGTCTATTTTTTATGGGAAGATATTTCCTTTTTCACCGTAGGCGTCAAGGCGATCGAAATGTCCACTTCCACAAACTACAAAAAGAGTGTTTCAAACCTGCTCTATGAAAGGCCATGTTCATCTCTATGAGTCGAATGGAAATATCCGAAAGAAATTTCTGGGAATGCTGCTGTCTAGTTTTTATACGAATTCCCGCTTCCAACGAAATCCTCAAAGCAATCCTAATATCCACTTGCAGAATCCACAAAAAGAGTGTTTCAAAACTGCTCTATCAATAGAAAGGTTCAACTCTTTTAGTTGAGTACACACATCACAAACAAGTTTCTGAGAATGCTTCTGTCTGGCTTTTATTGGAAGACGTTTCCTTTTCACCAAAGGCATCAAAGCGCTCCAAATGTCCACTTCCAGATTCTTCCAAAAGAGTGTTTGAAACGTGCTCAAAGTAAGGGAATGTTCAACTCTGTGACTTGAATGCAGATATCACCAAGTAGTTTCTAATAGTGCTTCTGTCTAGATTTTAGATGATGATATTCCCGTTTCCAACGAAATCGTTAGAGCTATCCAAATATCCACTTACAGTTTCTACAAAAACAGTGTTTCCAAACTGCTGCATCAAAAGAAAGGTTCAACTCTGTTAGTTGAGGACACACGTCACAAAGAAGTTTGTGAGAATGCTTCTGTCTAGATTTTGTATGAAGATATTCCCTTTTCCAATGATATCTTTAAATCAACACAAATATCAATTTGCAGGATCCACAAAAACAGTTTCAAAGCTGCTCTGTAAAAAGAAAGGTTCCACTCTGTTAGCTGAGTACACACATCACAAACTTGCTTCTGAGAATCCTTCTGTCTCGTTTTTATGGGAAGATATTTACTTTTTCACCGTAGGCATCAAAGCGCTCCAAATGTCCACATCCAGATACTCCAGAAAGAGTGTTTCAAACCTGCTCTATGAAAGGGAATCTTCAACTCTATGAGTTGAATGCAGACATCAGAAAGAAATTTCTGAGAATGCTTGCTGTCTACCTTTTATTTGAACTCCCGCTTCCAACGAAATCCTCCAAGCTATCCAAATATCCACTTGCATTTTCCACAAAAAGAGTGCTTCAAAACTGCTCTATCAATAGAAATGTTCAACTCCTTTAGCTGGGTGCACACATCACAAACAAGTTTCTGAGAATGCTTCTGTCTAGTTTTTATGGGAAGACATTCCCTTTTTCACCAAAGGCATCAAAGCGCTCCAAATGTCCACTTCCAGACACTACAAAAAGTGTGTTTCAAACGTGCTCTAAGAAACCGAATGTTCAACTCTGTGACTTGAATGCAGATATCACAAAGTAGTTTCTGAGAGGGCTTCTGTCTAGATTTTAGATGATGATATTCCCGTTTCCAACGAAATCATTAGAGCTATCCAAATATCCACTTACAGTTTCTACAAAAAGAGTGTTTCCAAACTGCTGCATCAAAAGAGAGGTTCCACTCTGTTAGCTGAGTACACACATCACAAACTTGTTTCTCAGAATCCTGCTGTCTACCTTTTATTTGAATTCCCGCTTCCAACGAAATCCTCCAAGCTATCCAAATATCCACTTGCAGATTCCACAAAAAGAGTGTTTCAAAACTGCTCTCTATCAATGGCAAAGTTCAACTGTGTTAGTTGAGGACACATATCACCAACAAGTTTCTGAGAATGCTTCTGTCTATTTTTTATGGGAAGATATTTCCTTTTTCACCGTAGGCGGTCAAGGCGATCGAAATGTCCACTTCCACAAACTACAAAAAGAGTGTTTCAAACCTGCTCTATGAAAGGCCATGTTCATCTCTATGAGTTGAATGGAAATATCCGAAAGAAATTTCTGGGAATGCTGCTGTCTAGTGTTTATACGAATTCCCGCTTCCAACGAAATCCTCAAAGCAATCCAAATATCCACTTGCAGAATCCACAAAAAGAGTGTTTCAAAACTGCTCTATCAATAGAAAGGTTCAACTCTTTTAGTTGAGTACACACACCACGAACATGTTTCTGAGAATGCTTCTGTCTGGCTTTTATTGGAAGACGTTTCCTTTTCACCAAAGGCATCAAAGCGCTCCAAATGTCCACTTCCAGATTCTTCCAAAAGAGTGTTTCAAACGTGCTCAAAGTAAGGGAATGTTCAACTCTTTGACTTGAATGCAGATATCACCAAGTAGTTTCTAATAGTGCTTTCTGCCTACATTTTAGATGATGATATTCCCTTTTCCAACGAAATCGTTAGCAGCTATCCAAATATCCAGTTACAGTTTCTACCAAAAGGGTGTTTCCAAATTGCTGCATCAAAAGAAAGGTTCAACTCTGTTAGTTGAGGACACACATCACAAAGAAGTTTGTGAGAATGCTTCTGTCTATATTTTGTATGAGGATATTCCCTTTTCCAACGATATCGTTAAAGCAATCTAAATATCAATTTGCAGAATCCACAAAAATAGAGTTTCAAAGCTGCTCTGTAAAAAGAAAGGTTCCACTCTGTTAGCTGAGTACACACATCACAAACTTGTTTCTCAGAATCCTTCTGTCTCGTTTTTATGGGAAGATATTTACTTTTTCACCGTAGGCATCCAAGCGCTCCAAATGTCCACATCCAGATACTCCAGAAAGAGTGTTTCAAACCTGCTTTATGAAAGGGAGTCTTCAACTCTATGAGTTGAATGCAGACATCAGAAGGAAATTTCTGAGAATGCTGCTGCTGTCTACCTTTTATTTGAATTCCCGCTTCCAACGAAATCCTCCAAGCTATCCAAATATCCACCTGCATTTTCCACAAAAAGAGTGTTTCAAAACTGCTCTATCAATAGAAATGTTCAACTCCTTTGGCTGGGTACACACATCACAAACAAGTTTCTGAAAATGCTTCTGTCTACTTTTTAAGGGAAGACATTTCCTTTTTCACCAAAGGCATCAAAGCGCTCCAAATGTCCACTTCCAGATTCTACAAAAAGAGTGTTTCAAACCTGCTCTAAGTAAGGGAGTTTTCAACCCTGTGACTGGAATGCAGATATCACAAAGTAGTTTCTGAGACTGCTTCTGTGTATACTTTAGATGAAGATATTCCCGTTTCCAACGATATCGTTAGACCTACCCAAATATCCACTTACAGTTTCTACAGAAAGTGTGTTTCCAAACTGCTGCATCAAAAGAAAGGTTCAACTCTGTTAGTTGAGGACACACATCACAAAGAAGTTTCTGAGAAAGCTTCTGTCTCGTTTTTATGGGAAGATATTTACTTTTTCACCATAGGCATCAAAGCGCTCCAAATGTCCACGTCCAGATACTCCAGAAAGAGTGTTTCAAACCTCCTCTATGAAAGGGAATCTTCAACTCTATGAGTTGAATGCAGACATCAGAAAGAAATTTCTGAGAATGCTGCTGTCTACCTTTTATTTGAATTCCCGCTTCCAACGAAATCCTCCAAGCTATCCAAATATCCACTTGCATTTTCCACAAAAAGAGTGTTTCAAAACTGCTCTATCAATAGAAATGTTCAACTCCTTTAGCTGGGTACACACATCACAAACAAGTTTCTGAGAATGCTTCTGTCTAGTTTTTATGGGAAGACATTCCCTTTTTCACCAAAGGCATCAAAGCGCTCCAAATGTCCACTTCCAGACACTACAAAAAGAGTGTTTCCAACGTGCTCTAAGAAAGCGAATGTTCAACTCTGTGACTTGAATGCAGATATCACAAAGTAGTTTCTGAGACGGCTTCTGTCTAGATTTTAGATGATGATATTCCCGTTTCCAACGAAATCATTAGAGCTATCCAAATATCCACTTACAGTTTCTACAAAAAGAGTGTTTCCAAACTGCTGCATCAAAAGAGAGGTTCCACTCTGTTAGCCGAGTACACACATCACAAACTTGTTTCTCAGAATCCTTCTGTCTCGTTTTTATGGGAAGATATTTACTTTTTCACCGTAGGCATCAAAGCGCTCCAAATGTCTACATCCAGATAGTACAGAAAGAGTTTTTCAAACCTGCTCTATGAAAGGGAATCTTCAACTCTATGAGTTGAATGCAGACATCAGAAAGAAATTTCTGAGAATGCTGCTGTCTACCTTTTATTTGAATTCCCGCTTCCAACGAAATCCTCCAAGCTATCCAAATATCCACTTGCAGATTCAGGCAAAAGAGTGTTTCAAAACTGCTCTCTATCAATGGCAAAGTTCAACTCTGTTAGTTGAGGACACATATCACCAACAAGTTTCTGAGAATGCTTCTGTCTATTTTTTATGGGAAGATATTTCCTTTTTCACCGTAGGCGTCAAGGCGATCGAAATGTCCACTTCCACAAACTACAAAAAGAGTGTTTCAAACCTGCTCTATGAAAGGCCATGTTCATCTCTATGAGTTGAATGGAAATATCCGAAAGAAATTTCTGGGAATGCTGCTGTCTAGTTTTTATATGAATTCCCGCTTCCAACGAAATCCTCAAAGCAATCCAAATATCCACTTGCAGAATCCACAAAAAGAGTGTTTCAAAACTGCTCTATCAATAGAAAGGTTCAACTCCTTTAGTTGAGTACACACATCACAAACAAGTTTCTGAGAATGCTTCTGTCTGGCTTTTATTGGAAGACGTTTCCTTTTCACCAAAGGCATCAAAGCGCTCCAAATGTCCACTTCCAGATTCTTCCCAAAGAGTGTTTCAAACGTGCTCAAAGTAAGGGAATGTTCAACTCTGTGACTTGAATGCAGATATCACCAAGTAGTTTCTAATAGTGCTTCTGTCTAGATTTTAGATGATGATATTCCCGTTTCCAACGAAATCGTTAGAGCTATCCAAATATCCACTTACAGTTTCTACCAAAAGGGTGTTTCCAAACTGCTGCATCAAAAGAAAGGTTCAAGTCTGTTAGTTGAGGACACACATCACAAAGAAGTTTGTGAGAATGCTTCTGTCTAGATTTTGTATGACGATATTCCCTTTTCCAACGATATCGTTAAAGCAATCTAAATATCAATTTGCAGAATCCACAAAAATAGAGTTTCAAAGCTGCTCTGTAAAAAGAAAGGTTCCACTCTGTTAGCTGAGTACACACATCACAAACTTGTTTCTCAGAATCCTTCTGTCTCGTTTTTATGGGAAGATATTTACTTTTTCACCGTAGGCATCAAAGCGCTCCAAATGTCCACATCCAGATATTCCAGAAAGACTGTTTCAAACCTGCTCTATGAAAGGGAATCTTCAACTCTATGAGTTGAATGCAGACATCAGAAAGAAATTTCTGAGAATGCTGCTGTCTACTTTTTATTTGAATTCCCGCTTCCCACGAAATCCTCCAAGCTATCCAAATATCCACCTGCATTTTCCACAAAAAGAGTGTTTCAAAACTGCTCTATCAATAGAAATGTTCAACTCCTTTAGCTGGGTAGACACATCACAAACAAGTTTCTGAGAATGCTTCTGTCTAGTTTTTATGGGAAGACATTCCCTTTTTCACCAAAGGCATCAAAGCGCTCCAAATGTCCACTTCCAGACACTACAAAAAGAGTGTTTCCAACGTGCTCTAAGAAAGCGAATGTTCAACTCTGTGACTTGAATGCAGATATCACAAAGTAGTTTCTAATAGTGCTTCTGTCTAGATTTTAGATGATGATATTCCCGTTTCCAAAGAAATCATTAGAGCTATCCAAATATCCACTTACAGTTTCTACAAAAAGAGTGTTTCCAAACTGCTGCATCAAAAGAGAGGTTCCACTCTGTTAGCTGAGTACACACATCACAAACTTGTTTCTCAGAATCCTTTCTGTCTCGTTTTTATGGGAAGATATTTACTTTTTCACCGTAGGCATCAAAGCGCTCCAAATGTCCACATCCAGATACTCTGAACGAGTGTTTCAAACCTGCTCTATGAAAGGGAATCTTCAACTCTATGAGTTGAATGCAGACATCAGAAAGAAATTTCTGAGAATGCTGCTGTCTACCTTTTATTTGAATTCCCGCTTCCAACGAAATCCTCCAAGCTATCCAAATATCCACTTGCAGATTCCACAAAAAGAGTGTTTCAAAACTGCTCTCTATCAATGGCAAAGTTCAACTCTGTTAGTTGAGGACACATATCACCAACAAGTTTCTGAGAATGCTTCTGTCTATTTTTTATGGGTAGATATTTCCTTTTTCACCGTAGGCGTCAAGGCGATCGAAATGTCCACTTCCACAAACTACAAAAAGAGTGTTTCAAACCTGCTCTATGAAAGGCCATGTTCATCTCTATGAGTTGAATGGAAATATCCGAAAGAAATTTCTGGGAATGCTGCTGTCTAGTTTTTATATGAATTCCCGCTTCCAACGAAATCCTCAAAGCAATCCAAATATCCACTTGCAGAATCCACAAAAAGAGTGTTTCAAAACTGCTCTATCAATAGAAAGGTTCAACTCTTTTAGTTGAGTACACACATCACAAACAAGTTTGCTGAGAATGCTTATCTGTCTGGCTTTTATTGGAAGACGTTTCCTTTTCACCAAAGGCATCAAAGCGCTCCAAATGTCCACTTCCAGATTCTTCCAAAAGAGTGTTTGAAACGTGCTCAAAGTAAGGGAATGTTCAACTCTGTGACTTGAATGCAGATATCACCAAGTAGTTTCTAATAGTGCTTCTGTCTAGATTTTAGGTGAGGATATTCCCGTTTCCAACGAAATCGTTAGAGCTATCCAAATATCCAGTTACAGTTTCTACCAAAAGGGTGTTTCCAAATTGCTGCATCAAAAGAAAGGTTCAACTCTGTTAGTTGAGGACACACATCACAAAGAAGTTTGTGAGAATGCTTCTGTCCAGATTTTGTATGACGATATTCCCTTTTCCAACGATATCATTAAAGCAATCTAAATATCCATTTGCAGAATCCACAAAAATAGAGTTTCAAAGCTGCTCTGTAAAAAGAAAGGTTCCACTCTGTTAGCTGAGTACACACATCACAAACTTGTCTCTCAGAATCCTTCTGTCTCGTTTTTATGGGAAGATATTTACTTTTTCACCGTAGGCATCAAAGCGCTCCAAATGTCCACATCCAGATACTCCAGAAAGAGTGTTTCAAACCTGCTCTATGAAAGGGAATCTTCAACTCTATGAGTTGAATGCAGACATCAGAAAGAAATTTCTGAGAATGCTGCTGTCTACCTTTTATTTGAATTCCCGCTTCCAACGAAATCCTCCAAGCTATCCAAATATCCACCTGCAGATTCCACAAAAAGAGTGTTTCAAAACTGCTCTATCAATAGAAATGTTCAACTCCTTTAGCTGGGTACACACATCACAAACAAGTTTCTGAGAATGCTTCTGTCTAGTTTTTATGGGAAGACATTCCCTTTTTCACCAAAGGCATCAAAGCGCTCCAAATGTCCACTTCCAGACACTACAAAAAGAGTGTTTCAAACGTGCTCTAAGAAAGCGAATATTCAACTCTGTGACTTGAATGCAGATATCACAAAGTAGTTTCTGAGAGGGCTTCTGTCTAGATTTTAGATGATGATATTCCCGTTTCCAACGAAATCATTAGAGCTATCCAAATATCCACTTACAGTTTCTACAAAAAGAGTGTTTCCAAACTGCTGCATCAAAAGAGAGGTTCCACTCTGTTAGCTGAGTACACACATCACAAACTTGTTTCTCAGAATCCTTCTGTCTAGCTTTTATGGGAAGATATTTCCTTTTTCACCGTAGGCATCAAAGCGATCCCAATGTCCACTTCCAGATAGTACAGAAAGAGTGTTTCAAACCTGCTCTATGAAAGGGAATCTTCAACTCTATGAGTTGAATGCAGACATCAGAAAGTAATTTCTGAGAATGCTGCTGTCTACCTTTTATTTGAATTCCCGCTTCCAACGAAATCCTCCAAACTATCCAAATATCCACTTGCAGATTCAGGAAAAAGAGTGTTTCAAAACTGCTCTCTATCAATGGCAAAGTTCAACTCTGTTAGTTGAGGACACATATCACCAACAAGTTTCTGAGAATGCTTCTGTCTATTTTTTATGGGAAGATATTTCCTTTTTCAGCGTAGGCGTCAAGGCGATCGAAATGTCCACTTCCACAAACTACAAAAAGAGTGTTTCAAACCTGCTCTATGAAAGGCCATGTTCATCTCTATGAGTTGAATGGAAATATCCGAAAGAAATTTCTGGGAATGCTGCTGTCTAGTTGTTATACGAATTCCCGCTTCCAACGAAATCCTCAAAGCAATCCACATATCCACTTGCAGAATCCACAAAAAGAGTGTTTCAAAACTGCTCCATCAATAGAAAGGTTCAACTCTTTTAGTTGAGTACACACATCACAAACAAGTTTCTGAGAATGCTTCTGTCTGGCTTTTATTGGAAGACGTTTCCTTTTCACCAAAGGCATCAAAGCGCTCCAAATGTCCACTTCCAGATTCTTCCAAAAGAGTGTTTCAAACGTGCTCAAAGTAAGGGAATGTTCAACTCTGTGACTTGAATGCAGATATCACCAAGTAGTTTCTAATAGTGCTTCTGTCTAGATTTTAGATGATGATATTCCCGTTTCCAACGAAATCGTTAGAGCTATCCAAATATCCACTTACAGTTTCTACAAAAAGAGTGTTTCCAAACTGCTGCATCAAAAGAAAGGTTCAACTCTGTCAGTTGAGGAGACACATCACAAAGAAGTTTGTGAGAATGCTTCTGTCTAGATTTTGTATGACCATATTCCCTTTTCCCAACGATATCGTTAAAGCAATCTAAATATCCATTTGCAGAATCCACAAAAATAGAGTTTCAAAGCTGCTCTGTAAAAAGAAAGGTTCCACTCTGTTAGCTGAGTACACACATCACAAACTTGTCTCTCAGAATCCTTCTGTCTCGTTTTTATGGGAAGATATTTACTTTTCCACCGTAGGCATCAAAGCGCTCCAAATGTCCACATCCGGATACTCCAGAACGAGTGTTTCAAACCTGCTCTATGAAAGGGAATCTTCAACTCTATGAGTTGAATGCAGACATCAGAAAGAAATTTCTGAGAATGCTGCTGTCTACCTTTTATTTGAATTCCCGCTTCCAACGAAATCCTCCAAGCTATCCAAATATCCACCTGCATTTTCCACAACAAGAGTGTTTCAAAACTGCTCTATCAATAGAAATGTTCAACTCCTTTGGCTGGGTACACACATCACAAACAAGTTTGCTGAGAATGCTTCTGTCTAGTTTTTATGGGAAGACGTTCCCTTTTTCACCAAAGGCATCAAAGCGCTCCAAATGTCCACTTCCAGACACTACAAAAAGAGTGTTTCAAACGTGCTCTAAGAAAGCGAATGTTCAACTCTGTGACTTGAATGCAGATATCACAAAGTAGTTTACTGAGAGGGCTTCTGTCTAGATTTTAGATGATGATATTCCCGTTTCCAATGAAATCATTAGAGCTATCCAAATATCCACTTACAGTTTCTACAAAAAGAGTGTTTCCAAACTGCTGCATCAAAAGAGAGGTTCCACTCTGTTAGCTGAGTACACACATCACAAACTTGTTTCTCAGAATCCTTCTGTCTCGTTTTTATGGGAAGATATTTACTTTTACACCGTAGGTATCAAAGCGCTCCAAATGTCCACATCCAGATACTCCAGAAAGAGTGTTTCAAACCTGCTCTATGAAAGGGAATCTTCAACTCTATGAGTTGAATGCAGACATCAGAAAGAAATTTCTGAGAATGCTGCTGTCTACCTTTTATTTGAATTCCCGCTTCCAACGAAATCCTCCAAGCTATCCAAATATCCACTTGCAGATTCCACAAAAAGAGTGTTTCAAAACTGCTCTCTATCAATGGCAAAGTTCAACTCTGTTAGTTGAGGACACATATCACCAACAAGTTTCTGAGAATGCTTCTGTCTATTTTTTATGGGAAGATATTTCCTTTTTCACCGTAGGCGTCAAGGCGATCGAAATGTCCAGTTCCACAAACTACAAAAAGAGTGTTTCAAACCTGCTCTATGAAAGGCCATGTTCATCTCTATGAGTTGAATGGAAATATCCGAAAGAAATTTCTGGGAATGCTGCTGTCTAGTTTTTATACGAATTCCCGCTTCCAACGAAATCCTCAAAGCAATCCAAATATCCACTTGCAGAATCCACAAAAAGAGTGTTTCAAAACTGCTCTATCAATAGAAAGGTTCAACTCTTTTAGTTGAGTACACACATCACAAACAAGTTTCTGAGAATGCTTCTGTCTGGCTTTTATTGGAAGACGTTTCCTTTTCACCAAAGGCATCAAAGCGCTCCAAATGTCCACTTCCAGATTCTTCCAAAAGAGTGTTTGAAACGTGCTCAAAGTAAGGGAATGTTCAACTCTGTGACTTGAATGCAGATATCACCAAGTAGTTTCTAATAGTGCTTCTGTCTAGATTTTAGATGATGATATTCCCGTTTCCAACGAAATCGTTAGAGCTATCCAAATATCCACTTACAGTTTCTACCAAAAGGGTGTTTCCAAACTGCTGCATCAAAAGAAAGGTTCAACTGTGTTAGTTGAGGACACACGTCACAAAGCTGTTTGTGAGAATGCTTCTGTCCAGATTTTGTATGACGATATTCCCTTTTCCAACGATATCGTTAAAGCAATCTAAATATCCATTTGCAGAATCCACAAAAATAGAGTTTCAAAGCTGCTCTGTAAAAAGAAAGGTTCCACTCTGTTAGCTGAGTACACACATCACAAACTTGTTTCTGAGAATCCTGCTGTCTACCTTTTATTTGAATTCCCGCTTCCAACGAAATCCTCCAAGCTATCCAAATATCCACCTGCATTTTCCACAACAAGAGTGTTTCAAAACTGCTCTATCAATAGAAATGTTCAACTCCTTTGGCTGGGTACACCCATCACAAACAAGACTCTGAGAATGCTTCTGTCTAGTTTTTATGGGAAGACATTCCCTTTTTCACCAAAGGCATCAAAGCGCTCCAAATGTCCACTTCCAGACACTACAAAAAGAGTGTTTCAAACGTGCTCTAAGAAAGCGAATGTTCAACTCTGTGACTTGAATGCAGATATCACAAAGTAGTTTCTGAGAGTGCTTCTGTCTAGATTTTAGATGATGATATTCCCGTTTCCAACGAAATCATTAGAGCTATCCAAATATCCACTTACTGTTTCTACAAAAAGAGTGTTTCCAAACTGCTGCATCAAAAGAGAGGTTCCACTCTGTTAGCTGAGTACACACATCACAAACTTGTTTCTCAGAATCCTTCTGTCTCGTTTTTTTGGGAAGATATTTACTTTTTCACCGTAGGCATCAAAGCGCTCCAAATGTCCACATCCAGATACTCCAGAAAGAGTGTTTCAAACCTGCTCTATGAAAGGGAATCTTCAACTCTATGAGTTGAATGCAGACATCAGAAAGAAATTTCTGAGAATGCTGCTGTCTACCTTTTATTTGAATTCCCGCTTCCAACGAAATCCTCCAAGCTATCCAAATATCCACTTGCAGATTCCACAAAAAGAGTGTTTCAAAACTGCTCTCTATCAATGGCAAAGTTCAACTCTGTTAGTTGAGGACACATATCACCAACAAGTTTCTGAGAATGCTTCTGTCTATTTTTTATGGGAAGATATTTCCTTTTTCACCGTAGGCGTCAAGGCAATCGAAATGTCCACTTCCACAAACTACAAAAAGAGTGTTTCAAACCTGCTCTATGAAAGGCCATGTTCATCTCTATGAGTTGAATGGAAATATCCGAAAGAAATTTCTGGGAATGCTGCTGTCTAGTGTTTATACGAATTCCCGCTTCCAACGAAATCCTCAAAGCAATCCAAATATCCACTTGCAGAATCCACAAAAAGAGTGTTTCAAAACTGCTCTATCAATAGAAAGGTTCAACTACTTTTAGTTGAGTACACACATCACGAACAAGTTTCTGAGAATGCTTTCTGTCTGGCTTTTATTGGAAGACGTTTCCTTTTCACCAAAGGCATCAAAGCGCTCCAAATGTCCACTTCCAGATTCTTCCAAAAGAGTGTTTCAAACGTGGTCGAAGTAAGGGAATGTTCAACTCTGTGACTTGAATGCAGATATCACCAAGTAGTTTCTAACAGTGCTTCTGTCTACATTTTAGATGATGATATTCCCGTTTCCAACGAAATCGCTAGAGCTATCCAAATATCCAGTTACAGTTTCTACCAAAAGGGTGTTTCCAAATTGCTGCATCAAAAGAAAGGTTCAACTCTGTTAGTTGAGGACACACATCACAAAGAAGTTTGTGAGAATGCTTCTGTCTAGATTTTGTATGACCATATTCCCTTTTCCAACGATATCGTTAAAGCAATCTAAATATCAATTTGCAGAATCCACAAAAATAGAGTTTCAAAGCTGCTCTGTAAAAAGAAAGGTTCCACTCTGTTAGCTGAGTACACACATCACAAACTTGTTTCTGAGAATCCTTCTGTCTCGTTTTTATGGGAAGATATTTACTTTTCCACCGTAGGCATCAAAGCGCTCCAAATGTCCACATCCATATACTCCAGAACGAGTGTTTCAAACCTGCTCTATGAAAGGGAATCTTCAACTCTATGAGTTGAATGCAGACATCAGAAAGAAATTTCTGAGAATGCTGCTGTCTACCTTTTATTTGAATTCCCGCTTCCAACGAAATCCTCCAAGCTATCCAAATATCCACCTGCATTTTCCACAAAAAGAGTGTTTCAAACCTGCTCTATCAATAGAAATGTTCAACTCCTTTGGCTGGGTACACACATCACAAACAAGTTTCTGAGAATGCTTCTGTCTAGTTTTTATGGGTAGACATTCCCTTTTTCACCAAAGGAATCAAAGCGCTCCAAATGTCCACTTCCAGACACTACAAAAAGAGTGTTTCCAACGTGCTCTAAGAAAGCGAATGTTCAACTCTGTGACTTGAATGCAGATATCACAAAGTAGTTTCTGAGAGTGCTTCTGTCTAGATTTTAGATGATGATATTCCCGTTTCCAACGAAATCATTAGAGCTATCCAAATATCCACTTACAGTTTCTACAAAAAGAGTGTTTCCAAACTGCTGCATCAAAAGAGAGGTTCCACTCTGTTAGCTGAGTACACACATCACAAACTTGTTTCTCAGAATCCTTCTGTCTCGTTTTTATGGGAAGATATTTACTTTCTCACCGTAGGCATCAAAGCGCTCCAAATATCCACATCCAGATACTCCAGAAAGAGTGTTTCAAACCTGCTCTATGAAAGGGAATCTTCAACTCTATGAGTTGAATGCAGACATCAGAAAGAAATTTCTGAGAATGCTGCTGTCTACCTTTTATTTGAATTCCCGCTTCCAACGAAATCCTCCAAGCTATCCAAATATCCACTTGCAGATTCCACAAAAAGAGTGTTTCAAAACTGCTCTCTATCAATGGCAAAGTTCAACTCTGTTAGTTGAGGACACATATCACCAACAAGTTTCTGAGAATGCTTCTGTCTATTTTTTATGGGAAGATATTTCCTTTTTCACCGTAGGCGTCAAGGCGATCGAAATGTCCACTTCCACAAACTACAAAAAGAGTGTTTCAAACCTGCTCTATGAAAGGCCATGTTCATCTTTATGAGTTGAATGGAAATATCCGAAAGAAATTTCTGGGAATGCTGCTGTCTAGTGTTTATACGAATTCCCGCTTCCAACGAAATCCTCAAAGCAATCCAAATATCCACTTGCAGAATCCACAAAAAGAGTGTTTCAAAACTGCTCTATCAATAGAAAGGTTCAACTCTTTTAGTTGAGTACACTCATCACAAACAAGTTTCTGAGAATGCTTCTGTCTGGCTTTTATTGGAAGACGTTTCCTTTTCACCAAAGGCATCAAAGCGCTCCAAATGTCCACTTCCAGATTCTTCCAAAAGAGTGTTTCAAACGTGCTCAAAGTAAGGGAATGTTCAACTCTGTGACTTGAATGCAGATATCACCAAGTAGTTTCTAATAGTGCTTCTGTCTACATTTTAGATGATGATATTCCCGTTTCCAATGAAATCGTTAGAGCTATCCAAATATCCACTTACAGTTTCTACAAAAAGAGTGTTTCCAAACTGCTGCATCAAAAGAAAGGTTCAACTCTGTTAGTTGAGGACACACATCACAAAGAAGTTTGTGAGAATGCTTCTGTCTAGATTTTGTATGATGATATTCCCTTTTCCATCGATATCGTTAAAGCAATCTAAATATCAATTTGCAGAATCCACAAAAATAGAGTTTCAAAGCTGCTCTGTAAAAAGAAAGGTTCCACTCTGTTAGCTGAGTACACACATCACAATCTTGTTTCTGAGAATCCTGCTGTCTACCTTTTATTTGAATTCCCGCTTCCAACGAAATCCTCCAAGGTATCCAAATATCCACCTGCATTTTCCACAAAAAGAGTGTTTCAAAACTGCTCTATCAATAGAAATGTTCAACTCCTTTGGCTGGGTACACACATCACAAACAAGTTTCTGAGAATGCTTCTGTCTAGTTTTTATGGGAAGACGTTCCCTTTTTCACCAAAGGCATCAAAGCGCTCCAAATGTCCACTTCCAGACACTACAAAAAGAGTGTTTCAAACGTGCTCTAAGAAAGCGCATGTTCAACTCTGTGACTTGAATGCAGATATCACAAAGTAGTTTCTGAGAGGGCTTCTGTCTAGTATTTTAGATGATGATATTCCCGTTTCCAACGAAATCATTAGAGCTATCCAAATATCCACTTACAGTTTCTACAAAAAGAGTGTTTCCAAACTGCTGCATCAAAACAGAGGTTCCACTCTGTTAGCTGAGTACACACATCACAAACTAGTTTCTCAGAATCCTCTGTCTCGTTTTTATGGGAAGATATTTACTTTTTCACCGTAGGCATCAAAGCGCTCCAAATGTCCACATCCAGATACTCCAGAAAGAGTGTTTCAAACCTGCTCTATGAAAGGGAATCTTCAACTCTATGAGTTGAATGCAGACATCAGAAAGAAATTCTGAGAATGCTGGCTGTCTACCTTTTATTTGAATTCCCGCTTCCAACGAAATCCTCCAGCTATCCAAATATCCACTTGCAGATTCCACAAAAAGAGTGTTTCAAAACTGCTCTCTATCAATGGCAAAGTTCAACTCTGTTAGTTGAGGACACATATCACCAACAAGTTTCTGAGAATGCTTCTGTCTATTTTTTATGGGAAGATATTTCCTTTTTCACCGTAGGCGTCAAGGCGATCGAAATGTCCACTTCCACAAACTACAAAAAGAGTGTTTCAAACCTGCTCTATGAAAGGCCATGTTCATCTCTATGAGTTGAATGGAAATATCCGAAAGAAATTTCTGGGAATGCTGCTGTCTAGTGTTTATATGAATTCCTGCTTCCAACGAAATCCTCAAAGCAATCCAAATATCCACTTGCAGAATCCACAAAAAGAGTGTTTCAAAACTGCTATATCAATAGAAAGGTTCAACTCTTTTAGTTGAGTACACACATCACGAACAAGTTTCTCAGAATGCTTCTGTCTGGCTTTTATTGGAAGACGTTTCCTTTTCACCAAAGGCATCAAAGCGCTCCAAATGTCCACTTCCAGATTCTTCCAAAAGAGTGTTTCAAACGTGCTCGAAGTAAGGGAATGTTCTACTCTGTGACTTGAATGCAGATATCACCAAGTAGTTTCTAATAGTGCTTCTGTCTACATTTTAGATGATGATATTCCCGTTTCCAACGAAATCGCTAGAGCTATCCAAATATCCAGTTACAGTTTCTACCAAAAGGGTGTTTCCAAATTGCTGCATCAAAAGAAAAGTTCAACTCTGTTAGTTGAGGACACACATCACAAAGAAGTTTGTGAGAATGCTTCTGTCTAGATTTTGTATGACCGTATTCCCTTTTCCAACGATATCGTTAAAGCAATCTAAATATCAATTTGCAGAATCCACAAAAATAGAGTTTCAAAGCTGCTCTGTAAAAAGAAAGGTTCCACTCTGTTAGCTGAGTACACACATCACAAACTTGTTTCTGAGAATCCTGCTGTCTACCTTTTATTTGAATTCCCGCTTCCAACGAAATCCTCCAAGCTATCCAAATATCCACCTGCATTTTCCACAACAAGAGTGTTTCAAAACTGCTGTATCAATAGAAACGTTCAACTCCTTTGGCTGGGTACACACATCACAAACAAGTTTCTGAGAATGCTTCTGTCTAGTTTTTATGGGAAGACGTTCCCTTTTTCACCAAAGGCATCAAAGCGCTCCAAATGTCCACTTCCAGACACTACAAAAAGAGTGTTTCCAACGTGCCCTAAGAAAGCGAATGTTCAACTCTGTGACTTGAATGCA
Organism: Homo sapiens; assembly: GCF_000001405.40. Classification (NCBI taxonomy): domain Eukaryota; kingdom Metazoa; phylum Chordata; class Mammalia; order Primates; family Hominidae; genus Homo; species Homo sapiens. Next base: position 14,698,622 of record NC_000022.11, on the reverse strand, counting down.
GATATCACAAAGTAGTTTCTGAGAGGGCTTCTGTCTAGATTTTAGATGATGATATTCCCGTTTCCAACGAAATCATTAGAGCTATCCAAATATCCACTTACAGTTTCTACAAAAAGAGTGTTTCCAAACTGCTGCATCAAAAGAGAGGTTCCACTCTGTTAGCTGAGTACACACATCACAAACTTGTTTCTCAGAATCCTTCTGTCTCGTTTTTATGGGAAGATATTTACTTTTCCACCGTAGGCATCAAAGCGCTCCAAATGTCCACATCCAGATACTCCAGAACGAGTGTTTCAAACCTGCTCTATGAAAGGGAATCTTCAACTGCTATGAGTTGAATGCAGACATCAGAAAGAAATTTACTGAGAATGCTGCTGTCTACCTTTTATTTGAATTCCCGCTTCCAACGAAATCCTCCAAGCTATCCAAATATCCACTTGCATATTCCACAAAAAGAGTGTTTCAAAACTGCTCTCTATCAATGGCAAAGTTCAACTCTGTTAGTTGAGGACACATATCACCAACAAGTTTCTGAGAATGCTTCTGTCTATTTTTTATGGGAAGATATTTCCTTTTTCACCGTAGGCGTCAAGGCGATCGAAATGTCCACTTCCACAAACTACAAAAAGAGTGTTTCAAACCTGCTCTATGAAAGGCCATGTTCATCTCTATGAGTTGAATGGAAATATCCGAAAGAAATTTCTGGGAATGCTGCTGTCTAGTGTTTATACGAATTCCCGCTTCCAACGAAATCCTCAAAGCAATCCAAATATCCACTTGCAGAATCCACAAAAAGAGTGTTTCTAAACTGCTCTATCAATAGAAAGGTTCAACTCTTTTAGTTGAGTACACACATCACAAACAAGTTTCTGAGAATGCTTCTCTCTGGCTTTTATTGGAAGACGTTTCCTTTTCACCAAAGGCATCAAAGCGCTCCAAATGTCCACTTCCAGATTCTTCCAAAAGAGTGTTTCAAACGTGCTCAAAGTAAGGGAATGTTCAACTACTGTGACTTGAATACAGATATCACCAAGTAGTTTCTAATAGTGCTTCTGTCTAGTATTTTAGATGATGATATTCCCGTTTCCAACGAAATCGTTAGAGCTATCCAAATATCCACTTACAGTTGCTACAAAAAGAGTGTTTCCAAACTGCTGCATCAAAAGAAAGGTTCAACTCTGTTAGTTGAGGACACACATCACAAAGAAGTTTGTGAGAATGCTTCTGTCTAGATTTTGTATGACGATATTCCCTTTTCCAACGATATCGTTAAAGCAATCTAAATATCCATTTGCAGAATCCACAAAAATAGAGTTTCAAAGCTGCTCTGTAAAAAGAAAGGTTGCACTCTGTTAGCTGAGTACACACATCACAAACTTGTTTCTCAGAATCCTGCTGTCTACCTTTTATTTGAATTCCCGCTTCCAACGAAATCCTCCAAGCTATCCAAATATCCACTTGCAGATTCCACAAAAAGAGTGTTTCAAAACTGCTCTCTATCAATGGCAAAGTTCAACTCTGTTAGTTGAGGACACATATCACCAACAAGTTTCTGAGAATGCTTCTGTCTATTTTTTATGGGAAGATATTTCCTTTTTCAGCGTAGGCGCCAAGGCGATCGAAATGTCCACTTCCACAAACTACAAAAAGAGTGTTTCAAACCTGCTCTATGAAAGGCCATGTTCATCTCTATGAGTTGAATGGAAATATCCGAAAGAAATTTCTGGGAATGCTGCTGTCTAGTTTTTATATGAATTCCCGCTTCCAACGAAATCCTCAAAGCAATCCAAATATCCACTTGCAGAATCCACAAAAAGAGTGTTTCAAAACTGCTCTATCAATAGAAAGGTTCAACTCTTTTAGTTGAGTACACACATCACAAACAAGTTTCCTGAGAATGCTTTCTGTCTGGCTTTTATTGGAAGACGTTTCCTTTTCACCAAAGGCATCAAAGCGCTCCAAATGTCCACTTCCAGATTCTTCCAAAAGAGTGTTTCAAACGTGCTCAAAGTAAGGGAATGTTCAACTCTGTGACTTGAATGCAGATATCACCAAGTAGTTTCTAATAGTGCTTCTGTCTACATTTTAGATGATGATATTCCCGTTTCCAACGAAATCGCTAGAGCTATCCAAATATCCAGTTACAGTTTCTACCAAAAGGGTGTTTCCAAATTGCTGCATCAAAAGAAAGGTTCAACTCTGTTAGTTGAGGACACACATCACAAAGAAGTTTGTGAGAATGCTTCTGTCTATATTTTGTATGACGATATTCCCTTTTCCAACGATATCGTTAAAGCAATCTAAATATCAATTTGCAGAATCCACAAAAATAGAGTTTCAAAGCTGCTCTGTAAAAAGAAAGGTTCCACTCTGTTAGCTGAGTACACACATCACAAACTTGTTTCTGAGAATCCTTCTGTCTCGTTTTTATGGGAAGATATTTACTTTTTCACCGTAGGCATCAAAGCGCTCCAAATGTCCACATCCAGATACTCCAGAAAGAGTGTTTCAAACCTGCTCTATGAAAGGGAATCTTCAACTCTATGAGTTGAATGCAGACATCAGAAAGAAACTTCTGAGAATGCTGCTGTCTACCTTTTATTTGAATTCCCGCTTACAACGAAATCCTCCAAGCTATCCAAATATCCACTTGCATTTTCCACAAAAAGAGTGTTTCAAAACTGCTCTATCAATAGAAACGTTCAACTCCTTTAGCTGGGTACACACATCACAAACAAGTTTCTGAGAATGCTTCTGTCTAGTTTTTATGGGAAGACATTCCCTTTTTCACCAAAGCCATCAAAGCGATCCAAATGTCCACTTCCAGACACTACAAAAAGAGTGTTTCAAACGTGCTCTAAGAAAGCGAATGTTCAACTCTGTGACTTGAATGCAGATATCACAAAGTAGTTTCTGAGAGGGCTTCTGTCTAGATTTTAGATGATGATATTCCCGTTTCCAACGAAATCATTACAGCTATCCAAATATCCACTTACAGTTTCTAGAAAAAGAGTGTTTCCAAACTGCTGCATCAAAAGAGAGGTTCCACTCTGTTAGCTGAGTACACACATCACAAACTTGTTTCTCAGAATCCTTCTGTGTCGTTTTTATGTGAAGATATTTACTTTTTAACCGTAGGCATCCAAGCGCTCCAAATGTCCACATCCAGATACTCCAGAAAGAGTGTTTCAAACCTGCTCTATGAAAGGGAATCTTCAACTCTATGAGTTGAATGCAGACATCAGAAAGAAATTTCTGAGAATGCTGCTGTCTACCTTTTATTTGAATTCCCGCTTCCAACGAAATCCTCCAAACTATCCAAATATCCACTTGCAGATTCAGGAAAAAGAGTGTTTCAAAACTGCTCTCTATCAATGGCAAAGTTCAACTCTGTTAGTTGAGGACACATATCACCAACAAGTTTCTGAGAATGCTTCTGTCTATTTTTTATGGGAAGATATTTCCTTTTTCACCGTAGGCGTCAAGGCGATCGAAATGTCCACTTCCACAAACTACAAAAAGAGTGTTTCAAACCTGCTCTATAAAAGGCCATGTTCATCTCTATGAGTTGAATGGAAATATCCGAAAGAAATTTCTGGGAATGCTGCTGTCTAGTTTTTATACGAATTCCCGCTTCCAACGAAATCCTCAAAGCAATCCAAATATCCACTTGCAGAATCCACAAAAAGAGTGTTTCAAAACTGCTCTATCAATAGAAAGGTTCAACTCTTTTAGTTGAGTACACACATCACGAACAAGTTTCTGAGAATGCTTCTGTCTGGCTTTTATTGGAAGACGTTTCCTTTTCACCAAATGCATCAAAGCGCTCCAAATGTCCACTTCCAGATTCTTCCAAAAGAGTGTTTCAAACGTGCTCAAAGTAAGGGAATGTTCAACTCTGTGACTTGAATGCAGATATCACCAAGTAGTTTCTAATAGTGCTTCTGTCTACATTTTAGATGATGATATTCCCGTTTCCAACGAAATCGTTAGAGCTATCCAAATATCCAGTTACAGTTTCTACCAAAAGGGTGTTTCCAAATTGCTGCATCAAAAGAAAGGTTCAACTCTGTTAGTTGAGGACACACATCACAAAGAAGTTTGTGAGAATGCTTTCCTGTCTAGATTTTGTATGACGATATTCCCTTTTCCAACGATATCGTTAAAGCAATCTAAATATCAATTTGCAGAATCCACAAAAACAGAGTTTCAAAGCTGCTCTGTAAAAAGAAAGGTTCCACTCTGTTAGCTGAGTACACACATCCCAAACTTGTTTCTGAGAATCCTTCTGTCTCGTTTTTATGGGAAGATATTTACTTTTCCACTGTAGGCATCAAAGCGCTCCAAATGTCCACATCCAGATACTCCAGAACGAGTGTTTCAAACCTGCTCTATGAAAGGGAATCTTCAACTCTATGAGTTGAATGCAGAATCAGAAAGAAATTTCTGAGAATGCTCTGTCTACCTTTTATTTGAATTCCCGCTTCCAACGAAATCCTCCAAGCTATCCAAATATCCACCTGCATTTTCCACAACAAGAGTGTTTCAAAACTGCTCTATCAATAGAAATGTTCAACTCCTTTGGCTGGGTACACACATCACAAACAAGTTTCTGAGAATGCTTTCTGTCTAGTTTTTATGGGAAGACATTCCCTTTTTCACCAAAGGCATCAAAGCAGCTCCAAATGTCCACTTCCAGACACTACAAAAAGAGTGTTTCAAACGTGCTCTAAGAAAGCGAATGTTCAACTCTGTGGCTTGAATGCAGATATCACAAAGTAGTTTCTGAGAGGGCTTCTCTCTAGATTTTAGATGATGATATTCCCGTTTCCAACGAAATCATTAGAGCTATCCAAATATCCACTTACAGTTTCTACAAAAAGAGTGTTTCCAAACTGCTGCATCAAAAGAGAGGTTCCACTCTGTTAGCTGAGTACACACATCACAAACTTGTTTCTGAGAATCCTTCTGACTCGTTTTTATGGGAAGATATTTACTTTTTCACCGTAGGCATCAAAGCGCTCCAAATGTCCACATCCAGATACTCCAGAAAGAGTGTTTCAAACCTGCTCTATGAAAGGGAATCTTCAACTCTATGAGTTGAATGCAGACATCAGAAAGAAATTTCTGAGAATGCTGCTGTCTACCTTTTATTTGAATTCCCGCTTCCAACGAAATCCTCCAAGCTATCCAAATATCCACTTGCAGATTCCACAAAAAGAGTGTTTCAAAACTGCTCTCTATCAATGGCAAAGTTCAACTCTGTTAGTTGAGGACACATATCACCAACAAGTTTCTGAGAATGCTTCTGTCTTTTTTTATGGGAAGATATTTCCTTTTTCACCGTAGGCGTCAAGGCGATCGAAATGTCCACTTCCACAAACTACAAAAAGAGTGTTTCAAACCTGCTCTATGAAAGGCCATGTTCATCTCTATGAGTCGAATGGAAATATCCGAAAGAAATTTCTGGGAATGCTGCTGTCTAGTGTTTATACGAATTCCCGCTTCCAACGAAATCCTCAAAGCAATCCAAATATCCACTTGCAGAATACACAAAAAGAGTGTTTCAAAACTGCTCTATCAATAGAAAGGTTCAACTCTTTTAGTTGAGTACACACATCACGAACAAGTTTCTGAGAATGCTTCTCTCTGGCTTTTATTGGAAGACGTTTCCTTTTCACCAAAGGCATCAAAGCGCTCCAAATGTCCACTTCCAGATTCTTCCAAAAGAGTGTTTCAAACGTGCTCAAAGTAAGGGAATGTTCAACTCTGTGACTTGAATGCAGATATCACCAAGTAGTTTCTAATAGTGCTTCTGTCTACATTTTAGATGATGATATTCCCGTTTCAAACGAAATCGTTAGAGCTATCCAAATATCCAGTTACAGTTTCTACCAAAAGGGTGTTTCCAAATTGCTGCATCAAAAGAAAGGTTCAACTCTGTTAGTTGAGGACACACATCACAAAGAAGTTTGTGAGAATGCTTCTGTCTAGATTTTGTATGACGATATTCCCTTTTCCAACGATATCGTTAAAGCAATCTAAATATCAATTTGCAGAATCCACAAAAATAGAGTTTCAAAGCTGCTCTGTAAAAAGAAAGGTTCCACTCTGTTAGCTGAGTACACACATCACAAACTTGTTTCTCAGAATCCTTCTGTCTCGTTTTTATGGGAAGATATTTACTTTTTCACCGTGGGCATCAAAGCACTCCAAATGTCCACATCCAGATACTCCAGAAAGAGTGTTTCAAACCTGCTCTATGAAAGGGAATCTTCAACTCTATGAGTTGAATGCAGACATCAGAAAGAAATTTCTGAGAATGCTGCTGTCTACCTTTTATTTGAATTCCCGCTTCCAACGAAATCCTCCAAGCTACTCCAAATATCCACCTTGCACTTTTCCACAAAAAGAGTGTTTCAAAACTGCTCTATCAATAGAAATGTTCAACTCCTTTGGCTGGGTACACACATCACAAACAAGTTTCTGAGGATGCTTCTGTCTAGTTTTTATGGGTAGACATTCCCTTTTTCACCAAAGGAATCAAAGCGCTCCAAATGTCCACTTCCAGACACTACAAAAAGAGTGTTTCAAACGTGCTCTAAGAAAGCGAATGTTCAACTCTGTGACTTGAATGCAGATATCACACAGTAGTTTCTGAGAGTGCTTCTGTCTAGATTTTAGATGATGATATTCCCGTTTCCAACGAAATCATTAGAGCTATCCAAATATCCACTTACAGTTTCTACAAAAAGAGTGTTTCCAAACTGCTGCATCAAAAGAGAGGTTCCACTCTGTTAGCCGAGTACACACATCACAAACTTGTTTCTCAGAATCCTTCTGTCTCGTTTTTATGGGAAGATATTTACTTTTTCACCGTAGGCATCAAAGCGCTCCAAATGTCCACATCCAGATACTCCAGAAAGAGTGTTTCAAACCTGCTCTATGAAAGGTAATCTTCAACTCTATGAGTTGAATGCAGACATCAGAAAGAAATTTCTGAGAATGCTGCTGTCTACCTTTTATTTGAATTCCCGCTTCCAACGAAATCCTCCAAGCTATCCAAATATCCACTTGCAGATTCCACAAAAAGAGTGTTTCAAAACTGCTCTCTATCAATGGCAAAGTTCAACTCTGTTAGTTGAGGACACATATCACCAACAAGTTTCTGAGAATGCTTCTGTCTATTTTTTATGGGAAGATATTTCCTTTTTCACCGTAGGCGTCAAGGCGATCGAAATGTCCACTTCCATAAACTACAAAAAGAGTGTTTCAAACCTGCTCTATGAAAGGCCATGTTCATCTCTATGAGTTGAATGGAAATATCCGAAAGAAATTTCTGGGAATGCTGCTGTCTAGTAGTTTATACGAATTCCCGCTTCCAACGAAATCCTCAAAGCAATCCAAATATCCACTTGCAGAATCCACAAAAAGAGTGTTTCAAAACTGCTCTATCAATAGAAAGGTTCAACTCTTTTAGTTGAGTACACACATCACGAACAAGTTTCTGAGAATGCTTCTGTCTGGCTTTTATTGGAAGACGTTTCCTTTTCACCAAAGGCATCAAAGCGCTCCAAATGTCCACTTCCAGATTCTTCCAAAAGAGTGTTTCAAACGTGCTCAAAGTAAGGGAATGTTCAACTCTGTGACTTGAATGCAGATATCACCAAGTAGTTTCTAATAGTGCTTCTGTCTAGATTTTAGATGATGATATTCCCGTTTCCAACGAAATCGTTAGAGCTATCCAAATATCCACTTACACTTTCTACAAAAAGAGTGTTTCCAAACTGCTGCATCAAAAGAAAGGTTCAACTCTGTTAGTTGAGGACACACATCACAAAGAAGTTTGTGAGAATGCTTCTGTCCAGATTTTGTATGACGATATTCCCTTTTCCAACGATATCGTTAAAGCAATCTAAATATCAATTTGCAGAATCCACAAAAATAGAGTTTGAAAGCTGCTCTGTAAAAAGAAAGGTTCCACTCTGTTAGCTGAGTACACACATCACAAACTTGTTTCTGAGAATCCTTCTGTCTCGTTTTTATGGGAAGATATTTCCTTTTTCACCGTAGGCATCAAAGTGCTCCAAATGTCCACATCCAGATACTCCAGAAAGAGTGTTTCAAACCTGCTCTATGAAAGGGAATCTTCAACTCTATGAGTTGAATGCAGACATCAGAAAGAAATTTCTGAGAATGCTGCTGTCTACCTTTTATTTGAATTCCCGCTTCCAACGAAATCCTCCAAGCTATCCAAATATCCACCTGCATTTTCCACAAAAAGAGTGTTTCAAACCTGCTCTATCAATAGAAATGTTCAACTCCTTTGGCTGGGTACACACATCACAAACAAGTTTCTGAGAATGCTTCTGTCTAGTTTTTATGGGTAGACATTCCCTTTTTCACCAAAGGAATCAAAGCGCTCCAAATGTCCACTTCCAGACACTACAAAAAGAGTGTTTCCAACGTGCTCTAAGAAAGCTAATGTTCAACTCTGTGACTTGAATGCAGATATCACAAAGTAGTTTCTGAGAGGGCTTCTGTCTAGATTTTAGATGATGATATTCCCGTTTCCAACGAAATCATTAGAGCTATCCAAATATCCACTTACAGTTTCTACAAAAAGAGTGTTTCCAAACTGCTGCATCAAAAGAGAGGTTCCACTCTGTTAGCTGAGTACACACATCACAAACTTGTTTCTCAGAATCCTTCTGTCTCGTTTTTATGGGAAGATATTTACTTTTCCACCGTAGGCATCAAAGCGCTCCAAATGTCCACATCCAGATACTCCAGAACGAGTGTTTCAAACCTGCTCTATGAAAGGGAATCTTCAACTACTATGAGTTGAATGCAGACATCAGAAAGAAATTTCTGAGAATGCTGCTGTCTACCTTTTATTTGAATTCCCGCTTCCAACGAAATCCTCCAAGCTATCCAAATATCCACTTGCAGATTCCACAAAAAGAGTGTTTCAAAACTGCTCTCTATCAATGGCAAAGTTCAACTCTGTTAGTTGAGGACACATATCACCAACAAGTTTCTGAGAATGCTTCTGTCTATTTTTTATGGGAAGATATTTCCTTTTTCACCGTAGGCGTCAAGGCGATCGAAATGTCCACTTCCACAAACTACAAAAAGAGTGTTTCAAACCTGCTCTATGAAAGGCGATGTTCATCTGTATGAGTTGAATGGAAATATCCGAAAGAAATTTCTGGGAATGCTGCTGTCTAGTTTTTATACGAATTCCCGCTTCCAACGAAATCCTCAAAGCAATCCAAATATCCACTTGCAGAATCCACAAAAAGAGTGTTTCAAAACTGCTCTATCAATAGAAAGGTTCAACTCTTTTAGTTGAGTACACACATCACAAACAAGTTTCTGAGAATGCTTCTGTCTGGCTTTTATTGGAAGACGTTTCATTTTCACCAAAGGCATCAAAGCGCTCCAAATGTCCACTTCCAGATTCTTCCAAAAGAGTGTTTCAAACGTGCTCAAAGTAAGGGAATGTTCAACTCTTTGACTTGAATGCAGATATCACAAAGTAGGTTCTAATAGTGCTCTGTCTAGATTTTAGATGATGATATTCCCGTTTCCAACGAAATCGTTAGAGCTATCCAAATATCCACTTACAGTTTCTACAAAAAGAGTGTTTCCAAACTGCTGCATCAAAAGAAAGGTTCAACTCTGTTAGTTGAGGACACACATCACAAAGAAGTTTGTGAGAATGCTTTCTGTCTAGATTTTGTATGACGATATTCCCTTTTCCAACGATATTGTTAAAGCAATCTAAATATCAATTTGCAGAATCCACAAAAATAGAGTTTCAAAGCTGCTCTGTAAAAAGAAAGGTTCCACTCTGTTAGCTGAGTACACACATCACAAACTTGTTTCTGAGAATCCTTCTGTCTCGTTTTTCTGGGAAGATATTTACTTTTTCACCGTAGGCATCAAAGCGCTCCAAATGTCCACATCCAGATACTCCAGAAAGAGTGTTTCAAACCTGCTCTATGAAAGGGAATGTTCAACTCTATGAGTTGAATGCAGACATCAGAAAGAAATTTCTGAGAATGCTGCTGTCTACCTTTTATTTGTATTCCCGCTTCCAACGAAATCCTCCAAACTATCCAAATATCCACCTGCATTTTCCACAACAAGAGTGTTTCAAAACTGCTCTATCAATAGAAATGTTCAACTCCTTTGGCTGGGTACACACATCACAAACAAGTCTCTGAGAATGCTTCTGTCTAGTTTTTATGGGAAGACATTCCCTTTTTCACCAAAGGCATCAAAGCGCTCCAAATGTCCACTTCCAGACACTACAAAAAGAGTGTTTCAAACGTGCTCTAAGAAACCGAATGTTCAACTCTGTGACTTGAATGCAGATATCACAAAGTAGTTTCTGAGAGTGCTTCTGTCTAGATTTTAGATGATGATATTCCCGTTTCCAACGAAATCATTAGAGCTATCCAAATATCCACTTACAGTTTCTACAAAAAGAGTGTTTCCAAACTGCTGCATCAAAAGAGAGGTTCCACTCTGTTAGCTGAGTACACACATCACAAACTTGTTTCTCAGAATCCTTCTGTCTCGTTTTTATGGGAAGATATTTACTTTTCCACCGTAGGCATCAAAGCGCTCCAAATGTCCACATCCAGATACTCCAGAACGAGTGTTTCAAACCTGCTCTATGAAAGGGAATGCTCAACTCTATGAGTTGAATGCAGACATCAGAAAGAAATTTCTGAGAATGCTGCTGTCTACCTTTTATTTGAATTCCCGCTTCCAACGAAATCCTCCAAGCTATCCAAATATCCACTTGCAGATTCCACAAAAAGAGTGTTTCAAAACTGCTCTCTATCAATGGCAAAGTTCAACTCTGTTAGTTGAGGACACATATCACCAACAAGTTTCTGAGAATGCTTCTGTCTATTTTTTATGGGAAGATATTTCCTTTTTCACCGTAGGCGTCAAGGCGATCGAAATGTCCACTTCCACAAACTACAAAAAGAGTGTTTCAAACCTGCTCTATGAAAGGCCATGTTCATCTCTATGAGTCGAATGGAAATATCCAAAAGAAATTTCTGGGAATGCTGCTGTCTAGTTTTTATACGAATTCCCGCTTCCAACGAAATCCTCAAAGCAATCCAAATATCCACTTGCAGAATCCACAAAAAGAGTGTTTCAAAACTGCTCTATCAATAGAAAGGTTCAACTCTTTTAGTTGAGTACACACATCACAAACAAGTTTCTGAGAATGCTTCTGTCTGGCTTTTATTGGAAGACGTTTCCTTTTCACCAAAGGCATCAAAGCGCTCCAAATGTCCACTTCCAGATTCTTCCAAAAGAGTGTTTGAAACGTGCTCAAAGTAAGGGAATGTTCAACTCTGTGACTTGAATGCAGATATCACCAAGTAGTTTCTAATAGTGCTTCTGTCTAGATTTTAGATGATGATATTCCCGTTTCCAACGAAATCGTTAGAGCTATCCAAATATCCACTTACAGTTTCTACAAAAAGAGTGTTTCCAAACTGCTGCATCAAAAGAAACGTTCAACTCTGTTAGTTGAGGACACACATCACAAAGAAGTTTGTGAGAATTCTTCTGTCTGGATTTTGTATGACGATATTCCCTTTTCCAACGATATCGTTAAAGCAATCTAAATATCAATTTGCAGAATCCACAAAAATAGAGTTTCAAAGCTGCTCTGTAAAAAGAAAGGTTCCACTCTGTTAGCTGAGTACACACATCACAAACTTGTTTCTGAGAATCCTTCTGTCTCGTTTTTATGGGAAGATATTTACTTTTTCACCGTAGGCATCAAAGCACTCCAAATGTCCACATCCAGATACTCCAGAAAGACTGTTTCAAACCTGCTCTATGAAAGGGAATCTTCAACTCTATGAGTTGAATGCAGACATCAGAAAGAAATTTCTGAGAATGCTGCTGTCTACCTTTTATTTGAATTCCCGCTTCCAACGAAATCCTCCAAGCTATCCAAATATCCACCTGCATTTTCCACAAAAAGAGTGTTTCAAAACTGCTCTAGCAATAGAAATGTTCAACTCCTTTGGCTGGGTACACACATCACAAACAAGTTTCTGAGAATGCTTCTGTCTAGTTTTTATGGGAAGACGTTCCCTTTTTCACCAAAGGCATCAAAGCGCTCCAAATGTCCACTTCCAGACACTACAAAAAGAGTGTTTCAAACGTGCTCTAAGAAAGCGAATGTTCAACTCTGTGACTTGAATGCAGATATCACAAAGTAGTTTCTGAGAGGGCTTCTGTCTAGATTTTAGATGATGATATTCCCGTTTCCAACGAAATCATTAGAGCTATCCAAATATCCACATACAGTTTCTACAAAAAGAGTGTTTCCAAACTGCTGCATCCAAAGAGAGGTTCCACTCTGTTAGCTGAGTACACACATCACAAACTTGTTTCTCAGAATCCTTCTGTCTCGTTTTTATGGGAAGATATTTACTTTTTCATCGTAGGCCTCAAATCGCTCCAAATGTCCACATCCAGATACTCCAGAAAGAGTATTTCAAACCTGCTCTATGAAAGGGAATCTTCAACTCTATGAGTTGAATGCAGACATCAGAAAGAAATTTCTGAGAATGCTGCTGTCTACCTTTTATTTGAATTCCCGCTTCCAACGAAATCCTCCAAGCTATCCAAATATCCACTTGCAGATTCCACAAAAAGAGTGTTTCAAAACTGCTCTCTATCAATGGCAAAGTTCAACTCTGTTAGTTGAGGACACATATCACCAACAAGTTTCTGAGAATGCTTCTGTCTATTTTTTATGGGAAGATATTTCCTTTTTCAGCGTAGGCGTCAAGGCGATCGAAATGTCCACTTCCACAAACTACAAAAAGAGTGTTTCAAACCTGCTCTATGAAAGGCCATGTTCATCTCTATGAGTTGAATGGAAATATCCGAAAGAAATTTCTGGGAATGCTGCTGTCTAGTGTTTATACGAATTCCCGCTTCCAATGAAATCCTCAAAGCAATCCAAATATCCACTTGCAGAATCCACAAAAAGAGTGTTTCAAAACTGCTCTATCAATAGAAAGGTTCAACTCTTTTAGTTGAGTACACACATCACAAACAAGTTTCTGAGAATGCTTCTGTCTGGCTTTTATTGGAAGACGTTTCCTTTTCACCAAAGGCATCAAAGCGCTCCAAATGTCCACTTCCAGATTCTTCCAAAAGAGTGTTTCAAACGTGCTCGAAGTAAGGGAATGTTCAACTCTGTGACTTGAATGCAGATGTCACCAAGTAGTTTCTAATAGTGCTTCTGTCTAGATTTTAGATGATGATATTCCCGTTTCCAACGAATTCGTTAGAGCTATCCAAATATCCACTTACAGTTTCTACCAAAAGGGTGTTTCCAAACTGCTGCATCAAAAGAAAGGTTCAACTCTGTTAGTTGAGGACACACATCACAAAGAAGTTTGTGAGAATGCTTCTGTCCAGATTTTGTATGACGATATTCCCTTTTCCAACGATATCGTTAAAGCAATCTAAATATCAATTTGCAGAATCCACAAAAATAGAGTTTCAAAGCTGCTCTGTAAAAAGAAAGGTTCCACTCTGTTAGCTGAGTACACACATCTCAAACTTGTTTCTCAGAATCCTTCTGTCTCGTTTCTATGGGAAGATATTTACTTTTCCACCATAGGCATCAAAGCGCTCCAAATGTCCACATCCAGATACTCCAGAACGAGTGTTTCAAACCTGCTCTATGAAAGGGAATCTTCAACTCTATGAGTTGAATGCAGAATCAGAAAGAAATTTCTGAGAATGCTGCTGTCTACCTTTTATTTGAATTCCCGCTTCCAACGAAATCCTCCAAGCTATCCAAATATCCACCTGCATTTTGCACAAAAAAAGTGTTTCAAAACTGCTCTATCAATAGAAATGTTCAACTCCTTTGTCTGGGTACACACATCACAAACAAGTTTCTGAGAATGCTTCTGTCTAGTTTTTATGGGAAGACATTCCCTTTTTCACCAAAGGCATCAAAGCGCTCCAAATGTCCACTTCCAGACACTACAAAAAGAGTGTTTCAAACGTGCTCTAAGAAAGCGAATGTTCAACTCTGTGACTTGAATGCAGATATCACCAAGTAGTTTCTGAGAGGGCTTCTGTCTAGATTTTAGATGATGATATTCCCGCTTCCAACGAAATCATTAGAGCTATCCAAATATCCACTTACAGTTTCTACAAAAAGAGTGTTTCCAAACTGCTGCATCAAAAGAAAGGTTCAACTCTGTTAGTTGAGGACACACATCACAAAGAAGTTTGTGAGAATGCTGCTGTCTACCTTTTATTTGAATTCCCGCTTCCAACGAAATCCTCCAAGCTATCCAAATATCCTCCTGCATTTTCCACAACAAGAGTGTTTCAAAACTGCTCTATCAATAGAAATGTTCAACTCCTTTGGCTGGGTACACACATCACAAACAAGTTTCTGAGAATGCTTCTGTCTAGTTTTTATGGGAAGACGTTCCCTTTTTCACCAAAGGCATCAAAGCGCTCCAAATGTCCACTTCCAGACACTACAAAAAGGGTGTTTCAAACGTGCTCTAAGAAAGCAAATGTTCAACTCTGTGACTTGAATGCAGATATCACAAAGTAGTTTCTGAGAGGGCTTCTGTCTAGATTTTAGATGATGATATTCCCGTTTCCAACGAAATCATTAGAGCTATCCAAATATCCACTTACAGTTTCTACAAAAAGAGTGTTTCCAAACTGCTGCATCAAAAGAGAGGTTCCACTCTGTTAGCTGAGTACACACATCACAAACTTGTTTCTCAGAATCCTTCTGTCTCGTTTTTCTGGGAAGATATTTACTTTTTCACCGTAGGCATCAAAGCGCTCCAAATGTCCACATCCAGATACTCCAGAAAGAGTGTTTCAAACCTGCTCTATGAAAGGGAATCTTCAACTCTATGAGTTGAATGCAGACATCAGAAAGAAATTTCTGAGAATGCTGCTGTCTACCTTTTATTTGAATTCCCGCTTCCAACGAAATCCTCCAAGCTATCCAAATATCCACTTGCAGATTCCACAAAAAGAGTGTTTCCAAACTGCTCTCTATCAATGGCAAAGTTCAACTGCTGTTAGTTGAGGACACATATCACCAACAAGTTTCTGAGAATGCTTATCTGTCTATTTTTTATGGGAAGATATTTCCTTTTTCACCGTAGGCGTCAAGGCGATCGAAATGTCCACTTCCACAAACTACAAAAAGAGTGTTTCAAACCTGCTCTATGAAAGGCAATGTTCATCTCTATGAGTTGAATGGAAATATCCGAAAGAAATTTCTGGGAATGCTGCTGTCTAGTTTTTATACGAATTCCCGCTTCCAACGAAATCCTCAAAGCAATCCAAATATCCACTTGCAGAATCCACAAAAAGAGTGTTTCAAAACTGCTCTATCAATAGAAAGGTTCAACTCTTTTAGTTGAGTACACACATCACAAACAAGTTTCTGAGAATGCTTCTGTCTGGCTTTTATTGGAAGACGTTTCCTTTTCACCAAAGGCATCAAAGCGCTCCAAATGTCCACTTCCAGATTCTTCCAAAAGAGTGTTTCAAACGTGCTCAAAGTAAGGGAATGTTCAACTCTGTGACTTGAATGCAGATATCACCAAGTAGTTTCTAATAGTGCTTCTGTCTAGATTTCAGATGATGATATTCCCGTTTCCAACGAAATCGTTAGAGCTAAGCAAATATCCAGTTACAGTTTCTACCAAAAGGGTGTTTCCAAATTGCTGCATCAAAAGATAGGTTCAACTCTGTTAGTTGAGGACACACATCACAAAGAAGTTTGTGAGAATGCTTCTGTCTAGATTTTGTATGACGATATTCCCTTTTCCAACGATATCGTTAAAGCAATCTAAATATCAATTTGCAGAATCCACAAAAATAGAGTTTCAAAGCTGCTCTGTAAAAAGAAAGGTTCCACTCTGTTAGCTGAGTACACACATCACAAACTTGTTTCTCAGAATCCTTCTGTCTCGTTTTTATGGGAAGATATTTACTTTTCCACCGTAGGCATCAAAGCGCTCCAAATGTCCACATCCAGATACTCCAGAACGAGTGTTTCAAACCTGCTCTATGAAAGGGAATCTTCAACTCTATGAGTTGAATGCAGACATCAGAAAGAAATTTCTGAAAATGCTGCTGTCTACCTTTTATTTGAATTCCCGCTTCCAACGAAATCCTCCAAGCTATCCAAATATCCACTTGCAGATTCCACAAAAAGAGTGTTTCAAAACTGCTCTATCAATAGAAATGTTCAACTCCTTTAGCTGGGTACACACATCACAAACAAGTTTCTGAGAATGCTTCTGTCTAGTTTTTATGGGAAGACGTTCCCTTTTTCACCAAAGGCATCAAAGCGCTCCAAATGTCCACTTCCAGACACTACAAAAAGATTGTTTCCAACGTGCTCTAAGAAAGCGAATGTTCAACTCTGTGACTTGAATGCAGATATCACAAAGTAGTTTCTGAGAGGGCTTCTGTCTAGATTTTAGATGATGATATTCCCGTTTCCAACGAAATCATTAGAGCTATCCAAATATCCACTTACAGTTTCTACAAAAAGAGTGTTTCCAAACTGCTGCATCAAAAGAGAGGTTCCACTCTGTTAGCTGAGTACACACATCACAAACTTGTTTCTCAGAATCCTTCTGTCTCGTTTTTATGGGAAGATATTTACTTTCTCACCGTAGGCATCAAAGCGCTCCAAATGTCCACATCCAGATACTCCAGAAAGAGTGTTTCAAACCTGCTCTATGAAAGGGAATCTTCAACTCTATGAGTTGAATGCAGACATCAGAAAGAAATTTCTGAGAATGCTGCTGTCTACCTTTTATTTGAATTCCCGCTTCCAACGAAATCCTCCAAGCTATCCAAATATCCACTTGCAGATTCCACAAAAAGAGTGTTTCAAAACTGCTCTCTATCAATGGCAAAGATCCACTCTGTTAGTTGAGGACACATATCACCAACAAGTTTCTGAGAATGCTCTGTCTATTTTTTATGGGAAGATATTTCCTTTTTCACCGTAGGCATCAAGGCGATCGAAATGTCCACTTCCACAAACTACAAAAAGAGTGTTTCAAACCTGCTCTATGAAAGGCGATGTTCATCTCTATAAGTTGAATGGAAATATCCGAAAGAAATTTCTGGGAATGCTGGCTGTCTAGTGTTTATACGAATTCCCGCTTCCAACGAAATCCTCAAAGCAATCCAAATATCCACTTGCAGAATCCACAAAAAGAGTGTTTCAAAACTGCGCTATCAAAAGAAAGGTTCAACTCTTTTAGTTGAGTACACACATCACGAACAAGTTTCTGAGAATGCTTCTCTCTGGCTTTTATTGGAAGACGTTTCCTTTTCACCAAAGGCATCAAAGCGCTCCAAATGTCCACTTCCAGATTCTTCCAAAAGAGTGTTTCAAACGTGCTCAAAGTAAGGGAATGTTCAACTCTGTGACTTGAATGCAGATATCACCAAGTAGTTTCTAATAGTGCTTCTGTCTAGATTTTAGATGATGATATTCCCGTTTCCAACGAAATCGCTAGAGCTATCCAAATATCCAGTTACAGTTTCTACTAAAAGGGTGTTTCCAAATTGCTGCATCAAAAGAAAGGTTCAACTCTGTTAGTTGAGGACACACATCACAAAGAAGTTTGTGAGAATGCTTCTGTCTAGATTTTGTATGACGGTATTCCCTTTTCCAACGATATCGTTAAAGCAATCTAAATATCAATTTGCAGAATCCACAACAATAGAGTTTCAAAGCTGCTCTGTAAAAAGAAAGGTTCCACTCTGTTAGCTGAGTACACACATCACAAACTTGTTTCTGAGAATCCTTCTGTCTCGTTTTTATGGGAAGATATTTACTTTTTCACCGTAGGCATCAAAGCGCTCCAAATGTCCACATCCAGATACTCCAGAAAGAGTGTTTCAAACCTACTCTATGAAAGGGAATCTTCAACTCTATGAGTTGAATGCAGACATCAGAAAGAAATTTCTGAGAATGCTGCTGTCTAACTTTTATTTGAATTCCCGCTTCCAACGAAATCCTCCAAGCTATCCAAATATCCACCTGCATTTTCCACAACAAGAGTGTTTCAAAACTGCTCTATCAATAGAAATGTTCAACTCCTTTGGCTGGGTACACACATCACAAACAAGTTTCTGAGAATGCTTCTGTCTAGTTTTTATGGGAAGACATTCCCTTTTTCACCAAAGGCATCAAAGCGCTCCAAATGTCCACTTCCAGACACTACAAAAAGAGGGTTTCAAACGTGCTCTAAGAAAGCGAATGTTCAACTCTGTGACTTGAATGCAGATATCACAAAGTAGTTTCTGAGAGGGCTTCTGTCTAGATTTTAGATGATGATATTCCCGTTTCCAACGAAATCATTAGAGCTATCCAAATATCCACTTACAGTTTCCACAAAAAGAGTGTTTCCAAACTGCTGCATCAAAAGAGAGGTTCCACTCTGTTAGCTGAGTACACACATCACAAACTTGTTTCTCAGAATCCTTCTGTCTCGTTTTTATGGGAAGATATTTACTTTCTCACCGTAGGCATCAAAGCGCTCCAAATGTCCACATCCAGATACTCCAGAAAGAGTGTTTCAAACCTGCTCTATGAAAGGGAATCTTCAACTCTATGAGTTGAATGCAGGCATCAGAAAGAAATTTCTGAGAATGCTGCTGTCTACCTTTTATTTGAATTCCCGCTTCCAACGAAATCCTCCAAGCTATCCAAATATCCACTTGCAGATTCCACAAAAAGAGTGTTTCAAAACTGCTCTCTATCAATGGCAAAGTTCAACTCTGTTAGTTGAGGACACATATCACCAACAAGTTTCTGAGAATGCTTCTGTCTATTTTTTATGGGTAGATATTTCCTTTTTCACCGTAGGCATCAAGGCGATCGAAATGTCCACTTCCACAAACTACAAAAAGAGTGTTTCAAACCTGCTCTATGAAAGGCCATGTTCATCTCTATGAGTTGAATGGAAATATCCGAAAGAAATTTCTGGGAATGCTGCTGTCTAGTTTTTATACGAATTCCCGCTTCCAACGAAATCCTCAAAGCAATCCAAATATCCACTTGCAGAATCCACAAAAAGAGTGTTTCAAAACTGCTCTATCAATAGAAAGGTTCAACTCTTTTAGTTGAGTACACACATCACAAACAAGTTTCTGAGAATGCTTCTGTCTGGCTTTTATTGGAAGACGTTTCCTTTTCACCAAAGGCATCAAAGCGCTCCAAATGTCCACTTCCAGATTCTTCCAAAAGAGTGTTTCAAACGTGCTCAAAGTAAGGGAATGTTCAACTCTGTGACTTGAATGCAGATATCACTAAGTAGTTTCTAATAGTGCTTCTGTCTAGATTTTAGATGATGATATTCCCGTTTCCAACGAAATCGTTAGAGCTATCCAAATATCCACTTATAGTTGCTACAAAAACAGTGTTTCCAAACTGCTGCATCAAAAGAAAGGTTCAACTCTGTTAGTTGAGGACACACGTCACAAAGAAGTTTGTGAGAATGCTTCTGTCTAGATTTTGTATGACGATATTCCCTTTTCCAACGATATCATTAAAGCAATCTAAATATCAATTTGCAGAATCCACAAAAATAGAGTTTCAAAGCTGCTCTGTAAAAAGAAAGGTTCCACTCTGTTAGCTGAGTACACACATCACAAACTTGTTTCTGAGAATCCTTCTGTCTCGTTTTTATGGGAAGATATTTACTTTTCCACTGTAGGCATCAAAGCGCTCCAAATGTCCACATCCAGATACTCCAGAACGAGTGTTTCAAACCTGCTCTATGAAAGGGAATCTTCAACTCTATGAGGTTGAATGCAGACATCAGAAAGAAATTTCTGAGAATGCTGCTGTCTACCTTTTATTTGAATTCCCGCTTCCAACGAAATCCTCCAAGCTATCCAAATATCCACCTGCATTTTCCACAAAAAGAGTGTTTCAAACCTGCTCTATCAATAGAAATGTTCAACTCCTTTGGCTGGGTACACACATCACAAACAAGTTTCTGAGAATGCTTCTGTCTAGTTTTTATGGGAAGACATTCCCTTTTTCACCAAAGGCATCAAAGCGCTCCAAATGTCCACTTCCAGACACTACAAAAAGAGTGTTTCAAACGTGCTCTAAGAAAACGAATGTTCAAATCTGTGACTTGAATGCAGATATCACAAAGTGGTTTCTGAGAGGGCTTCTCTCTAGATTTTAGATGATGATATTCCCGTTTCCAACGAAATCATTAGAGCTATCCAAATATCCACTTACAGTTTCTACAAAAAGAGTGTTTCCAAACTGCTGCATCAAAAGAGAGGTTCCACTCTGTTAGCTGAGTACAAACATCACAAACTTGTTTCTGAGAATCCTTCTGTCTCGTTTTTATGGGAAGATATTTACTTTTTCACCGTAGGCATCAAAGCGCTCCAAATGTCCACATCCAGATACTCCAGAAAGAGTGTTTCAAACCTGTTCTATGAAAGGGAATGTTCAACTCTATGAGTTGAATGCAGACATCAGAAAGAAATTTCTGAGAATGCTGCTGTCTACCTTTTATTTGAATTCCCGCTTCCAACGAAATCCTCCAAGCTATCCAAATATCCACTTGCAGATTCCACAAAAAGAGTGTTTCAAAACTGCTCTCTATCAATGGCAAAGTTCAACTCTGTTAGTTGAGGACACATATCACCAACAAGTTTCTGAGAATGCTTCTGTCTATTTTTTATGGGAAGATATTTCCTTTTTCACCGTAGGCGTCAAGGCGATCGAAATGTCCACTTCCACAAACTACAAAAAGCGTGTTTCAAACCTGCTCTATGAAAGGCCATGTTCATCTCTATGAGTTGAATGGAAATATCCGAAAGAAATTTCTGGGAATGCTGCTGTCTAGTTTTTATACGAATTCCCGCTTCCAACGAAATCCTCAAAGCAATCCAAATATCCACTTGCAGAATCCACAAAAAGAGTGTTTCAAAACTGCTCTATCAATAGAAAGGTTCAACTCTTTTAGTTGAGTACACACATCACAAACAAGTTTCTGAGAATGCTTCTGTCTGGCTTTTATTGGAAGACGTTTCCTTTTCACCAAAGGCATCAAAGCGCTCCAAATGTCCACTTCCAGATTCTTCCAAAAGAGTGTTTGAAACGTGCTCAAAGTAAGGGAATGTTCAACTCTGTGACTTGAATGCAGATATCACCAAGTAGTTTCTAATAGTGCTTGTCTGTCTACATTTTAGATGATGATATTCCCGTTTCCAACGAAATCGTTAGAGCTATCCAAATATCCAGTTACAGTTTCTACCAAAAGGGTGTTTCCAAATTGCTGCATCAAAAGAAAGGTTCAACTCCGTTAGTTGAGGACACACATCACAAACAAGTTTGTGAGAATGCTTCTGTCTAGATTTTGTATGACCATATTCCCTTTTCCAACGATATCGTTAAAGCAATCTAAATATCCATTTGCAGAATCCACAAAAATAGAGTTTCAAAGCTGCTCTGTAAAAAGAAAGGTTCCACTCTGTTAGCTGAGTACACACATCACAAACTTGTTTCTCAGAATCCTTCTGTCTCGTTTTTATGGGAAGATATTTACTTTTCCACCGTAGGCATCAAAGCGCTCCAAATGTCCACATCCAGATACTCCAGAAAGACTGTTTCAAACCTGCTCTATGAAAGGGAATCTTCAACTCTATGAGTTGAATGCAGACATCAGAAAGAAATTTCTGAGAATTCTGCTGTCTACCTTTTATTTGAATTCCCGCGTCCAACGAAATCCTCCAAGCTATCCAAATATCCACTTGCATTTTCCACAAAAAGAGTGTTTCAAAACTGCTCTATCAATAGAAATGTTCAACTCCTTTAGCTGGGTACACACATCACAAACAAGTTTCCTGAGAATGCTTCTTTCTAGTTTTTATGGGAAGACATTCCCTTTCTCACCAAAGGCATCAAAGCGCTCCAAATGTCCACTTCCAGACACTACAAAAAGAGTGTTTCAAACGTGCTCTAAGAAAGCGAATATTCAACTCTGTGACTTGAATGCAGATATCACAAAGTAGTTTCTGAGAGGGCTTCTGTCTAGATTTTAGATGATGATATTCCCGTTTCCAACGAAATCATTAGAGCTATCCAAATATCCACTTACAGTTTCTACAAAAAGAGTGTTTCCAAACTGCTGCATCAAAAGAGAGGTTCCACTCTGTTAGCTGAGTACACACATCACAAACTTGATTCTCAGAATCCTTCTGTCTCGTTTTTATGGGAAGATATTTACTTTTTCACCGTAGGCATCAAAGCGCTCCAAATGTCCACATCCAGATACTCCACAAAGAGTGTTTCAAACCTGCTCTATGAACGGGAATCTTCAACTCTATGAGTTGATTGCAGACATCAGAAAGAAATTTCTGAGAATGCTGCTGTCTACCTTTTATTTGAATTCCCGCTTCCAACGAAATCCTCCAAGCTATCCAAATATCCACTTGCAGATTCCACAAAAAGAGTGTTTCAAAACTGCTCTCTATCAATGGCAAAGTTCAACTCTGTTAGTTGAGGACACATATCACCAACAAGTTTCTGAGAATGCTTCTGTCTGTTTTTTATGGGAAGATATTTCCTTTTTCACCGTAGGCGTCAAGGCGATCGAAATGTCCACTTCCACAAACTACAAAAAGAGTGTTTCAAACCTGCTCTATGAAAGGCCATGTTCATCTCTATGAGTCGAATGGAAATATCCGAAAGAAATTTCTGGGAATGCTGCTGTCTAGTTTTTATACGAATTCCCGCTTCCAACGAAATCCTCAAAGCAATCCAAATATCCACTTGCAGAATCCACAAAAAGAGTGTTTCAAAACTGCTCTATCAATAGAAAGGTTCAACTCTTTTAGTTGAGTACACACATCACAAACAAGTTTCTGAGAATGCTTCTGTCTGGCTTTTATTGGAAGACGTTTCCTTTTCACCAAAGGCATCAAAGCGCTCCAAATGTCCACTTCCAGATTCTTCCAAAAGAGTGTTTGAAACGTGCTCAAAGTAAGGGAATGTTCAACTCTGTGACTTGAATGCAGATATCACCAACTAGTTTCTAATAGTGCTTCTGTCTAGATTTTAGATGATGATATTCCCGTTTCCAACGAAATCGTTAGAGCTATCCAAATATCCACTCACAGTTTCTACAAAAAGAGTGTTTCCAAACTGCTGCATCAAAATAAAGGTTCAACTCTGTTAGTTGAGGACACACATCACAAAGAAGTTTGTGAGAATGCTTCTGTCTAGATTTTGTATGACGATATTCCCTTTTCCAACGATATCGTTAAAGCAATCTAAATATCCATTTGCAGAATCCACAAAAATAGAGTTTCAAAGCTGCTCTGTAAAAAGAAAGGTTCCACTCTGTTAGCTGAGTACACACATCACAAACTTGTTTCTGAGAATCCTTCTGTCTCGTTTTTATGGGAAGATATTTACTTTTTCACCGTAGGCATCAAAGCGCTCCAAATGTCCACATCCAGATACTCCAGAAAGAGTGTTTCAAACCTGCTCTATGAAAGGGAATCTTCAACTCTATGAGTTGAATGCAGACATCAGAAAGAAATTTCTGAGAATGCTGCTGTCTACCTTTTATTTGAATTCCCGCTTCCAACGAAATCCTCCAAGCTATCCAAATATCCACCTGCATTTTCCACAACAAGAGTGTTTCGAAACTGCTCTATCAATAGAAATGTTCAACTCCTTTGGCTGGGTACACACATCACAAACAAGTTTCTGAGAATGCTTCTGTCTAGTTTTTATGGGAAGACATTCCCTTTTTCACCAAAGGCATCAAAGCGCTACAAATGTCCACTTCCAGACACTACAAAAAGAGTGTTTCAAACGTGCTCTAAGAAACCGGATGTTCAACTCTGTGACTTGAATGCAGATATCACAAAGTAGTTTCTGAGAGGGCTTCTGTCTAGATTTTAGATGATGATATTCCCGTTTCCAACGAAATCATTAGAGCTATCCAAATATCCACTTACAGTTTCTACAAAAAGAGTGTTTCCAAACTGCTGCATCTAAAGAGAGGTTCCACTCTGTTAGCTGAGTACACACATCAAAATCTTGTTTCTGAGAATCCTTCTGTCTCGTTTTTATGGGAAGATTATACTTTTTCACCGTAGGCATCAAAGCGCTCCAAATGTCCACATCCAGATACTCCAGAAAGAGTGTTTCAAACCTGCTCTATGAAAGGGAATCTTCAACTCTATGAGTTGAATGCAGACATCAGAAAGAAATTTCTGAGAATGCTGCTGTCTACCTTTTATTTGAATTCCCGCTTCCAACGAAATCCTCCAAGCTATCCAAATATCCACTTGCAGATTCCACAAAAAGAGTGTTTCAAAACTGCTCTCTATCAATGGCAAAGTTCAACTCTGTTAGTTGAGGACACATATCACCAACAAGTTTCTGAGAATGCTTCTGTCTATTTTTTATGGGAAGATACTTCCTTTTTCACCGTAGGCGTCAAGGCGATCGAAATGTCCACTTCCACAAACTACAAAAAGAGTGTTTCAAACCTGCTCTATGAAAGGCCATGTTCATCTCTATGAGTTGAATGGAAATATCCAAAAGAAATTTCTGGGAATGCTGCTGTCTAGTTGTTATACGAATTCCCGCTTCCAACGAAATCCTCAAAGCAATCCAAATATCCACTTGCAGAATCCACAAAAAGAGTGTTTCAAAACTGCTCTATCAATAGAAAGGTTCAACTCTTTTAGTTGAGTACACACATCACAAACAAGTTTCTGAGAATGCTTCTGTCTGGCTTTTATTGGAAGACGTTTCCTTTTCACCAAAGGCATCAAAGCGCTCCAAATGTCCACTTCCAGATTCTTCCAAAAGAGTGTTTCAAACGTGCTCAAAGTAAGGGAATGTTCAACTCTGTGACTTGAATGCAGATATCACCAAGTAGTTTCTAATAGTGCTTCTGTCTAGATTTTAGATGATGATATTCCCGTTTCCAACGAAATCATTAGAGCTATCCAAATATCCAGTTACAGTTTCTACCAAAAGGGTGTTTCCAAATTGCTGCATCAAAAGAAAGGTTCAACTCTGTTAGTTGAGGACACACATCACAAAGAAGTTTGTGAGAATGCTTCTGTCCAGATTTTGTATGACGATATTCCCTTTTCCAACGATATCGTTAAAGCAATCTAAATATCAATTTGCAGAATCCACAAAAATAGAGTTTCAAAGCTGCTCTGTAAAAAGAAAGGTTCCACTCTGTTAGCTGAGTACACACATCACAAACTTGTTTCTCAGAATCCTTCTGTCTCGTTTTTCTGGGAAGATATTTACTTTTTCACCGTAGACATCAAAGCGCTCCAAATGTCCACATCCAGATACTCCAGAAAGAGTGTTTCAAACCTGCTCTATGAAAGGGAATCTTCAACTCTATGAGTTGAATGCAGACATCAGAAAGAAATTTCTGAGAATGCTGCTGTCTACCTTTTATTTGAACTCCCGCTTCCAACGAAATCCTCCAAGCTATCCAAATATCCACTTGCATTTTCCACAAAAAGAGTGCTTCAAAACTGCTCTATCAATAAATGTTCAACTCCTTTAGCTGGGTGCACACATCACAAACAAGTTTCTGAGAATGCTTCTGTGTAGTTTTTATGGGTAGACATTCCCTTTTTCACCAAAGGAATCAAAGCGCTCCAAATGTCCACTTCCAGACACTACAAAAAGAGTGTTTCAAACGTGCTCTAAGAAAGCGAATGTTCAACTCTGTGACTTGAATGCAGATATCACAAAGTAGTTTCTGAGAGTGCTTCTGTCTAGATTTTAGATGATGATATTCCCGTTTCCAACGAAATCATTAGAGCTATCCAAATATCCACTTACAGTTTCTACAAAAAAAGTGTTTCCAAACTGCTGCATCAGAAGAGAGGTTCCACTCTGTTAGCTGAGTACACACATCACAAACTTGTTTCTCAGAATCCTTCTGTCTCGTTTTTATGGGAAGATATTTACTTTCTCACCGTAGGCATCAAAGCGCTCCAAATGTCCACATCCAGATACTCCAGAAAGAGTGTTTCAAACCTGCTCTATGAAAGGGAATCTTCAACTCTATGAGTTGAATGCAGACATCAGAAAGAAATTTCTGAGAATGCTGCTGTCTGCCTTTTATTTGAATTCCCGCTTCCAACGAAATCCTCCAAGCTATCCAAATATCCACTTGCAGATTCCACAAAAAGAGTGTTTCAAAACTGCTCTCTATCAATGGCAAAGTTCAACTCTGTTAGTTGAGGACACATATCACCAACAAGTTTCTGAGAATGCTTCTGTCTATTTTTTATGGGAAGATATTTCCTTTTTCACCGTAGGCGTCAAGGCGATCGAAATGTCCACTTCCACAAACTACAAAAAGAGTGTTTCAAACCTGCTCTATGAAAGGCCATGTTCATCTCTATGACTTGAATGGAAATATCCGAAAGAAATTTCTGGGAATGCTGCTGTCTAGTTTTTATACGAATTCCCGCTTCCAACGAAATCCTCAAAGCAATCCAAATATCCACTTGCAGAATCCACAAAAAGAGTGTTTCAAAACTGCTCTATCAATAGAAAGGTTCAACTCTTTTAGTTGAGTACACACATCACAAACAAGTTTCTGAGAATGCTTCTGTCTGGCTTTTATTGGAAGACGTTTCCTTTTCACCAAAGGCATCAAAATGCTCCAAATGTCCACTTCCAGATTCTTCCAAAAGAGTGTTTCAAACGTGCTCAAAGTAAGGGAATGTTCAACTCTTTGACTTGAATGCAGATATCACCAAGTAGTTTCTAATAGTGCTTCTGTCTAGATTTTAGATGACGATATTCCCGTTTCCAGCGAAATCGTTAGAGCTATCCAAATATCCACTTACAGTTTCTACAAAAAGAGTGTTTCCAAACTGCTGCATCAAAAGAAAGGTTCAACTCTGTTAGTTGAGGACACACATCACAAAGAAGTTTGTGAGAATGCTTCTGTCTAGATGTTGTATGACCATATTCCCTTTTCCAACAATATCGTTAAAGCAATCTAAATATCAATTTGCAGAATCCACAAAAATAGAGTTTCAAAGCTGCTCTGTAAAAAGAAAGGTTCCACTCTGTTAGCTGAGTACACACATCACAAACTTGTTTCTGAGAATCCTGCTGTCTACCTTTTATTTGAATTCCCGCTTCCAACGAAATCCTCCAAGCTATCCAAATATCCACTTGCATTTTCCACAAAAAGAGTGTTTCAAAACTGCTCTATCAATAGAAATGTTCAACTCTTTTAGCTGGGTACACACATCACAAACAAGTTTCTGAGAATGCTTCTGTCTAGTTTTCATGGGAAGACATTCCCTTTTTCACCAAAGGCATCAAAGCGCTCCAAATGTCCACTTCCAGACACCACAGAAAGAGTGTTTCCAACGTGCTCTAAGAAAGCGAATGTTCAACTCTGTGACTTGAATGCAGATATCACAAAGTAGTTTCTGAGAGGGCTTCTGTCTAGATTTTAGATGATGATATTCCCGTTTCCAACGAAATCATTAGAGCTATCCAAATATCCACTTACAGTTTCTGCAAAAAGAGTGTTTCCAAACTGCTGCATCAAAAGAGAGGTTCCACTCTGTTAGCTGAGTACACACATCACAAACTTGTTTCTCAGAATCCTTCTGTCTCGTTTTTATGGGAAGATATTTACTTTTTCACCGTAGGCATCAAAGCGCTCCAAATGTCCACATCCAGATACTCCAGAAAGAGTATTTCAAACCTGCCCTATGAAAGGGAATGTTCAACTCTATGAGTTGAATGCAGAGATCAGAAAGAAATTTCTGAGAATGCTGCTGTCTACCTTTTATTTGAATTCCCGCTTCCAACGAAATCCTCCAAGCTATCCAAATATCCACTTGCAGATTCCACAAAAAGAGTGTTTCAAAACTGCTCTCTATCAATGGCAAAGTTCAACTCTGTTAGTTGAGGACACATATCACCAACAAGTTTCTGAGAATGCTTCTGTCTATTTTTTATGGGAAGATATTTCCTTTTTCAGCGTAGGCGTCAAGGCGATCGAAATGTCCACTTCCACAAACTACAAAAAGAGTGTTTCAAACCTGCTCTATGAAAGGCCATGTTCATCTCTATGAGTTGAATGGAAATATCCGAAAGAAATTTCTGGGAATGCTGCTGTCTAGTGTTTATACGAATTCCCGCTTCCAACGAAATCCTCAAAGCAATCCAAATATCCACTTGCAGAATCCACAAAAAGAGTGTTTCAAAACTGCGCTATCAATAGAAAGGTTCAACTCTTTTAGTTGAGTACACACATCACAAACAAGTTTCTGAGAATGCTTCTGTCTGGCTTTTATTGGAAGACGTTTCCTTTTCACCAAAGGCATCAAAGCGCTCCAAATGTCCACTTCCAGATTCTTCCAAAAGAGTGTTTCAAACGTGCTCAAAGTAAGGGAATGTTCAACTCTTTGACTTGAATGCAGATATCACCAAGTAGTTTCTAATAGTGCTTCTGTCTAGATTTTAGATGATGATATTCCCGATTCCAACGAAATCGTTAGAGCTATCCAAATATCCACTTACAGTTTCTACAAAAAGAGTGTTTCCAAACTGCTGCATCAAAAGAAAGGTTCAACTCTGTTAGTTGAGGACACACATCACAAAGAAGTTTGTGAGAATGCTTCTGTCTAGATTTTGTATGACGATATTCCCTTTTCCAACGATATCGTTAAATCAATCTAAATATCAATTTGCAGAATCCACAAAAATAGAGTTTCAAAGCTGCTCTGTAAAAAGAAAGGTTCCACTCTGTTAGCTGAGTACACACATCACAAACTTGTTTCTCAGAATCCTTCTGTCTCGTTTTTATGGGAAGATATTTACTTTTTCACCATAGGCATCAAAGCGCTCCAAATGTCCACATCCAGATACTCCAGAAAGACTGTTTCAAACCTGCTCTATGAAAGGGAATCTTCAACTCTATGAGTTGAATGCAGACATCAGAAAGAAATTTCTGAGAATGCTGCTGTCTACCTTTTATTTGAATTCCCGCTTCCAACGAAATCCTCCAAGCTATCCAAATATCCACCTGCATTTTCCACAACAAGAGTGATTCAAAACTGCTCTATCAATAGAAATGTTCAACTCCTTTGGCTGGGTACACACATCACAAACAAGTTTCTGAGAATGCTTCTGTCTAGTTTTTATGGGAAGACATTCCCTTTTTCACCAAGGCATCAAAGCGCTCCAAATGTCCACTTCCAGACACTACAAAAAGAGTGTTTCCAACGTGCTCTAAGAAAGCGAATGTTCAACTCTGTGACTTGAATGCAGATATCACAAAGTAGTTTCTGAGAGGGCTTCTGTCTAGATTTTAGATGATGATATTCCCGTTTCCAACGAAATCATTAGAGCTATCCAAATATCCACTTCCAGTTTCTACAAAAAGAGTGTTTCCAAACTACTGCATCAAAAGAGAGGTTCCACTCTGTTAGCTGAGTACACACATCACAAACTAGTTTCTCAGAATCCTTCTGTCTCGTTTTTATGGGAAGATATTTACTTTTTCACCGTAGGCATCAAAGCGCTCCAAATGTCCACATCCAGATACTACAGAAAGAGTATTTCAAACCTGCCCTATGAAAGGGAATGTTCAACTCTATGAGTTGAATGCAGACATCAGAAAGAAATTTCTGAGAATGCTGCTGTCTACCTTTTATTTGAATTCCCGCTTCCAACGAAATCCTCCAAACTATCCAAATATCCACTTGCAGATTCAGGAAAAAGAGTGTTTCAAAACTGCTCTCTATCAATGGCAAAGTTCAACTCTGTTAGTTGAGGACACATATCACCAACAAGTTTTCTGAGAATGCTTCTGTCTATTTTTTATGGGAGGATATTTCCTTTTTCACCGTAGGCGTCAAGGCGATCGAAATGTCCACTTCCACAAACTACAAAAAGAGTGTTTCAAACCTGCTCTATGAAAGGCCATGTTCATCTCTATGAGTTGAATGGAAATATCCGAAAGAAATTTCTGGGAATGCTGCTGTCTAGTTTTTATACGAATTCCCGCTTCCAACGAAATCCTCAAAGCAATCCAAATATCCACTTGCAGAATCCACAAAAAGAGTGTTTCAAAACTGCTCTATCAATAGAAAGGTTCAACTCTTTTAGTTGAGTACACACATCACAAACAAGTTTCTGAGAATGCTTCTGTCTGGCTTTTATTGGAAGACGTTTCCTTTTCACCAAAGGCATCAAAGCGCTCCAAATGTCCACTTCCAGATTCTTCCAAAAGAGTGTTTGAAACGTGCTCAAAGTAAGGGAATGTTCAACTCTGTGACTTGAATGCAGATATCACCAAGTAGTTTCTAATAGTGCTTTCTGTCTAGATTTTAGATGATGATATTCCCGTTTCCAACGAAATCGTTAGAGCTATCCAAATATCCACTTACAGTTGCTACAAAAACAGTGTTTCCAAACTGCTGCATCAAAAGAAAGGTTCAACTCTGTTAGTTGAGGACACACATCACAAAGAAGTTTGTGAGAATGCTTCTGTCTAGATTTTGTATGACCATATTCCCTTTTCCAACGATATCGTTAAAGCAATCTAAATATCAATTTGCAGAATCCACAAAAATAGAGTTTCAAAGCTGCTCTGTAAAAAGAAAGGTTCCACTCTGTTAGCTGAGTACACACATCACAAACTTGTTTCTGAGAATCCTTCTGTCTCGTTTTTATGGGAAGATATTTACTTTTTCACCGTAGGCATCAAAGCGCTCCAAATGTCCACATCCAGATACTACAGAAAGAGTATTTCAAACCTGCTCTATGAAAGGGAATCTTCAACTCTATGAGTTGAATGCAGACATCAGAAAGAAATTTCTGAGAATGCTGCTGTC
Organism: Homo sapiens; assembly: GCF_000001405.40. Lineage (NCBI taxonomy): Eukaryota > Metazoa > Chordata > Mammalia > Primates > Hominidae > Homo > Homo sapiens. The sequence continues at coordinate 14,667,632 of NC_000022.11, read as the reverse complement.
TAACTTTTATTTGAATTCCCGCTTCCAACGAAATCCTCCAAGCTATCCAAATATCCACCTGCATTTTCCACAAAAAGAGTGTTTCAAAACTGCTCTATCAATAGAAATGTTCAACTCCTTTGGCTGGGTACACACATCACAAACAAGTTTCTGAGAATGCTTCTGTCTAGTTTTTATGGGTAGACATTCCCTTTTTCACCAAAGGAATCAAAGCGCTCCAAATGTCCACTTCCAGACACTACAAAAAGAGTGTTTCAAACGTGCTCTAAGAAAGCGAATGTTCAACTCTGTGACTTGAATGCAGATATCACAAAGTAGTTTCTGAGAGGGCTTCTGTCTAGATTTTAGATGATGATATTCCCGTTTCCAACGAAATCATTAGAGCTATCCAAATATCCACTTACAGTTTCTACAAAAAGAGTGTTTCCAAACTGCTGCATCAAAAGAGAGGTTCCACTCTGTTAGCTGAGCACACACATCACAAACTTGTTTCTCAGAATCCTTCTGTCTCGTTTTTATGGGAAGATATTTACTTTTTCACCGTAGGCATCAAAGCGCTCCAAATGTCCACATCCAGATACTACAGAAAGAGTATTTCAAACCTGCCCTATGAAAGGGAATCTTCAACTCTATGAGTTGAATGCAGACATCAGAAAGAAATTTCTGAGAATGCTGCTGTCTACCTTTTATTTGAATTCCCGCTTCCAACGAAATCCTCCAAGCTATCCAAATATCCACTTGCAGATTCCACAAAAAGAGTGTTTCAAAACTGCTCTCTATCAATGGCAAAGTTGAACTCTGTTAGTTGAGGACACATATCACCAACAAGTTTCTGAGAATGCTTCTGTCTATTTTTTATGGGAAGATATTTCCTTTTTCACCGTAGGCGTCAAGGCGATCGAAATGTCCACTTCCACAAACTACAAAAAGAGTGTTTCAAACCTGCTCTATGAAAGGCCATGTTCATCTCTATGAGTCGAATGGAAATATCCGAAAGAAATTTCTGGGAATGCTGCTGTCTAGTTTTTATACGAATTCCCGCTTCCAACGAAATCCTCAAAGCAATCCAAATATCCACTTGCAGAATCCACAAAAAGAGTGTTTCAAAACTGCTCTATCAATAGAAAGGTTCAACTCTTTTTAGTTGAGTACACACATCACAAACAAGTTTCTGAGAATGCTTCTGTCTGGCTTTTATTGGAAGACGTTTCCTTTTCACCAAAGGCATCAAAGCGCTCCAAATGTCCACTTCCAGATTCTTCCAAAAGAGTGTTTGAAACGTGCTCAAAGTAAGGGAATGTTCAACTCTGTGACTTGAATGCAGATATCACCAAGTAGTTTCTAATAGTGCTTCTGTCTAGATTTTAGATGATGATATTCCCGTTTCCAACAAAATCGTTAGAGCTATCCAAATATCCACTTACAGTTGCTACAAAAACAGTGTTTCCAAACTGCTGCATCAAAAGAAAGGTTCAACTCTGTTAGTTGAGGACACACGTCACAAAGAAGTTTGTGAGAATGCTTCTGTCTAGGTTTTGTATGACGATATTCCCTTTTCCAACGATATCGTTAAAGCAATCTAAATATCAATTTGCAGAATCCACAAAAATAGAGTTTCAAAGCTGCTCTGTAAAAAGAAAGGTTCCACTCTGTTAGCTGAGTACACACATCACAAACTTGTTTCTCAGAATCCTTCTGTCTCTTTTTTATGGGAAGATATTTACTTTTTCACCGTAGGCATCAAAGCGCTCCAAATGTCCACATCCAGATACTCCAGAAAGAGTGTTTCAAACCTGCTCTATGAAAGGGAATCTTCAACTCTATGAGTTGAATGCAGACATCAGAAAGAAATTTCTGAGAATGCTGCTGTCTACCTTTTATTTGAATTCCCGCTTCCAACGAAATCCTCCAAGCTATCCAAATATCCACTTGCAGATTCCACAAAAAGAGTGTTTCAAAACTGCTCTCTATCAATGGCAAAGTTCAACTCTGTTAGTTGAGGACACATATCACCAACAAGTTTCTGAGAATGCTTCTGTCTATTGTTTATGGGAAGATATTTCCTTTTTCACCGTAGGCGTCAAGGCGATCGAAATGTCCACTTCCACAAACTACAAAAAGAGTGTTTCAAACCTGCTCTATGAAAGGCGATGTTCATCTCTATGAGTTGAATGGAAATATCCGAAAGAAATTTCTGGGAATGCTGCTGTCTAGTTTTTATATGAATTCCCGCTTCCAACGAAATCCTCAAAGCAATCCAAATATCCACTTGCAGAATCCACAAAAAGAGTGTTTCAAAACTGCTCTATCAATAGAAAGGTTCAACTCTTTTAGTTGAGTACACACATCACCAACAAGTTTCTGAGAATGCTTCTGTCTGGCTTTTATTGGAAGACGTTTCCTTTTCACCAAAGGCATCAAAGCGCTCCAAATGTCCACTTCCAGATTCTTCCAAAGGAGTGTTTCAAACGTGCTCGAAGTAAGGGAATGTTCTACTCTGTGACTTGAATGCAGATATCACCAAGTAGTTTCTAATAGTGCTTCTGTCTAGATTTTAGGTGATGATATTCCCGTTTCCAACGAAATCGTTAGAGCTATCCAAATATCCAGTTACAGTTTCTACCGAAAGGGTGTTTCCAAATTGCTGCATCAAAAGAAAGGTTCAACTCTGTTAGTTGAGGACACACATCACAAAGAAGTTTGTGAGAATGCTTCTGTCTAGATTTTGTATGACGATATTCCCTTTTCCAACGATATCGTTAAAGCAATCTAAATATCAATTTGCAGAATCCACGAAAATAGAGTTTCAAAGCTGCTCTGTAAAAAGAAAGGCTCCACTCTGTTAGCTGAGTACACACATCACAAACTTGTTTCTGAGAATCCTTCTGTCTCGTTTTTATGGGAAGATATTTACTTTTCCACCGTAGGCATCAAAGCGCTCCAAATGTCCACATCCAGATACTCCAGAAAGAGTATTTCAAACCTGCTCTATGAAAGGGAATCTTCAACTCTATGAGTTGAATGCAGACATCAGAAAGAAATTTCTGAGAATGCTGCTGTCTACCTTTTATTTGAATTCCCGCTTCCAACGAAATCCTCCAAGCTATCCAAATATCCACCTGCATTTTCCACAAAAAGAGTGTTTCAAAACTGCTCTATCAATAGAAATGTTCAACTCCTTTGGCTGGGTACACACATCACAAACAAGTTTCTGAAAATGCTTCTGTCTAGTTTTTATGGGTAGACATTCCCTTTTTCACCAAAGGAATCAAAGCGCTCCAAATGTCCACTTCCAGACACTACAAAAAGAGTGTTTCAAACGTGCTCTAAGAAAGCGAATGTTCAACTCTGTGACTTGAATGCAGATATCACACAGTAGTTTCTGAGAGGGCTTCTGTCTAGATTTTAGACGATGATATTCCCGTTTCCAACGAAATCATTAGAGCTATCCAAATATCCACTTACAGTTTCTACAAAAAGAGTGTTTCCAAACTGCTGCATCAAAAGAGAGGTTCCACTCTGTTAGCTGAGTACACACATCACAAACTTGTTTCTCAGAATCCTTTCTGTCTCGTTTTTATGGGAAGATATTTACTTTTTCAACGTAGGCATCAAAGCGCTCCAAATGTCCACATCCAGATACTCCACAAAGAGTGTTTCAAACCTGCTCTATGAAAGGGAATCTTCAACTCTATGAGTTGAATGCAGACATCAGAAAGAAATTCCTGAGAATGCTGCTGTCTACCTTTTATTTGAATTCCCGCTTCCAACGAAATCCTCCAAGCTATCCAAATATCCACTTGCAGATTCCACAAAAAGAGTGTTTCAAAACTGCTCTCTATCAATGGCAAAGTTCAACTCTGTTAGTTGAGGACACATATCAACAACAAGTTTCTGAGAATGCTTCTGTCTATTTTTTATGGGAAGATATTTCCTTTTTCACCGTAGGCGTCAAGGCGATCGAAATGTCCACTTCCACAAACTACAAAAAGAGTGTTTCAAACCTGCTCTATGAAAGGCCATGTTCATCTCTATGAGTTGAATGGATATATCCGAAAGAAATTTCTGGGAATGCTGCTGTCTAGTTTTTATACGAATTCCCGCTTCCAACGAAATCCTCAAAGCAATCCAAATATCCACTTGCAGAATCCACAAAAAGAGTGTTTCAAAACTGCTCTATCAATAGAAAGGTTCAACTCTTTTAGTTGAGTACACACATCACAAACAAGTTTGCTGAGAATGCTTCTGTCTGGCTTTTATTGGAAGCCGTTTCCTTTTCACCAAAGGCATCAAAGCGCTCCAAATGTCCACTTCCAGATTCTTCCAAAAGAGTGTTTCAAACGTGCTCAAAGTAAGGGAATGTTCAACTCTGTGACTTGAATGCAGATATCACCAAGTAGTTTCTAATAGTGCTTCTGTCTAGATTTTAGATGACGATATTCCCGTTTCCAGCGAAATCGTTAGAGCTATCCAAATATCCACTTACAGTTTCTACAAAAAGAGTGTTTCCAAACTGCTGCATCAAAAGAAAGGTTCAACTCTGTTAGTTGAGGACACACATCACAAAGAAGTTTGTGAGAATGCTTCTGTCCAGATTTTGTATGACGATATTCCCTTTTCCAACGATATCGTTAAAGCAATCTAAATATCCATTTGCAGAATCCACAAAAATAGAGTTTCAAAGCTGCTCTGTAAAAAGAAAGGTTCCACTCTGTTAGCTGAGTACACACATCACAAACTTGTTTCTGAGAATCCTTCTGTCTCGTTTTTATGGGAAGATATTTACTTTTTCACCGTAGGCATCAAAGCGCTCCAAATGTCCACATCCAGATACTCCAGAAAGAGTGTTTCAAACCTGCTCTATGAAAGAGAATCTTCAACTCTATGAGTTGAATGCAGACATCAGAAAGAAATTTCTGAGAATGCTGCTGTCTACCTTTTATTTGAATTCCCGCTTCCAACGAAATCCTCCAAGCTATCCAAATATCCACTTGCATTTTCCACAAAAAGAGTGTTTCAAGACTGCTCTATCAATAGAAATGTTCAACTCCTTTAGCTGGGTACACACATCACAAACAAGTTTCTGAGAATGCTTCTGTCTAGTTTTTATGGGAAGACATTCCCCTTTTCACCAAAGGCATCAAAGCGCTCCAAATGTCCACTTCCAGACACTACAAAAAGAGTGTTTCAAACGTGCTCTAAGAAAGTGAATGTTCAACTCTGTGACTTGAATGCAGATATCACAAAGTAGTTTCTGAGAGGGCTTCTGTCTAGATTTTAGATGATGATATTCCCGTTTCCAACGAAATCATTAGAGCTATCCAAATATCCACTTACAGTTTCTACAAAAAGAGTGTTTCCAAACTGCTGCATCAAAAGAGAGGTTCCACTCTGTTAGCTGAGTAAAGACATCACAAACTTGTTTCTGAGAATCCTTCTGTCTCGTTTTTATGGGAAGATATTTACTTTTTCACCGTAGGCATCAAAGCGCTCCAAATGTCCACATCCAGATACTCCAGAAAGAGTGTTTCAAACCTGCTCTATAAAAGGGAATCTTCAACTCTATGAGTTGAATGCAGACATCAGAAAGAAATTTCTGAGAATGCTGCTGTCTACCTTTTATTTGAATTCCCGCTTCCAACGAAATCCTCCAAGCTATCCAAATATCCACTTGCAGATTCCACAAAAAGAGTGTTTCAAAACTGCTCTCTATCAATGGCAAAGTTCAACTCTGTTAGATGAGGACACATATCACCAACAAGTTTCTGAGAATGCTTCTGTCTATTTTTATGGGAAGATATTTCCTTTTTCACCGTAGGCGTCAAGGCGATCGAAATGTCCACTTCCACAAACTACAAAAAGAGTGTTTCAAGCCTGCTCTATGAAAGGCCATGTTCATCTCTATGAGTTGAATGGAAATATCCGAAAGAAATTTCTGGGAATGCTGCTGTCTAGTGTTTATACGAATTCCCGCTTCCAACGAAATCCTCAAAGCAATCCAAATATCCACTTGCAGAATCCACAAAAAGAGTGTTTCAAAACTGCTCTATCAATAGAAAGGTTCAACTCTTTTAGTTGAGTACACACATCACAAACAAGTTTCTGAGAATGCTTCTGTCTGGCTTTTATTGGAAGACGTTTCCTTTTCACCAAAGGCATCAAAGCGCTCCAAATGTCCACTTCCAGATTCTTCCAAAAGAGTGTTTGAAACGTGCTCAAAGTAAGGGAATGTTCAACTCTGTGACTTGAATGCAGATATCACCAAGTAGTTTCTAATAGTGCTTCTGTCTACATTTTAGATGATGATATTCCCGTTTCCAACGAAATCGTTAGAGCTATCCAAATATCCAGTTACAGTTTCTACCAAAAGGGTGTTTCCAAATTGCTGCATCAAAAGAAAGGTTCAACTCTGTTAGTTGAGGACACACATCACAAAGAAGTTTGTGAAAATGCTTCTGTCTAGATTTTGTATGAAGATATTCCCTTTTCCAACGATGTCATTAAATCAACCCAAATATCAATTTGCAGAATCCACAGAAATAGAGTTTCAAAGCTGCTCTGTAAAAAGAAAGGATCCACTCTATTAGCTGAGTACACACATAAAAAACTTGTTTCTGAGAATCCTTCTGTCTCGTTTTTATGGGAAGATATTTACTTTTCCACCGTAGGCATCAAAGCGCTCCAAATGTCTACATCCAGATACTCCAGAACGAGTGTTTCAAACCTGCTCTATGAAAGGGAATCTTCAACTCTATGAGTTGAATGCAGACATCAGAAAGAAATTTCTGAGAATGCTGCTGTCTACCTTTTATTTGAATTCCCGCTTCCAACGAAATCCTCCAAGCTATCCAAATATCCACTTGCATTTTCCACAACAAGAGTGTTTTAAAACTGCTCTATCAATAGAAATGTTCAACTCCTTTGGCTGGGTACACACATCACAAACAAGTTTCTGAGAATGCTTCTGTCTAGTTTTTATGGGAAGACGTTCCCTTTTTCACCAAAGGCATCAAAGCGCTCCAAATGTCCACTTCCAGACACTACAAAAAGAGTGTTTCAAACGTGCTCTAAGAAAACGAATGTTCAACTCTGTGACTTGAATGCAGATATCACAAAGTAGTTTCTGAGAGGGCTGCTGTCTAGATTTTAGATGATGATATTCCCGTTTCCAACGAAATCATTAGAGCTATCCAAATATCCACTTACAGTTTCTACAAAAAGAGTGTTTCCAAACTGCTGCATCAAAACAGAGGTTCCACTCTGTTAGCTGAGTACACACATCACAAACTTGTTTCTCAGAATCCTTCTGTCTCGTTTTTATGGGAAGATATTTACTTTTCCACCGTAGACATCAAAGCGCTCCAAATGTCCACATCCAGATACTCCAGAAAGAGTGTTTCAAACCTGCTCTATGAAAGGGAATCTTCAACTCTATGAGTTGAATGCAGACATCAGAAAGAAATTTCTGAGAATGCTGCTGTCTACCTTTTATTTGAATTCCCGCTTCCAACGAAATCCTCCAAGCTATCCAAATATCCACTTGCAGATTCCACAAAAAGAGTGTTTCAAAACTGCTCTCTATCAATGGCAAAGTTCAACTCTGTTAGTTGAGGACACATATCACCAACAAGTTTCTGAGAATGCTTCTGTCTATTTTTTATGGGAAGATATTTCCTTTTTCACCGTAGGCGTCAAGGCGATCGAAATGTCCACTTCCACAAACTACAAAAAGAGTGTTTCAAACCTGCTCTATGAAAGGCCATGTTCATCTCTATGAGTTGAATGGAAATATCCGAAAGAAATTTCTGGGAATGCTGCTGTCTAGTTTTTATACGAATTCCCGCTTCCAACGAAATCCTCAAAGCAATCCAAATATCCACTTGCAGAATCCACAAAAAGAGTGTTTCAAAACTGCTCTATCAATAGAAAGGTTCAACTCTTTTAGTTGAGTACACACATCAAGAACAAGTTTCTGAGAATGCTTCTGTCTGACTTTTATTGGAAGACGTTTCCTTTTCACCAAAGGCATCAAAGCGCTCCAAATGTCCACTTCCAGATTCTTCCAAAAGAGTGTTTCAAACGTGCTCAAAGTAAGGGAATGTTCAACTCTGTGACTTGAATGCAGATATCACCAAGTAGTTTCTAATAGTGCTTCTGTCTAGATTTTAGATGATGATATTCCCGTTTCCAACGAAATCGTTAGAGCTATCCAAATATCCACTTACAGTTTCTACAAAAACAGTGTTTCCAAACTGCTGCATCAAAAGAAAAGTTCAACTCTGTTAGTTGAGGACACACATCACAAAGAAGTTTGTGAGAATGCTTCTGTCTAGATTTTGTATGACCATATTCCCTTTTCCAGCGATATCGTTAAAGCAATCTAAATATCCATTTGCAGAATCCACAAAAATAGAGTTTCAAAGCTGCTCTGTAAAAAGAAAGGTTCCACTCTGTTAGCTGAGTACACACATCACAAACTTGTCTCTCAGAATCCTTCTGTCTCGTTTTTATGGGAAGATATTTACTTTTTCACCGTAGGCATCAAAGCGCTCCAAATGTCCACATCCAGATACTCCAGAAAGAGTGTTTCAAACCTGCTCTATGAAAGGGAATCTTCAACTCTATGAGTTGAATGCAGACATCAGAAAGAAATTTCTGAGAATGCTGCTGTCTACCTTTTATTTGAACTCCCGCTTCCAACGAAATCCTCCAAGCTATCCAAATATCCACTTGCATTTTCCACAAAAAGAGTGCTTCAAAACTGCTCTATCAATAAATGTTCAACTCCTTTAGCTGGGTGCACACATCACAAACAAGTTTCTGAGAATGCTTTCTGTCTAGATTTTATGGGAAGACATTCCCTTTTTCACCAAAGGCATCAAAGCGCTCCAAATGTCCACTTCCAGACACTACAAAAAGAGTGTTTCCAACGTGCTCTAAGAAAGCGAATGTTCAACTCTGTGACTTGAATGCAGATATCACAAAGTAGTTTCTGAGAGGGCTTCTGTCTAGATTTTAGATGATGATATTCCCGTTTCCAACGAAATCATTAGAGCTATCCAAATATCCACTTACAGTTTCTACAAAAAGAGTGTTTCCAAACTGCTGCATCAAAAGAGAGGTTCCACTCTGTTAGCTGAGTACACACATCACAAACTTGTTTCTGAGAATCCTTCTGTGTCGTTTTTATGGGAAGATATTTACTTTTTCACCGTAGGCATCAAAGCGCTCCAAATGTCCACATCCAGATACTCCAGAAAGAGTGTTTCAAACCTGCTCTATGAAAGGGAATATTCAACTCTATGAGTTGAATGCAGACATCAGAAAGAAATTTCTGAGAATGCTGCTGTCTACCTTTTATTTGAATTCCCGCTTCCAACGAAATCCTCCAAGCTATCCAAATATCCACTTGCAGATTCCACAAAAAGAGTGTTTCAAAACTGCTCTCTATCAATGGCAAAGTTCAAATCTGTTAGTTGAGGACACATATCACCAACAAGTTTCTGAGAATGCTTCTGTCTAGTTTTTATGGGAAGACATTCCCTTTTTCACCAAAGGCATCAAAGCGCTCCAAATGTCCACTTCCACAAACTACAAAAAGAGTGTTTCAAACCTGCTCTATGAAAGGCCATGTTCATCTCTATGAGTCGAATGGAAATATCCGAAAGAAATTTCTGGGAATGCTGCTGTCTAGTGTTTATACGAATTCCCGCTTCCAACGAAATCCTCAAAGCAATCCAAATATCCACTTGCAGAATCCACAAAAAGAGTGTTTCAAAACTGCTCTGTCAATAGAAAGGTTCAACTCTTTTAGTTGAGTACACACATCACGAACAAGTTTCTGAGAATGCTTCTGTCTGGCTTTTATTGGAAGACGTTTCCTTTTCACCAAAGGCATCAAAGCGCTCCAAATGTCCACTTCCAGATTCTTCCAAAAGAGTGTTTCAAACGTGCTCAAAGTAAGGGAATGTTCAACTCTGTGACTTGAATGCAGATATCACCAAGTAGTTTCTAATAGTGCTTCTGTCTAGATTTTAGATGATGATATTCCCGTTTCCAACGAAATCGTTAGAGCTATCCAAATATCCAGTTACAGTTTCTACCAAAAGGGTGTTTCCAAATTGCTGCATCAAAAGAAAGGTTCAACTCTGTTAGTTGAGGACACACATCACAAAGAAGTTTGTGAGAATGCTTCTGTCTAGATTTTGTATGACGATATTCCCTTTTCCAACGATATCGTTAAAGCAACCTAAATATCAATTTGCAGAATCCACAAAAATAGAGTTTCAAAGCTGCTCTGTAAAAAGAAAGGTTCCACTCTGTTAGCTGAGTACACACATCACAAACTTGTTTCTGAGAATCCTTCTGTCTCGTTTTTATGGGAAGATATTTACTTTTTCACCGTAGGCATCAAAGCGCTCCAAATGTCCACATCCAGATACTCCAGAAAGAGTGTTTCAAACCTGCTCTATGAAAGGGAATCTTCAACTCTATGAGTTGAATGCAGACATCAGAAAGAAATTTCTGAGAATGCTGCTGTCTACCTTTTATTTGAACTCCCGCTTCCAACGAAATCCTCCAAGCTATCCAAATATCCACTTGCATTTTCCACAAAAAGAGTGCTTCAAAACTGCTCTATCAATAAATGTTCAACTCCTTTAGCTGGGTGCACACATCACAAACAAGTTTCTGAGAATGCTTCTGTCTAGTTTTTATGGGAAGACATTTCCTTTTTCACCAAAGGCATCAAAGAGCTCCAAATGTCCACTTCTAGATACTACAAAAAGAGTGTTTCAAAAGTGCTCTAAGAAAGCGAATGTTCAACTCTGTGACTTGAATGCAGATATCACAAAGTAGTTTCTGAGAGTGCTTCTGTCTAGATTTTGTATGAGGATATTCCCTTTTCCAACGATATCGTTAAAGCAATCTAAATATCAATTTGCAGAATCCACAAAAATAGAGTTTCAAAGCTGCTCTGTAAAAAGAAAGGTTCCACTCTGTTAGCTGAGTACACACATCACAAACTTGTTTCTCAGAATCCTGCTGTCTACCTTTTATTTGAATTCCCGCTTCCAACGAAATCCTCCTAGCTATCCAAACATCCACTTGCATTTTCCACAAAAAGAGTGTTTCAAAACTGCTCTATCAATAGAAACTTTCAACTCCTTTAGCTGGGTACACACATCACAAACAAGTTTCTGAGAACGCTTCTGTCTAGTTTTTATGGGTAGACATTCCCTTTTTCACCAAAGGAATCAAAGCGCTCCAAATGTCCACTTCCAGCCAATACAAAAAGAGTGTTTCAAACGTGCTCTACGAAAGCGAATGTTCAACTCTGTGACTTGAATGCAGATATCACACAGTAGTTTCTGAGAGTGCTTCTGTCTAGATTTTAGATGATGATATTCCCGTTTCCAACGAAATCATTAGAGCTATCCAAATATCCACTTACAGTTTCTACAAAAAGAGTGTTTCGAAACTGCTGCATCAAAAGAGATTTCCACTCTGTTAGCTGAGTACACACATCACAAACTTGTTTCTCAGAATCCTTCCGTCTCGTTTTAATGGGAAGATATTTACTTTTTCACCATAGGCATCAAAGCGCTCCAAATGTCCACATCCAGATACTACAGAAAGAGTATTTCAAACCTGCTCTATGAAAGGGAATGTTCAACTCTATGAGTTGAATGCAGACATCAGAAAGAAATTTCTGAGAATGCTGCTGTCTACCTTTTATTTGAATTCCCGCTTCCAACGAAATCCTCCAAGCTATCCAAATATCCACTTGCAGATTCCACAAAAAGAGTGTTTCAAAACTGCTCTCTATCAATGGCAAAGTTCAACTCTGTTAGTTGAGGGCACATATCACCAACAAGTTTCTGAGAATGCTTCTGTCTATTTTTTATGGGAAGATATTTCCTTTTTCACCGTAGGCGTCAAGGCGATCGAAATGTCCACTTCCACAAACTACAAAAAGAGTGTTTCAAACCTGCTCTATGAAAGGCCATGTTCATCTCTATGAGTTGAATGGAAATATCCGAAAGAAATTTCTGGGAATGCTGCTGTCTAGTTGTTATACGAATTCCCGCTTCCAAAGAAATCCTCAAAGCAATCCAAATATCCACTTGCAGAATCCACAAAAAGAGTGTTTCAAAACTGCTCTATCAATAGAAAGGTTCAACTCTTTTAGTTGAGTACACACATCAAGAACAAGTTTCTGAGAATGCTTCTGTCTGGCTTTTATTGGAAGACGTTTCCTTTTCACCAAAGGCATCAAAGCGCTCCAAATGTCCACTTCCAGATTCTTCCAAAAGAGTGTTTCAAACGTGCTCAAAGTAAGGGAATGTTCAACTCTTTGACTTGAATGCAGATATCACCAAGTAGTTTCTAATAGTGCTTCTGTCTAGATTTTAGATGATTATATTCCCGTTTCCAACGCAATCGTTAGAGCTATCCAAATATCCACTTACAGTTTCTACAAAAAGAGTGTTTCCAAACTGCTGCATCAAAAGAAAGGTTCAACTCTGTTAGTTGAGGACACACATCACAAAGAAGTTTGTGAGAATGCTTCTGTCTAGATTTTGTATGACCATATTCCCTTTTCCAGCGATATCATTAAAGCAATCTAAATATCCATTTGCAGAATCCACAAGAATAGAGTTTCAAAGCTGCTCTGTAAAAAGAAAGGTTCCACTCTGTTAGCTGAGTACACACATCACAAACTTGTTTCTGAGAATCCTTCTGTCTCGTTTTTATGGGAACATATTTAGTTTTTCACCGTAGGCATCAAAGCGGTCCAAATGTCCACATCCAGATACTCCAGAAAGAGTGTTTCAAACCTGCTCTATGAAAGGGAATCTTCAACTCTATGAGTTGAATGCACACATCAGAAAGAAATTTCTGAGAATGTTGCTGTCTACCTTTATTTGAATTCCCGCTTCCAACGAAATCCTCCAAGCTATCCAAATATCCACCTGCATTTTCCACAACAAGAGTGTTTCAAAACTGCTCTATCAATAGAAATGTTCAACTCCTTTGGCTGGGTACACACATCACAAACAAGTTTCTGAGAATGCTTCTGTCTAGTTTTTATGGGAAGACATTCCCTTTTTCACCAAAGGCATCAAAGCACTCCAAATGTCCACTTCCAGACACTACAAAAAGAGTGTTTCAAACGTGCTCTAAGAAAGCGAATGTTCAACTCTGTGACTTGAATGCAGATATCACAAAGTAGTTTCTGACAGGGCTTCTGTCTAGATTTTAGATGATGATATTCCCGTTTCCAACGAAATCATTAGAGCTATCCAAATATCCACTTACAGTTTCTACAAAAAGTGTGTTTCCAAACTACTGCATCAAAAGAGAGGTTCCACTCTGTTAGCTGAGTACACACATCACAAACTTGTTTCTCAGAATCCTTCTGTCTCGTTTTTATGGGAAGATATTTACTTTCTCACCGCAGGCATCAAAGCGCTCCAAATGTCCACATCCATATACTCCAGAAAGAGTGTTTCAAACCTGCTCTATGAAAGGGAATCTTCAACTCTATGAGTTGAATGCAGACATCAGAAAGAAATTTCTGAGAATGCTGCTGTCTACCTTTTATTTGAATTCCCGCTTCCAACGAAATCCTCCAAGCTATCCAAATATCCACTTGCAGATTCCACAAAAAGAGTGTTTCAAAACTGCTCTCTATCAATGGCAAAGTTCAACTCTGTTAGTTGAGGACACATATCACCAACAAGTTTCTGAGAATGCTTCTGTCTATTTTTTATAGGAAGATATTTCCTTTTTCACCGTAGGCGTCAAGGCGATCGAAATGTCCACCTCCACAAACTACAAAAAGAGTGTTTCAAACCTGCTCTATGAAAGGCCATGTTCATCTCTATGAGTTGAATGGAAATATCCGAAAGAAATTTCTGGGAATGCTGCTGTCTAGTTTTTATACGAATTCCCGCTTCCAACGAAATCCTCAAAGCAATCCAAATATCCACTTGCAGAATCCACAAAAAGAGTGTTTCAAAACTGCTCTATCAATAGAAAGGTTCAACTCTTTTAGTTGAGTACACACATCACAAACAAGTTTCTGAGAATGCTTCTGTCTGGCTTTTATTAGAAGACGTTTCCTTTTCACCAAAGGCATCATCAAAGCGCTCCAAATGTCCACTTCCAGATTCTTCCAAAAGAGTGTTTGAAACGTGCTCAAAGTAAGGGAATGTTCAACTCTGTGACTTGAATGCAGATATCACCAAGTAGTTTCTAATACTGCTTCTCTCTAGATTTTAGATGATGATATTCCCGTTTCCAACGAAATCGTTAGAGCTATCCAAATATCCACTTACAGTTTCTACAAAAAGGGTGTTCCAAACTGCTGCATCAAAAGAAAGGTTCAACTCTGTTAGTTGAGGACACACATCACAAAGAAGTTTGTGAGAATGCTTCTGTCTAGGATTTTGTATGACGATATTCCCTTTTCCAACGATATCGTTAAAGCAATCTAAATATCAATTTGCAGAATCCACAAAAATAGAGTTTCAAAGCTGCTCTGTAAAAAGAAAGGTTCCACTCTGTTAGCTGAGTACACACATCACAAACTTGTTTCTGAGAATCCTTCTGTCTCGTTTTTATGGGAAGATATTTACTTTTTCACCGTAGGCATCAAAGCGCTCCAAATGTCCACATCCAGATACTCCAGAAAGAGTGTTTCAAACCTGCTCTAGGAAAGGGAATCTTCAACTCTATGAGTTGAATGCAGACATCAGAAAGAAATTTCTGAGAATGCTGCTGTCTACCTTTTATTTGAATTCCCGCTTCCAACGAAATCCTCCAAGCTATCAAAATATCCACTTGCATTTTCCACAAAAAGAGTGTTTCAAAACTGCTCTATCAATACAAATGTTCAACTCTTTAGCTGGGTACACACATCACAAACAAGTTTCTGAGAATGCTTCTGTCTAGTTTTTATGGGAAGACATTCCCTTTTTCACCAAAGGCATGAAAGCGCTCCAAATGTCCACTTCCAGACACTACAAAAAGAGTGTTTCAAACGTGCTCTAAGAAAGCGAATGTTCAACTCTGTGACTTGAATGCAGATATCACAAAGTAGTTTCTGAGAGGGCTTCTGTCTAGAATTTAGATGATGATATTCCCGTTTCCAACGAAATCATTAGAGCTATCCAAATATCCACTTACAGTTTCTACAAAAAGAGTGTTTCCAAACTGCTGCATCAAAACAGAGGTTCCACTCTGTTAGCTGAGTACACACATCACAAACTTGTTTCTCAGAATCCTTCTGTCTCGTTTTTATGGGAAGATATTTACTTTTTCACCGTAGGCAATAAAGCGCTCCAAATGTCCACATCCAGATACTCCAGAAAGAGTGTTTCAAACCTGCTCTATGAAAGGGAATGTTCAACTCTATGAGTTGAATGCAGACATCAGAAAGAAATTTCTGAGAATGCTGCTGTCTACCTTTTATTTGAATTCCCGCTTCCAACGAAATCCTCCAAGCTATCCAAATATCCACTTGCAGATTCCACAAAAAGAGTGTTTCAAAACTGCTCTCTATCAATGGCAAAGTTCAACTCTGTTAGTTGAGGACACATATCACCAACAAGTTTCTGAGAATGCTTCTGTCTATTTTTTATAGGAAGATATTTCCTTTTTCACCGTAGGTGTCAAGGCGATCGAAATGTCCACCTCCACAAACTACAAAAAGAGTGTTTCAAACCTGCTCTATGAAAGGCCATGTTCATCTCTATGAGTTGAATGGAAATATCCGAAAGAAATTTCTGGGAATGCTGCTGTCTAGTGTTTATACGAATTCCCGCTTCCAACGAAATCCTCAAAGCAATCCAAATATCCACTTGCAGAATCCACAAAAAGAGTGTTTCAAAACTGCTCTATCAATAGAAAGGTTCAACTCTTTTAGTTGAGTACACACATCACGAACAAGTTTCTGAGAATGCTTCTGTCTGGCTTTTATTGGAAGAAGTTTCCTTTTCACCAAAGGCATCAAAGCGCTCCAAATGTCCACTTCCAGATTCTTCCAAAAGAGTGTTTCAAACGTGCTCAAAGTAAGGGAATGTTCAACTCTGTGACTTGAATGCAGATATCACCAAGTAGTTTCTAATAGTGCTTCTGTCTACATTTTAGATGATGATATTCCCGTTTCCAACGAAATCGTTAGAGCTATCCAAATATCCAGTTACAGTTTCTACCAAAAGGGTGTTTCCAAATTGCTGCATCAAAAGAAAGGTTCAACTCTGTTAGTTGAGGACACACATCACAAAGAAGTTTGTGAGAATGCTTCTGTCTAGTATTTTGTATGACGATATTCCCTTTTCCAACGATATCGTTAAAGCAATCTAAATATCAATTTGCAGAATCCACAAAAATAGAGTTTCAAAGCTGCTCTGTAAAAAGAAAGGTTCCACTCTGTTAGCTGAGTACACACATCACAAACTTCTTTCTGAGAATCCTTCTGTCTCGTTTTTATGGGAAGATATTTACTTTTTCACCGTAGGCATCAAAGCGCTCCAAATGTCCACATCCAGATACTCCAGAAAGAGTGTTTCAAACCTGCTCTATGAAAGGGAGTCTTCAACTCTATGAGTTGAATGCAGACATCAGAAGGGAATTTCTGAGAATGCTGCTGTCTACCTTTTATTTGAATTCCCGCTTCCAACGAAATCCTCCAAGCTATCCAAATATCCACCTGCATTTTCCACAAAAAGAGTGTTTCAAACCTGCTCTATCAATAGAAATGTTCAACTCCTTTGGCTGGGTACACACATCACAAACAAGTTTCTGAGAATGCTTCTGTCTAGTTTTTATGGGTAGACATTCCCTTTTTCACCAAAGGAATCAAAGCGCTCCAAATGTCCACTTCCAGACACTACAAAAAGAGTGTTTCAAACGTGCTCTAAGAAAGCGAATGTTCAACTGTGTGACTTGAATGCAGATATCACAAAGTAGTTTCTGAGAGTGCTTCTGTCTAGATTTTAGATGATGATATTCCCGTTTCCAACGAAATCATTAGAGGTATCCAAATATCCACTTACAGTTTCTACAAAAAGAGTGTTTCCAAACTGCTGCATCAAAAGAGAGGTTCCACTCTGTTAGCTGAGTACACACATCACAAACTTGTTTCTCAGAATCCTTCTGTCTCGTTTTTATGGGAAGATATTTACTTTTTCACCGTAGGCATCAAAGCGCTCCAAATGTACACATCCAGATACTCCAGAAAGAGTGTTTCAAACCTGCTCTATGAAAGGGAATGTTCAACTCTATGAGTTGAATGCAGACATCAGAAAGAAATTTCTGAGAATGCTGCTGTCTACCTTTTATTTGAATTCCCGCTTCCAACGAAATCCTCCAAGCTATCCAAATATCCACTTGCAGATTCCACAAAAAGAGTGTTTCAAAACTGCTCTCTATCAATGGCAAAGTTCAACTCTGTTAGTTGAGGACACATATCACCAACAAGTTTCTGAGAATGCTTCTGGTCTATTTTTTATGGGAAGATATTTCCTTTTTCACCGTAGGCGTCAAGGCGATCGAAATGTCCACTTCCACAAACTACAAAAAGAGTGTTTCAAACCTGCTCTATGAAAGGCCATGTTCATCTCTATGAGTCGAATGGAAATATCCGAAAGAAATTTCTGGGAATGCTGCTGTCTAGTTTTTATACGAATTCCCGCTTCCAACGAAATCCTCAAAGCAATCCAAATATCCACTTGCAGAATCCACAAAAAGAGTGTTTCAAAACTGCTCTATCAATAGAAAGGTTCAACTCTTTTAGTTGAGTACACACATCACAAACAAGTTTCTGAGAATGCTTCTGTCTGGCTTTTATTGGAAGACGTTTCCTTTTCACCAAAGGCATCAAAGCGCTCCAAATGTCCACTTCCAGATTCTTCCAAAAGAGTGTTTGAAACGTGCTCAAAGTAAGGGAATGTTCAACTCTGTGACTTAAATGCAGATATCACCAAGTAGTTTCTAATAGTGCTTCTGTCTACATTTTAGATGATGATATTCCCGTTTCCAACGAAATCGTTAGAGCTATCCAAATATCCAGTTACAGTTTCTACCAAAAGGGTGCTTCCAAATTGCTGCATCAAAAGAAAGGTTCAACTCTGTTAGTTGAGGACACACATCACAAAGAAGTTTGTGAGAATGCTTTCTGTCTAGATTTTGTATGACGATATTCCCTTTTCCAACGATATCATTAAAGCAATCTAAATATCCATTTGCAGAATCCACAAAAATAGAGTTTCAAAGCTGCTCTGTAAAAAGAAAGGTTCCACTCTGTTAGCTGAGTACACACATCACAAACTTGTTTCTCAGAATCCTTCTGTCTAATTTTTATGGGAAGATATTTACTTTTTCACCGTAGGCATCAAAGCGTTCCAAATGTCCACATCCAGATAGTACAGAAAGAGTGTTTCAAACCTGCTCTATGAAAGGGAATGTTCAACTCTATGAGTTGAATGCAAACATCACAAAGAAATTTCTGAGAATGCTGCTGTCTACCTTTCATTTGAATTCCCGCTTCCAACGAAATCCTCCAGGCTATCCAAATATCCACTTGCAGATTCCACAAAAAGAGTGTTTCAAAACTGCTCTATCAATGGCAAGGTTCAACTCTGTCAGTTGAGGATACACATCACAAAAAGTTTCTGAGAATTCTTCTGTCTATTTTTTATGGGAAGATATTTCCTTTTTCACCGTAGTCATCAAGGCGATCGAAATGTCCACTTCCACAAACTACAAAAAGAGTGTTTCAAACCTGCTCTATGAAAGGCCATGTTCATCTCTATGAGTTCAATGGAAATATCAGAAAGAAATTTCTGGGAATGCTGCTGTCTAGATTTTATACGAATTCCTGCTTCCAACGAAATCCTCAAAGCAATCCAAATATCCACTTGCAGAATCCACAAAAAGAGTGTTTCAAAACTGCTCTATCAATAGAAAGGTTCAACTCTTTTAGTTGAGTACACACATCACAAACAAGTTTCTGAGAATGCTTCTGTCTGGCTTTTATTGGAAGACGTTTCCTTTTCACCAAAGGCATCATCAAAGCGCTCCAAATGTCCACTTCCAGATTCTTCCAAAAGAGTGTTTGAAACGTGCTCAAAGTAAGGGAATGTTCAACTCTGTGACTTGAATGCAGATATCACCAAGTAGTTTCTAATAGTGCTTCTGTCTAGATTTTAGATGATGATATTCCCGTTTCCAACGAAATCGTTAGAGCTATCCAAATATCCACTTACAGTTTCTACCAAAAGGGTGTTTCCAAACTGCTGCATCAAAAGAAAGGTTCAACTCTGTTAGTTGAGGACACACATCACAAAGAAGTTTGTGAGAATGCTTCTGTCCAGATTTTGTATGACGATATTCCCTTTTCCAATGATATCGTTAAAGCAATCTAAATATCCATTTGCAGAATCCACAAAAATAGAGTTTCAAAGCTGCTCTGTAAAAAGAAAGGTTCCACTCTGTTAGCTGAGTACACACATCACAAACTTGTTTCTGAGAATCCTTCTGTCTCGTTTTTATGGGAAGATATTTACTTTTTCACCGTAGGCATCAAAGCGCTCCAAATGTCCACATCCAGATACTCCAGAAAGAGCGTTTCAAACCTGCTCTATGAAAGGGAATCTTCAACTCTATGAGTTGAATGCAGACATCAGAAAGAAATTTCTGAGAATGCTGCTGTCTACCTTTTATTTGAACTCCCGCTTCCAACGAAATCCTCCAAGCTATCCAAATATCCACTTGCATTTTCCACAAAAAGAGTGCTTCAAAACTGCTCTATCAATAAATGTTCAACTCCTTTAGCTGGGTGCACACATCACAAACAAGTTTCTGAGAATGCTTCTGTCTACTTTTTAAGGGAAGACGTTTCCTTTTTCACCAAAGGCATCAAAGCGCTCCAAATGTCCACTTCCAGATTCTACAAAAAGAGTGTTTCAAACCTCCTCTAAGTAAGGGAGTTTTCAACTCTGTGACTGGAATGCAGATATCACAAAGTAGATTCTGAGACTGCTTCTGTCTAGATTTTAGATGATGATATTCCCGTTTCCAACGAAATCATTAGAGCTATCCAAATATCCACTTACAGTTTCTACAAAAAGAGTGTTTCCAAACTGCTGCATCAAAACAGAGGTTCCACTCTGTTAGCTGAGTACACACATCACAAACTTGTTTCTCAGAATCCTTCTGTCTCGTTTTTATGGGAAGATATTTACTTTTTCACCGTAGGCATCAAACCGCTCCAAATGTCCACATCCAGATACTACAGAAAGAGTATTTCAAACCTGCCCTATGAAAGGGAATGTTCAACTCTATGAGTTGAATGCAGACATCAGAAAGAAATTTCTGAGAATGCTGCTGTCTACCTTTTATTTGAATTCCCGCTTCCAACGAAATCCTCCAAACTATCCAAATATCCACTTGCAGATTCAGGAAAAAGAGTGTTTCAAAACTGCTCTCTATCAATGGCAAAGTTCAACTCTGTTAGTTGAGGACACATATCACCAACAAGTTTCTGAGAATGCTCTGTCTATTTTTTATGGGAAGATATTTCCTTTTTCACCGTAGGCGTCAAGGCGATCGAAATGTCCACTTCCACAAACTACAAAAAGAGTGTTTCAAACCTGCTCTATGAAAGGCCATGTTCATCTCTATGAGTTGAATGGAAATATCCGAAAGAAATTCTGGGAATGCTGGCTGTCTAGTGTTTATACGAATTCCCGCTTACAACGAAATCCTCAAAGCAATCCAAATATCCACTTGCAGAATCCACAAAAAGAGTGTTTCAAAACTGCTCTATCAATAGAAAGGTTCAACTCTTTTAGTTGAGTACACACATCACGAACAAGTTTCTGAGAATGCTTCTGTCTGGCTTTTATTGGAAGACGTTTCCTTTTCACCAAAGGCATCAAAGCGCTCCAAATGTCCACTTCCAGATTCTTCCAAAAGAGTGTTTCAAACGTGCTCAAAGTAAGGGAATGTTCAACTCTGTGACTTGAATGCAGATATCACCAAGTAGTTTCTAATAGTGCTTCTGTCTAGATTTTAGATGATGATATTCCCGTTTCCAACGGAATCGTTAGAGCTATCCAAATATACAGTTACAGTTTCTACCAAAAGGGTGTTTCCAAATTGCTGCATCAAAAGAAAGGTTCAACTCTGTTAGTTGAGGACACACATCACAAAGAAGTTTGTGAGAATGCTTCTGTCTAGTATTTTGTATGACCATATTCCCTTTCCCAGCGATATCATTAAAGCAATCTAAATATCCATTTGCAGAATCCACAAAAATAGAGTTTCAAAGCTGCTCTGTAAAAAGAAAGGTTCCACTCTGTTAGCTGAGTACACACATCACAAACTTGTTTCTGAGAATCCTTCTGTCTCGTTTTTATGGGAAGATATTTACTTTTTCACCGTAGGCATCAAAGCGCTCCAAATGTCCACATCCAGATACTCCAGAAAGAGTGTTTCAAACCTGCTCTATGAAAGGGAATCTTCAACTCTATGAGTTGAATGCAGACATCAGAAAGAAATTTCTGAGAATGCTGCTGTCTACCTTTTATTTGAATTCCCGCTTCCAACGAAATCCTCCAAGCTATCCAAATATCCACTTGCATTTTCCACAAAAAGAGTGTTTCAAAACTGCTCTATCAATAGAAATGTTCAACTCCTTTAGCTGGGTACACACATCACAAACAAGTTTACTGAGAATGCTTTCTGTCTAGTTTTTATGGGAAGACATTCCCTTTTTCACCAAAGGCATCACAGCGCTCCAAATGTCCACTTCCAGACACTACAAAAAGAGTGTTTCCAACGTGCTCTAAGAAACCGAATGTTCAACTCTGTGACTTGAATGCAGATATCACAAAGTAGTTTCTGAGAGGGCTTCTGTCTAGATTTTAGATGATGATATTCCCGTTTCCAACGAAATCATTAGAGCTATCCAAATATCCACTTACAGTTTCTACAAAAAGAGTGTTTCCAAACTGCTGCATCAAAAGAGGGGTTCCACTCTGTTAGCTGAGTACACACATCACAAACTTGTTTCTCAGAATCCTTCTGTCTCGTTTTTATGGGAAGATTATACTTTTTCACCGTAGGCATCAAAGCGCTCCAAATGTCCACATCCAGATACTCCAGAAAGAGTGTTTCAAACCTGCTCTATGAAAAGGAATCTTCAACTCTATGAGTTGAATGCAGACATCAGAAAGAAATTTCTGAGAATGCTGCTGTCTACCTTTTATTTGAATTCCCGCTTCCAACGAAATCCTCCAAGCTATCCAAATATCCACTTGCAGATTCCACAAAAAGAGTGTTTCAAAACTGCTCTCTATCAATGGCAAAGTTCAACTCTGTTAGTTGAGGACACATATCACCAACAAGTTTCTGAGAATGCTTCTGTCTATTTTTTATGGGAAGATATTTCCTTTTTCACCGTAGGCGTCAAGGCGATCGAAATGTCCACTTCCACAAACTACAAAAAGAGTGTTTCAAACCTGCTCTATGAAAGGCGATGTTCATCTCAATGAGTTGAATGGAAATATCCGAAAGAAATTTCTGGGAATGCTGCTGTCTAGTTTTTATATGAATTCCCGCTTCCAACGAAATCCTCAAAGCAATCCAAATATCCACTTGCAGAATCCACAAAAAGAGTGTTTCAAAACTGCTCTATCAATAGAAAGGTTCAACTCTTTTAGTTGAGTACACACATCACCAACAAGTTTCTGAGAATGCTTCTGTCTGGCTTTTATTGGAAGACGTTTCCTTTTCACCAAAGGCATCAAAACGCTCCAAATGTCCACTTCCAGATTCTTCCAAAAGAGTGTTTCAAACGTGCTCGAAGTAAGGGAATGTTCTACTCTGTGACTTGAATGCAGATATCACCAAGTAGTTTCTAATAGTGCTTCTGTCTAGATTTTAGATGATGATATTCCCGTTTCCAACGAAATCGTTAGAGCTATCCAAATATCCACTTACAGTTTCTACCAAAAGGGTGTTTCCAAATTGCTGCATCAAAAGAAAGGTTCAACTCTGTTAGTTGAGGACACACATCACAAAGAAGTTTGTGAGAATGCTTCTGTCTAGATTTTGTATGACGATATTCCCTTTTCCAACGATATCGTTAAAGCAATCTAAATATCAATTTGCAGAATCCACAAAAATAGAGTTTCAAAGCTGCTCTGTAAAAAGAAAGGTTCCACTCTGTTAGCTGAGTACACATATCACAAACTTGTTTCTGAGAATCCTTCTGTCTCGTTTTTATGGGAAGATATTTACTTTTCCACCGTAGGCATCGAAGCGCTCCAAATGTCCACATCCAGATACTCCAGAACGAGTGTTTCAAACCTGCTCTATGAAAGGGAATCTTCAACTCTATGAGTTGAATGCAGACATCAGAAAGAAATTTCTGAGAATGCTGCTGTCTACCTTTTATTTGAATTCCCGCTTCCAACGAAATCCTCCAAGCTATCCAAATATCCACTTGCATTTTCCACAACAAGAGTGTTTCAAAACTGCTCTATCAATAGAAATGTTCAACTCCTTTGGCTGGGTACACACATCACAAACAAGTTTCTGAGAATGCTTCTGTCTAGTTTTTATGGGAAGACGTTCCCCTTTTTCACCAAAGGCATCAAAGCGCTCCAAATGTCCACTTCCAGACACTACAAAAAGAGTGTTTCAAACGTGCTCTAAGAAAGCGAATGTTCAACTCTGTGACTTGAATGCAGATATCACAAAGTAGTTTCTGAGAGGGCTTCTGTCTAGATTTTAGATGATGATATTCCCGTTTCCAACGAAATCGTTAGAGCTATCCAAATATCCACTTACAGTTTCTACAAAAAGAGTGTTTCCAAACTGCTGCATCAAAAGAAAGGTTCAACTCTGTTAGTTGAGGACACACATCAGAAAGAAGTTTGTGAGAATGCTTCTGTCTAGATTTTGTATGACCATATTCCCTTTTCCAGCGATATCATTAAAGCAATCTAAATATCCATTTGCAGAATCCACAAAAATAGAGTTTCAAAGCTGCTCTGTAAAAAGAAAGGTTCCACTCTGTTAGCTGAGTACACACATCACAAACCTGTTTCTCAGAATCCTTCTGTCTCGTTTTTATGGGAAGATATTTACTTTTCCACCGTAGGCATCAAAGCGCTCCAAATGTCCACATCCAGATACTCCAGAACGAGTGTTTCAAACCTGCTCTATGAAAGAGAATCTTCAACTCTATGAGTTGAATGCAGACATCAGAAAGAAATTTCTGAGAATGCTGCTGTCTACTTTTTATTTGAATCCCCGCTTCCAACGAAATCCTCCAAGCTATCCAAATATCCACCTGCATTTTCCACAAAAAGAGTGTTTCAAAACTGCTCTATCAATAGAAATGTTCAACTCCTTTAGCTGGGTAGACACAGCACAAACAAGTTTCTGAGAATGCTTCTGTCTAGTTTTTATGGGAAGACATTCCCTTTTTCACCAAAGGCATCAAAGCGCTCCAAATGTCCACTTCCAGACACTACAAAAAGAGTGTTTCCAACGTGCTCTAAGAAACCGAATGTTCAACTCTGTGACTTGAATGCAGATATCACAAAGTAGTTTCTGAGAGTGCTTCTGTCTAGATTTAAGATGATGATATTCCCGTTTCCAACGAAATCATTAGAGCTATCCAAATATCCACTTACAGTTTCTACAAAAAGAGTGTTTCCAAACTGCTGCATCAAAAGAGAGGTTCCACTCTGTTAGCTGAGTACACACATCACAAACTTGTTTCTCAGAATCCTTCTGTCTCGTTTTTATGGGAAGATATTTACTTTTTCACCGTAGGCATCAAAGCGCTCCAAATGTCCACATCCAGATACTCCAGAAAGAGTGTTTCAAACCTCCTCTATGAAAGGGAATCTTCAACTCTATGAGTTGAATGCAGACATCAGAAAGAAATTTCTGAGAATGCTGCTGTCTACCTTTTATTTGAATTCCCGCTTCCAACGAAATCCTCCAAGCTATCCAAATATCCACTTGCAGATTCCACAAAAAGAGTGTTTCAAAACTGCTCTCTATCAATGGCAAAGTTCAACTCTGTTAGTTGAGGACACATATCACCAACAAGTTTCTGAGAATGCTTCTGTCTATCTTTTATGGGAAGATATTTCCTTTTTCACCGTAGGCGTCAAGGCGATCGAAATGTCCACTTCCACAAACTACAAAAAGAGTGTTTCAAACCTGCTCTATGAAAGGCCATGTTCATCTCTATGAGTCGAATGGAAATATCCGAAAGAAATTTCTGGGAATGCTGCTGTCTAGTTTTTATACGAATTCCCGCTTCCAACGAAATCCTCAAAGCAATCCAAATATCCACTTGCAGAATCCACAAAAAGAGTGTTTCAAAACTGCTCTATCAATAGAAAGGTTCAACTCTTTTAGTTGAGTACACACATCACAAACAAGTTTCTGAGAATGCTTCTGTCTGGCTTTTATTGGAAGACGTTTCCTTTTCACCAAAGGCATCAAAGCGCTCCAAATGTCCACTTCCAGATTCTTCCAAAAGAGTGTTTGAAACGTGCTCAAAGTAAGGGAATGTTCAACTCTGTGACTTGAATGCAGATATCACCAAGTAGTTTCTAATAGTGCTTCTGTCTAGATTTTAGATGATGATATTCCCGTTTCCAACGAAATCGTTAGAGCTATCCAAATATCCACTTACAGTTGCTACAGAAACAGTGTTTCCAAACTGCTGCATCAAAAGAAAGGTTCAACTCTGTTAGTTGAGGACACACGTCACAAAGAAGTTTGTGAGAATGCTTCTGTCTAGATTTTGTATGACGATATTCCCTTTTCCAACGATATCGTTAAAGCAATCTAAATATCAATTTGCAGAATCCACAAAAATAGAGTTTCAAAGCTGCTCTGTAAAAAGAAAGTTTCCACTCTGTTAGCTGAGTACACACATCACAAACTTGTTTCTGAGAATCCTTCTGTCTCGTTTTTCTGGGAAGATATTTACTTTTTCACCGTAGGCATCAAAGCGCTCCAAATGTCCACATCCAGATACTCCAGAAAGAGTGTTTCAAACCTGCTCTATGAAAGGGAATCTTCAACTACTATGAGTTGAATGCAGACATCAGAAAGAAATTTACTGAGAATGCTGCTGTCTACCTTTTATTTGAATTCCCGCTTCCAACGAAATCCTCCAAGCTATCCAAATATCCACTTGCAGATTCCACAAAAAGAGTGTTTCAAAACTGCTCTCTATCAATGGCAAAGTTCAACTCTGTTAGTTGAGGACACATATCACCAACAAGTTTCTGAGAATGCTTCTGTCTATTTTTTATGGGAAGATATTTCCTTTTTCACCGTAGGCGTCAAGGCGATCGAAATGTCCACTTCCACAAACTACAAAAAGAGTGTTTCAAACCTGCTCTATGAAAGGCCATGTTCATCTCTATGAATCGAATGGAAATATCCGAAAGAAATTTCTGGGAATGCTGCTGTCTAGTTTTTATACGAATTCCCGCTTCCAACGAAATCCTCAAAGCAATCCAAATATCCACTTGCAGAATCCACAAAAAGAGTGTTTCAAAACTGCTCTATCAATAGAAAGGTTCAACTCTTTTAGTTGAGTACACACATCACAAACAAGTTTCTGAGAATGCTTCTGTCTGGCTTTTATTGGAAGACGTTTCCTTTTCACCAAAGGCATCAAAGCGCTCCAAATGTCCACTTCCAGATTCTTCCAAAAGAGTGTTTGAAACGTGCTCAAAGTAAGGGAATGTTCAACTCTGTGACTTGAATGCCGATATCACCAAGTAGTTTCTAATAGTGCTTCTGTCTAGATTTTAGATGATGATATTCCCGTTTCAAATGAAATCGTTAGAGCTATCCAAATATCCACTTACAGTTTCTACAAAAAGAGTGTTTCCAAACTGCTGCATCAAAAGAAATGTTCAACTCTGTTAGTTGAGGACACACATCACAAAGAAGTTTCTGAGAATGCTTCTGTCTAGATTTTGTATGACGATATTCCCTTTTCCAACGATATCGTTAAAGGAATCTAAATATCCATTTGCAGAATCCACAAAAATAGAGTTTCAAAGCTGCTCTGTAAAAAGAAAGGTTCCACTCTGTTAGCTGAGTACACACATCACAAACTTGTTTCTCAGAATCCTTGCTGTCTACCTTTTATTTGAACTCCCGCTTCCAACGAAATCCTCCAAGCTATCCAAATATCCACTTGCATTTTCCACAAAAAGAGTGCTTCAAAACTGCTCTATCAATAAATGTTCAACTCCTTTAGCTGGGTGCACACATCACAAACAAGTTTCTGAGAATGCTTCTGTCTACTTTTTAAGGGAAGACATTTCCTTTTTCACCAAATGCATCAAAGCGCTCCAAATGTCCACTTCCAGATTCTACAAAAAGAGTGTTTCAAACCTGCTCTAAGTAAGGGAGTTTTCAACTCTGTGACTGGAATGCAGATATCACAAAGTAGTTTCTGAGACTGATTCTGTCGAGATTTTAGATGATGATATTCCCGTTTCCAACGAAATCATTAGAGCTATCCAAATATCCACTTACAGTTTCTACAAAAAGAGTGTTTCCAAACTACTGCATCAAAAGAGAGGTTCCACTCTGTTAGCTGAGTACACACATCACAAACTTGTTTCTCAGAATCCTTCTGTCTCGTTTTTATGGGAAGATATTTACTTTTTCACCGTAGGCATCAAAGCGCTCCAAATGTCCACATCCAGATACTACAGAAAGAGTATTTCAAACCTGCCCTATGAAAGGAAATGTTCAACTCTATGAGTTGAATGCAGAGATCAGAAAGAAATTTCTGAGAATGCTGCTGTCTACCTTTTATTTGAATTCCCGCTTCCAACGAAATCCTCCAAGCTATCCAAATATCCACTTGCAGATTCAGGAAAAAGAGTGTTTCAAAACTGCTCTCTATCAATGGCAAAGTTCAACTCTGTTAGTTGAGGACACATATCACCAACAAGTTTCTGAGAATGCTTCTGTCTATTTTTTATGGGAAGATATTTCCTTTTTCACGGTAGGCGTCAAGGCGATCGAAATGTCCACTTCCACAAACTACAAAAAGAGTGTTTCAAACCTGCTCTATGAAAGGCCATGTTAATCTCTATGAGTTGAATGGAAATATCCGAAAGAAATTTCTGGGAATGCTGCTGTCTAGTTTTTATATGAATTCCCGCTTCCAACGAAATCCTCAAAGCAATCCAAATATCCACTTGCAGAATCCACAAAAAGAGTGTTTCAAAACTGCTCTATCAATAGAAAGGTTCAACTCTTTTAGTTGAGTACACACATCACAAACAAGTTTCTGAGAATGCTTCTGTCTGGCTTTTATTGGAAGACGTTTCCTTTTCACCAAAGGCATCAAAGCGCTCCAAATGTCCACTTCCAGATTCTTCCAAAAGAGTGTTTCAAACGTGCTCGAAGTAAGGGAATGTTCTACTCTGTGACTTGAATGCAGATATCACCAAGTAGTTTCTAATAGTGCTTCTGTCTAGATTTTAGGTGATGATATTCCCGTTTCCAACGAAATCGTTAGAGCTATCCAAATATCCAGTTACAGTTTCTACCAAAAGGGTGTTTCCAAATTGCTGCATCAAAAGAAAGGTTCAACTCTGTTAGTTGAGGACACACATCACAAAGAAGTTTGTGAGAATACTTCTGTCTAGGATTTTGTATGACGGTATTCCCTTTTCCAACGATATCGTTAAAGCAATCTAAATATCAATTTGCAGAATCCACAACAATAGAGTTTCAAAGCTGCTCTGTAAAAAGAAAGGTTCCACTCTGTTAGCTGAGTACACACATCACAAACTTGTTTCTGAGAATCCTTCTGTCTCGTTTTTATGGGAAGATATTTACTTTTCCACCGTAGGCATCAAAGCGCTCCAAATATCCACATCCGGATACTCCAGAACGAGTGTTTCAAACCTGCTCTATGAAAGGGAATCTTCAACTCTATGAGTTGAATGCAGACATCAGAAAGAAATTTCTGAGAATGCTCCTGTCTACCTTTTATTTGAATTCCCGCTTCCAACGAAATCCTCCAAGCTATCCAAATATCCACTTGCATTTTCCACAAAAAGAGTGTTTCAAAACTGCTCTATCAATAGAAATGTTCAACTCCTTTAGCTGGGTACACACATCACAAACAAGTTTACTGAGAATGCTTCTGTCTAGTTTTTATGGGTAGACATTCCCTTTTTCACCAAAGGAATCAAAGCGCTCCAAATGTCCACTTCCAGACACTACAAAAAGAGTGTTTCAAACGTGCTCTAAGAAAGCGAATGTTCAACTCTGTGACTTGAATGCAGATATCACAAAGTAGTTTCTGAGAGGGCTTCTGTCTAGATTTTAGATGATGATATTCCCGTTTCCAACGAAATCATTAGAGCTATCCAAATATCCACTTACAGTTTCTACAAAAAGAGTGTTTCCAAACTGCTGCATCAAAAGAGAGGTTCCACTCTGTTAGCTGAGTACACACATCACAAACTTGTTTCTCAGAATCCTTACTGTCTCGTTTTTATGGGAAGATATTTACTTTCTCACCGTAGGCATCAAAGCGCTCCAAATGTCCACATCCAGATACTCCAGAAAGAGTGTTTCAAACCTGCTCTATGAAAGGGAATCTTCAACTCTATGAGTTGAATGCAGACATCAGAAAGAAATTTCTGAGAATGCTGCTGTCTACCTTTTATTTGAATTACCGCTTCCAACGAAATCCTCCAAGCTATCCAAATATCCACTTGCAGATTCCACAAAAAGAGTGTTTCAAAACTGCGCTCTATCAATGGCAAAGTTCAACTCTGTTAGTTGAGGACACATATCACCAACAAGTTTCTGAGAATGCTTCTGTCTATTGTTTATGGGAAGATATTTCCTTTTTCACCGTAGGCGTCAAGGCGATCGAAATGTCCACTTCCACAAACTACAAAAAGAGTGTTTCAAACCTGCTCTATGAAAGGCCATGTTCATCTCTATGAGTTGAATGGAAATATCCGAAAGAAATTTCTGGGAATGCTGCTGTCTAGTGTTTATACGAATTCCCGCTTCCAACGAAATCCTCAAAGCAATCCAAATATCCACTTGCAGAATCCACAAAAAGAGTGTTTCAAAACTGCTCTATCAATAGAAAGGTTCAACTCTTTTAGTTGAGTACACACATCACCAACAAGTTTGCTGAGAATGCTTTCTGTCTGGCTTTTATTGGAAGACGTTTCCTTTTCACCAAAGGCATCAAAGCGCTCCAAATGTCCACTTCCAGATTCTTCCAAAAGAGTGTTTCAAACGTGCTCAAAGTAAGGGAATGTTCAACTCTGTGACTTGAATGCAGATATCACCAAGTAGTTTCTAATAGTGCTTCTGTCTAGCATTTTAGATGATGATATTCCCGTTTCCAACGAAATCGTTAGAGCTATCCAAATATCCACTTACAGTTTCTACAAAAAGAGTGTTTCCAAACTGCTGCATCAAAAGAAAGGTTCAACTCTGTTAGTTGAGGACACACATCACAAAGAAGTTTGTGAGAATGCTTCTGTCTAGATTTTGTATGACCATATTCCCTTTTCCAGCGATATCATTAATGCAATCTAAATATCCATTTGCAGAATCCACAAAAATAGAGTTTCAAAGCTGCTCTGTAAAAAGAAAGGTTCCACTCTGTTAGCTGAGTACACACATCACAAACTTGTTTCTCAGAATCCTGCTGTCTACCTTTTATTTGAATTAACGCTTCCAACGAAATCCTCCAAGCTATCCAAATATCCACTTGCATTTTCCACAAAAAGAGTGTTTCAAAACTGCTCTATCAATAGAAATGTTCAACTCCTTTGGCTGGGTACACACATCACAAACAAGTTTCTGAGAATGCTTCTGTCTAGTTTTTATGGGAAGACGTTCCCTTTTTCACCAAAGCCATCAAAGCGCTCCAAATGTCCACTTCCAGACACTACAAAAAGACTGTTTCAAACGTGCTCTAAGAAAGCGAATGTTCAACTCTGTGACTTGAATGCAGATATCACAAAGTAGTTTCTGAGAGTGCTTCTGTCTAGATTTTAGATGATGATATTCCCGTTTCCAACGAAATCATTAGAGCTATCCAAATATCCACTTACAGTTTCTACAAAAAGAGTGTTTCCAAACTGCTGCATCAAAAGAGTGGTTCCACTCTGTTAGCTGAGTACACACATCACAAACTTGTTTCTCAGAATCCTTCTGTCTCGTTTTTATGGGAAGAGATTTACTTTTTCACCGTAGGCATCAAAGCGCTCCAAATGTCCACATCCAGATACTACAGAAAGAGTATTTCAAACCTGCTCTATGAAAGGGAAGGTTCAACTCTATGAGTTGAATGCAGACATCAGAAAGAAATTTCTGAGAATGCTGCTGTCTACCTTTTATTTGAATTCCCGCTTCCAACGAAATCCTCCAAGCTATCCAAATATCCACTTGCAGATTCCACAAAAAGAGTGTTTCAAAACTGCTCTCTATCAATGGCAAAGTTCAACTCTGTTAGTTGAGGACACATATCACCAACAAGTTTCTGAGAATGCTTCTGTCTATTTTTTATGGGAAGATAATTCCTTTTTCAGCGTAGGCGTCAAGGCGATCGAAATGTCCACTTCCACAAACTACAAAAAGTGTGTTTCAAACCTGCTCTATGAAAGGCCATGTTCATCTCTATGAGTTGAATGGAAATATCCGAAAGAAATTTCTGGGAATGCTGCTGTCTAGTTTTTATACGAATTCCCGCTTCCAACGAAATCCTCAAAGCAATCCAAATATCCACTTGCAGAATCCACAAAAAGAGTGTTTCAAAACTGCTCTATCAATAGAAAGGTTCAACCCTTTTAGTTGAGTACACACATCACAAACAAGTTTCTGAGAATGCTTCTGTCTGGCTTTTATTGGAAGACGTTTCCTTTTCACCAAAGGCATCAAAGCGCTCCAAATGTCCACTTCCAGATTCTTCCAAAAGAGTGTTTGAAACGTGCTCAAAGTAAGGGAATGTTCAACTCTGTGACTTGAATGCAGATATCACCAAGTAGTTTCTAATAGTGCTTCTGTCTAGATTTTAGATGATGATATTCCCGTTTCCAACGAAATCGTTAGAGCTATCCAAATATCCACTTACATTTTCTACAAAAACAGTGTTTCCAAACTGCTGCATCAAAAGAAAAGTTCAACTCTGTTAGTTGAGGACACACATCACAAAGAAGTTTGTGAGAATGCTTCTGTCCAGATTTTGTATGACGATATTCCCTTTTCCAACGATATCGTTAAAGCAATCTAAATATCAATTTCCAGAATCCACAAAAATAGAGTTTCAAAGCTGCTCTGTAAAAAGAAAGGTTCCACTCTGTTAGCTGAGTACACACATCACAAACTTGTTTCTGAGAATCCTTCTGTCTCGTTTTTCTGGGAAGATATTTACTTTTTCACCGTAGGCATCAAAGCGCTCCAAATGTCCACATCCAGATACTCCAGAAAGAGTGTTTCAAACCTGCTCTATGAAAGGGAATCTTCAACTCTGTGAGTTGAATGCAGACATCAGAAAGAAATTTCTGAGAATGCTGCTGTCTACCTTTTATTTGAATTCCCGCTTCCAACGAAATCCTCCAAGCTATCCAAATATCCACTTGCAGATTCCACAAAAAGAGTGTTTCAAAACTGCTCTCTATCAATGGCAAAGTTCAACTCTGTTAGTTGAGGACACATATCACCAACAAGTTTCTGAGAATGCTTCTGTCTATTTTTTATGGGAAGATAATTCCTTTTTCACCGTAGGCGTCAAGGCGATCAAAATGTCCACTTCCACAAACTACAAAAAGAGTGTTTCAAACCTGCTCTATGAAAGGCCATGTTCATCTCTATGAGTCGAATGGAAATATCCGAAAGAAATTTCTGGGAATGCTGCTGTCTAGTTTTTATATGAATTCCCGCTTCCAACGAAATCCTCAAAGCAATCCAAATATCCACTTGCAGAATCCACAAAAAGAGTGTTTCAAAACTGCGCTATCATTAGAAAGGTTCAACTCTTTTAGTTGAGTACACACATCACAAACAAGTTTCTGAGAATGCTTCTGTCTGGCTTTTATTGGAAGACGTTTCCTTTTCACCAAAGGCATCAAAGCGCTCCAAATGTCCACTTCCAGATTCTTCCAAAAGAGTGTTTCAAACGTGCTCAAAGTAAGGGAATGTTCAACTCTTTGACTTGAATGCAGATATCACCAAGTAGTTTCTAATAGTGCTTCTGTCTAGATTTTAGATGATGATATTCCCGTTTCCAACGAAATCGTTAGAGCTATCCAAATATCCACTTACAGTTTCTACAAAAAGAGTGTTTCAAAACTTCTCTATGAAAAGAAAGGTTCTACTCCTTTAGTTGAGGACACACATCACGAGTAAGTTTCTGAGAGTGCTTCTGTCCAGATTTTGTATGACGACATTCCCTTTTCCAACGATATCGTTAAAGCAATCTAAATATCAATTTGCAGAATCCACAAAAATAGAGTTTCAAAGCTGCTCTGTAAAAAGAAAGGTTCCACTCAGTTAGCTGAGTACACACATCACAAACTTGTTTCTGAGAATCCTTCTGTCTCGTTTTTATGGGAAGATATTTACTTTTCCACCGTAGGCATCAAAGCGCTCCAAATGTCCACATCCAGATACTCCAGAACGAGTGTTTCAAACCTGCTCTATGAAAGGGAATCTTCAACTCTATGAGTTGAATGCAGACATCAGAAAGAAATTTCTGAGAATTCTGCTATCTACCTTTTATTTGAATTCCCGCTTCCAACGAAATCCTCCAAGCTATCCAAATATCCACTTGCATTTTCCACAAAAAGAGTGTTTCAAAACTGCTCTATCAATAGAAATGTTCAACTCCTTTAGCTGGGTACACACATCACAAACAAGTTTCTGAGAATGCTTCTGTCTAGTTTTTATGGGAAGACATTCCCTTTTTCACCAAAGGCATCAAAGCGCTCCAAATGTCCACTTCCAGACACTACAAAAAGAGTGTTTCAAACGTGCTCTAAGAAAGCGAATGTTCAACTCTGTGACTTGAATGCAGATATCACAAAGTAGTTTCTGAGAGGGATTCCGTCTAGATTTTAGATGATGATATTCCCATTTCCAACGAAATCATTAGAGCTATCCAAATATCCACTTACAGTTTCTACAAAAAGAGTGTTTCCAAACTGCTGCATCAGAAGAGAGGTTCCACTCTGTTAGCTGAGTACACACATCACAAACTTGTTTCTGAGAATCCTTCTGTCTCGTTTTTCTGGGAAGATATTTACTTTTTCACCGTAGGCATCAAAGCGCTCCAAATGTCCACATCCAGATACTCCAGAAAGAGTGTTTCAAACCTGCTCTATGAAAGGGAATCTTCAACTCTATGAGTTGAATGCAGACATCAGAAAGAAATTTCTGAGAATGCTGCTGTCTAACTTTTATTTGAATTCCCGCTTCCAACGAAATCCTCCAAGCTATCCAAATATCCACTTGCAGATTCAGGAAAAAGAGTGTTTCAAAACTGCTCTCTATCAATGGCAAAGTTCAACTCTGTTAGTTGAGGACACATATCACCAACAAGTTTCTGAGAATGCTTCTGTCTATTTTTTATGGGAAGATATTTCCTTTTTCACCGTAGGCGTCAAGGCGATCGAAATGTCCACTTCCACAAACTACAAAAAGAGTGTTTCAAACCTGCTCTATGAAAGGCCATGTTCATCTCTATGAGTCGAATGGAAATATCCGAAAGAAATTTCTGGGAATGCTGCTGTCTAGTTTTTATACGAATTCCCGCTTCCAACGAAATCCTCAAAGCAATCCAAATATCCACTTGCAGAATCCACAAAAAGAGTGTTTCAAAACTGCTCTATCAATAGAAAGGTTCAACTCTTTTAGTTGAGTACACACATCACAAACAAGTTTCTGAGAATGCTTCTGTCTGGCTTTTATTGGAAGACGTTTCCTTTTCACCAAAGGCATCAAAGCGCTCCAAATGTCCACTTCCAGATTCTTCCAAAAGAGTGTTTCAAACGTGCTCAAAGTAAGGGAATGTTCAACTCTTTGACTTGAATGCAGATATCACCAAGTAGTTTCTAATAGTGCTTCTGTCTACATTTTAGATGATGATATTCCCGTTTCCAACGAAATCGTTAGAGCTATCCAAATATCCAGTTACAGTTTCTACCAAAAGGGTGTTTCCAAATTGCTGCATCAAAAGAAAGGTTCAACTCTGTTAGTTGAGGACACACATCACAAAGAAGTTTGTGAGAATGCTTTCTGTCTAGATTTTGTATGACCATATTCCCTTTTCCAACGATATCGTTAAAGCAATCTAAATATCAATTTGCAGAATCCACAAAAATAGAGTTTCAAAGCTGCTCTGTAAAAAGAAAGGTTCCACTCTGTTAGCTGAGTACACACATCACAAACTTGTTTCTGAGAATCCTTCTGTCTAGTTTTTATGGGAAGATATTTACTTTTCACCGTAGGTATCAAAGCGCCCCAAATGTCCACATCCAGATACTACAGAAAGAGTGTTTCAAACCTGCTCTATGAAAGGGAATCTTCAACTCTATGAGTTGAATGCAGACATCAGAAAGTAATTTCTGAGAATGCTGCTGTCTACCTTTTATTTGAATTCCCGCTTCCAAGGAAATCCTCCAAGCTATCGAAATATCCACTAGCATTTTCCACAAAAAGAGTGTTTCAAAACTGCTCTATCAATAGAAATGTTCAACTCCTTTAGCTGGGTACACACATCACAAACAAGTTTCTGAGAATGCTTCTGTCTAGTTTTTATGGGAAGACGTTCCCTTTTTCACCAAAGGCATCAATGCGCTCCAAATGTCCACTTCCAGACACTACAAAAAGAGTGTTTCCAACGTGCTCTAAGAAAGCGAATGTTCAACTCTGTGACTTGAATGCAGATATCACAAAGTAGTTTCTGAGAGTGCTTCTGTCTAGATTTAGATGATGATATTCCCGTTTCCAACGAAATCATTAGAGCTATCCAAATATCCACTTACAGTTTCTACAAAAAGAGTGTTTCCAAACTGCTGCATCAAAAGAGAGGTTCCACTCTGTTAGCTGAGTACACACATCACAAACTTGTTTCTCAGAATCCTTCTGTCTCGTTTTTATGGGAAGATATTTACTTTTCCACCGTAGGCATCAAAGCGCTCCAAATGTCCACATCCAGATACTCCAGAAAGAGTGTTTCAAACCTGCTCTATGAAAGGGAATCTTCAACTTTATGAGTTGAATGCAGACATCAGAAAGAAATTTCTGAGAATGCTGCTGTCTACCTTTTATTTGAATTCCCGCTTCCAACGAAATCCTCCAAGCTATCCAAATATCCACTTGCAGATTCCACAAAAAGAGTGTTTCAAAACTGCTCTCTATCAATGGCAAAGTTCAACTCTGTTAGTTGAGGACACATATCACCAACAAGTTTCTGAGAATGCTTCTGTCTATTTTTTATGGGAAGATATTTCCTTTTTCACCGTAGGCGTCAAGGCGATCGAAATGTCCACTTCCACAAACTACAAAAAGAGTGTTTCAAACCTGCTCTATGAAAAGCCATGTTCATCTCTATGAGTTGAATGGAAATATCCGAAAGAAATTTCTGGGAATGCTGCTGTCTAGTTTTTATACGAATTCCCGCTTCCAACGAAATCCTCAAAGCAATCCAAATATCCACTTGCAGAATCCACAAAAAGAGTGTTTCAAAACTGCTCTATCAATAGAAAGGTTCAACTCTTTTAGTTGAGTACACACATCACAAACAAGTTTCTGAGAATGCTTCTGTCTGGCTTTTATTGGAAGACGTTTCCTTTTCACCAAAGGCATCAAAGCGCTCCAAATGTCCACTTCCAGATTCTTCCAAAAGAGTGTTTGAAACGTGCTCAAAGTAAGGGAATGTTCAACTCTGTGACTTGAATGCAGATATCACCAAGTAGTTTCTAATAGTGCTTCTGTCTAGATTTTAGATGACGATATTCCCGTTTCCAACGAAATCGTTAGAGCTATCCAAATATCCACTTACAGTTTCTACCAAAAGGGTGTTTCCAAACTGCTGCATCAAAAGAAAGGTTCAACTCTGTTAGTTGAGGACACACATCACAAAGAAGTTTGTGAGAATGCTTCTGTCTAGATTTTGTATGACCATATTCCCTTTCCCAGCGATATCATTAAAGCAATCTAAATATCCATTTGCAGAATCCACAAAAATAGAGTTTCAAAGCTGCTCTGTAAAAAGAAAGGTTCCACTCTGTTAGCTGAGTACACACATCACAAACTTGTTTCTGAGAATCCTTATGTCTCGTTTTTATGGGAAGATACTTACTTTTCCACCGTAGGCATCAAAGCGCTCCAAATGTCCACATCCAGATACTCCAGAACGAGTGTTTCAAACCTGCTCTATGAAAGGGAATCTTCAACTCTATGAGTTGAATGCAGACATCAGAAAGAAATTTCTGAGAATGCTGCTGTCTACCTTTTATTTGAACTCCCGCTTCCAACGAAATCCTCCAAGCTATCCAAATATCCACTTGCATTTTCCACAAAAAGAGTGCTTCAAAACTGCTCTATCAATAGAAATGTTCAACTCCTTTAGCTGGGTGCACACATCACAAACAAGTTTCTGAGAATGCTTCTGTCTAGTTTTTATGGGAAGACGTTCCCTTTTTCACCAAAGGCATCAAAGCGCTCCAAATGTCCACTTCCAGACACTACAAAAAGAGTGTTTCCAGCGTGCTCTAAGAAAGCGAATGTTCAACTCTGTGACTTGAATGCAGATATCACAAAGTAGTTTCTGAGAGGGCTTCTGTCTAGATTTTAGATGATGATATTCCCGTTTCCAACGAAATCATTAGAGCTATCCAAATAACCACTTACAGTTTCTACAAAAAGAGTGTTTCCAAACTGCTGCATCAAAAGAGAGGTTCCACTCTGTTAGCTGAGTACACACATCACAAACTTGTTTCTCAGAATCCTGCTGTCTACCTTTTATTTGAATTCCCGCTTCCAACGAAATCCTCCAAGCTATCCAAATATCCACTTGCATTTTCCACAAAAAGAGTGTTTCAAAACTGCTCTATCAATAGAAATGTTCAACTCCTTTGGCTGGGTACACACATCACAAACAAGTTTCTGAGAATGCTTCTGTCTAGTTTTTATGGGAAGACGTTCCCTTTTTCACCAAAGGCATCAAAGCGCTCCAAATGTCCACTTCCAGACACTACAAAAAGAGTGTTTCCAACGTGCTCTAAGAAAGCGAATGTTCAACTCTGTGACTTGAATGCAGATATCACAAAGTAGTTTCTGAGAGGGCTTTCTGTCTAGATTTTAGATGATGATATTCCCGTTTCCAAAAAAATCTTTAGAGCTATCCAAATATCCACTTACAGTTTCTACAAAAAGAGTGTTTCCAAACTGCTGCATCAAAAGAGAGGTTCCACTCTGTTAGCTGAGTACACACATCACAAACTTGTTTCTCAGACTCCTGCTGTCTACCTTTTATTTGAATTCCCGCTTCCAAGGAAAATCCTCCAAGCTATCGAAATATCCACTAGCATTTTCCACAAAAAGAGTGTTTCAAAACTGCTCTATCAATAGAAACGTTCAACTCCTTTAGCTGGGTACACACATCACAAACAAGTTTCTGAGAATGCTTCTGTCTAGTTTTTATGGGTAGACATTCCCTTTTTCACCAAAGGAATCAAAGCGCTCCAAATGTCCACTTCCAGCCACTACAAAAAGAGTGTTTCAAACGTGCTCTAAGAAAGCGAATGTTCAACTCTGTGACTTGAATGCAGATATCACAAAGTAGTTTCTGAGAGGGCTTCTGTCTAGATTTTAGATGATGATATTCCCGTTTCCAACGAAATCATTAGAGCTATCCAAATATCCACTTACAGTTTCTACAAAAAGAGTGTTTCCAAACTGCTGCATCAAAAGAGAGGTTCCACTCTGTTAGCTGAGTACGCCCATCACAAACTTGTTTCTCAGAATCCTTCTGTCTCGTTATTATGGGAAGATATTTACTTTTCCACCGTAGGCATCAAAGCGCTCCAAATGTCCACATCCAGATACTCCAGAACGAGTGTTTCAAACCTGCTCTATGAAAGGGAATCTTCAACTCTATGAGTTGAATGCAGACATCAGAAAGAAATTTCTGAGAATGCTGCTGTCTACCTTTTATTTGAATTCCCGCTTCCAACGAAATCCTCCAAGCTATCCAAATATCCACTTGCAGATTCCACAAAAAGAGTGTTTCAAAACTGCTCTCTATCAATGGCAAAGTTCAACTCTGTTAGTTGAGGACACATATCACCAACAAGTTTCTGAGAATGCTTCTGTCTATTTTTTATGGGAAGATATTTCCTTTTTCACCGTAGGCGTCAAGGCGATCGAAATGTCCACTTCCACAAACTACAAAAAGAGTGTTTCAAACCTGCTCTATGAAAGGCGATGTTCATCTCTATGAGTTGAATGGAAATATCCGAAAGAAATTTCTGGGAATGCTGGCTGTCTAGTTTTTATATGAATTCCCGCTTCCAACGAAATCCTCAAAGCAATCCAAATATCCACTTGCAGAATCCACAAAAAGAGTGTTTCAAAACTGCTCTATCAATAGAAAGGTTCAACTCTTTTAGTTGAGTACACACATCACCAACAAGTTTCTGAGAATGCTTCTGTCTGGCTTTTATTGGAAGACGTTTCCTTTTCACCAAAGGCATCAAAGCGCTCCAAATGTCCACTTCCAGATTCTTCCAAAAGAGTGTTTCAAACGTGCTCGAAGTAAGGGAATGTTCTACTCTGTGACTTGAATGCAGATAACACCAAGTAGTTTCTAATAGTGCTTCTGTCTAGATTTTAGATGATGATATTCCCGTTTCCAACGAAATCGTTAGAGCTATCCAAATATCCACTTACAGTTTCTACCAAAAGGGTGTTTCCAAATTGCTGCATCAAAAGAAAGGTTCAACTCTGTTAGTTGAGGACACACATCACAAAGAAGTTTGTGAGAATGCTTCTGTCTAGATTTTGTATGAAGATATTCCCTTTTCCAACGATATCGTTAAAGCAATCTAAATATCCATTTGCAGAATCCACAAAAATAGAGTTTCAAAGCTGCTCTGTAAAAAGAAAGGTTCCACTCTGTTAGCTGAGTACACACATCACAAACTTGTTTCTCAGAATCCTTCTGTCTCGTTTTTATGGGAAGATATTTACTTTTCCACCGTAGGCATCAAAGCGCTCCAAATGTCCACATCCAGATACTCCAGAAAGAGTGTTTCAAACCTGCTCTATGAAACGGAATCTTCAACTCTATGAGTTGAATGCAGACATCAGAAAGAAATTTCTGAGAATGCTGCTGTCTACCTTTTATTTGAATTCCCGCTTCCAACAAAAACCTCCAAGCTATCCAAATATCCACTTGCAGATTCCACAAAAAGAGTGTTTCAAAACTGCTCTATCAATAGAAATGTTCAACTCCTTTCGCTGGGTACACACATCACAAACAAGTTTCTGAGAATGCTTCTGTCTAGTTTTTATGGGTAGACATTCCCTTTTTCACCAAAGGAATCAAAGCGCTCCAAATGTCCACTTCCAGACACTACAAAAAGAGTGTTTCAAACGTGCTCTAAGAAAGCGAATGTTCAACTCTGTGACTTGAATGCAGATATCACACAGTGGTTTCTGAGAGTGCTTCTGTCTAGATTTTAGATGATGATATTCCCGTTTCCAACGAAATCATTAGAGCTATCCAAATATCCACTTACAGTTTCTACAAAAAGAGTGTTTCCAAACTGCTGCATCAGAAAAGAGGTTCCACTCTGTTAGCTGAGTACACACATCACAAACTTGTTTCTGAGAATCCTTTCTGTCTCGTTTTTATGGGAAGATATTTACTTTTTCACCGTAGGCATCAAAGCGCTCCAAATGTCCACATCCAGATACTCCAGAAAGAGTGTTTCAAACCTGCTCTATGAAAGGGAATCTTCAACTCTATGAGTTGAATGCAGACATCAGAAAGAAATTTCTGAGAATGCTGCTGTCTACCTTTTATTTGAATTCCCGCTTCCAACGAAATCCTCCAAGCTATCCAAATATCCACTTGCAGATTCCACAAAAAGAGTGTTTCAAAACTGCTCTCTATCAATGGCAAAGTTCAACTCTGTTAGTTGAGGACACATATCACCAACAAGTTTATGAGAATGCTTCTGTCTATTTTTTATGGGAAGATATTTCCTTTTTCACCGTAGGCGTCAAGGCGATCGAAATGTCCACTTCCACAAACTACAAAAAGAGTGTTTCAAACCTGCTCTATGAAAGGCCATGTTCATCTCTATGAGTCGAATGGAAATATCCGAAAGAAATTTCTGGGAATGCTGCTGTCTAGTTTTTATACGAATTCCCGCTTCCAACGAAATCCTCAAAGCAATCCAAATATCCACTTGCAGAATCCACAAAAAGAGTGTTTCAAAACTGCTCTATCAATAGAAAGGTTCAACTCTTTTAGTTGAGTACACACATCACAAACAAGTTTCTGAGAATGCTTCTGTCTGGCTTTTATTGGAAGACGTTTCCTTTTCACCAAAGGCATCAAAGCGCTCCAAATGTCCACTTCCAGATTCTTCCAAAAGAGTGTTTGAAACGTGCTCAAAGTAAGGGAATGTTCAACTCTGTGACTTGAATGCAGATATCACCAAGTAGTTTCTAATAGTGCTTCTGTCTAGATTTTAGATGACGATATTCCCGTTTCCAACGAAATCGTTAGAGCTATCCAAATATCCACTTACAGTTGCTACAAAAACAGTGTTTCCAAACTGCTGCATCAAAAGAAAGGTTCAACTCTGTTAGTTGAGGACACACGTCACAAAGAAGTTTGTGAGAATGCTTCTGTCTAGATTTTGTATGACGATATTCCCTTTTCCAACGATATCGTTAAAGCAATCTAAATATCAATTTGCAGAATCCACAAAAGTAGAGTTTCAAAGCTGCTCTGTAAAAAG
This sequence comes from Homo sapiens, assembly GCF_000001405.40. NCBI lineage: Eukaryota > Metazoa > Chordata > Mammalia > Primates > Hominidae > Homo > Homo sapiens. The sequence continues at coordinate 14,625,528 of NC_000022.11, read as the reverse complement.
AAAGGTTCCACTCTGTTAGCTGAGTATACACATCACAAACTTGTTTCTGAGAATCCTTCTGTCTCGTTTTTATGGGAAGATATTTACTTTTTCACCGTAGGCATCAAAGCGCTCCAAATGTCCACATCCAGATACTCCAGAGTGTTTCAAACCTGCTCTATGAAAGGGAATCTTCAACTCTATGAGTTGAATGCAGACATCAGAAAGAAATTTCTGAGAATGCTGCTGTCTACCTTTTATTTGAATTCCCGCTTCCAACGAAATCCTCCAAGCTATCCAAATATCCACTTGCAGATTCCACAAAAAGAGTGTTTCAAAACTGCTCTCTATCAATGGCAAAGTTCAACTCTGTTAGTTGAGGACACATATCACCAACAAGTTTCTGAGAATGCTTCTGTCTATTTTTTATGGGAAGATATTTCCTTTTTCACCGTAGGCGTCAAGGCGATCGAAATGTCCACTTCCACAAACTACAAAAAGAGTGTTTCAAACCTGCTCTATGAAAGGCCATGTTCATCTCTATGAGTCGAATGGAAATATCCGAAAAAATTTCTGGGAATGCTGCTGTCTAGTTTTTATACGAATTCCCGCTTCCAACGAAATCCTCAAAGCAATCCAAATATCCACTTGCAGAATCCACAAAAAGAGTGTTTCAAAACTGCTCTATCAATAGAAAGGTTCAACTCTTTTAGTTGAGTACACACATCACAAACAAGTTTCTGAGAATGCTTCTGTCTGGCTTTTATTGGAAGACGTTTCCTTTTCACCAAAGGCATCAAAGCGCTGCAAATGTCCACTTCCAGATTCTTCCAAAAGAGTGTTTCAAACGTGCTCAAAGTAAGGGAATGCTCAACTCTGTGACTTGAATGCAGATATCAACAAGTAGTTTCTAATAGTGCTTCTGTCTACATTTTAGATGATGATATTCCCGTTTCCAACGAAATCGTTAGAGCTATCCAAATATCCAGTTACAGTTTCTACCAAAAGGGTGCTTCCAAATTGCTGCATCAAAAGACAGGTTCAACTCTGTTAGTTGAGGACACACATCACAAAGAAGTTTGTGAGAATGCTTCTGTCTAGATTTTGTATGACGATATTCCCTTTTCCAACGATATCATTAAAGCAATCTAAATATCCATTTGCAGAATCCACAAAAATAGAGTTTCAAAGCTGCTCTGTAAAAAGAAAGGTTCCACTCTGTTAGCTGAGTACACACATCACAAACTTGTTTCTCAGAATCCTTCTGTCTCGTTTTTATGGGAAGATATTTACTTTTTACCGTAGGCATCAAAGCGCTCCAAATGTCCACATCCAGATACTCCAGAAAGAGTGTTTCAAACCTGCTCTATGAAAGGGAATCTTCAACTCTATGAGTTGAATGCAGACATCAGAAAGAAATTTCTGAGAATGCTGCTGTCTACCTTTAATTTGAATTCCCGCTTCCAACGAAATCCTCCAAGCTATCCAAATATCCACTTGCAGATTCCACAAAAAGAGTGTTTCAAAACTGCTCTCTATCAATGGCAAAGTTCAACTCTGTTAGTTGAGGACACATATCACCAACAAGTTTCTGAGAATGCTTATCTGTCTATTTTTTATGGGAAGATATTTCCTTTTTCACCGTAGGCGTCAAGGCGATCGAAATGTCCACTTCCACAAACTACAAAAAGAGTGTTTCAAACCTGCTCTATGAAAGGCCATGTTCATCTCTATGAGTTGAATGGAAATATCCGAAAGAAATTTCTGGGAATGCTGCTGTCTAGTTTTTATATGAATTCCCGCTTCCAACGAAATCCTCAAAGCAATCCAAATATCCACTTGCAGAATCCACAAAAAGAGTGTTGCAAAACTGCTCTATCAATAGAAAGGTTCAACTCTTTTAGTTGAGTACACACATCACAAACAAGTTTCTGAGAATGCTTCTGTCTGGCTTTTATTGGAAGACGTTTCCTTTTCACCAAAGGCATCAAAGCGCTCCAAATGTCCACTTCCAGATTCTTCCAAAAGAGTGTTTGAAACGTGCTCAAAGTAAGGGAATGTTCAACTCTGTGACTTGAATGCAGATATCACCAAGTAGTTTCTAATAGTGCTTCTGTCTAGATTTTAGATGATGATATTCCCGTTTCCAACGAAATCGTTAGAGCTATCCAAATATCCACTTACAGTTTCTACCAAAAGGGTGTTTCCAAATTGCTGCATCAAAAGAAAGGTTCAACTCTGTTAGTTGAGGACACACATCACAAAGAAGTTTGTGAGAATGCTTCTGTCTAGATTTTAGATGATGATATTCCCGTTTCCAACGAAATCGTTAGAGCTATCCAAATATCCACTTACAGTTTCTACAAAAAGAGTGTTTCCAAACTGCTGGATCAAAAGAGAGGTTCCACTCTGTTAGCTGAGTACACACATCACAAACTTGTTTCTCAGAATCCTGCTGTCTACCTTTTATTTGAATTCCCGCTTCCAACGAAATCCTCCAAGCTATCCAAATATCCACTTGCAGATTCCACAAAAAGAGTGTTTCAAAACTGCTCTCTATCAATGGCAAAGTTCAACTCTGTTAGTTGAGGACACATATCACCAACAAGTTTCTGAGAATGCTCTGTCTATTGTTTATGGGAAGATATTTCCTTTTTCACCGTAGGCGTCAAGGCGATCGAAATGTCCACTTCCACAAACTACAAAAAGAGTGTTTCAAACCTGCTCTATGAAAGGCGATGTTCATCTCTATGAGTTGAATGGAAATATCCGAAAGAAATTTCTGGGAATGCTGGCTGTCTAGTTTTTATATGAATTCCCGCTTCCAACGAAATCCTCAAAGCAATCCAAATATCCACTTGCAGAATCCAGAAAAAGAGTGTTTCAAAACTGCTCTATCAATAGAAAGGTTCAACTCTTTTAGTTGAGTACACACATCACGAACAAGTTTCTGAGAATGCTTCTGTCTGGCTTTTATTGGAAGACGTTTCCTTTTCACCAAAGGCATCAAAGCGCTCCAAATGTCCACTTCCAGATTCTTCCAAAAGAGTGTTTCAAACGTGCTCGAAGTAAGGGAATGTTCTACTCTGTGATTTGAATGCAGATATCACCAAGTAGTTTCTAATAGTGCTTCTGCCTACATTTTAGATGATGATATTCCCTTTTCCAACGAAATCGTTAGAGCTATCCAAATATCCAGTTACAGTTTCTACCAAAAGGGTGTTTCCAAATTGCTGCATCAAAAGAAAGGTTCAACTCTGTTAGTTGAGGACACACATCACAAAGAAGTTTGTGAGAATGCTTCTGTCTAGATTTTGTATGACGGTATTCCCTTTTCCAACGATATCGTTAAAGCAATCTAAATATCAATTTGCAGAATCCACAACAATAGAGTTTCAAAGCTGCTCTGTAAAAAGAAAGGTTCCACTGTGTTAGCTGAGTACACACATTACAAACTTGTTTCTGAGAATCCTTCTGTCTCGTTTTTATGGGAAGATATTTACTTTTTAACCGTAGGCATCAAAGCGCTCCAAATGTCCACATCCAGATACTCCAGAAAGAGTGTTTCAAACCTGCTCTATGAAAGGGAATCTTCAACTCTATGAGTTGAATGCAGACATCAGAAAGAAATTTCTGAGAATGCTGCTGTCTACCTTTTATTTGAATTCCCTCTTCCAACGAAATCCTCCAAGCTATCCAAATATCCACTTGCATTTTCCACAAAAAGAGTGTTTCAAAACTGCTCTATCAATAGAAATGTTCAACTCCTTTAGCTGGGTACACACATCACAAACAAGTTTCTGAGAATGCTTCTGTCTAGTTTTTATGGGAAGACATTCCCTTTTTCACCAAAGGCATCAAAGCGCTCCAAATGTCCACTTCCAGACACTACAAAAAGAGGGTTTCAAACGTGCTCTAAGAAAGCGAATATTCAACTCTGTGACTTGAATGCAGATATCACAAAGTAGTTTCTGAGAGGGCTTCTGTCTAGATTTTAGATGATGATATTCCCGTTTCCAACGAAATCATTAGAGCTATCCAAATATCCCCTTACAGTTTCTACAAAAAGAGTGTTTCCAAACTGCTGCATCAAAAGAGAGGTTCCACTCTGTTAGCTGAGTACACACATCACAAACTTGTTTCTCAGAATCCTTCTGTCTCGTTTTTATGGGAAGATATTTACTTTTTCACCGTAGGCATCAAAGCGCTCCAAATGTCCACATCCAGACACTCCAGAAAGAGTGTTTCAAACCTGCTCTATGAAAGGGAATCTTCAACTCTATGAGTTGAATGCAGACATCAGAAAGAAATTTCTGAGAATGCTGCTGTCTACCTTTTATTTGAATTCCCGCTTCCAACGAAATCCTCCAAGCTATCCAAATATCCACTTGCAGATTCCACAAAAAGAGTGTTTCAAAACTGCTCTCTATCAATGGCAAAGTTCAACTCTGTTAGTTGAGGACACATATCACCAACAAGTTTCTGAGAATGCTCCTGTCTATTTTTTATGGGAAGATATTTCCTTTTTCACCGTAGGCGTCAAGGCGATCGAAATGTCCACTTCCACAAACTACAAAAAGAGTGTTTCAAACCTGCTCTATGAAAGGCCATGTTCATCTCTATGAGTTGAATGGAAATATCCGAAAGAAATTTCTGGGAATGCTGCTGTCTAGTTTTTATACGAATTCCCGCTTCCAACGAAATCCTCAAAGCAATCTAAATATCCACTTGCAGAATCCACAAAAAGAGTGTTTCAAAACTGCTCTATCAATAGAAAGGTTCAACTCTTTTAGTTGAGTACACACATCACAAACAAGTTTCTGAGAATGCTTCTGTCTGGCTTTTATTGGAAGACGTTTCCTTTTCACCAAAGGCATCAAAGCGCTCCAAATGTCCACTTCCAGATTCTTCCAAAAGAGTGTTTGAAACGTGCTCAAAGTAAGGGAATGTTCAACTCTGTGACTTGAATGCAGATATCACCAAGTAGTTTCTAATAGTGCTTCTGTCTAGATTTTAGATGATGATATTCCCGTTTCCAACGAAATCGTTAGAGCTATCCAAATATCCCCTTACAGTTTCTACAAAAAGAGTGTTTCCAAACTGCTGCATCAAAAGAAAGGTTCAACTCTGTTAGTTGAGGACACACATCACAAAGAAGTTTGTGAGAATGCTTCTGTCTAGATTTTGTATGAAGATATTCCCTTTTCCAACGATATTGTTAAATCAACCCAAATATCAATTTGCAGAATCCACAGAAATAGAGTTTCAAAGCTGCTCTTTAAAAAGAAAGGATCCACTCTGTTAGCTGAGTACACACATCACAAACTTGTTTCTGAGAATCCTTCTGTCTCGTTTTTATGGGAAGATATTTACCTTTTCACCGTAGGCATCAAAGCGCTCCATATGTCCACATCCAGATACTCCACAAAGAGTGTTTCAAACCTGCTCTATGAAAGGGAATCTTCAACTCTATGAGTTGAATGCAGACATCAGAAAGAAATTTCTGAGAATGCTGCTGTCTACCTTTTATTTGAATTCCCGCTTCCAACGAAATCCTCCAAGCTATCCAAATATCCACCTGCATTTTCCACAACAAGAGTGTTTCAAAACTGCTCTATCAATAGAAATCTTCAACTCCTTTGGCTGGGTACACACATCACAAACAAGTTTCTGAGAATGCTTCTGTCTAGTTTTTATGGGAAGACGTTCCCTTTTTCACCAAAGGCATCAAAGCGCTCCAAATGTCCACTTCCAGACACTACAAAAAGAGTGTTTCAAACGTGCTCTTAGAAAGCGAATGTTCAACTCTGTGACTTGAATGCAGATATCACAAAGTAGTTTCTGAGAGGGCTTCTGTCTAGATTTTAGATGATGATATTCCCGTTTCCAACGAAATCATTAGAGCTATCCAAATATCCACTTACAGTTTCTACAAAAAGAGTGTTTCCAAACTGCTGCATGAAAAGAGAGGTTCCACTCTGTTAGCTGAGAACACACATCACAAACTTGTTTCTGAGAATCCTTCTGTCTAGCTTTTATGGGAAGATATTTACTTTTCCACCGTAGGCATCAAAGCGTTCCAAATGTCCACATCTAGATAGTACAGAAAGAGTGTTTCAAACCTGCTCTATGAAAGGGAATGTTCAACTCTATGAGTTGAATGCAAACATCACAAAGAAATTTCTGAGAATGCTGCTGTCTACCTTTTATTTGAATTCCCGCTTCCAACGAAATCCTCCAGGCTATCCAAATATCCACTTGCAGATTCCACAAAAACAGTGTTTCTAAACTGCTCTATCAATGGCAAGGTTCAACTCTGTCAGTTGAGGATACACATCACAAACAAGTTTCTGAGAATTCTTCTGTCTATTTTTTATGGGAAGATATTTCCTTTTTCACCGTAGGCGTCAAGGCGATCGAAATGTCCACTTCCACAAACTACAAAAAGAGTGTTTCAAACCTGCTCTATGAAAGGCCATGTTCATCTCTATGAGTCGAATGGAAATATCCGAAAGAAATTTCTGGGAATGCTGCTGTCTAGTTTTTATACGAATTCCCGCTTCCAACGAAATCCTCAAAGCAATCCAAATATCCACTTGCAGAATCCACAAAAAGAGTGTTTCAAAACTGCTCTATCAATAGAAAGGTTCAACTCTTTTAGTTGAGTACACACATCACAAACAAGTTTCTGAGAATGCTTCTGTCTGGCTTTTTTTGGAAGACGTTTCCCTTTTCACCAAAGGCATCAAAGCGCTCCAAATGTCCACTTCCAGATTCTTCCAAAAGAGTGTTTGAAACGTGCTCAAAGTAAGGGAATGTTCAACTCTGTGACTTGAATGCAGATATCACCAAGTAGTTTCTAATAGTGCTTCTGTCTAGATTTTAGATGATGATATTCCCGTTTCCAACGAAATCGTTAGAGCTATCCAAATATCCACTTACAGTTGCTACAAAAACAGTGTTTCCAAACTGCTGCATCAAAAGAAAGGTTCAACTCTGTTAGTTGAGGACACACATCACAAAGAAGTTTGTGAGAATGCTTCTGTCTAGATTTTGTATGACGATATTCCCTTTTCCAACGATATCGTTAAAGCAATCTAAATATCAATTTGCAGAATCCACAAAAACAGAGTTTCAAAGCTGCTCTGTAAAAAGAAAGGTTCCACTCTGTTAGCTGAGTACACACATCACAAACTTGTTTCTGAGAATCCTTCTGTTTCGTTTTTATGGGAAGATATTTACTTTTCCACCGTAGGCATCAAAGCGCTCCAAATGTCCACATCCAGATACTCCAGAACGAGTGTTTCAAACCTGCTCTATGAAAGGGAATCTTCAACTCTATGAGTTGAATGCAGACATCAGAAAGAAATTTCTGAGAATGCTGCTGTCTACCTTTTATTTGAATTCCCGCTTCCAACGAAATCCTCCAAGCTATCCAAATATCCACCTGCATTTTCCACAACAAGAGTGTTTCAAAACTGCTCTATCAATAGAAATGTTCAACTCCTTTTGCTGGGTACACACATCACAAACAAGTTTCTGAGAATGCTTCTGTCTAGTTTTTATGGGAAGACATTCCCTTTTTCACCAAAGGCATCAAAGCGCTCCAAATGTCCACTTCCTGACACTACGAAAAGAGTGTTTCAAACGTGCTCTAGGAAACCGAATGTTCAACTCTGTTACTTGAATGCAGATATCACAAAGTAGTTTCTGAGAGGGCTTCTGTCTAGGTTTTAGATGATGATATTCCCGTTTCCAACGAAATCATTAGAGCTATCCAAATATCCACTTACAGTTTCCACAAAAAGAGTGTTTCCAAACTGCTGCATCAAAAGAGAGGTTCCACTCTGTTAGCTGAGTACACACATCACAAACTTGTTTCTGAGAATCCTTCTGTCTCGTTTTTATGGGAAGATATTTACTTTTTCACCGTAGGCATCAAAGCGCTCCAAATGTCCACATCCAGATACTCCAGAAAGAGTGTTTCAAACCTGCTCTATGAAAGGGAATCTTCAACTCTATGAGTTGAATGCAGACATCAGAAAGAAATTTCTCAGAATGCTGCTGTCTAGCTTTTATTTGAATTCCCGCTTCCAACGAAAAACTCCAAGCTATCCAAATATCCACTTGCAGATTCCACAAAAAGAGTGTTTCAAAACTGCTCTATCAATAGAAATGTTCAACTCCTTTCGCTGGGTACACAGATCACAAACAAGTTTCTGAGAATGCTTCTGTCTAGTTTTTATGGGAAGACATTCCCTTTTTCACCAAAGGCATCAAAGCGCTCCAAATGTCCACTTCCAGACACTACAAAAAGAGTGTTTCCAACGTGCTCTACGAAAGCGAATGTTCAACTCTGTGACTTGAATGCAGATATCACAAAGTAGTTTCTGAGAGGGCTTCTGTCTAGATTTTAGATGATGATATTCCCGTTTCCAACGAAATCATTAGAGCTATCCAAATATCCACTTACAGTTTCTACAAAAAGAGTGTTTCCAAACTGCTGGATCAAAAGAGAGGTTCCACTCTGTTAGCTGAGTACACACATCACAAACTTGTTTCTCAGAATCCTTCTGTCTCGTTTTTCTGGGAAGATATTTACTTTTTCACCGTAGGCATCAAAGCGCTCCAAATGTCCACATCCAGATACTCCAGAAAGAGTGTTTCAAACCTGCTCTATGAAAGGGAATCTTCAACTCTATGAGTTGAATGCAGACATCAGAAAGAAATTTCTGAGAATGCTGCTGTCTACCTTTTATTTGAATTCCCGCTTCCAACGAAATCCTCCAAGCTATCCAAATATCCACTTGCAGATTCCACAAAAAGAGTGTTTCAAAACTGCTCTCTATCAATGGCAAAGTTCAACTCTGTTAGTTGAGGACACATATCACCAACAAGTTTCTGAGAATGCTCTGTCTATTGTTTATGGGAAGATATTTCCTTTTTCACCGTAGGCGTCAAGGCGATCGAAATGTCCACTTCCACAAACTACAAAAAGAGTGTTTCAAACCTGCTCTATGAAAGGCCATGTTCATCTCTATGAGTTGAATGGAAATATCCGAAAGAAATTTCTGGGAATGCTGGCTGTCTAGTTTTTATACGAATTCCCGCTTCCAACGAAATCCTCAAAGCAATCCAAATATCCACTTGCAGAATCCACAAAAAGAGTGTTTCAAAACTGCTCTATCAATAGAAAGGTTCAACTCTTTTAGTTGAGTACACACATCACAAACAAGTTTCTGAGAATGCTTCTGTCTGGCTTTTATTGGAAGACGTTTCCTTTTCACCAAAGGCATCAAAGCGCTCCAAATGTCCACTTCCAGATTCTTCCAAAAGAGTGTTTGAAACGTGCTCAAAGTAAGGGAATGTTCAACTCTGTGACTTGAATGCAGATATCACCAAGTAGTTTCTAATAGTGCTTCTGTCTAGATTTTAGATGATGATATTCCCGTTTCCAACGAAATCGTTAGAGCTATCCAAATATCCACTTACAGTTTCTACAAAAAGAGTGTTTCCAAACTGATGCATCAAAAGAAAGGTTCAACTCTGTTAGTTGAGGACACACATCACAAAGAAGTTTGTGAGAATGCTTCTCTCTAGATTTTGTATGAAGATATTCCCTTTTCCAAAGATATCGTTAAATCAACCCAAATATCAATTTGCAGAATCCACAGAAATAGAGTTTCAAAGCTGCTCTGTAAAAAGAAAGGATCCACTCTGTTAGCTGAGTACACACATCACAAACATGTTTCTGAGAATCCTTCTGTCTCGTTTTTATGGGAAGATATTTACTTTTCCACCGTAGGCATCAAAGCGCTCCAAATGTCCACATCCAGATACTCCAGAACGAGTGTTTCAAACCTGCTCTATGAAAGGGAATCTTCAACTCTATGAGTTGAATGCAGACATCAGAAAGAAATTTCTGGGAATGCTGCTGTCTAGTTTTTATATGAATTCCCGCTTCCAACGAAATCCTCCAAGCTATCCAAATATCCACCTGCATTTTCCACAAAAAGAGTGTTTCAAAACTGCTCTATCAATAGAAATGTTCAACTCCTTTGGCTGGGTACACACATCACAAACAAGTTTCTGAGAATGCTTCTGTCTATTTTTTATGGGAAGATATTTCCTTTTTCACCGTAGGCGTCAAGGCGATCGAAATGTCCACTTCCACAAACTACAAAAAGAGTGTTTCAAACCTGCTCTATGAAAGGCCATGTTCATCTCTATGAGTCGAATGGAAATATCCGAAAGAAATTTCTGGGAATGCTGCTGTCTAGTTTTTATATGAATTCCCGCTTCCAACGAAATCCTCAAAGCAATCCAAATATCCACTTGCAGAATCCACAAAAAGAGTGTTTCAAAACTGCTCTATCAATAGAAAGGTTCAACTCTTTTAGTTGAGTACACACATCACAAACAAGTTTCTGAGAATGCTTCTGTCTGTCTTTTATTGGAAGACGTTTCCTTTTCACCAAAGGCATCAAAGCGCTCCAAATGTCCACTTCCAGATTCTTCCAAAAGAGTGTTTCAAACGTGCTCGAAGTAAGGGAATGTTCTACTCTGTGACTTGAATGCAGATATCACCAAGTAGTTTCTAATAGTGCTTCTGTGTATACGTTAGATGAAGATATTCCCGTTTCCAACGATATCGTTAGACCTACCCAAATATCCACTTACAGTTTCTACAAAAAGAGTGTTTCCAAACTGCTGCATCAACAGAAAGTTTCAACTCTGTTAGTTGAGGACACACATCACAAAGAAGTTTCTGAGAAAGCTTCTGTCTAGATTTTGTATGATGATATTCCCTTTTCCAACGATATCGTTAAAGCAATCTAAATATCAATTTGCAGAATCCACAAAAATAGAGTTTCAAAGCTGCTCTGTAAAAAGAAAGGTTCCACTCTGCTAGCTGAGTACACACATCACAAACTTGTTTCTGAGAATCCTGCTGTCTACCTTTTATTTGAATTCCCGCTTCCAACGAAATCCTCCAAGCTATCCAAATATCCACTTGCAGATTCCACAAAAAGAGTGTTTCAAAACTGCTCTCTATCAATGGCAAAGTTCAACTCTGTTAGTTGAGGACACATATCACCAACAAGTTTCTGAGAATGCTTCTGTCTATTTTTTATGGGAAGATATTTCCTTTTTCACCGTAGGCGTCAAGGCGATCGAAATGTCCACTTCCACAAACTACAAAAAGAGTGTTTCAATATGAAAGGCCATGTTCATCTCTATGAGTTGAATGGAAATATCCGAAAGAAATTTCTGGGAATGCTGCTGTCTAGTGTTTATACGAATTCCCGCTTCCAACGAAATCCTCAAAGCAATCCAAATATCCACTTGCAGAATCCACAAAAAGAGTGTTTCAAAACTGCTCTATCAATAGAAAGGTTCAACTCTTTTAGTTGAGTACACACATCACGAACAAGTTTCTGAGAATGCTTCTGTCTGGCATTTATTGGAAGACGTTTCCTTTTCACCAAAGGCATCAAAGCGCTCCAAATGTCCACTTCCAGATTCTTCCAAAAGAGTGTTTCAAACGTGGTCGAAGTAAGGGAATGTTCAACTCTGTGACTTGAATGCAGATATCACCAAGTAGTTTCTAATAGTGCTTCTGTCTAGATTTTAGATGATGATATTCCCGTTTCCAATGAAATCGTTAGAGCTATCCAAATATCCACTTACAGTTTCTACCAAAAGGGTGTTTCCAAATTGCTGCATCAAAAGAAAGGTTCAACTCTGTTAGTTGAGGACACACATCACAAAGAAGTTTGTGAGAATGCTTCTGTCTAGATTTTGTATGACGATATTCCCTTTTCCAACGATATCGTTAAAGCAATCTAAATATCAATTTGCAGAATCCACAAAAATAGAGTTTCAAAGCTGCTCTGTAAAAAGAAAGGTTCCACTCTGTTAGCTGAGTACACACATCACAGACTTGTTTCTCAGAATCCTTCTGTCTCGTTTTTATGGGAAGATATTTACTTTTTCACCGTAGGCATCAAAGCGCTGCAAATGTCCACATCCAGATACTCCAGAAAGAGTGTTTCAAACCTGCTCTATGAAAGGGAATCTTCAACTCTATGAGTTGAATGCAGACATCAGAAAGAAATTTCTGAGAATGCTGCTGTCTACCTTTTATTTGAATTCCCGCTTCCAACGAAAACCTCCAAGCTATCCAAATATCCACTTGCAGATTCCACAAAAAGAGTGTTTCAAAACTGCTCTATCAATAGAAATGTTCAACTCCTTTCGCTGGGTACACACATCAAAAACAAGTTTCTGAGAAAGCTTCTGTCTAGTTTTTATGGGAAGACGTTCCCTTTTTCACCAAAGGCATCAAAGCGCTCCAAATGTCCACTTCCAGACACTACAAAAAGAGTGTTTCAAACGTGCTCTAAGAAACCGAATGTTCAACTCTGTGAGTTGAATGCAGATATCACAAAGTAGTTTCTGAGAGGGCTTCTGTCTAGATATTAGATGATGATATTCCCGTTTCCAACGAAATCATTAGAGCTATCCAAATATCCACTTACAGTTTCTACAAAAAGAGTGTTTCCAAACTGCTGCATCAAAAGAGAGGTTCCACTCTGTTAGCTGAGTACACACATCACAAACTTGTTTCTCAGAATCCTTCTGTCTCGTTTTTATGGGAAGATATTTACTTTTTCACCGTAGGCATCCAAGCGCTCCAAATGTCCACATCCAGATACTCCAGAAAGAGTGTTTCAAACCTGCTCTAAGAAAGGGAATCTTCAACTCTATGAGTTGAATGCAGACATCAGAAAGAAATTTCTGAGAATGCTGCTGTCTACCTTTTATTTGAATTCCCGCTTCCAACGAAATCCTCCAAGCTATCCAAATATCCACTTGCAGATTCCACAAAAAGAGTGTTTCAAAACTGCTCTCTATCAATGGCAAAGATCAACTCTGTTAGTTGAGGACACATATCACCAACAAGTTTCTGAGAATGCTTCTGTCTATTTTTTATGAGAAGATATTTCCTTTTTCACCATAGGCATCAGGGCGATCGAAATGTCCACTTCCACAAACTACAAAAAGAGTGTTTCAAACCTGCTCTATGAAAGGCCATGTTCATCTCTATGAGTTGAATGGAAATATCCGAAAGAAATTTCTGGAAATGCTGCTGTCTAGTTTTTATATGAATTCCCGCTTCCAACGAAATCCTCAAAGCAATCCAAATATCCACTTGCAGAATCCACAAAAAGAGTGTTTCAAAACTGCTCTATCAATAGAAAGGTTCAACTCTTTTAGTTGAGTACACACATCACCAACAAGTTTCTGAGAATGCTTCTGTCTGGCTTTTATTGGAAGACGTTTCCTTTTCACCAAAGGCATCAAAGCGCTCCAAATGTCCACTTCCAGATTCTTCCAAAAGAGTGTTTCAAACGTGCTCGAAGTAAGGGAATGTTCTACTCTGTGACTTGAATGCAGATATCACCAAGTAGTTTCTAATAGTGCTTCTGTCTAGATTTTAGATGATGATATTCCCGTTTCCAACAAAATCGTTAGAGCTATCCAAATATCCAGTTACAGTTTCTACCAAAAGGGTGTTTCCAAATTGCTGCATCAAAAGAAAGGTTCAACTCTGTTAGTTGAGGACACACATCACAAAGAAGTTTGTGAGAATGCTTCTGTCTAGCATTTTGTATGACGATATTCCCTTTTCCAACGATATCGTTAAAGCAATCTAAATATCCATTTGCAGAATCCACAAAAATAGAGTTTCAAAGCTGCTCTGTAAAAAGAAAGGTTCCACTCTGTTAGCTGAGTACACACATCACAAACTTGTTTCTCAGAATCCTTCTGTCTCGTTTTTATGGGAAGATATTTACTTTTCCACCGTAGGCATCAAAGCGCTCCAAATGTCCACATCCAGATACTCCAGAACGAGTGTTTCAAACCTGCTCTATGAAAGGGAATCTTCAACCTCTATGAGTTGAATGCAGACATCAGAAAGAAATTTCTGAGAATGCTGCTGTCTACCTTTTATTTGAATTCCCGCGTCCAACGAAATCCTCCAAGCTATCCAAATATCCACTTGCATTTTCCACAAAAAGAGTGTTTCAAAACTGCTCTATCAATAGAAATGTTCAACTCCTTTGGCTGGGTACACACATCACAAACAAGTTTCTGAGAATGCTTCTGTCTAGTTTTTATGGGAAGACGTTCCCTTTTTCACCAAAGGCATCAAAGCGCTCCAAATGTCCACTTCCAGACACTACAAAAAGAGTGTTTCCAACGTGCTCTAAGAAAGCGAATGTTCAACTCTGTGACTTGAATGCAGATATCACAAAGTAGTTTCTGAGAGGGCTTCTGTCTAGATTTTAGATGATGATATTCCCGTTTCCAACGGAATCATTAGAGCTATCCAAATATCCACTTACAGTTTCTACAAAAAGAGTGTTTCCAAACTGCTGCATCAAAAGAGAGGTTCCACTCTGTTAGCTGAGTACACACATCACAAACTTGTTTCTCAGAATCCTTCTGTCTCGTTTTTATGGGAAGATATTTACTTTTTCACCGTAGGCATCAAAGCGCTCCAAATGTCCACATCCAGATACTCCAGAAAGAGTGTTTCAAACCTGCTCTATGAAAGGGAATGTTCAACTCTATGAGTTGAATGCAGACATCAGAAAGAAATTTCTGAGAATGCTGCTGTCTACCTTTTATTTGAATTCCCGCTTCCAACGAAATCCTCCAAGCTATCCAAATATCCACTTGCAGATTCCACAAAAAGAGTGTTTCAAAACTGCTCTCTATCAATGGCAAAGTTCAACTCTGTTAGTTGAGGACACATATCACCAAGAAGTTTCTGAGAATGCTTCTGTCTATTTTTTATGGGAAGATATTTCCTTTTTCACCGTAGGCGTCAAGGCGATCGAAATGTCCACTTCCACAAACTACAAAAAGAGTGTTTCAAACCTGCTCTATGAAAGGCCATGTTCATCTCTATGATTTGAATGGAAATATCCGAAAGAAATTTCTGGGAATGCTGCTGTCTAGTGTTTATACGAATTCCCGCTTCCAACGAAATCCTCAAAGCAATCCAAATATCCACTTGCAGAATCCACAAAAAGAGTGTTTCAAAACTGCTCTATCAATAGAAAGGTTCAACTCTTTTAGTTGAGTACACACATCACGAACAAGTTTCTGAGAATGCTTCTGTCTGGCTTTTATTGGAAGACGTTTCCTTTTCACCAAAGGCATCAAAGCGCTCCAAATGTCCACTTCCAGATTCTTCCAAAAGAGTGTTTCAAACGTGCTCAAAGTAAGGGAATGTTCAACTCTGTGACTTGAATGCAGATATCACCAAGTAGTTTCTAATAGTGCTTCTGTCTAGATTTTAGATGATGATATTCCCGTTTCCAATGAAATCGTTAAATCTATCCAAATATCCACTTACAGTTTCTACAAAAAGAGTGTTTCCAAACTGCTGCATCAAAAGGAAGGTTCAACTCTGTTAGTTGAGGACACACATCACAAAGATGTTTGTGAGAATGCTTCTGTCTAGATTTTGTATGACCATATTCCCTTTTCCAACGATATCGTTAAAGAAATCTAAATATCAATTTGCAGAATCCACAAAAATAGAGTTTCAAAGCTGCTCTGTAAAAAGAAAGGTTCCGCTCTGTTAGCTGAGTACACACATCACAAACTTGTTTCTGAGAATCCTTCTGTCTCGTTTTTATGGGAAGATATATACTTTTCCACCGTAGGCATCAAAGCGCTCCAAATGTCCACATCTAGATACTCCAGAACGAGTGTTTCAAACCTGCTCTATGAAAGGGAATCTTCAACTCTATGAGTTGAATGCAGACATCAGAAAGAAATTTCTGAGAATGCTGCTGTCTACCTTTTATTTGAATTCCCGCTTCCAACGAAAACCTCCAAGCTATCCAAATATCCACTTGCAGATTCCACAAAAAGAGTGTTTCAAAACTGCTCTATCAATAGAAATGTTCAACTCCTTTCGCTGGGTACACACATCACAAACAAGTTTCTGAGAAAGCTTCTGTCTAGTTTTTATGGGTAGACATTCCCTTTTTCACCAAAGGCAATCAAAGCGCTCCAAATGTCCACTTCCAGACACTACAAAAAGAGTGTTTCAAACGTGCTCTAAGAAAGCGAATGTTCAACTCTGTGACTTGAATGCAGATATCACAAAGTAGTTTCTGAGAGTGCTTCTGTCTAGATTTTAGATGATGATATTCCCGTTTCCAACGAAATCATTAGAGCTATCCAAATATCCACTTACAGTTTCTACAAAAAGAGTGTTTCCAAACTGCTGCATCAAAAGAGAGGTTCCACTCTGTTAGCTGAGTACACACATCACAAACTTGTTTCTGAGAATCCTTCTGTCTCGTTTTTATGGGAAGATATTTACTTTTTCACCGTAGGCATCAAAGCGCTCCAAATGTCCTCATCCAGATACTCCAGAAAGAGTGTTTCAAACCTGCTCTATGAAAGGGAATCTTCAACTCTATGAGTTGAATGCAGACATCAGAAAGAAATTTCTGAGAATGCTGCTGTCTACCTTTTATTTGAATTCCCGCTTCCAACGAAATCCTCCAAGCTATCCAAATATCCACTTGCAGATTCCACAAAAAGAGTGTTTCAAAACTGCTCTCTATCAATGGCAAAGTTCAACTCTGTTAGTTGAGGACACATATCACCAACAAGTTTCTGAGAATGCTTCTGTCTATTTTTTATGGGAAGATATTTCCTTTTTCACCGTAGGCGTCAAGGCGATCGAAATGTCCACTTCCACAAACTATAAAAAGAGTGTTTCAAACCTGCTCTATGAAAGGCCATGTTCATCTCTATGAGTTGAATGGAAATATCCGAAAGAAATTTCTGGGAATGCTGCTGTCTAGTGTTTATACGAATTCCCGCTTCCAACGAAATCCTCAAAGCAATCCAAATATCCACTTGCAGAATCCACAAAAAGAGTGTTTCAAAACTGCTCTATCAATAGAAAGGTTCAACTCTTTTAGTTGAGTACACACATCACGAACAAGTTTCTGAGAATGCTTCTGTCTGGCTTTTATTGGAAGACGTTTCCTTTTCACCAAAGGCATCAAAGCGCTCCAAATGTCCACTTCCAGATTCTTCCAAAAGAGTGTTTCAAACGTGCTCGAAGTAAGGGAATGTTCAACTCTGTGACTTGAATGCAGATATCACCAAGTAGTTTCTAATAGTGCTTCTGTCTACATTTTAGATGATGATATTCCCGTTTCCAACGAAATCGTTAGAGCTATCCAAATATCCAGTTACAGTTTCTACCAAAAGGGTGTTTCCAAATTGCTGCATCAAAAGAAAGGTTCAACTCTGTTAGTTGAGGACACACATCACAAAGAAGTTTGTGAGAATGCTTCTGTCTAGATTTTGTATGACGGTATTCCCTTTTCCAACGATATCGTTAAAGCAATCTAAATATCAATTTGCAGAATCCACAACAATAGAGTTTCAAAGCTGCTCTGTAAAAAGAAAGGTTCCACTCTGTTAGCTGAGTACACACATCACAAACTTGTTTCTGAGAATCCTTCTGTCTCGTTTTTATGGGAAGATATTTACTTTTCCACCGTAGGCATCAAAGCGCTCCAAATGTCCACATCCGGATACTCCAGAACGAGTGTTTCAAACCTGCTCTATGAAAGGGAATCTTCAACTATATGAGTTGAATGCAGACATCAGAAAGAAATTTCTGAGAATGCTGCTGTCTAACTTTTATTTGAATTCCCGCTTCCAACGAAATCCTCCAAGCTATCCAAATATCCACCTGCATTTTCCACAAAAAGAGTGTTTCAAAACTGCTCTATCAATAGAAATGTTCAACTCCTTTGGGTGGGTACACACATCACAAACAAGTTTCTGAGAATGCTTCTGTCTAGTTTTTATGGGTAGACATTCCCTTTTTCACCAAAGGAATCAAAGCGCTCCAAATGTCCACTTCCAGACACTACAAAAAGAGTGTTTCCAACGTGCTCTAAGAAAGCGAATGTTCAACTCTGTGACTTGAATGCAGATATCACAAAGTAGTTTCTGAGAGGGCTTCTGTCTAGATTTTAGATGATGATATTCCCGTTTCCAACGAAATCATTAGAGCTATCCAAATATCCACTTACAGTTTCTACAAAAAGAGTTTTTCCAAACTGCTGCATCAAAAGAGAGGTTCCACTCTGTTAGCTGAGTACGCCCATCACAAACTTGTTTCTCAGAATCCTTCTGTCTCGTTTTTATGGGAAGATATTTACTTTTTCACCGTAGGCATCCAAGCGCTCCAAATGTCCACATCCAGATACTCCAGAAAGAGTGTTTCAAACCTGCTTTATGAAAGGGAGTCTTCAACTCTATGAGTTGAATGCAGACATCAGAAGGAAATTTCTGAGAATGCTGCTGTCTACCTTTTATTTGAATTCCCGCTTCCAACGAAATCCTCCAAGCTATCCAAATATCCACTTGCATTTTCCACAAAAAGAGTGTTTAAAAACTGCTCTATCAATAGAAATGTTCAACTCCTTTAGCTGGGTACACACATCACAAACAAGTTTCTGAGAATGCTTCTGTCTAGTTTTTATGGGAAGACATTCCCTTTTTCACCAAAGCCATCAAAGCGCTCCAAATGTCCACTTCCAGACACTACAAAAAGAGTGTTTCAAACGTGCTCTAAGAAAGCGAATGTTCAACTCTGTGACTTGAATGCAGATATCACAAAGTAGTTTCTGAGAGGGCTTCTGTCTAGATTTTAGATGATGATATTCCCGTTTCCAACGAAATCATTAGAGCTATCCAAATATCCACTTACAGTTTCTACAAAAAGAGTATTTCCAAACTGCTGCATCAAAAGAGAGGTTCCACTCTGTTAGCTGAGTACACACATCACAAACTTGTTTCTCAGAATCCTCTGTCTCGTTTTTCTGGGAAGATATTTACTTTTTCACCGTAGGCATCAAAGCGCTCCAAATGTCCACATCCAGATACTCCAGAAAGAGTGTTTCAAACCTGCTCTATGAAAGGGAATCTTCAACTCTATGAGTTGAATGCAGACATCAGAAAGAAATTTCTGAGAATGCTGCTGTCTACCTTTTATTTGAATTCCCGCTTCCAACGAAATCCTCCAAGCTATCCAAATATCCACTTGCAGATTCCACAAAAAGAGTGTTTCAAAACTGCTCTCTATCAATGGCAAAGTTCAACTCTGTTAGTTGAGGACACATATCACCAACAAGTTTCTGAGAATGCTTCTGTCTATTTTTTATGGGAAGATATTTCCTTTTTCACCGTAGGCGTCAAAGCGATCGAAATGTCCACTTCCACAAACTACAAAAAGAGTGTTTCAATATGAAAGGCCATGTTCATCTCTATGAGTTGAATGGAAATATCCAAAAGAAATTTCTGGGAATGCTGCTGTCTAGTGTTTATACGAATTCCCGCTTCCAACGAAATCCTCAAAGCAATCCAAATATCCACTTGCAGAATCCACAAAAAGAGTGTTTCTAAACTGCTCTATCAATAGAAAGGTTCAACTCTTTTAGTTGAGTACACACATCACGAATAAGTTTCTGAGAATGCTTCTGTCTGGCTTTTATTGGAAGACGTTTCCTTTTCACCAAAGGCATCAAAGCGCTCCAAATGTCCACTTCCAGATTCTTCCAAAAGAGTGTTTCAAACGTGCTCGAAGTAAGGGAATGTTCTACTCTGTGACTTGAATGCAGATATCACCAAGTAGTTTCTAATAGTGCTTCTGTCTAGATTTTAGATGATGATATTCCCGTTTCCAACGAAATCGTTAGAGCTATCCAAATATCCAGTTACAGTTTCTACCAAAAGGGTGTTTCCAAATTGCTGCATCAAAAGAAAGGTTCAACTCTGTTAGTTGAGGACACACATCACAAAGAAGTTTGTGAGAATGCTTCTCTCTAGATTTTGTATGAAGATATTCCCTTTTCCAACGATATCGTTAAATCAACCCAAATATCAATTTGCAGAATCCACAGATATAGAGTTTCAAAGCTGCTCTGTAAAAAGAAAGGATCCACTCTGTTAGCTGAGTACACACATCACAAACTTGTTTCTGAGAATCCTGCTGTCTACCTTTTATTTGAATTCCCGCTTCCAACGAAATCCTCCAAGCTATCCAAATATCCACCTGCATTTTCCACAACAAGAGTGTTTCAAAACTGCTCTATCAATAGAAATGTTCAACTCCTTTGGCTGGGTACACACATCACAAACAACTTTCTGAGAATGCTTCTGTCTAGTTTTTATGGGAAGACATTCCCTTTTTCACCAAAGACATCAAAGCGCTCCAAATGTCCACTTCCAGACACCACAAAAAGAGTGTTTCAAACGTGCTCTAAGAAAGCGAATGTTCAACTCTGTGACTTGAATGCAGATATCACAAAGTAGTTTCTGAGAGGGCTTCTGTCTAGATTTTATATGATGATATTCCCGTTTCCAACGAAATCATTAGAGCTATCCAAATATCCACTTACAGTTTCTACAAAAAGAGTGTTTCCAAACTGCTGCATCAAAAGAGAGGTTCCACTCTGTTAGCTGAGTACACACATCACAAACTTGTTTCTCAGAATCCTTCTGTCTCGTTTTTATGGGAAGATATTTACTTTCTCACCGTAGGCATCAAAGCGCTCCAAATGTCCACATCCAGATACTCGAGAAAGAGTGTTTCAAACCTGCTCTATGAAAGGGAATCTTCAACTCTATGAGTTGAATGCAGACATCAGAAAGAAATTTCTGAGAATGCTGCTGTCTACCTTTTATTTGAATTCCCGCTTCCAACGAAATCCTCCAAGCTATCCAAATATCCACTTGCAGATTCCACAGAAGGAGTGTTTCAAAACTGCTCTCTATCAATGGCAAAGTTCAACTCTGTTAGTTGAGGACACATATCACCAACAAGTTTCTGAGAATGCTTCTGTCTATTTTTTATGGGAAGATATTTCCTTTTTCACCGTAGGCGTCAAGGCGATCGAAATGTCCACTTCCACAAACTACAAAAAGAGTGTTTCAAACCTGCTCTATGAAAGGCCATGTTCATCTCTATGAGTTGAATGGATATATCGGAAAGAAATTTCTGGGAATGCTGCTGTCTAGTTTTTATACGAATTCCCGCTTCCAACGAAATCCTCAAAGCAATCCAAATATCCACTTGCAGAATCCACAAAAAGAGTGTTTCAAAACTGCTCTATCAATAGAAAGGTTCAACTCTTTTAGTTGAGTACACACATCACAAACAAGTTTCTGAGAATGCTTCTGTCTGGCTTTTATTGGAAGACGTTTCCTTTTCACCAAAGGCATCAAAGCACTCCAAATGTCCACTTCCAGATTCTTCCAAAAGAGTGTTTGAAACGTGCTCAAAGTAAGGGAATGTTCAACTCTGTGACTTGAATGCAGATATCACCAAGTAGTTTCTAATAGTGCTTCTGTCTAGATTTTAGATGATGATATTCCCGTTTCCAACGAAATCGTTAGAGCTATCCAAATATCCACTTACAGTTGCTACAAAAAGAGTGTTTCCAAACTGCTGCATCAAAAGAAAGGTTCAACTCTGTTAGTTGAGGACACACGTCACAAAGAAGTTTGTGAGAATGCTTCTGTCCAGATTTTGTATGACGATATTCCCATTTCCAACGATATCGTTAAAGCAATCTAAATATCAATTTGCAGAATCCACAAAAATAGAGTTTCAAAGCTGCTCTGTAAAAAGAAAGGTTCCACTCTGTTAGCTGAGTACACACATCACAAACTTGTTTCTCAGAATCCTTCTGTCTCGTTTTTATGGGAAGATATTTACTTTTTCACCGTAGGCATCGCTCCAAATGTCCACATCCAGATACTCCAGAAAGACTGTTTCAAACCTGCTCTATGAAAGGGAATCTTCAACTCTATGAGTTGAATGCAGACATCAGAAAGAAATTTCTGAGAATGCTGCTGTCTACCTTTTATTTGAATTCCCGCTTCCAACGAAATCCTCCAAGCTATCCAAATATCCACTTGCATTTTCCACCAAAAGAGTGTTTCAAAACTGCTCTATCAATAGAAATGTTCAAATCCTTTAGCTGGGTACACACATCACAAACAAGTTTCTGAGAATGCTTCTGTCTAGTTTTTATGGGTAGACATTCCCTTTTTCACAAAAGGAATCAAAGCGCTCCAAATGTCCACTTCCAGACACTACAAAAAGAGTGTTTCAAACGTGCTCTAAGAAAGCGAATGTTCAACTCTGTGACTTGAATGCAGATATCACAAAGTAGTTTCTGAGAGGGCTTCTGTCTAGACTTTAAATGATGATATTCCCGTTTCCAACGAAATCATTAGAGCTATCCAAATATCCACTTACAGTTTCTACAAAAAGAGTGTTTCCAAACTGCTGCATCAAAAGAGAGGTTCCACTCTGTTAGCTGAGTACACACATCACAAACTTGTTTCTCAGAATCCTTCTGTCTCGTTTTTATGGGAAGATATTTACTTTTTCACCGTAGGCATCAAAGCGCTCCAAATGTCCACATCCAGATACCCCAGAAAGAGTGTTTCAAACCTGCTCTATGAAAGGGAATCTTCAACTCTATGAGTTGAATGCAGACATCAGAAAGAAATTTCTGAGAATGCTGCTGTCTACCTTTTATTTGAATTCTCACTTCCAACGAAATCCTCCAAGCTATCCAAATATCCACTTGCATTTTCCACAAAAAGAGTGTTTCAAAACTGCTCTCTATCAATGGCAAAGTTCAACTCTGTTAGTTGAGGACACATATCACCAACAAGTTTCTGAGAATGCTTCTGTCTATTTTTTATGGGAAGATATTTCCTTTTTCACCGTAGGCGTCAAGGCGATCGAAATGTCCACTTCCACAAACTACAAAAAGAGTGTTTCAAACCTGCTCTATTAAAGGCCATGTTCATCTCTATGAGTTGAATGGAAATATCCGAAAGAAATTTCTGGGAATGCTGCTGTCTAGTGTTTATACGAATTCCCGCTTCCAACGAAATCCTCAAAGCAATCCAAATATCCACTTGCAGAATCCACAAAAAGAGTGTTTCAAAACTGCTCTATCAATAGAAAGGTTCAACTCTTTTAGTTGAGTACACACATCACGAACAAGTTTCTGAGAATGCTTCTGTCTGGCTTTTATTGGAAGACGTTTCCTTTTCACCAAAGGCATCAAAAGGCTCCAAATGTCCACTTCCAGATTCTTCCAAAAGAGTGTTTCAAACGTGCTCGAAGTAAGGGAATGTTCAACTCTGTGACTTGAATGCAGATATCACCAAGTAGTTTCTAATAGTGCTTCTGTCTAGATTTTAGATGATGATATTCCCGTTTCCAACGAAATCATTAGAGCTATCCAAATATGCAGTTACAGTTTCTACCAAAAGGGTGTTTCCAAATTGCTGCATCAAAAGAAAGGTTCAACTCTGTTAGTTGAGGACACACATCACAAAGAAGTTTGTGAGAATGCTTCTGTCTAGATTTTGTATGACGATATTCCCTTTTCCAACGATATCGTTAAAGCAATCTAAATATCAATTTGCAGAATCCACAAAAATAGAGTTTCAAAGCTGCTCTGTGAAAAGAAAGGTTCCACTCTGTTAGCTGAGTACACACATCACAAACTTGTTTCTCAGAATCCTTCTGTCTCGTTTTTATGGGAAGATATTTACTTTTCCACCGTAGGCATCAAAGCGCTCCAAATGTCCACATCCAGATACTCCAGAACGAGTGTTTCAAACCTGCTCTATGAAAGGGAATCTTCAACTCTATCAGTTGAATGCAGACATCAGAAAGAAATTTCTGAGAATGCTGCTGTCTACCTTTTATTTGAATTCCCGCTTCCAACGAAATCCTCCAAGCTATCCAAATATCCACTTGCATTTTCCACAACAAGAGTGTTTCAAAACTGCTCTATCAATAGAAATGTTCAACTCCCTTTGGCTGGGTACACACATCACAAACAAGTTTCTGAGAATGCTTCTGTGTAGTTTTTATGGGTAGACATTCCCTTTTTCACCAAAGGAATCAAAGCGCTCCAAATGTCCACTTCCAGACACTACAAAAAGAGTGTTTCAAACGTGCTCTAAGAAAGCGAATGTTCAACTCTGTGACTTGAATGCAGATATCACAAAGTAGTTTCTGAGAGGGCTTCTGTCTAGACTTTAGATGATGATATTCCCGTTTCCAACGAAATCATTAGAGCTATCCAAATATCCACTTACAGTTTCTACAAAAAGAGTGTTTCCAAACTGCTGCATCAAAAGAGAGGTTCCACTCTGTTAGCTGAGTACACACATCACAAACTTGTTTCTCAGAATCCTTCTGTCTCGTTTTTATGGGAAGATATTTACTTTTTCACCGTAGGCATCAAAGCGTTCCAAATGTCCACATCCAGATAGTGCAGAAAGAGTGTTTCAAGCCTGCTCTATGAAAGGGAATGTTCAACTCTATGAGTTGAATGCAAACATCACAAAGAAATTTCTGAGAATGCTGCTGTCTACCTTTTATTTGAACTCCCGCTTCCAACGAAATCCTCCAAACTATCCAAATATCCACTTGCATTTTCCACAAAAAGAGTGCTTCAAAACTGCTCTATCAATAAATGTTCAACTCCTTTAGCTGGGTGCACACATCACAAACAAGTTTCTGAGAATGCTTCTGTCTAGTTTTTATGGGAAGACATTTCCTTTTTCACCAAAGGCATCAAAGAGCTCCAAATGTCCACTTCCAGATACTACAAAAAGAGTGTTTCAAAAGTGCTCTAAGAAACCGAATGTTCAACTCTGTGACTTGAATGCAGATATCAAAAAGTAGTTTCTGAGAGTGCTTCTGTCTAGATTTTAGATGATGATATTCCCGTTTCCAACGAAATCATCAGAGCTATCCAAATATCCACTTACAGTTTCTACAAAAAGAGTGTTTCCAAACTGCTGCATCAAAACAGAGGTTCCACTCTGTTAGCTGAGTACACACATCACAAACTAGTTTCTCAGAATCCTTCTGTCTCGTTTTTATGGGAAGATATTTACTTTTTCACCATAGGTATCAAAGCGCTCCAAATGTCCACATCCAGATACTCCAGAAAGAGTGTTTCAAACCTGCTCTATGAAAGGGAATCTTCAACTCTATGAGTTGAATGCAGACATCAGAAAGAAATTTCTGAGAATGCTGCTGTCTACCTTTTATTTGAATTCCCGCTTCCAACGAAATCCTCCAAGCTATCCAAATATCCACTTGCAGATTCCACAAAAAGAGTGTTTCAAAACTGCTCTCTATCAATGGCAAAGTTCAACTCTGTTAGTTGAGGACACATATCACCAACAAGTTTCTGAGAATGCTTCTGTCTATTTTTCATGGGAAGATATTTCCTTTTTCACCGTAGGCGTCAAGGCGATCGAAATGTCCACTTCCACAAACTACAAAAAGAGTGTTTCAATATGAAAGGCCATGTTCATCTCTATGAGTTGAATGGAAATATCCGAAAGAAATTTCTGGGAATGCTGCTGTCTACCTTTTATTTGAATTCCCGCTTCCAACGAAATCCTCCAAGCTATCCAAATATCCACCTGCATTTTCCACAAAAAGAGCGTTTCAAAACTGCTCTATCAATAGAAATGTTCAACTCCTTTGGCTGGGTACACACATCACAAACAAGTTTGCTGAGAATGCTTTCTGTCTAGTTTTTATGGGAAGACATTCCCTTTTTCACCAAAGGCATCAAAGCGCTCCAAATGTCCACTTCCAGACACTACAAAAAGAGTGTTTCCAACGTGCTCTAAGAAAGCGAATCTTCAACTCTGTGACTTGAATGCAGATATCACAAAGTAGTTTCTAATAGTGCTTCTGTCTAGCATTTTAGATGATGATATTCCCGTTTCCAACGAAATCGTTAGAGCTATCCAAATATCCACTTACAGTTTCTACAAAAAGAGTGTTTCCAAACTGCTGCATCAAAAGAAAGGTTCAACTCTGTTAGTTGAGGACACACGTCACAAAGAAGTTTGTGAGAATGCTTCTGTCCAGATTTTGTATGACAATATTCCCTTTTCCAACGATATCGTTAAAGCAATCTAAATATCAATTTGCAGAATCCACAAAAATAGAGTTTCAAAGCTGCTCTGTAAAAAGAAAGGTTCCACTCTGTTAGCTGAGTACACACATCACAAACTTGTTTCTCAGAATCCTTCTGTCTCGTTTTTCTGGGAAGATATTTACTTTTTCACCGTAGGCATCAAAGCGCTCCAAATGTACACATCCAGATACTCCAGAAAGAGTGTTTCAAACCTGCTCTATGAAAGGGAATCTTCAACTCTATGAGTTGAATGCAGACATCAGAAAGAAATTTCTGAGAATGCTGCTGTCTACCTTTTATTTGAATTCCCGCTTCCAACGAAATCCTCCAAGCTATCCAAATATCCACTTGCATTTTCCACAAAAAGAGTGTTTCAAAACTGCTCTATCAATAGAAATGTTCAACTCCATTAGCTGGGTACACACATCACAAACAAGTTTCTGAGAATGCTTCTGTCTAGTTTTTATGGGAAGACATTCCCTTTTTCACCAAAGGCATCAAAGCGCTCCAAATGTCCACTTCCAGACACTACAAAAAGAGTGTTTCAAACGTGCTCTAAGAAACCGAATGTTCAACTCTGTGACTTGAATGCAGATATCACAAAGTAGTTTCTGAGAGGGCTTCTGTCTAGATTTTAGATGATGATATTCCCGTTTCCAACGAAATCATTACAGCTATCCAAATATCCACTTACAGTTTCTACAAAAAGAGTGTTTCCAAACTGCTGCATCAAAAGAGAGGTTCCACTCTGTTAGCTGAGTACACACATCACAAACTTTTTTCTCAGAATCCTTCTGTCTCGTTTTTATGGGAAGATTATACTTTTTCACCGTAGGCATCAAAGCGCTCCAAATGTCCACATCCAGATACTCCAGAAAGAGTGTTTCAAACCTGCTCTATGAAAGGGAATCTTCAACTCTATGAGTTGAATGCAGACATCAGAAAGAAATTTCTGAGAATGCTGCTGTCTACCTTTTATTTGAATTCCCGCTTCCAACGAAATCCTCCAAGCTATCCAAATATCCACTTGCAGATTCCACAAAAAGAGTGTTTCAAAACTGCTCTCTATCAATGGCAAAGTTCAACTCTGTTAGTTGAGGACACATATCACCAACAAGTTTCTGAGAATGCTTCTGTCTATTTTTCATGGGAAGATATTTCCTTTTTCACCGTAGGCGTCAAGGCGATCGAAATGTCCACTTCCACAAACTACAAAAAGAGTGTTTCAAACCTGCTCTATGAAAGGCCATGTTCATCTCTATGAGTTGAATGGAAATATCCGAAAGAAATTTCTGGGAATGCTGCTGTCTAGTGTTTATACGAATTCCCGCTTCCAACGAAATCCTCAAAGCAATCCAAATATCCACTTGCAGAATCCACAAAAAGAGTGTTTCAAAACTGCTCTATCAATAGAAAGGTTCAACTCTTTTAGTTGAGTACACACATCACCAACAAGTTTCTGAGAATGCTTCTGTCTGGCTTTTATTGGAAGACGTTTCCTTTTCACCAAAGGCATCAAAGCGCTCCAAATGTCCACTTCCAGATTCTTCCAAAAGAGTGTTTCAAACGTGCTCAAAGTAAGGGAATGTTCAACTCTGTGACTTGAATGCAGATATCACCAAGTAGTTTCTAATAGTGCTTCTGTCTAGATTTTAGATGATGATATTCCCGTTTCCAAGGAAATCGTTAGAGCTATCCAAATATCCAGTTACAGTTTCTACCAAAAGGGTGTTTCCAAATTGCTGCATCAAAAGAAAGGTTCAACTCTGTTAGTTGAGGACACACATCACAAAGAAGTTTGTGAGAATGCTTCTGTCTAGATTTTGTATGACCATATTCCCTTTTCCAGCGATATCATTAAAGCAATCTAAATATCCATTTGCAGAATCCACAAAAATAGAGTTTCAAAGCTGCTCTGTAAAAAGAAAGGTTCCACTCTGTTAGCTGAGTACACACATCACAAACTTGTTTGCTCAGAATACCTTCTGTCTCGTTTTTATGGGAAGATATTTACTTTTCCACCGTAGGCATCAAAGCGCTCCAAATGTCCACATCCATATACTCCAGAACGAGTGTTTCAAACCTACTCAATGAAAGGGAATCTTCAACTCTATGAGTTGAATGCAGACATCAGAAAGAAATTTCTGAGAATGCTGCTGTCTACCTTTTATTTGAATTCCCGCTTCCAACGAAATCCTCCAAGCTATCCAAATATCCACTTGCATTTTCCACAAAAAGAGTGTTTCAAAACTGCTCTATCAATAGAAATGTTCAACTCCATTAGCTGGGTACACACATCACAAACAAGTTTCCTGAGAATGCTTCTGTCTAGTTTTTATGGGAAGACATTCCCTTTTTCACCAAAGGCATCAGAGCGCTCCAAAGGTCCACTTTCAGACACTACAAAAAGAGTGTTTCAAACGTGCTCTAAGAAAGCGAATGTTCAACTCTGTGACTTGAATGCAGATATCACAAAGTAGTTTCTGAGAGGGCTTCTGTCTAGATTTTAGATGATGATATTCCCGTTTCCAATGAAATCATTAGAGCTATCCAAATATCCACTTACAGTTTCTACAAAAAGAGAGTTTCCAAAGTGCTGCATCAAAAGAGAGGTTCCACTCTGTTAGCTGAGGACACACATCACAAACATGTTTCTGAGAATCCTTCTGTCTAGCTTTTATGGGAAGATATTTTCTTTTTCACCATAGGCATCAAAGCGTTCCCAATGTCCACATCCAGATAGTACAGAAAGAGTGTTTCAAACCTGCTCTATGAAAGGGAATGTTCAACTCTATGAGTTGAATGCAAACATCACAAAGAAATTTCTGAGAATGCTGCTGTCTACCTTTCATTTGAATTCCCGCTTCCAACGAAATCCTCCAGGCTATCCAAATATCCACATGCAGATTCCACAAAAAGAGTGTTTCTAAACTGCTCTATCAATGGCAAGGTTCACCTCTGTCAGTTGAGGATTCACATCACAAACAAGTTTCTGAGAATTCTTCTGTCTATTTTTTATGGGAAGATATTTCCTTTTTCGCCGTAGGCGTCAAGGCGATCGAAATGTCCACTTCCACAAACTACAAAAAGAGTGTTTCAAACCTGCTCTATGAAAGGCCATGTTCATCTCTATGAGTCGAATGGAAATATCCGAAAGAAATTTCTGGGAATGCTGCTGTCTAGTTGTTATACGAATTCCCGCTTCCAACGAAATCCTCAAAGCAATCCAAATATCCACTTGCAGAATCCACAAAAAGAGTGTTTCAAAACTGCTCTATCAATAGAAAGGTTCAACTCTTTTAGTTGAGTACACACGTCAAGAACAAGTTTCTGAGAATGCTTCTGTCTGGCTTTTATTGGAAGACGTTTCCTTTTCACCAAAGGCATCAAAGCGCTCCAAATGTCCACTTCCAGATTCTTCCAAAAGAGTGTTTCAAACGTGCTCAAAGTAAGGGAATGTTCAACTCTTTGACTTGAATGCAGATATCACCAAGTAGTTTCTAATAGTGCTTCTGTCTAAATTTTAGATGACGATATTCCCGTTTCCAACGAAATCGTTACAGCTATCCAATTATCCACTTACAGTTTCTACAAAAAGAGTGTTTCCAAACTGCTGCATCAAAAGAAAGGTTCAACTCTGTTAGTTGAGGACACACATCACAAAGAAGTTTGTGAGAATGCTTCTGTCCAGATTTTGTATGACGATATTCCCTTTTCCAACGATATCATTAAAGCAATCTAAATATCCATTTGCAGAATCCACAAAAATAGAGTTTCAAAGCTGCTCTGTAAAAAGAAAGGTTCCACTCTGTTAGCTGAGTACACACATCACAAACTTGTCTCTCAGAATCCTTCTGTCTCGTTTTTATGGGAAGATATTTACTTTTTCACCGTAGGAATCAAAGCGCTCCAAATGTCCACATCCAGATACTCCAGAAAGAGTGTTTCAAACCTGCTCTATGAAAGGGAATGTTCAACTCTATGAGTTGAATGCAGACATCAGAAAGAAATTTCTGAGAATGCTGCTGTCTACCTTTTATTTGAATTCCCGCTTCCAACGAAATCCTCCAAGCTATCCAAATATCCACCTGCATTTTCCACAAAAAGAGTGTTTCGAAACTGCTCTATCAATAGAAATGTTCAACTCCTTTAGCTGGGTACACACATCACAAACAAGTTTCTGAGAATGCTTCTGTCTAGTTTTTATGGGAAGACATTCCCTTTTTCACCAAAGGCATCAAAGCGCTCCAAATGTCCACTTCCAGACACTACAAAAAGAGTGTTTCCAACGTGCTCTAAGAAAGCGAATGTTCAACTCTGTGACTTCAATGCAGATATCACAAAGTAGTTTCTGAGAGGGCTTCTGTCTAGATTTTAGATGATGATATTACCGTTTCCAAAGAAATCATTAGAGCTATCCAAATATCCACTTACAGTTTCTACAAAAAGAGTGTTTCCAAACTGCTGCATCAAAAGAGAGGTTCCACTCTGTTAGCTGAGTACACACATCACAAACTTGTTTCTCAGAATCCTTCTGTCTCGTTTTTATGGGAAGATATTTACTTTTTCACCGTAGGCATAAAAGCGCTCCAAATGTCCACATCCAGATACTCCAGAAAGAGTGTTTCAAACCTGCTCTATGAAAGGGAATGTTCAACTCTATGAGTTGAATGCAGACATCAGAAAGAAATTTCTGAGAATGCTGCTGTCTTTTATTTGAATTCCCGCTTCCAACGAAATCCTCCAAGCTATCCAAATATCCACTTGCAGATTCCACAAAAAGAGTGTTTCAAAACTGCTCTCTATCAATGGCAAAGTTCAACTCTGTTAGTTGAGGACACATATCACCAACAAGTTTCTGAGAATGCTTCTGTCTATTTTTTATGGGAAGATATTTCCTTTTTCACCGTAGGCGTCAAGGCGATCGAAATGTCCACTTCCACAAACTACAAAAAGAGTGTTTCAAACCTGCTCTATGAAAGGCCATGTTCATCTCTATGAGTTGAATGGAAATATCCGAAAGAAATTTCTGGGAATGCTGCTGTCTAGTGTTTATACGAATTCCCGCTTCCAACGAAATCCTCAAAGCAATCCAAATATCCACTTGCAGAATCCACAAAAAGAGTGTTTCAAAACTGCTCTATCAATAGAAAGGTTCAACTCTTTTAGTTGAGTACACACATCACGAACAAGTTTCTCAGAATGCTTCTGTCTGGCTTTTATTGGAAGACGTTTCCTTTTCACCAAAGGCATCAAAGCGCTCCAAATGTCCACTTCCAGATTCTTCCAAAAGAGTGTTTCAAACGTGCTCCAAGTAAGGGAATGTTCAACTCTGTGACTTGAATGCAGATATCACCAAGTAGTTTCTAATAGTGCTTCTGCCTACATTTTAGATGATGATATTCCCGTTTCCAACGAAATCGTTAGAGCTATCCAAATATCCAGTTACAGTTTCTACCAAAAGGGTGTTTCCAAATTGCTGCATCAAAAGAAAGGTTCAACTCTGTTAGTTGAGGACACACATCACAAAGAAGTTTGTGAGAATGCTTCTGTCTAGGTTTTGTATGACGATATTCCCTTTTCCAACGATATCGTTAAAGCAATCTAAATATCAATTTGCAGAATCCACAAAAATAGAGTTTCAAAGCTGCTCTGTAAAAAGAAAGGTTCCACTTCTGTTAGCTGAGTACACACATCACAAACTTGTTTCTCAGAATCCTTTCTGTCTCGTTTTTATGGGAAGATATTTACTTTTCCACCGTAGGCATCAAAGCGCTCCAAATGTCCACATCCAGATACTCCAGAACGAGTGTTTCAAACCTACTCTATGAAAGGGAATCTTCAACTCTATGAGTTGAATGCAGACATCAGAAAGAAATTTCTGAGAATGCTGCTGTCTACCTTTTATTTGAATTCCCGCTTCCAACGAAATCCTCCAAGCTATCCAAATATCCACTTGCATTTTCCACAACAAGAGTGTTTCAAAACTGCTCTATCAATAGAAATGTTCAACTCCTTTGGCTGGGTACACACATCACAAACAAGTTTCTGAGAATGCTTCTGTCTAGTTTTTATGGGAAGACGTTCCCTTTTTCACCAAAGGCATCAAAGCGCTCCAAATCTCCACTTCCAGACACTACAAAAAGAGTGTTTCAAACGTGCTCTAAGAAAGCGAATGTTCAACTCTGTGACTTGAATGCAGATATCACAAAGTAGTTTCTGAGAGGGCTTCTGTCTAGATTTTAGATGATGATATTCCCGTTTCCAACGGAATCATTAGAGCTATCCAAATATCCACTTACAGTTTCTACAAAAAGAGTGTTTCCAAACTGCTGCATCAAAAGAGAGGTTCCAGTCTGTTAGCTGAGTACACACATCACAAACTTGTTTCTCAGAATCCTTCTGTCTCGTTTTTATGGGAAGATATTTACTTTTTCACCGTAGGCATCAAAGCGCTCCAAATGTCCACATCCAGATACTCCAGAAAGAGTGTTTCAAACGTGCTCTATGAAAGGGAATCTTCAACTCTATGAGTTGAATGCAGACATCAGAAAGAAATTTCTGAGAATGCTGCTGTCTACCTTTTATTTGAATTCCCGCTTCCAACGAAATCCTCCAAGCTATCCAAATATCCACTTGCAGATTCCACAAAAAGAGTGTTTCAAAACTGCTCTCTGTCAATGGCAAAGTTCAACTCTGTTAGTTGAGGACACATATCACCAACAAGTTTCTGAGAATGCTTCTGTCTATTTTTTATGGGAAGATATTTCCTTTTTCACCGTAGGCGTCAAGGCGATCGAAATGTCCACTTCCACAAACTACAAAAAGAGTGTTTCAAACCTGCTCTATGAAAGGCCATGTTCATCTCTATGAGTCGAATGGAAATATCCGAAAGAAATTTCTGGGAATGCTGCTGTCTAGTGTTTATACGAATTCCCGCTTCCAACGAAATCCTCAAAGCAATCCAAATATCCACTTGCAGAATTCACAAAAAGAGTGTTTCAAAACTGCACTATCAATAGAAAGGTTCAACTCTTTTAGTTGAGTACACACATCACGAACAAGTTTCTGAGAATGCTTCTGTCTGGCTTTTTTTGGAAGACGTTTCCTTTTCACCAAAGGCATCAAAGCGCTCCAAATGTCCACTTCCAGATTCTTCCAAAAGAGTGTTTGAAACGTGCTCAAAGTAAGGGAATGTTCAACTCTGTGACTTGAATGCAGATATCACCAAGTAGTTTCTAATAGTGCTTCTGTCTAGATTTTAGATGATGATATTCCCGTTTCCAACGAAATCGTTAGAGCTATCCAAATATCCACTTACAGTTGCTACAAAAACAGTGTTTCCAAACTGCTGCATCAAAAGAAAGGTTCAACTCTGTTAGTTGAGGACACACATCACAAAGAAGTTTGTGAGAATGCTTCTGTCTAGATTTTGTATGACCATATTCCCTTTTCCAGCGATATCATTAAAGCAATCTAAATATCCATTTGCAGAATCCACAAAAATAGAGTTTCAAAGCTGCTCTGTAAAAAGAAAGGTTCCACTCTGTTAGCTGAGTACACACATCACAAACTTGTTTCTCAGAATCCTTCTCTGTCTCGTTTTTCTGGGAAGATATTTACTTTTTCACCGTAGGCATCAAAGCGCTCCAAATGTCCACATCCAGAAACTCCAGAAAGAGTGTTTCAAACCTGCTCTATGAAAGGGAATCTTCAACTCTATGAGTTGAATGCAGACATCAGAAAGAAATTTCTGAGAATGCTGCTGTCTACCTTTTATTTGAATTCCCGCTTCCAACGAAATCCTCCAAGCTATCCAAATATCCACTTGCAGATTCCACAAAAAGAGTGTTTCAAAACTGCTCTCTATCAATGGCAAAGTTCAACTCTGTTAGTTGAGGACACATATCACCAACAAGTTTCTGAGAATGCTTCTTCAATTTTTTATGGGAAGACATTTCCTTTTTCACCGTAGGCGTCAAGGCGATCGAAATGTCCACTTCCACAAACTACAAAAAGAGTGTTTCAAACCTGCTCTATGAAAGGCCATGTTCATCTCTATGAGTCGAATGGAAATATCCGAAAGAAATTTCTGGGAATGCTGCTGTCTAGTTTTTATACGAATTCCCGCTTCCAACGAAATCCTCAAAGCAATCCAAATATCCACTTGCAGAATCCACAAAAAGAGTGTTTCAAAACTGCTCTATCAATAGAAAGGTTCAACTCTTTTAGTTGAGTACACACATCACAAACAAGTTTCTGAGAATGCTTCTGTCTGGCTTTTATTGGAAGACGTTTCCTTTTCACCAAAGGCATCAAAGCGCTCCAAATGTCCACTTCCAGATTCTTCTAAAAGAGTGTTTGAAACGTGCTCAAAGTAAGGGAATGTTCAACTCTGTGACTTGAATGCAGATATCACCAAGTAGTTTCTAATAGTGCTTCTGTCTAGAATTTAGATGATGATATTCCCGTTTCCAACGAAATCGTTAGAGCTATCCAAATATCCACTTACAGTTGCTACAAAAACAGTGTTTCCAAACTGCTGCATCAAAAGAAAGGTTCAACTCTGTTAGTTGAGGACACACGTCACAAAGAAGTTTGTGAGAATGCTTCTGTCCGTTTTTGTATGACGATATTCCCTTTTCCAACGATATCGTTAAAGCAATCTAAATATCCATTTGCAGAATCCACAAAAATAGAGTTTCAAAGCTGCTCTGTAAAAAGAAAGGTTCCACTCTGTTAGCTGAGTACACACATCACAAACTTGTCTCTCAGAATCCTTCTGTCTCGTTTTTATGGGAAGATATTTACTTTTTCACCGTAGGCATCAAAGCGCTCCAAATGTCCACATCCAGATACTCCAGAAAGAGTGTTTCAAACCTGCTCTATGAAAGGGAATCTTCAACTCTATGAGTTGAATGCAGACATCAGAAAGAAATTTCTGAGAATACTGCTGTCTACCTTTTATTTGAATTCCCGCTTCCAACGAAATCCTCCAAGCTATCCAAATATCCACCTGCATTTTCCACAACAAGAGTGTTTCAAAACTGCTCTATCAATAGAAATGTTCAACTCCTTTGTCTGGGTACACACATCACAAACAAGTTTCTGAGAATGCTTCTGTCTAGTTTTTATGGGAAGACATTCCCTTTTTCACCAAAGGCATCAAAGCACTCCAAATGTCCACTTCCAGACACTACAAAAAGAGTGTTTCCAACGTGCTCTAAGAAAGTGAATGTTCAACTCTGTGACTTGAATGCAGATATCACAAAGTAGTTTCTGAGAGGGCTTCTGTCTAGATTTTAGATGATGATAATCCCGTTTCCAACAAAATCATTAGGGCTTCCAAATATCCACTTACAGTTTCTACAAAAAGAGTGTTTCCAAACTGCTGCATCAAAAGAGAGGTTCCACTCTGTTAGCTGAGTACACACATCACAAATTTGTTTCTCAGAATCCTGCTGTCTACCTTTTATTTGAATTCCCGCTTCCAACGAAATCCTCCAAGCTATCCAAATATCCACTTGCAGATTCCACAAAAAGAGTGTTTCAAAACTGCTCTCTATCAATGGCAAAGTTCAACTCTGTTAGTTGAGGACACATATCACCAACAAGTTTCTGAGAATGCTTCTGTCTATTTT
Organism: Homo sapiens; assembly: GCF_000001405.40. NCBI lineage: Eukaryota > Metazoa > Chordata > Mammalia > Primates > Hominidae > Homo > Homo sapiens. Next base: position 14,589,797 of record NC_000022.11, on the reverse strand, counting down.
TTATGGGAAGATATTTCCTTTTTCACCGTAGGCGTCAAGGCGATCGAAATGTCCACTTCCACAAACTACAAAAAGAGTGTTTCAAACCTGCTCTATGAAAGGCCATGTTCATCTCTGTGAGTCGAATGGAAATATCCGAAAGAAATTTCTGGGAATGCTGCTGTCTAGTTTTTATACGAATTCCCGCTTCCAACGAAATCCTCAAAGCAATCCAAATATCCACTTGCAGAATCCACAAAAAGAGTGTTTCAAAACTGCTCTATCAATAGAAAGGTTCAACTCTTTTAGTTGAGTACACACATCACAAACAAGTTTCTGAGAATGCTTCTGTCTGGCTTTTATGGGAAGACGTTTCCTTTTCACCAAAGGCATCAAAGCGCTCCAAATGTCCACTTCCAGATTCTTCCAAAAGAGTGTTTGAAACGTGCTCAAAGTAAGGGAATGTTCAACTCTGTGACTTGAATGCAGATATCACCAAGTAGTTTCTAATAGTGCTTCTGTGTATACTTCAGATGAAGATATTCCCGTTTCCAACGATATCGTTAGACCTACCCAAATATCCACTTACAGTTTCTACAAAAAGAGTGTTTCCAAAGTGCTGCATCTAAAGAAAGGTTCAAATCTGTGAGTTGAGGACACACATCACAAAGAAGTTTCTGAGAAAGCTTCTGTCTAGATTTTGTATGACGATATTCCCTTTTCCAACGATATCGTTAAAGCAATCTAAATATCCATTTGCAGAATCCACAAAAATAGAGTTTCAAAGCTGCTCTGTAAAAAGAAAGGTTCCACTCTGTTAGCTGAGTACACACATCACAAACTTGTTTCTCAGAATCCTTCTCTGTCTCGTTTTTATGGGAAGATATTTACTTTTTCACCGTAGGCATCAAAGCGCTCGAAATGTCCACATCCAGATACTCCAGAAAGAGTGTTTCAAACCTGCTCTATGAAAGGGAATCTTCAACTCTATGAGTTGAATGCAGACATCAGAAAGAAATTTCTGAGAATGCTGCTGTCTACCTTTTATTTGAATTCCCGCTTCCAACGAAATCCTCCAAGCTATTCAAATATCCACCTGCATTTTCCACAACAAGAGTGTTTCAAAACTGCTCTATCAATAGAAATGTTCAACTCCTTTGGCTGGGTACACACATCACAAACAAGTTTCTGAGAATGCTTCTGTCTAGTTTTTATGGGAAGACATTCCCTTTTTCACCAAAGACATCAAAGCGCTCCAAATGTCCACTTCCAGACACTACAAAAAGAGTGTTTCAAACGTGCTCTAAGAAAGCGAATGTTCAACTCTGTGACTTGAATGCAGATATCACAAAGTAGTTTCTGAGAGGGCTTCTGTCTAGATTTTAGATGATGATATTCCCGTTTCCAACGAAATCATTAGAGCTATCCAAATATCCACTTACAGTTTTTACAAAAAGAGTGTTTCCAAACTGCTGCATCAAAAGAGAGGTTCCACTCTGTTAGCTGAGTACACACATCACAAACTTGTTTCTGAGAATCCTTCTGTCTCGTTTTTATGGGAAGATATTTACTTTTTCACCGTAGGCATCAAAGCGCTCCAAATGTCCACATCCAGATACTCCAGAAAGAGTGTTTCAAACCTGCTCTATGAAAGGAAATCTTCAACTCTATGAGTTGAATGCAGACATCAGAAAGAAATTTCTGAGAATGCTGCTGTCTACCTTTTATTTGAATTCCCGCTTCCTACGAAATCCTCCAAGCTATCCAAATATCCACTTGCAGATTCCACAAAAAGAGTGTTTCAAAACTGCTCTCTATCAATGGCAAAGTTCAACTCTGTTAGTTGAGGACACATATCACCAACAAGTTTCTGAGAATGCTTCTGTCTATTTTTTATGGGAAGATATTTCCTTTTTCACCGTAGGCGTCAAGGCGATCGAAATGTCCACTTCCACAAACTACAAAAAGAGTGTTTCAAACCTGCTCTATGAAAGGCCATGTTCATCTCTATGAGTTGAATGGAAATATCCGAAAGAAATTTCTGGGAATGCTGTTGTCTAGTGTTTATACGAATTCCCGCTTCCAACGAAATCCTCAAAGCAATCCAAATATCCACTTGCAGAATCCACAAAAAGAGTGTTTCAAAACTGCTCTATCAATAGAAAGGTTCAACTCTTTTAGTTGAGTACACACATCACGAACAAGTTTCTGAGAATGCTTCTGTCTGGCTTTTATTGGAAGACGTTTCCTTTTCACCAAAGGCATCAAAGCGCTCCAAATGTCCACTTCCAGATTCTTCCAAAAGAGTGTTTCAAACGTGCTCAAAGTAAGGGAATGTTCAACTCTGTGACTTGAATGCAGATATCACCAAGTAGTTTCTAATAGTGCTTCTGTCTAGATTTCAGATGATGATATTCCCGTTTCCAACGAAATCGTTAGAGCTAAGCAAATATCCAGTTACAGTTTCTACCAAAAGGGTGTTTCCAAATTGCTGCATCAAAAGAAAGGTTCAACTCTGTTAGTTGAGGACACACATCACAAAGAAGTTTGTGAGAATGCTTCTGTCTAGATTTTGTATGACGATATTCCCTTTTCCAACAATATCGTTAAAGCAATCTAAATATCAATTTGCAGAATCCACAAAAATAGAGTTTCAAAGCTGCTCTGTAAAAATAAAGGTTCCACTCTGTTAGCTGAGTACACACATCACAAACTTGTTTCTGAGAATCCTTCTGTCTCGTTTTTATGGGAAGATATTTACTTTTCCACCGTAGGCATCAAAGCGCTCCAAATGTCCACATCCAGATACCCCAGAACGAGTGTTTCAAACCTGCTCTATGAAAGGGAATCTTCAACTCTATGAGTTGAATGCAGACATCAGAAAGAAATTTCTGAGAATGCTGCTGTCTACCTTTTATTTGAATTCCCGCTTCCAACGAAATCCTCCAAGCTATCCAAATATCCACCTGCATTTTCCACAACAAGAGTGTTCCAAAACTGCTCTATCAATAGAAATGTTCAACTCCTTTGGCTGGGTACACACATCACAAACAAGTTTCTGAGAATGCTTCTGTCTAGTTTTTATGGGAAGACGTTCCCTTTTTCACCAAAGGCATCAAAGCGCTCCAAATGTCCACTTCCAGACACTACAAAAAGAGTGTTTCAAACGTGCTCTAAGAAAGCGAATGTTCAACTCTGTGACTTGAATGCAGATATCACAAAGTAGTTTCTGAGAGTGCTTCTGTCTAGATTTTAGATGATGATATTCCCGTTTCCAAAGAAATCATTAGAGCTATCCAAATATCCACTTACAGTTTCTACAAAAAGAGTGTTTCCAAACTGCTGCATCAAAAGAGAGGTTCCACTCTGTTAGCCGAGTACACACATCACAAACTTGTTTCTCAGAATCCTTCTGTCTCGTTTTTATGGGAAGATATTTACTTTTCCACCGTAGGCATCAAAGCGCTCCAAATGTCCACATCCAGATACTCCAGAAAGAGTGTTTCAAACCTGCTCTATGAAAGGGAATCTTCAACTCTATGAGTTGAATGCAGACATCAGAAAGAAATTTCTGAGAATGCTGCTGTCTATCTTTTATTTGAATTCCCGCTTCCAACGAAATCCTCCAAGCTATCCAAATATCCACTTGCAGATTCCACAAAAAGAGTGTTTCAAAACTGCTCTCTATCAATGGCAAAGTTCAACTCTGTTAGTTGAGGACACATATCACCAACAAGTTTCTGAGAATGCTTCTGTCTATTTTTTATGGGAAGATATTTCCTTTTTCAGCGTAGGCGTCAAGGCGATCGAAATGTCCACTTCCACAAACTACAAAAAGAGTGTTTCAAACCTGCTCTATGAAAGGCCATGTTCATCTCTATGAGTTGAATGGAAATATCCGAAAGAAATTTCTGGGAATGCTGCTGTCTAGTTTTTATACGAATTCCCGCTTCCAACGAAATCCTCAACGCAATCCAAATATCCACTTGCAGAATCCACAAAAAGAGTGTTTCAAAACTGCTCTATCAATAGAAAGGTTCAACTCTTTTAGTTGAGTACACACATCACAAACAAGTTTCTGAGAATGCTTCTGTCTGGCTTTTATTGGAAGACGTTTCCTTTTCACCAAAGGCATCAAAGCGCTCCAAATGTCCACTTCCAGATTCTTCCAAAAGAGTGTTTCAAACGTGCTCGAAGTAAGGGAATGTTCAACTCTGTGACTTGAATGCAGATATCACCAAGTAGTTTCTAATAGTGCTTCTGTCTAGATTTTAGATGATGATATTCCCGTTTCCAACGAAATCGTTAGAGCTATCCAAATATCCAGTTACAGTTTCTATCAAAAGGGTGCTTCCAAATTGCTGCATCAAAAGAAAGGTTCAACTCTGTTAGTTGAGGACACACATCACAAAGAAGTTTGTGAGAATGCTTCTGTCTAGATTTTGTATGACGGTATTCCCTTTTCCAACGATATCGTTAAAGCAATCTAAATATCAATTTGCAGAATCCACAACAATAGAGTTTCAAAGCTGCTCTGTAAAAAGAAAGGTTCCACTCTGTTAGCTGAGTACACACATCACAAACTTGTTTCTGAGAATCCTTCTGTCTCGTTTTTATGGGAAGATATTTACTTTTTCACCGTAGGCATCAAAGCGCTCCAAATGTCCACATACAGATACTCCAGAAAGAGTGTTTCAAACCTGCTCTATGAAAGGGAATCTTCAACTCTATGAGTTGAATGCAGACATCAGAAAGAAATTTCTGAGAATGCTGCTGTCTACCTTTTATTTGAACTCCCGCTTCCAACGAAATCCTCCAAGCTATCCAAATATCCACTTGCATTTTCCACAAAAAGAGTGCTTCAAAACTGCTCTATCAATAGAAATGTTCAACTCCTTTAGCTGGGTGCACACATCACAAACAAGTTTCTGAGAATGCTTCTGTCTACTTTTTAAGGGAAGACATTTCCTTTTTCACCAAAGGCATCAAAGCGCTCCAAATGTCCACTTCCAGATTCTACAAAAAGAGTGTTTCAAACCTGCTCTAAGTAAGAGAGTTTTCAACTATGTGACTGGAATGCAGATATCACAAAGTAGTTTCTGAGACTGCTTCTGTCTCGATTTTAGATGATATTCCCGTTTCCAACGAAATCATTAGAGCTATCCAAATATCCACTTACAGTTTCTACAAAAAGAGTGTTTCCAAACTGCTGCATCAAAAGAGAGGTTCCACTCTGTTAGCTGAGTACACACATCACAAACTTGTTTCTGAGAATCCTTCTGTCTCGTTTTTATGGGAAGATTATACTTTTTCACCGTAGGCATCAAAGCGCTCCAAATGTCCACATCCAGATACTACAGAAAGAGTGTTTCAAACCTGCTCTATGAAAGGGAATCTTCAACTCTATGAGTTGAATGCAGACATCAGAAAGAAATTTCTCAGAATGCTGCTGTCTACCTTTTATTTGAATTCCCGCTTCCAACGAAATCCTCCAAGCTATCCAAATATCCACTTGCAGATTCCACAAAAAGAGTGTTTCAAAACTGCTCTCTATCAATGGCAAAGTTCAACTCTGTTAGTTGAGGACACATATCACCAACAAGTTTCTGAGAATGCTTCTGTCTATTTTTTATGGGAAGATATTTCCTTTTTCACCGTAGGCGTCAAGGCGATCGAAATGTCCACTTCCACAAACTACAAAAAGAGTGTTTCAAACTTGCTCTATGAAAGGCCATGTTCATTTCTATGAGTCGAATGGAAATATCCGAAAGAAATTTCTGGGAATGCTGCTGTCTAGTTTTTATACGAATTCCCGCTTCCAACGAAATCCTCAAAGCAATCCAAATATCCACTTGCAGAATCCACAAAAAGAGTGTTTCAAAACTGCTCTATCAATAGAAAGGTTCAACTCTTTTAGTTGAGTACACACATCACAAACAAGTTTCTGAGAATGCTTCTGTCTGGCTTTTATTGGAAGACGTTTCCTTTTCACCAAAGGCATCAAAGCGCTCCAAATGTCCACTTCCAGATTCTTCCAAAAGAGTGTTTCAAACGTGCTCAAAGTAAGGGAATGTTCAACTCTTTGACTTTAATGCAGATATCACCAAGTAGTTTCTAATAGTGCTTCTGTGTATACTTTAGATGAAGATATTCCCGTTTCCAACGATATCGTTAGACCTACCCAAATATCCACTTACAGTTTCTACAAAAAGAGTGTTTCCAAACTGCTGCATCTAAAGAAAGGTTCAACTCTGTTACTTGAGGACACACATCACAACGAAGTTTCTGAGAAAGCTTCTGTCCAGATTTTGTATGACAATATTCCCTTTTCCAACGATATCGTTAAAGCAATCTAAATATCAATTTGCAGAATCCACAAAAATAGAGTTTGAAAGCTGCTCTGTAAAAAGAAAGGTTCCACTCTGTTAGCTGAGTACACACATCACAAACTTGTTTCTGAGAATCCTTCTGTCTAGTTTTTATGGGAAGATATTTACTTTTTCACCGTAGATATCAAAGCGCTCCAAATGTCCACATCCAGATACTACAGAAAGAGTGTTTCAAACCTGCTCTATGAAAGGGAATCTTCAACTCTATGAGTTGAATGCAGACATCAGAAAGTAATTTCTGAGAATGCTGCTGTCTACCTTTTATTTGAATTCCCGCTTCCAACGAAATCCTCCAAGCTATCCAAATATCCACCTGCATTTTCCACAAAACGAGTGTTTCAAAACTGCTCTATCAATAGAAATGTTCAACTCCTTTGGCTGGGTACACACATCACAAACAAGTTTCTGAGAATGCTTCTGTCTAGTTTTTATGGGAAGACGTTCCCTTTTTCACCAAAGGCATCAAAGCGCTCCAAATGTCCACTTCCAGACACTACAAAAAGAGTGTTTCCAACGTGCTCTAAGAAAGCGAATGTTCAACTCTGTGACTTGAATGCACATATCACAAAGTAGTTTCTGAGAGTGCTTCTGTCTAGATTTTAGATGATGATATTCCCGTTTCCAACGAAATGATTAGAGCTATCCAAATATCCACTTACAGTTTCTACAAAAAGAGTGTTTCCAAACTGCTGCATCAAAAGAGAGGTTCCACTCTGTTAGCTGAGTACACACATCACAAACTTGTTTCTCAGAATCCTTCTGTCTCCTTTTTATGGGAAGATATTTACTTTTTCACCGTAGGCATCAAAGCGCTCCAAATGTCCACATCCAGATACTCCAGAAAGAGTGTTTCAAACCTGCTCTATGAAAGGGAATCTTCAACTCTATGAGTTGAATGCAGACATCAGAAAGATATTTCTGAGAATGCTGCTGTCTACCTTTTATTTGAATTCCCGCTTCCAACGAAATCCTCCAAGCTATCCAAATATCCACTTGCAGATTCCACACAAAGAGTGTTTTAAAACTGCTCTCTATCAATGGCAAAGTTCAACTCTGTTAGTTGAGGACACATATCACCAACAAGTTTCTGAGAATGCTTCTGTCTATTTTTTATGGGAAGATATTTCCTTTTTCACCGTAGGCGTCAAGGCGATCAAAATGTCCACTTCCACAAACTACAAAAAGAGTGTTTCAAACCTGCTCTATGAAAGGCCATGTTCATCTCTATGAGTCGAATGGAAATATCCGAAAGAAATTTCTGGGAATGCTGCTGTCTAGTTTTTATACGAATTCCCGCTTCCAACGAAATCCTCAAAGCAATCCAAATATCCACTTGCAGAATCCACAAAAAGAGTGTTTCAAAACTGCTCTATCAATAGAAAGGTTCAACTCTTTTAGTTGAGTACACACATCACAAACAAGTTTCTGAGAATGCTTCTGTCTGGCTTTTATTGGAAGACGTTTCCTTTTCACCAAAGGCATCAAAGCGCTCCAAATGTCCACTTCCAGATTCTTCCAAAAGAGTGTTTCAAACGTGCTCAAAGTAAGGGAATGTTCAACTCTGTGACTTGAATGCAGATATCACCAAGTAGTTTCTAATAGTGCTTTCTGTCTAGATTTTAGATGATCATATTCCCGTTTCCAACGAAATCGTTAGAGCTATCCAAATATCCAGTTACAGTTTCTACCAAAAGGGTGTTTCCAAATTGCTGCATCAAAAGAAAGGTTCAACTCTGTTAGTTGAGGACCCACATCACAAAGAAGTTTGTGAGAATGCTTCTGTCTAGATTTTGTATGACGATATTCCCTTTTCCAACGATATCGTTAAAACAATCTAAATATAAATTTGCAGAATCCACAAAAATACAGTTTCAAAGCTGCTCTGTAAAAAGAAAGGTTCCACTCTTTTGGCTGAGTACACACATCAAAAACTTGTTTCTGAGAATCCTTCTGTCTCGTTTTTATGGGAAGATATTTACTTTTTCACCGTAGGCATCAAAGCGCTCCAAATGTCCACATCCAGATACTCCAGAAAGAGTGTTTCAAACCTGCTCTATGAAAGGGAATCTTCAACTCTACGAGTTGAATGCAGACATCAGAAAGAAATTTCTGAGAATGCTGCTGTCTACCTTTTATTTGAATTCCCGCTTCCAACGATATCCTCCAAGCTATCCAAATATCCACTTGCATTTTCCACAAAAAGAGTGTTTCAAAACTGCTCTATCAATAGAAATGTTCAACTCCTTTGGCTGGGTACACACATCACAAACAAGTTTCTGAGAATGCTTCTGTCTAGTTTTTATGGGAAGACATTCACTTTTTCACCAAAGGCATCAAAGCGCTCCAAATGTCCACTTCCAGACACTACAAAAAGAGTGTTTCAAACGTGCTCTAAGAAAGCGAATGTTCAACTCTGTGACTTGAATGCAGATATCACAAAGTAGTTTCTGAGAGGGCTTCTGTCTAGATTTTAGATGATGATATTCCCGTTTCCAACGAAATCATTACAGCTATCCAAATATCCACTTATAGTTTCTACAAAAAGAGTGTTTCCAAACTGCTGCATCAAAAGAGAGGTTCCACACTCTTAGCTGAGTACACACATCACAAACTTGTTTCTCAGAATCCTTCTTCAATTTTTTATGGGAAGACATTTCCTTTTTCACCGTAGGCGTCAAAGCGCTCCAAATGTCCACATCCAGATAGTACAGAAAGAGTGTTTCAAACCTGCTCTATTAAAGGGAATGTTCAACTCTATGAGTTGAATGCAAACATCAGAAAGAAATTTCTGAGAATGCTGCTGTCTACCTTTTATTTGAATTCCCGCTTCCAACGAAATCCTCCAAACTATCCAAATATCCACTCGCAGATTCCACAAAAAGAGTGTTTCAAAACTGCTCTCTATCAATGGCAAAGTTCAACTCTGTTAGTTGAGGACACATATCACCAACAAGTTTCTGAGAATGCTTCTGTCTATTTTTTATGGGAAGATATTTCCTTTTTCAGCGTAGGCGTCAAGGCGATCGAAATGTCCACTTCCACAAACTACAAAAAGAGTGTTTCAAACCTGCTCTATGAAAGGCCATGTTCATCTCTATGAGTTGAATGGAAATATCCGAAAGAAATTTCTGGGAATGCTGCTGTCTAGTTTTTATACGAATTCCCGCTTCCAACGAAATCCTCAAAGCAATCCAAATATCCACTTGCAGAATCCACAAAAAGAGTGTTTCAAAACTACACTATTAATAGAAAGGTTCAACTCTTTTAATTGAGTACACACATCACAAACAAGTTTCTGAGAATGCTTCTGTCTGGCTTTTATTGGAAGACGTTTCCTTTTCACCAAAGGCATCAAAGCGCTCCAAATGTCCACTTCCAGATTCTTCCAAAAGAGTGTTTCAAACGTGGTCGAAGTAAGGGAATGTTCAACTCTGTGACTTGAATGCAGGTATCACCAAGTAGTTTCTAATAGTGCTTCTGTCTAGATTTTAGATGATGATATTCCCGTTTCCAACGAAATCATTAGAGCTATCCAAATATCCACTTACAGTTTCTACAAAAAGAGTGTTTCCAAACCGCTGCATCAAAAGAAAGGTTCAACTCTGATAGTTGAGGACACACATCACAAAGAAGTTTGTGAGAATGCTTCTGTCCAGATTTTGTATGACGATATTCCCTTTTCCAACGATATCGTTAAAGCAATCTAAATATCCATTTGCAGAATCCACAAAAATAGAGTTTCAAAGCTGCTCTGTAAAAAGAAAGGTTCCACTCAGTTAGCTGAGTACACACATCACAAACTTGTTTCTGAGAATCCTTCTGTCTCGTTTTTATGGGAAGATATTTACTTTTTCACCGTAGGCATCAAAGCGCTCCAAATGTCCACATCCAGATACTCCAGAAAGAGTTTTTCAAACCTGCTCTATGAAAGGGAATCTTCAACTCTATGAGTTGAATGCAGACATCAGAAAGAAATTTCTGAGAATGCTGCTGTCTACCTTTTATTTGAATTCCCGCTTCCAACGAAATCCTCCAAGCTATCCAAATATCCACCTGCATTTTCCACAAAAAGAGTGTTTCAAAACTGCTCTATCAATAGAAATGTTCAACTCCTTTTTTCTGGGTACACACATCACAAACAAGTTTCTGAGAATGCTTCTGTCTAGTTTTTATGGGAAGACATTCCCTTTTTCACCAAAGGCATCAAAGCGCTCCAAATGTCGACTTCCAGACACTACAAAAAGAGTGTTTCAAACGTGCTCTAAGAAACCGAATGTTCAACTCTGTGAGTTGAATGCAGATATCACAAAGTAGTTTCTGAGAGGGCTTCTGTCTAGATTTTAGATGATGATATTCCCGTTTCCAACGAAATCGTTAGAGCTATCCAAATATCTACTTACAGTTTCTACAAAAAGAGTGTTTCCAAACTGCTGCATCAAAAGAGAGGTTCCACTCTGTTAGCTGAGTACACACATCACAAACTTGTTTCTCAGAATCCTCTGTCTCGTTTTTATGGGAAGATATTTACTTTTTCACCGTAGGCCTCAAAGCGCTCCAAATGTCCACATCCAGATACCACAGAAAGAGTATTTCAAACCTGCTCTATGAAAGGGAATGTTCAACTCTATGAGTTGAATGCAGACATCAGAAAGAAATTTCTGAGAATGCTGGCTGTCTACCTTTTATTTGAATTTCCGCTTCCAACGAAATCCTCCAAGCTATCAAAATATCCACTTGCAGATTCCACAAAAAGAGTGTTTCAAAACTGCTCTCTATCAATGGCAAAGTTCAACTCTGTTAGTTGAGGACACATATCACCAACGAGTTTCTGAAAATGCTTCTGTCTATTTTTTATGGGAAGATATTTCCTTTTTCACCGTAGGCGTCAAGGCGATCGAAATGTCCACTTCCACAAACTACAAAAAGAGTGTTTCAAACCTGCTCTATGAAAGGCCATGTTCATCTCTATGAGTTGAATGGAAATATCCGAAAGAAATTTCTGGGAATGCTGCTGTCTAGTTGTTATACGAATTCCCGCTTCCAACGAAATCCTCAAAGCAATCCAAATATCCACTTGCAGAATCCACAAAAAGAGTGTTTCAAAACTGCTCTATCAATAGAAAGGTTCAACTCTTTTAGTTGAGTACACACATCACAAACAAGTTTCTGAGAATGCTTCTGTCTGGCTTTTATTGGAAGACGTTTCCTTTTCACCAAAGGCATCAAAGCGCTCCAAATGTCCACTTCCAGATTCTTCCAAAAGAGTGTTTCAAACGTGCTCAAAGTAAGGGAATGTTCAACTCTTTGACTTGAATGCAGATATCACCAAGTAGTTTCTAATAGTGCTTCTGTCTAGATTTTAGATGACGATATTCCCGTTTCCAGCGAAATCGTTAGAGCTATCCAAATATCCACTTACAGTTTCTACAAAAAGAGTGTTTCCAAACTGCTGCATCAAAAGAAAGGTTCAACTCTGTTAGTTGAGGACACACATCACAAAGAAGTTTGTGAGAATGCTTCTGTCTAGATTTTGTATGACCATATTCCCTTTTCCAACGATATCGTTAAAGCAATCTAAATATCAATTTGTAGAATCCACAAAAATAGAGTTTCAAAGCTGCTCTGTAAAAAGAAAGGTTCCACTCTGTTAGCTGAGTACACACATCACAAACTTGTTTCTCAGAATCCTTCTGTCTCGTTTTTATGGGAAGATATTTACTTTTTCACCGTAGGCATCAAAGCGCTCCAAATGTCCACATCCAGATACACCAGAAAGACTGTTTCAAACCTGCTCTATGAAAGGGAATCTTCAACTCTATGAGTTGAATGCAGACATCAGAAAGAAATTTCTGAGAATGCTGCTGTCTACTTTTTTATGAATTCCCGCTTCCAACGAAGTCCTCAAAGCAATCCAAATATCCACTTGCAGATTCCACAAAAAGAGTGTTTCAAAACTGCTCTATCAATAGAAAGGTTCAACTCTTTTAGTTGAGTACACACATCACATACAAGTTTCTGAGAAAGCTTCTGTCTACTTTTTAAGGGAAGACATTTCCTTTTTCACCAAAGGCATCAAAGCACTCCAAATATCCACTTCCAGATTCTACAAAAAGTGTGTTTCAAACCTGCTCTAAGTAAGGGAGTTTTCAACTCTGTGACTGGAATGCAGATATCACAAAGTAGTTTCTGAGACTGCTTCTGTCTAGATTTTAGATGATGATATTCCCGTTTCCAACGAAATCATTAGAGCTATCCAAATATCCACTTACAGTTTCTACAAAAAGAGTGTTTCCAAACTGCTGCATCAAAAGAGAGGTTCCACTCTGTTAGCTGAGTACACACATCACAAACTTGTTTCTGAGAATCCTTCTGTGTCGTTTTTATGGGAAGATATTTACTTTTTCACCGTAGGCATCAAAGCGCTCCAAATGTCCACATCCAGATACTCCAGAAAGAGTGTTTCAAACCTGCTCTATGAAAGGGAATCTTCAACTACTATGAGTTGAATGCAGACATCAGAAAGAAATTTCTGAGAATGCTGCTGTCTACCTTTTATTTGAATTCCCGCTTCCAACGAAAACCTCCAAGCTATCCAAATATCCACTTGCAGATTCCACAAAAAGAGTGTTTCAAAACTGCTCTATCAATAGAAATGTTCAAATCCTTTCGCTGGGTACACACATCACAAACAAGTTTCTGAGAAAGCTTCTGTCTAGTTTTTATGGGAAGACGTTCCCTTTTTCACCAAAGGAATCAAAGCGCTCCAAATGTCCACTTCCAGACACTACAAAAAGAGTGTTTCAAACGTGCTCTAAGAAAGCGAATGTTCAACTCTGTGACTTGAATGCAGATATCACAAAGTAGTTTCTGAGAGGGCTTCTGTCTAGATTTTAGATGATGATATTCCCGTTTCCAACGAAATCGTTAGAGCTATCCAAATATCCACTTACAGTTTCTACAAAAAGAGTGTTTCCAAACTGCTGCATCAAAAGAGAGGTTCCACTCTGTTAGCTGAGTACACACATCACAAACTTGCTTCTCAGAATCCTTCTGTCTCGTTTTTATGGGAAGATATTTACTTTCTCACCGTAGGCATCAAAGCGCTTCAAATGTCCACATCCAGATACTCCAGAAAGAGTGTTTCAAACCTGCTCTATGAAAGGGAATCTTCAACTCTATGAGTTGAATGCAGACATCAGAAAGAAATTTCTGAGAATGCTGCTGTCTACCTTTTATTTGAATTACCGCTTCCAACGAAATCCTCCAAGCTATCCAAATATCCACTTGCAGATTCCACAAAAAGAGTGTTTCAAAACTGCTCTCTATCAATGGCAAAGTTCAACTCTGTTAGTTGAGGACACATATCACCAACAAGTTTCTGAGAATGCTTCTGTCTATTTTTTATGGGAAGATATTTCCTTTTTCAGCGTAGGCGTCAACGCGATCGAAATGTCCACTTCCACAAACTACAAAAAGAGTGTTTCAAACCTGCTCTATGAAAGGCCATGTTCATCTCTATGAGTTGAATGGAAATATCCGAAAGAAATTTCTGGGAATGCTGCTGTCTAGTGTTTATACGAATTCCCGCTTCCAACGAAATCCTCAAAGCAATCCAAATATCCACTTGCAGAATCCACAAAAAGAGTGTTTCAAAACTGCTCTATCAATAGAAAGGTTCAACTCTTTTAGTTGAGTACACACATCACGAACAAGTTTCTGAGAATGCTTCTGTCTGGCTTTTATTGGAAGACGTTTCCTTTTCACCAAAGGCATCAAAGCGCTCCAAATGTCCACTTCCAGATTCTTCCAAAAGAGTGTTTCAAACGTGGTCGAAGTAAGGGAATGTTCAACTCTGTGACTTGAATGCAAATATCACCAAGTAGTTTCTAATAGTGCTTCTGTCTACATTTTAGATGATGATATTCCCGTTTCCAACGAAATCGTTAGAGCTATCCAAATATCCAGTTACAGTTTCTACCAAAAGGGTGCTTCCAAATTGCTGCATCAAAAGAAAGGTTCAACTCTGTTAGTTGAGGACACACATCACAAAGAAGTTTGTGAGAATGCTTATCTGTCTAGATTTTGTATGAAGATATTCCCTTTTCCAACGATATCGTTAAATCAACCCAAATATCAATTTGCAGAATCCACAGAAATAGAGTCTCAAAGCTGCTCTGTAAAAAGAAAGGATACACTCTGTTAGCTGAGTACACATATCACAAACTTGTTTCTGAATATCCTTCTGTCTACTTTTTATGGGAAGATATTTACTTTTTCACCGTAGGTATCAAAGCGCTCCAAAAGTCCACATCCAGATACTACAGAAAGAGTGTTTCAAACCTGCTCTATGAAAGGGAATCTTCAACTCTATGAGTTGAATGCAGACATCAGAAAGTAATTTCTGAGAATGCTGCTGTCTACCTTTTATTTGAATTCCCGCTTCCAACGAAATCCTCCAAGCTATCAAAATATCCACTTGCATTTTCCACAACAAGAGTGTTTCAAAACTGCTCTATCAATAGAAATGTTCAACTCCTTTGGCTGGGTACACACATCACAAACAAGTTTCTGAGAATGCTTCTGTCTAGTTTTTATGGGAAGACATTCCCTTTTTCACCAAAGGCATCAAAGCGCTCCAAATGTCCACTTCCAGAGACTACAAAAAGAGTGTTTCAAACGTGCTCTAAGAAAGCGAATGTTCAACTCTGTGACTTGAATGCAGATATCACAAAGTAGTTTCTGAGAGTGCTTCTGTCTAGATTTTAGATGATGATATTCCCGTTTCCAACGAAATCATTAGAGCTATCCAAATATCCACTTACACTTTCTACAAAAAGAGTGTTTCCAAACTGCTGCATCAAAAGAGAGGTTCCACTCTGTTAGCTGAGTACACACATCACAAACTTGTTTCTCAGAATCCTTCTGTCTCGTTTTTATGGGAAGATATTTACTTTTGCACCGTAGGCATCAAAGCGCTCCAAATGTCCACATCCAGATACTCCAGAACGAGTGTTTCAAACCTGCTCTATGAAAGGGAATCTTCAACTCTATGAGTTGAATGCAGACATCAGAAAGAAATTTCTGAGAATGCTGCTGTCTACCTTTTATTTGAATTCCCGCTTCCAACGAAATCCTCCAAGCTATCCAAATATCCACTTGCAGATTCCACAAAAAGAGTGTTTCAAAACTGCTCTCTATCAATGGCAAAGTTCAACTCTGTTAGTTGAGGACACATATCACCAACAAGTTTCTGAGAATGCTTCTGTCTATTTTTTATGGGAAGATATTTCCTTTTTCACCGTAGGCGTCAAGGAGATCGAAATGTCCACTGCCACAAACTACAAAAAGAGTGTTTCAAACCTGCTCTATGAAAGGCCATGTTCATCTCTATGAGTTGAATGGAAATATCCGAAAGAAATATCTGGGAATGCTGCTGTCTAGTGTTTATACGAATTCCCGCTTCCAACGAAATCCTCAAAGCAATCCAAATATCCACTTGCAGAATCCACAAAAAGAGTGTTTCAAAACTGCTCTATCAATAGAAAGGTTCAACTCTTTTAGTTGAGTACACACTTCACGAACAAGTTTCTGAGAATGCTTCTGTCTGGCTTTTATTGGAAGACGTTTCCTTTTCAACAAAGGCATCAAAGCGCTCCAAATGTCCACTTCCAGATTCTTCCAAAAGAGTGTTTCAAACGTGCTCAAAGTAAGGGAATGTTCAACTCTGTCACTTGAATGCAGATATCACCAAGTAGTTTCTAATAGTGCTTCTGTCTAGATTTTAGATGATGATATTCCCGTTTCCAACGGAATCGTTAGAGCTAAGCAAATATCCAGTTACAGTTTCTACCAAAAGGGTGTTTCCAAATTGCTGCATCAAAAGAAAGGTTCAACTCTGTTAGTTGAGGACACACATCACAAAGAAGTTTGTGAGAATGCTCTGTCTAGATTTTGTATGACGATATTCCCTTTTCCAACGATATCGTTAAAGCAATCTAAATATCCATTTGCAGAATCCACAAAAATAGAGTTTCAAAGCTGCTCTGTAAAAAGAAAGGTTCCACTCTGTTAGCTGAGTACACACATCACAAACTTGTTTCTCAGAATCCTTTCTGTCTCGTTTTTATGGGAAGATATTTACTTTTTCACCGTAGGCATCAAAGCTCTCCAAATGTCCACATCCAGATACTCCAGAACGAGTGTTTCAAACCTACTCTATGAAAGGGAATCTTCAACTCTATGAGTTGAATGCAGACATCAGAAAGAAATTTCTGAGAATGCTGCTGTCTACCTTTTATTTGAATTCCCGCTTCCAACGAAATCCTCCAAACTATCCAAATATCCACTTGCATTTTCCACAACAAGAGTGTTTCAAAACTGCTCTATCAATAGAAACGTTCAACTCCTTTGGCTGGGTACACACATCACAAACAAGTTTCTGAGAATGCTTCTGTCTAGTTTTTATGGGAAGACGTTCCCTTTTTCACCAAAGCCATCAAAGCGCTCCAAATGTCCACTTCCAGACACTACAAAAAGAGTGTTTCAAACGTGCTCTAAGAAAGCGAATGTTCAACTCTGTGACTTGAATGCAGATATCACAAAGTAGTTTCTGAGAGTGCTTCTGTCTAGATTTTAGATGATGATATTCCCGTTTCCAACGAAATCATTAGAGCTATCCAAATATCCACTTACAGTTTCTGCAAAAAGAGTGTTTCCAAACTGCTGCATCAAAAGAGAGGTTCCACTCTGTTATCTGAGTACACACATCACAAACTTGTTTCTCAGAATCCTTCTGTCTCGTTTTTCTGGGAAGATATTTACTTTTTCATCGTAGGCATCAAAGCGCTCCAAATGTCCACATCCAGATACTCCAGAAAGAGTGTTTCAAACCTGCTCTATGAAAGGGAATCTTCAACTCTATGAGTTGAATGCAGACATCAGAAAGAAATTTCTGAGAATGCTGCTGTCTACCTTTTATTTGAATTCCCGCTTCCAACGAAATCCTCCAAGCTATCCAAATATCCACTTGCAGATTCCACAAAAAGAGTGTTTCAAAACTGCTCTCTATCAATGGCAAAGTTCAACTCTGTTAGTTGAGGACACATATCACCAACAAGTTTCTGAGAATGCTTCTGTCTATTTTTTATGGGAAGATATTTCCTTTTTCACCGTAGGCGTCAAGGCGATCGAAATGTCCACTTCCACAAACTACAAAAAGAGTGTTTCAAACCTGCTCTATGAAAGGCCATGTTCATCTCTATGAGTTGAATGGAAATATCCGAAAGAAATTTCTGGGAATGCTGCTGTCTAGTGTTTATACGAATTCCCGCTTCCAAAGAAATCCTCAAAGCAATCCAAATATCCACTTGCAGAATCCACAAAAAGAGTGTTTCAAAACTGCTCTATCAATAGAAAGGTTCAACTCTTTTAGTTGAGTACACACATCACGAACAAGTTTCTGAGAATGCTTCTGTCTGGCTTTTATTGGAAGACGTTTCCTTTTCACCAAAGGCATCAAAGCGCTCCAAATGTCCACTTCCAGATACTTCCAAAAGAGTGTTTCAAACGTGCTCGAAGTAAGGGAATGTTCAACTCTGTGACTTGAATGCAGATATCACCAAGTAGTTTCTAATAGTGCTTCTGTCTAGATTTTAGATGATGATATTCCCGTTTCCAACGAAATCGTTAGAGCTATCCAAATATCCACTTACAGTTTCTACCAAAAGGGTGTTTCCAAACTGCTGCATCAAAAGAAAGGTTCAACTCTGTTAGTTGAGGACACACATCACAAAGAAGTTTGTGAGAATACTTCTGTCTAGATTTTGTATGAAGATATTCCCTTTTCCAACGATGTCGTTAAATCAACCCAAATATCAATTTGCAGAATCCACAGAAATAGAATTTCAAAGCTGCTCTGTAAAAAGAAAGGATCCACTCTGTTAGCTGAGTACACACATCACAAACTTGTTTCTGAGAATCCTTCTGTCTCGTTTTTATGGGAAGATATATAATTTTCCACCGTAGGCATCAAAGCGCTCCAAATGTCCACATCCAGATACTCCAGAACGAGTGTTTCAAACCTGCTCTATGAAAGGGAATCTTCAACTCTATGAGTTGAATGCAGACATCAGAAAGAAATTTCTGAGAATGCTGCTGTCTACCTTTTATTTGAATTCCTGCTTCCAACGAAATCCTCCAAGCTATCCAAATATCCACCTGCATTTTCCACAAAAAGAGTGTTTCAAAACTGCTCTATCAATAGAAATGTTCAACTCCTTTGGCTGGGTACACACATCACAAACAAGTTTCTGAGAATGCTTCTGTCTAGTTTTTATGGGAAGACATTCCCTTTTTCACCAAAGGCATCAAAGCGCTCCAAATGTCCACTTCCAGACACTACAAAAAGAGTGTTTCAAACGTGCTCTAAGAAAGCGAATGTTAAACTCTGTGACTTGAATGCAGATATCACAAAGTAGTTTCTGAGAGGGCTTCTGTCTAGATTTTAGATGATGATATTCCCGTTTCCAACGAAATCATTAGAGCTATCCAAATATCCACTTACAGTTTCTATAAAAAGAGTGTTTCCAAACTGCTGCATCAAAAGAGAGGTTCCACTCTGTTAGCCGAGTACACACATCACAAACTTGTTTCTCAGAATCCTTCTGTCTCGTTTTTATGGGAAGATATTTACTTTTCCACCGTAGGCATCAAAGCGCTCCAAATGTCCACATCCAGATACTCCAGAAAGAGTGTTTCAAACCTGCTCTATGAAAGGGAATCTTCAACTCTATGAGTTGAATGCAGACATCAGAAAGAAATTTCCTGAGAATGCTGCTGTCTACCTTTTATTTGAATTCCCGCTTCCAACGAAATCCTCCAAGCTATCCAAATATCCACTTGCAGATTCCACAAAAAGAGTGTTTCAAAACTGCTCTCTATCAATGGCAAAGTTCAACTCTGTTAGTTGAGGACACATATCACCAACAAGTTTCTGAGAATGCTTCTGTCTATTTTTTATGGGAAGATATTTCCTTTTTCACCACAGGCGTCAAGGCGATCGAAATGTCCACTTCCACAAACTACAAAAAGAGTGTTTCAATATGAAAGGCCATGTTCATCTCTATGAGTTGAATGGAAATATCCGAAAGAAATTTCTGGGAATGCTGCTGTCTAGTTTTTATACGAATTCCCGCTTCCAACGAAATCCTCAAAGCAATCCAAATATCCACTTGCAGAATCCACAAAAAGAGTGTTTCAAAACTGCTCTATCAATAGAAAGGTTCAACTCTTTTAGTTGAGTACACACATCACAAACAAGTTTCTGAGAATGCTTCTGTCTGGCTTTTATTGGAAGACGTTTCCTTTTCACCAAAGGCATCAAAGCGCTCCAAATGTCCACTTCCAGATTCTTCCAAAAGAGTGTTTGAAACGTGCTCAAAGTAAGGGAATGTTCAACTCTGTGACTTGAATGCAGATATCACCAAGTAGTTTCTAATAGTGCTTCTGTCTAGATTTTAGATGATGATATTCCCGTTTCCAACGAAATCGTTAGAGCTATCCAAATATCCACTTACAGTTTCTACAAAAAGAGTGTTTCCAAACTGCTGCATCAAAAGAAAGGTTCAACTCTGTTAGTTGAGGACACACATCACAAAGAAGTTTTGTGAGAATGCTTCTGTCCAGAGTTTGTATGACAATATTCCCTTTTCCAACGATATCGTTAAAGCAATCTAAATATCAATTTGCAGAATCCACAAAAATAGAGTTTGAAAGCTGCTCTGTAAAAAGAAAGGTTCCACTCTGTTAGCTGAGTACACACATCACAAACTTGTTTCTGAGAATCCTTCTGTCTCGTTTTTATGGGAAGATATTTACTTTTTCACCGTAGGCATCAAAGCGCTCCAAATGTCCACATCCAGATACTCCAGAAAGAGTGTTTCAAACCTGCTCTATGAAAGGGAATCTTCAACTCTATGAGTTGAATGGAGACATCAGAAAGAAATTTCTGAGAATGCTCTGTTAGTTTATGGGAAGATATTTCCTTTTTCACCGTAGGCGTCAAGGCGATCGAAATGTCCACTTCCACAAACTACAAAAAGAGTGTTTCAAACCTGCTCTATGAAAGGCCATGTTCATCTCTATGAGTCGAATGGAAATATCCGAAAGAAATTTCTGGGAATGCTTCTGTCTATTTTTTATGGGAAGATATTTCCTTTTTCACCGTAGGCGTCAAGGCGATCGAAATGTCCACTTCCACAAACTACAAAAAGAGTGTTTCAAACCTGCTCTATGAAAGGCCATGTTCATCTCTATGAGTCGAATGGAAATATCCGAAAGAAATTTCTGGGAATGCTGCTGTCTAGTTTTTATACGAATTCCCGCTTCCAACGAAATCCTCAAAGCAATCCAAATATCCACTTGCAGAATCCACAAAAAGAGTGTTTCAAAACTGCTCTATCAATAGAAAGGTTCAACTCTTTTAGTTGAGTACACACATCACAAACAAGTTTCTGAGAATGCTTCTGTCTGGCTTTTATTGGAAGACGTTTCCTTTTCACCAAAGGCATCAAAGCGCTCCAAATGTCCACTTCCAGATTCTTCCAAAAGAGTGTTTGAAACGTGCTCAAAGTAAGGGAATGTTCAACTCTGTGACTTGAATGCAGATATCACCAAGTAGTTTCTAATAGTGCTTCTGTCTAGATTTTAGATGATGATATTCCCGTTTCCAACGAAATCGTTAGAGCTATCCAAATATCCACTTACAGTTGCTACAAAAAGAGTGTTTCCAAACTGCTGCATCAAAAGAAAGGTTCAACTCTGTTAGTTGAGGACACACATCACAAAGAAGTTTGTGAGAATGCTTTCTGTCTAGATTTTGTATGACGATATTCCCTTTTCCAACGATATCGTTAAAGCAATCTAAATATCAATTTGCAGAATCCACAAAAATAGAGTTTCAAAGCTGCTCTGTAAAAAGAGAGGTTCCACTCTGTTAGCTGAGTACACACATCACAAACTTGTTTCTGAGAATCCTGCTGTCTACCTTTTATTTGAATTCCCGCTTCCAACGAAATCCTCCAAGCTATCCAAATATCCACTTGCAGATTCCACAAAAAGAGTGTTTCAAAACTGCTCTCTATCAATGGCAAAGTTCAACTCTGTTAGTTGAGGACACATATCACCAACAAGTTTCTGAGAATGCTTCTGTCTATTTTTTATGGGAAGATATTTCCTTTTTCACCGTAGGCGTCAAGGCGATCGAAATGTCCACTTCCACAAACTACAAAAAGAGTGTTTCAAACCTGCTCTACGAAAGGCCATGTTCATCTCTATGAGTCGAATGGAAATATCCGAAAGAAATTTCTGGGAATGCTGCTGTCTAGTTT
Source organism: Homo sapiens (assembly GCF_000001405.40). Taxonomy (NCBI): domain Eukaryota; kingdom Metazoa; phylum Chordata; class Mammalia; order Primates; family Hominidae; genus Homo; species Homo sapiens. Next base: position 14,568,043 of record NC_000022.11, on the reverse strand, counting down.
TTATACGAATTCCCGCTTCCAACGAAATCCTCAAAGCAATCCAAATATCCACTTGCAGAATCCACAAAAAGAGTGTTTCAAAACTGCTCTATCAATAGAAAGGTTCAACTCTTTTAGTTGAGTACACACATCACAAACAAGTTTCTGAGAATGCTTCTGTCTGGCTTTTATTAGAAGACGTTTCCTTTTCACCAAAGGCATCAAAGCGCTCCAAATGTCCACTTCCAGATTCTTCCAAAAGAGTGTTTCAAACGTGCTCAAAGTAAGGGAATGTTCAACTCTTTGACTTGAATGCAGATATCACCAAGTAGTTTCTAATAGTGCTTCTGTCTAGATTTTAGATGATGATATTCCCGTTTCCAACGAAATCGTTAGAGCTATCCAAATATCCACTTACAGTTTCTATAAAAAGAGTGTTTCCAAACTGCTGCATCAAAAGAAAAGTTCAACTCTGTTAGTTGAGGACACACATCACAAAGAAGTTTGTGAGAATGCTTCCTGTCTAGATTTTGTATGACCATATTCCCTTTTCCAGCGATATCATTAAAGCAATCTAAATATCCATTTGCAGAATCCACAAAAATAGAGTTTCAAAGCTGCTCTGTAAAAAGAAAGGTTCCACTCTGTTAGCTGAGTACACACATCACAAACTTGTTTCTCAGAATCCTCTGTCTCGTTTTTATGGGAAGATATTTACTTTTTCACCGTAGGCATCAAAGCGCTCCAAATGTCCACATCCAGATACTCCAGAAAGAGTGTTTCAAACCTGCTCTATGAAAGGGAGTCTTCAACTCTATGAGTTGAATGCAGACATCAGAAGGAAATTTTCTGAGAATGCTGGCTGTCTACCTTTTATTTGAATTCCCGCTTCCAACGAAATCCTCCAAGCTATCCAAATATCCACCTGCATTTTCCACAAAAAGAGCGTTTCAAAACTGCTCTATTAATAGAAATGTTCAACTCCTTTGGCTGGGTACACACATCACAAACAAGTTTCTGAGAATGCTTCTGTCTAGTTTTTATGGGAAGATATTCCCTTTTTCACCAAAGGCATCAAAGCGCTCCAAATGTCCACTTCCAGACACTACAAAAAGAGTGTTTCCAACGTGCTCTAAGAAAGCGAATGTTCAACTCTGTGACTTGAATGCAGATATCACAAAGTAGTTTCTGAGAGGGCTTCTGTCTAGATTTTAGATGATGATATTCCCGTTTCCAACGAAATCATTAGAGCTATCCAAATATCCACTTACAGTTTCTACAAAAAGAGTGTTTCCAAACTGCTGCATCAAAAGAAAAGTTCAACTCTGTTAGTTGAGGACACACATCACAAAGAAGTTTGTGAGAATGCTTCTGTCTCGTTTTTATGGGAAGATATTTACTTTTTCACCGTAGGCATCAAAGCGCTCCAAATGTCCACATCCAGATACTCCAGAAAGAGTGTTTCAAACCTGCTCTATGAAAGGGAATCTTCAACTCTATGAGTTGAATGCAGACATCAGAAAGTAATTTCTGAGAATGCTGCTGTCTACCTTTTATTTGAATTCCCGCTTCCAACGAAATCCTCCAAGCTATCCAAATATCCACTTGCAGATTCCACAAAAAGAGTGTTTCAAAACTGCTCTCTATCAATGGCAAAGTTCAACTCTGTTAGTTGAGGACACATATCACCAACAAGTTTCTGAGAATGCTTCTGTCTATTTTTTATGGGAAGATATTTCCTTTTTCACCGTAGGCGTCAAGGCGATCGAAATGTCCACTTCCACAAACTACAAAAAGAGTGTTTCAAACCTGCTCTATGAAAGGCCATGTTCATCTCTATGAGTTGAATGGAAATATCCGAAAGAAATTTCCTGGGAATGCTGGCTGTCTAGTTTTTATACGAATTCCCGCTTCCAACGAAATCCTCAAAGCAATCCAAATATCCACTTGCAGAATCCACAAAAAGAGTGTTTCAAAACTGCTCTATCAATAGAAAGGTTCAACTCTTTTAGTTGAGTACACACATCACAAACAAGTTTCTGAGAATGCTTCTGTCTGGCTTTTATTGGAAGACGTTTCCTTTTCACCAAAGGCATCAAAGCGCTCCAAATGTCCACTTCCAGATTCTTCCAAAAGAGTGTTTGAAACGTGCTCAAAGTAAGGGAATGTTCAACTCTGTGACTTGAATGCAGATATCACCAAGTAGTTTGCTAATAGTGCTTCTGTCTAGATTTTAGATGATGATATTCCCGTTTCCAACGAAATCGTTAGAGCTATCCAAATATCCCCTTACAGTTGCTACAAAAACAGTGTTTCCAAACTGCTGCATCAAAAGAAAGGTTCAACTCTGTTAGTTGAGGACACACATCACAAAGAAGTTTGTGAGAATGCTTCTGTCCAGATTTTGTATGACGATATTCCCTTTTCCAACGATATCGTTAAAGCAATCTAAATATCCATTTGCAGAATCCACAAAAATAGAGTTTCAAAGCTGCTCTGTAAAAAGAAAGGTTCCACTCTGTTAGCTGGAGTACACACATCACAAACTTGTCTCTCAGAATCCTTCTGTCTCGTTTTTATGGGAAGATATTTACTTTTTCACCGTAGGCATCAAAGCGCTCCAAATGTCCACATCCAGATACTCCAGAAAGAGTGTTTCAAACCTGCTCTAGGAAAGGGAATCTTCAACTCTATGAGTTGAATGCAGACATCAGAAAGAAATTTCTGAGAATGCTGCTGTCTACCTTTTATTTGAATTCCTGCTTCCAACGAAATCCTCCAAGCTATCCAAATATCCACTTGCATTTTCCACAAAAAGAGTGTTTCAAAACTGCTCTATCAATAGAAATGTTCAACTCCTTTAGCTGGGTACACACATCACAAACAAGTTTCTGAGAATGCTTCTGTCTAGTTTTTATGGGAAGACATTCCCTTTTTCACCAAAGGCATCAAAGCGCTCCAAATGTCCACTTCCAGACACTACAAAAAGAGTGTTTCAAACGTGCTCTAAGAAAGCGAATATTCAACTCTGTGACTTGAATGCAGATATCACAACGTAGTTTCTGAGAGGGCTTCTGTCTAGATTTTAGATGATGATATTCCCGTTTCCAACGAAATCATTAGAGCTATCCAAATATCCACTTACAGTTTCTACAAAAAGAGTGTTTCCAAACTGCTGCATCAAAAGAGAGGTTCCACTCTGTTAGCTGAGTACACACATCACAAAGTTGTTTCTGAGAATCCTTCTGTCGCGTTTTTATGGGAAGATATTTACTTTTTCACCGTAGGCATCAAAGCGCTCCAAATGTCCACATCCAGATACTCCAGAAAGAGTGTTTCAAACCTGCTCTATGAAAGGGAATCTTCAACTCTATGAGTTGAATGCAGACATCAGAAAGAAATTTCTGAGAATGCTGCTGTCTACCTTTTATTTGAATTCCCGCTTCCAACGAAATCCTCCAAGCTATCCAAATATCCACTTGCAGATTCCACAAAAAGAGTGTTTCAAAACTGCTCTCTATCAATGGCAAAGTTCAACTCTGTTAGTTGAGGACACATATCACCAACAAGTTTCTGAGAATGCTTCTGTCTATTTTTTATGGGAAGATATTTCCTTTTTCACCGTAGGCGTCAAGGCGATCGAAATGTCCACTTCCACAAACTACAAAAAGAGTGTTTCAAACCTGCTCTATGAAAGGCGATGTTCATCTCTATGAGTTGAATGGAAATATCCGAAAGAAATTTCTGGGAATGCTGCTGTCTAGTTTTTATATGAATTCCCGCTTCCAACGAAATCCTCAAAGCAATCCAAATATCCACTTGCAGAATCCACAAAAAGAGTGTTTCAAAACTGCTCTATCAATAGAAAGGTTCAACTCTTTTAGTTGAGTACACACATCACAACCAAGTTTCTGAGAATGCTTCTGTCTGGCTTTTATTGGAAGACGTTTCCTTTTCACCAAAGGCATCAAAGCGCTCCAAATGTCCACTTCCAGATTCTTCCAAAAGAGTGTTTCAAACGTGCTCGAAGTAAGGGAATGTTCTACTCTGTGACTTGAATGCAGATATCACCAAGTAGTTTCTAATAGTGCTTCTGTCTACATTTTAGATGATGATATTCCCGTTTCCAACGAAATCGTTAGAGCTATCCAAATATCCAGTTACAGTTTCTACCAAAAGGGTGTTTCCAAATTGCTGCATCAAAAGAAAGGTTCAACTCTGTTAGTTGAGGACACACATCACAAAGAAGTTTGCGAGAATGCTTCTGTCTAGATTTTGTATGACGATATTCCCTTTTCCAACGATATCGTTAAAGCAATCTAAATATCAATTTGCAGAATCCACAAAAATAGAGTTACAAAGCTGCTCTGTAAAAAGAAAGGTTCCACTCTGTTAGCTGAGTACACACATCACAAACTTGTTTCTGAGAATCCTGCTGTCTACCTTTTATTTGAATTCCCGCTTCCAACGAAATCCTCCAAGCTATCCAAATATCCACTTGCATTTTCCACAAAAAGAGTGTTTCAAAACTGCTCTATCAATAGAAATGTTCAACTCCTTTGGCTGGGTACACACATCACAAACAAGTTTCTGAGAATGATTCTGTCTAGTTTTTATGGGAAGACATTTCCTTTTTCACCAAAGGCATCAAAGAGCTCCAAATGTCCACTTCCAGATACTACAAAAAGAGTGTTTCAAAAGTGCTCTAAGAAAACGAATGTTCAACTCTGTGACTTGAAAGCAGATATCACAAAGTAGTTTCTGAGAGTGCTTCTGTCTAGATTTTACATGATGATATTCCCGTTTCCAACGAAATCATTAGAGCTATCCAAATATCCACTTACAGTTTCTACAAAAAGAGTGTTTCCAAACTGCTGCATCAAAAGAGAGGTTCCACTCTGTTAGCTGAGTACACACATCACAAACTTGTTTCTGAGAATCCTTCTGTCTCGTTTTTATGGGAAGATTATACTTTTTCACCGTAGGCATCAAAGCGCTCCAAATGTCCACATCCAGATACTACAGAAAGAGTGTTTCAAACCTGCTCTATGAAAGGGAATGTTCAACTCTATGAGTTGAATGCAGACATCAGAAAGAAATTTCTGAGAATGCTGCTGTCTACCTTTTATTTGAATTCCCGCTTCCAACGAAATCCTCCAAGCTATCCAAATATCCACTTGCAGATTCCACAAAAAGAGTGTTTCAAAACTGCTCTCTATCAATGGCAAAGTTCAACTCTGTTAGTTGAGGACACATATCACCAACAAGTTTCTGAGAATGCTTCTGTCTATTTTTTATGGGAAGATATTCCCTTTTTCACCATAGGCGTCAAGGCGATCAAAATGTCCACTTCCACAAACTACAAAAAGAGTGTTTCAAACCTGCTCTATGAAAGGCCATGTTCATCTCTATGAGTTGAATGGAAATATCCGAAAGAAATTTCTGAAAATGCTGCTGTCTAGTTTTTATACGAATTCCCGCTTCCAACGAAATCCTCAAAGCAATCCAAATATCCACTTGCAGAATCCACAAAAAGAGTGTTGCAAAACTGCTCTATCAATAGAAAGGTTCAACACTTTTAGTTGAGTACACACATCACAAAGAAGTTTCTGAGAATGCTTCTTTCTGGCTTTTATTGGAAGATGTTTCCTTTTCACCAAAGGCATCAAAGAGCTCCAAACGTCCACTTCCAGATTCTTACAAAAGAGTGTTTCAAACGTGCTCAAAGTAAGGGAATGTTCAACTCTGTGACTTGCATGCAGATATCACAAGTAGTTTCTAATAGTGCTTCTGTCTAGATTTTAGATGATGATATTCCCGTTTCCAACGAAATCGTTAGAGCTATCCAAATATCCAGTTACAGTTTCTACCAAAAGGGTGTTTCCAAACTGCTGCATCAAAAGAAAGGTTCAAGTCTGTTAGTTGAGGACACACATCACAAAGAAGTTTGTGAGAATGCTTCTGTCTAGATTTTGTATGACGATATTCCCTTTTCCAACGATATCGTTAAAGCAATCTAAATATCAATTTGCAGAATCCACAAAAATAGACTTTCAAAGCTGCTCTGTAAAAAGAAAGGTTCCACTCTGTTAGCTGAGTACACACATCACAAACTTGTTTCTGAGAATCCTTCTGTCTCGTTTTTCTGGGAAGATATTTACTTTTTCACCGTAGGCATCAAAGCGCTCCAAATGTCCACATCCAGATACTCCAGAAAGAGTGTTTCAAACCTGCTCTATGAAAGGGAATCTTCAACTCTATGAGTTGAATGCAGACATCAGAAAGAAATTTCTGAGAATGCTGCTGTCTACCTTTTATTTGAATTCCCGCTTCCAACTAAATCCTCCAAACTATCCAAATATCCACTTGCAGATTCAGGAAAAAGAGTGTTTCAAAACTGCTCTCTATCAATGGCAAAGTTCAACTCTGTTAGTTGAGGACACATATCACCAACAAGTTTCTGAGAATGCTTCTGTCTATTTTTTATGGGAAGATATTTCCTTTTTCACCGTGGGCGGTCAAGGCGATCGAAATGTCCACTTCCACAAACTACAAAAAGAGTGTTTCAAACCTGCTCTATGAAAGGCCATGTTCATCTCTATGAGTCGAATGGAAATATCCGAAAGAAATTTCTGGGAATGCTGCTGTCTAGTTTTTATACGAATTCCCGCTTCCAACGAAATCCTCAAAGCAATCCAAATATCCACTTGCAGAATCCACAAAAAGAGTGTTTCAAAACTGCTCTATCAATAGAAAGGTTCAACTCTTTTAGTTGAGTACACACATCACAAACAAGTTTCTGAGAATGCTTCTGTCTGGCTTTTATTGGAAGACGTTTCCTTTTCACCAAAGGCATCAAAGCGCTCCAAATGTCCACTTCCAGATTCTTCCAAAAGAGTGTTTGAAACGTGCTCAAAGTAAGGGAATGTTCAACTCTGTGACTTGAATGCAGATATCACCAAGTAGTTTCTAGTAGTGCTTCTGTCTAGATTTTAGATGATGATATTCCCGTTTCCAACGAAATCGTTAGAGCTATCCAAATATCCACTTACAGTTTCTACCAAAAGGGTGTTTCCAAACTGCTGCATCAAAAGAAAGGTTCAACTCTGTTAGTTGAGGACACACATCACAAAGAAGTTTGTCAGAATGCTTCTGTCCAGATTTTGTATGATGATATTCCCTTTTCCAACGATATCGTTAAAGCAATCTAAATATCCATTTGCAGAATCCACAAAAATAGAGTTTCAAAGCTGCTCTGTAAAAAGAAAGGTTCCACTCTGTTAGCTGAGTACACACATCACAAACTTGTTTCTGAGATTCCTCTGTCTCGTTTTTATGGGAAGATATTTACTTTTTCACCGTAGGCATCAAAGCGCTCCAAATGTCCACATCCAGATACTCCAGAAAGACTGTTTCAAACCTGCTCAATGAAAGGGAATCTTCAACTCTATGAGTTGAATGCAGACATCAGAAAGAAATTTCTGAGAATGCTGGCTGTCTACCTTTTATTTGAATTCCGGCTTCCAACGAAATCCTCCAAGCTATCCAAATATCCACTTGCATTTTCCACAACAAGAGTGTTTCAAAACTGCTCTATCAATAGAAATGTTCAACTCCTTTGGCTGGGTACACACATCACAAACAAGTTTCTGAGAATGCTTCTGTCTAGTTTTTATGGGAAGACATTCCCTTTTTCACCAAAGACATCAAAGCGCTCCAAATGTCCACTTCCAGACACTACAAAAAGAGTGTTTCAAACGTGCTCTAAGAAAGCAGAATGTTCAACTCTGTGACTTGAATGCAGATATCACAAAGTAGTTTCTGAGAGGGCTTCTGTCTAGATTTTAGATGATGATATTCCCGTTTCCAACGAAATCATTAGAGCTATCCAAATATCCACTTACAGTTTCTACAAAAAGAGAGTTTCCAAACTGCTGCATCAAAAGAGAGGTTCCACTCTGTTAGCTGAGTACACACATCACAAACTTGTTTCTCACAATCCTTCTGTCTCGTTTTTATGGGAAGATATTTACTTTTTCACCGTAGGCATCAAAGCGCTCCAAATGTCCACATCCAGATACTCCAGAAAGAGTGTTTCAAACCTGCTCTACGAAAGGGAATCTTCAACTCTATGAGTTGAATGCAGACATCAGAAAGAAATTTCTGAGAATGCTGCTGTCTACCTTTTATTTGAATTCCCGCTTCCAACGAAATCTTCCAACCTATCCAAATATCCACCTGCATTTTCCACAAAAAGAGTGTTTCAAAACTGCTCTATCAATAGAAATGTTCAACTCCTTTAGCTAGGTACACACATCACAAACAAGTTTCTGAGAATGCTTCTGTCTATTTTTTATGGGAAGATATTTCCTTTTTCACCGTAGGCGTCAAGGCGATCGAAATGTCCACTTCCACAAACTACAAAAAGAGTGTTTCAAACCTGCTCTATGAAAGGCCATGTTCATCTCTATGAGTTGAATGGAAATATCCGAAAGAAAATTCTGGGAATGCTGCTGTCTAGTGTTTATACGAATTCCCGCTTCCAACGAAATCCTCAAAGCAATCCAAATATCCACTTGCAGAATCCACAAAAAGAGTGTTTCAAAACTGCTCTATCAATAGAAAGGTTCAACTCTTTTAGTTGAGTACACACATCACAAACAAGTTTCTGAGAATGCTTCTGTCTGGCTTTTATTGGAAGACGTTTCCTTTTCACCAAAGGCATCAAAGCGCTCCAAATGTCCACTTCCAGATTCTTCCAAAAGAGTGTTTCAAACGTGCTCAAAGTAAGGGAATGTTCAACTCTGTGACTTGAATGCAGATATCACCAAGTAGTTTCTAATAGTGCTTCTGTCTAGATTTTAGATGATGATATTCCCGTTTCCAACGAAATCGTTAGAGCTAAGCAAATATCCAGTTACAGTTTCTACAAAAAGGGTGTTTCCAAATTGCTGCATCAAAAAAAAGGTTCAACTCTGTTAGTTGAGGACACACACCACAAAGAAGTTTGTGAGAATGCTTCTGTCTAGATTTTGTATGACGATATTCCCTTTTCCAACGATATCGTTAAAGCAATCTAAATATCAATTTGCAGAATCCAGAAAAATAGAGTTTCAAAGCTGCTCTGTAAAAAGAAAGGTTCCACTCTGTTAGCTGAGTACACACATCACAAACTTGTTTCTGAGAATCCTTCTGTCTCGTTTTTATGGGAAGATATTTACTTTTTCACCGTAGGCATCAAAGCGCTCCAAATGTCCACATCCAGATACTCCAGAAAGACTGTTTCAAACCTGCTCTATGAAAGGGAATCTTCAACTCTATGAGTTGAATGCAGACATCAGAAAGAAATTTCTGAGAATGCTGCTGTCTACCTTTTATTTGAATTCCCGCTTCCAACGAAATCCTCCAAGCTATACAAATATCCACTTGCATTTTCCACAAAAAGAGGGTTTCAAAACTGCTCTCTATCAATGCAAAATTCAACTCCTTTAGCTGGGTACACACATCACAAACAAGTTTCTGGGAATGCTTCTGTCTAGTTTTTATGGGAACACATTCCCTTTTTCACCAAAGGCATCAAAGCGCTCCAAATGTCCACTTCCAGACACTACAAAAAGAGTGTTTCCAACGTGCTCTAAGAAAGCGAATGTTCAACTCTGTGACTTGAATGCAGATATCACAAAGTAGTTTCTGAGAGGGCTTCTGTCTAGATTTTAGATGATGATATTCCCGTTTCCAACGAAATCATTAGAGCTATCCAAATATCCACTTACAGTTTCTACAAAAAGAGTGTTTCCAAACTGCTGCATCAAAAAGAGAGGTTCCACTCTGTTAGCTGAGTACACACATCACAAACTTGTTTCTCAGAATCCTTCTGTCTCGTTTTTATGGGAAGATATTTACTTTCTCACCGTAGGCATCAAAGCGCTCCAAATGTCCACATCCAGATACTCCAGAAAGAGTGTTTCAAACCTGCTCTATGAAAGGGAATGTTCAACTCTATGAGTTGAATGCAGACATCAGAAAGAAATTTCTGAGAATGCTGCTGTCTACCTTTTATTTGAATTCCCGCTTCCAACGAAATCCTCCAAGCTATCCAAATATCCACTTGCAGATTCCACAAAAAGAGTGTTTCAAAACTGCTCTCTATCAATGGCAAAGTTCAACTCTGTTAGTTGAGGACACATATCACCAACAAGTTTCTGAGAATGCTTCTGTCTATTTTTTATGGGAAGATATTTCCTTTTTCACCGTAGGCGTCAAGGCGATCGAAATGTCCACTTCCACAAACTACAAAAAGAGTGTTTCAAACCTGCTCTATGAAAGGCCATGTTCATGTCTATGAGTCGAATGGAAATATCCGAAAGAAATTTCTGGGAATGCTGCTGTCTAGTTTTTATACGAATTCCCGCTTCCAACGAAATCCTCAAAGCAATCCAAATATCCACTTGCAGAATCCACAAAAAGAGTGTTTCAAAACTGCTCTATCAATAGAAAGGTTCAACTCTTTTAGTTGAGTACACACATCACAAACAAGTTTCTGAGAATGCTTCTGTCTGGCTTTTATTGGAAGACGTTTCCTTTTCAACAAAGGTATCAAAGCGCTCCAAATGTCCACTTCCAGATTCTTCCAAAAGAGTGTTTCAAACGTGCTCAAAGTAAGGGAATGTTCAACTCTGTGACTTGAATGCAGATATCACCAAGTAGTTTGTAATAGTGCTTCTGTCTAGATTTTAGATGACGATATTCCCGTTTCCAGCGAAATCGTTAGAGCTATCCAAATATCCACTTACAGTTTCTACAAAAAGAGTGTTTCCAAACTGCTGCATCAAAAGAAAGGTTCAACTCTGTTAGTTGAGGACACACATCACAAAGAAGTTTGTGAGAATGCTTCTGTCCAGATTTTGTATGACGATATTCCCTTTTCCAACGATATCGTTAAAGCAATCTAAATATCAATTTGCAGAATCCACAAAAATAGAGTTTCAAAGCTGCTCTGTAAAAAGAAAGGTTCCACTCAGTTAGCTGAGTACACACATCACAAACTTGTTTCAGAGAATCCTTCTGTCTCGTTTTTCTGGGAAGATATTTACTTTTTCACCATAGGCATCAAAGCGCTCCAAATGTCCACATCCAGATACTCCAGAAAGAGTGTTTCAAACCTGCTCTATGAAAGGGAATCTTCAACTCTATGAGTTGAATGCAGACATCAGAAAGAAATTTCTGAGAATGCTGCTGTCTACCTTTTATTTGAATTCCCGCTTCCAACGAAATCCTCCAAGCTATCCAAATATCCACCTGCAATTTCCACAACAAGAGTGTTTCAAAACTGCTCTATCAATAGAAATGTTCAACTCCTTTGGCTGGGTACACACATCACAAACAAGTTTCTGAGAATGCTTCTGTCTACTTTTTAAGGGAAGACATTTCCTTTTTCACCAAAGGCATCAAAGCGTTCCAAATGTCCACTTCCAGATTCTACAAAAAGAGTGTTTCAAACCTGCTCTAAGTAAGGGAGTTTTCAACTCTGTGACTGGAATGCAGATATCACAATGTAGTTTCTGAGACTGCTTCTGTGTATACTTTAGATGAAGATATTCCCGTTTCCAACGATATCGTTAGACCTATCCAAATATCCACTTACAGTTTCTACAAAAAGAGTGTTTCCAAACTGCTGCATCTAAAGAAAGGTTCAACTCTGTTAGTTGAGGACACACATCACAAAGAATTTTCTGAGAAAGCTTCTGTCTCGTTTTTATGGGAAGATTATACTTTTTCGCCGTAGGCATCAAAGCGCTCCAAATGTCCACATCCAGATACTCCAGAAAGAGTGTTTCAAACCTGCTCTATGAAAGGGAATGTTCAACTCTATGAGTTGAATGCAGACATCAGAAAGAAATTTCTGAGAATGCTGCTGTCTACCTTTTATTTGAATTCCCGCTTCCAACGAAATCCTCCAAGCTATCCAAATATCCACTTGCAGATTCCACAAAAAGAGTGTTTCAAAACTGCTCTCTATCAATGGCAAAGTTCAACTCTGTTAGTTGAGGACACATATCACCAACAAGTTTCTGAGAATGCTTCTGTCTATTTTTTATGGGAAGATATTTCCTTTTTCACCGTAGGCGTCAAGGCGATCGAAATGTCCACTTCCACAAACTACAAAAAGAGTGTTTCAAACCTGCTCTATGAAAGGCCATGTTCATCTCTATGAGTCGAATGGAAATATCCGAAAGAAATTTCTGGGAATGCTGCTGTCTAGTTTTTATACGAATTCCCGCTTCCAACGAAATCCTCAAAGCAATCCAAATATCCACTTGCAGAATCCACAAAAAGAGTGTTTCAAAACTGCTCTATCAATAGAAAGGTTCAACTCTTTTAGTTGAGTACACACATCACAAACAAGTTTCTGAGAATGCTTCTGTCTGGCTTTTATTGGAAGATGTTTCCTTTTCACCAAAGGCATCAAAGCGCTCCAAATGTCCACTTCCAGATTCTTCCAAAAGAGTGTTTCAAACGTGCTCAAAGTAAGGGAATGTTCAACTCTGTGACTTGAATGCAGATATCACCAAGTAGTTTCTAATAGTGCTTCTGTCTAGATTTTAGATTATGATATTACCGTTTCCAACGAAATCGTTAGAGCTATCCAAATATCCACTTACAGTTTCTACCAAAAGGGTGTTTCCAAACTGCTGCATCAAAAGAAAGGTTCAACTCTGTTAGTTGAGGACACACATCACAAAGAAGTTTGTGAGAATGCTTCTGTCTAGATTTTGTATGACGATATTCCCTTTTCCAACGATATCGTTAAAGCAATCTAAATATCAATTTGCAGAATCCACAAAAATAGAGTTTCAAAGCTGCTCTGTAAAAAGAAAGGTTCCACTCTGTTAGCTGAGTACACACATCACAAACTTGATTCTGAGAATCCTTCTGTCTCGTTTTTATGGGAAGATATTTACTTTTCCACCGTAGGCATCAAAGCGCTCCAAATGTCCACATCCAGATACTCCAGAACAAGTGTTTCAAACCTGCTCTATGAAAGGGAATCTTCAACTCTATGAGTTGAATGCAGACATCAGAAAGAAATTTCTGAGAATGCTGCTGTCTACCTTTTATTTGAATTCCCGCTTCCAACGAAATCCTCCAAGCTATCCAAATATCCACCTGCATTTTACACAAAAAGAGTGTTTCAAAACTGCTCTATCAATAGAAATGTTCAACTCCTTTGGCTGGGTACACACATCACAAACAAGTTTCTGAGAATGCTTCTGTCTAGTTTTTATGGGTAGACATTCCCTTTTTCACCAAAGGAAACAAAGCGCTCCAAATGTCCACTTCCAGACACTACAAAAAGAGTGTTTCAAACGTGCTCTAAGAAAGCGAATGTTCAACTCTGTGACTTGAATGCAGATATCACAAAGTAGTTTCTGAGAGTGCTTCTGTCTAGATTTTAGATGATGATATTCCCGTTTCCAACGAAATCATTAGAGCTATCCAAATATGCACTTACAGTTTCTACAAAACGAGTGTTTCCAAACTGCTGCATCAAAAGAGAGGTTCCAATCTGTTAGCTGAGTACACACATCACAAACTTGTTTCTCAGAATCCTTCTGTCTCGTTTTTATGGGAAGATTATACTTTTTCACCGTAAGCATCAAAGCGCTCCAAATGTCCACATCCAGATACTCCAGAAAGAGTGTTTCAAACCTGCTCTATGAAAGGGAATCTTCAACTCTATGAGTTGAATGCAGACATCAGAAAGAAATTTCTGAGAATGCTGCTGTCTACCTTTTATTTGAATTCCCGCTTCCAACGAAATCCTCCAAGCTATCCAAATATCCACTTGCAGATTCCACAAAAAGAGTGTTTCAAAACTGCTCTCTATCAATGGCAAAGTTCAACTCTGTTAGTTGAGGACACATATCACCAACAAGTTTGTGAGAATGCTTCTGTCTATTTTTTATGGGAAGATATTTCCTTTTTCACCGTAGGCGTCAAGGCGATCGAAATGTCCACTTCCACAAACTACAAAAAGAGTGTTTCAAACCTGCTCTATGAAAGGCCATGTTCATCTCTATGAGTCGAATGGAAATATCCGAAAGAAATTTCTGGGAATGCTGCTGTCTAGTTTTTATGCGAATTCCCACTTCCAACGAAATCCTCAAAGCAATCCAAATATCCACTTGCAGAATCCACAAAAAGAGTGTTTCAAAACTGCTCTATCAATAGAAAGGTTCAACTCTTTTAGTTGAGTACACACATCACAAACAAGTTTCTGAGAATGCTTCTGTCTGGCTTTTATTGGAAGACGTTTCCTTTTCACCAAAGGCATCAAAACGTTCCAAATGTCCACTTCCAGATTCTTCCAAAAGAGTGTTTCAAACGTGCTCAAAGTAAGGGAATGTTCAACACTGTGACTTGAATGCAGATATCACCAAGTAGTTTCTAATAGTGCTTCTGTCTAGATTTTAGATGATGATATTCCCGTTTCCAACGAAATCGTTAGAGCTATCCAAATATCCACTTACAGTTTCTACAAAAACAGTGTTTCCAAACTGCTGAATCAAAAGAAAAGTTCAACTCTGTTAGTTGAGGACACACATCACAAAGAAGTTTGTGAGAATGCTTCAGTCCAGATTTTGTATGACGATATTCCCTTTTCCAACGATATCGTTAAAGCAATCTAAATATCAATTTGCAGAATCCACAAAAATAGAGTTTCAAAGCTGCTCTGTAAAAAGAAAGGTTCCACTCTGTTAGCTGAGTACACACATCACAAACTTGTTTCTGAGAATCCTTCTGTCTCGTTTTTATGGGAAGATATTTACTTTTTCACCGTAGGCATCAAAGCGCTCCAAATGTCCACATCCAGATACTCCAGAAAGAGTGTTTCAAACCTGCTCTATGAAAGGGAATCTTCAACTCTATGAGTTGAATGGAGACATCAGAAAGAAATTTCTGAGAATGCTGCTGTCTACCTTTTATTTGAATTCACGCTTCCAACGAAATCCTCCAAGCTATCCAAATATCCACTTGCATTTTCCACAAAAAGAGTGTTTCAAAACTGCTCTATCAATAGAAATGTTCAGCTCCTTTAGCTGGGTACACACATCACAAACAAGTTTCTGAGAATGCTTCTGTCTAGTTTTTATGGGAAGACATTTCCTTTTTCACCAAAGGCATCAAAGAGCTCCAAATGTCCACTTCCAGATACGACAAATAGAGTGTTTCAAAAGTGCTCTAAGAAAGCGAATGTTCAACTCTGTGACTTGAATGCAGATATCAAAAAGTAGTTTCTGAGAGTCCTTCTGTCTAGATTTTAGATGATGATATTCCCGTTTCCAACGAAATCATTAGAGCTATCCAAATATCCACTTACAGTTTCTACAAAAAGAGTGTTTCCAAACTGCTGCATCAAAAGAGAGGTTCCACTCTGTTAGCTGAGTACACACATCACAAACTTGTTTCTGAGAATCCTTCTGTGTCGTTTTTATGGGAAGATATTTACTTTTTCACCGTAGGCATCAAAGCGCTCCAAATGTCCACATCCAGATACTCCAGAAAGAGTGTTTCAAACCTGCTCTATGAAAGGGAATCTTCAACTCTATGAGTTGAATGCAGACATCAGAAAGAAATTTCTGAGAATGCTGCTGTCTACCTTTTATTTGAAATCCCGCTTCCAACGAAATCCTCCAAGCTATCCAAATATCCACTTGCAGATTCCACAAAAAGAGTGTTTCAAAACTGCTCTCTATCAATGGCAAAGTTCAACTCTGTTAGTTGAGGACACATATCACCAACAAGTTTCTGAGAATGCTTCTGTCTATTTTTTATGGGAAGATATTTCCTTTTTCACCGTAGGCGTCAAGGCGATCGAAATGTCCACTTCCACAAACTACAAAAAGAGTGTTTCAAACCTGCTCTATGAAAGGCCATGTTCATCTCTATGAGTCGAATGGAAATATCCGAAAGAAATTTCTGGGAATGCTGCTGTCTAGTTTTTATACGAATTCCCGCTTCCAACGAAATCCTCAAAGCAATCCAAATATCCACTTGCAGAATCCACAAAAAGAGTGTTTCAAAACTGCTCTATCAATAGAAAGGTTCAACTCTTTTAGTTGAGTACACACATCACAAACAAGTTTCTGAGAATGCTTTCTGTCTGGCTTTTATTGGAAGACGTTTCCTTTTCACCAAAGGCATCAAAGCGCTCCAAATGTCCACTTCCAGATTCTTCCAAAAGAGTGTTTGAAACGTGCTCAAAGTAAGGGAATGTTCAACTCTGTGACTTGAATGCAGATATCACCAAGTAGTTTGCTAATAGTGCTTTCTGTCTAGATTTTAGATGATGATATTCCCGTTTCCAACGAAATCGTTAGAGCTATCCAAATATCCACTTACAGTTGCTACAAAAACAGTGTTTCCAAACTGCTGCATCAAAAGAAAGGTTCAACTCTGTTAGTTGAGGACACACATCACAAAGAAGTTTGTGAGAATGCTTCTGTCCAGATTTTGTATGACGATATTCCCTTTTCCAACGATATCGTTAAAGCAATCTAAATATCAATTTGCAGAATCCACAAAAATAGAGTTTCAAAGCTGCTCTGTAAAAAGAAAGGTTCCACTCTGTTAGCTGAGTACACACATCACAAACGTGTTTCTGAGAATCCTTCTGTCTCGTTTTTCTGGGAAGATATTTACTTTTTCACCGTAGGCATCAAAGCGCTCCAAATGTCCACATCCAGATACTCCAGAAAGAGTGTTTCAAACCTGCTCTATGAAAGAGAATCTTCAACTCTATGAGTTGAATGCAGACATCAGAAAGAAATTTCTGAGAATGCTGCTGTCTACCTTTTATTTGAATTCCCGCTTCCAACGAAATCCTCCAAGCTATCCAAATATCCACTTGCAGATTCCACAAAAAGAGTGTTTCAAAACTGCTCTCTATCAATGGCAAAGTTCAACTCTGTTAGTTGAGGACACATATCACCAACAAGTTTCTGAGAATGCTTCTGTCTATTTTTTATGGGAAGATATTTCCTTTTTCACCGTAGGCGTCAAGGCGATCGAAATGTCCACTTCCACAAACTACAAAAAGAGTGTTTCAAACCTGCTCTATGAAAGGCCATGTTCATCTCTATGAGTCGAATGGAAATATCCGAAAGAAATTTCTGGGAATGCTGCTGTCTAGTTTTTATACGAATTCCCGCTTCCAACGAAATCCTCAAAGCAATCCAAATATCCACTTGCAGAATCCACAAAAAGAGTGTTTCAAAACTGCTCTATCAATAGAAAGGTTCAACTCTTTTAGTTGAGTACACACATCACAAACAAGTTTCTGAGAATGCTTCTGTCTGGCTTTTATTGGAAGACGTTTCCTTTTCACCAAAGGCATCAAAGCGCTCCAAATGTCCACTTCCAGATTCTTCCAAAAGAGTGTTTGAAACGTGCTCAAAGTAAGGGAATGTTCAACTCTGTGACTTGAATGCAGATATCACCAAGTAATTTCTAATAGTGCTTCTGTCTAGATTTTAGATGATGATATTCCCGTTTCCAACGAAATCGCTAGAGCTATCCAAATATCCAGTTACAGTTTCTACCAAAAGGCTGTTTCCAAATTGCTGCATCAAAAGAAAGTTTCAACTCTGTTAGTTGAGGACACACATCACAAAGAAGTTTGTGAGAATGCTTCTGTCTAGATTTTGTATGACGATATTCCCTTTTCCAACGATATCGTTAAAGCAATCTAAATATCAATTTGCAGAATCCACAAAAATAGAGTTTCAAAGCTGCTCTTTAAAAAGAAAGGTTCCACTCTGTTAGCTGAGTACACACATCACAAACTTGTTTCTGAGAAACCTGCTGTCTACCTTTTATTTGAATTCCCGCTTCCAACGAAATCCTCCAAGCTATCCAAATATCCACTTGCAGATTCCACAAAAAGAGTGTTTCAAAACTGCTCTCTATCAATGGCAAAGTTCATCTCTGTTAGTTGAGGACACATATCACCAACAAGTTTCTGAGAATGCTTCTGTCTATTTTTTATGGGAAGATATTTCCTTTTTCACCGTAGGCGTCAAGGCGATCGAAATGTCCACTTCCACAAACTACAAAAAGAGTGTTTCAAACCTGCTCTATGAAAGGCCATGTTCATCTCTATGAGTCGAATGGAAATATCCGAAAGAAATTTCTGGGAATGCTGCTGTCTAGTTTTTATACGAATTCCCGCTTCCAACGAAATCCTCAAAGCAATCCAAATATCCACTTGCAGAATCCACAAAAAGAGTGTTTCAAAACTGCTCTATCAATAGAAAGGTTCAACTCTTTTAGTTGAGTACACACATCACAAACAAGTTTCTGAGAATGCTTCTGTCTGGCTTTTATTGGAAGACGTTTCCTTTTCAACAAAGGCATCAAAGCGCTCCAAATGTCCACTTCCAGATTCTTCCAAAAGAGTGTTTCAAACGTGGTCGAAGTAAGGGAATGTTCAACTCTGTGACTTGAATGCAGATATCACCAAGTAGTTTCTAATAGTGCTTCTGTCTAGATTTTAGATGATGATATTCCCGTTTCCAACGAAATCGTTAGAGCTATCCAAATATCCACTTACAGTTTCTACCAAAAGGGTGTTTCCAAACTGCTGCATCAAAAGAAAAGTTCAACTCTGTTAGTTGAGGACACACGTCACAAAGCTGTTTGTGAGAATGCTTCTGTCTAGATTTTGTATGACGATATTCCCTTTTCCAACGATATCGTTAAAGCAATCTAAGTATCCATTTGCAGAATCCACAAAAATAGAGTTTCAAAGCTGCTCTGTAAAAAGAAAGGTTCCACTCTGTTAGCTGAGTACACACATCACAAACTTGTTTCTCAGAATCCTTCTGTCTCGTTTTTCTGGGAAGATATTTACTTTTTCACCGTGGGCATCAAAGCGCTCCAAATGTCCACATCCAGATACTCCAGAAAGAGTGTTTCAAACCTGCTCTATGAAAGGGAATCTTCAACTCTATGAGTTGAATGCAGACATCAGAAAGAAATTTCTGAGAATGCTGCTGTCTACCTTTTATTTGAATTCCCGCTTCCAACGAAATCCTCCAAGCTATCCAAATATCCACTTGCAGATTCCACAAAAAGAGTGTTTCAAAACTGCTCTCTATCAATGGCAAAGTTCAACTCTGTTAGTTGAGGACACATATCACCAACAAGTTTCTGAGAATGCTTCTGTCTATTTTTTATGGGAAGATATTTCCTTTTTCACCGTAGGCGTCAAGGCGATCGAAATGTCCACTTCCACAAACTACAAAAAGAGTGTTTCAAACATGCTCTATGAAAGGCCATGTTCATCTCTATGAGTTGAATGGAAATATCCGAAAGAAATTTCTGGGAATGCTGCTGTCTAGTTTTTATACGAATTCCCGCTTCCAACGAAATCCTCAAAGCAATCCAAATATCCACTTGCAGAATCCACAAAAAGAGTGTTTCAAAACTGCTCTATCAATAGAAAGGTTCAACTCTTTTAGTTGAGTACACACATCACAAACAAGTTTCTGAGAATGCTTCTGTCTGGCTTTTATTGGAAGACGTTTCCTTTTCACACAAGGCATCAAAGCGCTCCAAATGTCCACTTCCAGATTCTTCCAAAAGAGTGTTTCAAACGTGCTCAAAGTAAGGGAATGTTCAACTCTGTGACTTGAATGCAGATATCACTAAGTAGTTTCTAATAGTGCTTCTGTCTAGATTTTAGATGATGATATTCCCGTTTCCAACGAAATCGTTAGAGCTATCCAAATATCCAGTTACAGTTTCTACCAAAAGGGTGTTTCCAAATTGCTGCATCAAAAGAAAGGTTCAACTCTGTTAGTTGAGGACACACATCACAAAGAAGTTTGTGAGAGTGCTTCTGTCCAGATTTTGTATGACGGTATTCCCTTTTCCAACGATATCGTTAAAGCAATCTAAATATCAATTTGCAGAATCCACAACAATAGAGTTTCAAAGCTGCTCTGTAAAAAGAAAGGTTCCACTCTGTTAGCTGAGTACACACATCACAAACTTGTTTCTGAGAATCCTTCTGTCTCGTTTTTATGGGAAGATATTTACTTTTCCACCGTAGGCATCAAAGCGCTCCAAATGTCCACATCCAGATACTCCAGAAAGAGTCTTTCAAACCTGCTCTATGAAAGGGAATCTTCAACTCTATGAGTTGAATGCAGACATCAGAAAGAAATTTCTGAGAATGCTGCTGTCTACCTTTTATTTGAATTCCCGCTTCCAACGAAATCCTCCAAGCTATCCAAATATCCACTTGCAGATTCCACAAAAAGAGTGTTTCAAAACTGCTCTCTATCAATGGCAAAGTTCAACTCTGTTAGTTGAGGACACATATCACCAACAAGTTTCTGAGAATGCTTCTGTCTATTTTTTATGGGAAGATATTTCCTTTTTCACCGTAGGCGTCAAGGCGATCGAAATGTCCACTTCCACAAACTACAAAAAGAGTGTTTCAAACCTGCTCTATGAAAGGCGATGTTCATCTCTATGAGTTGAATGGAAATATCCGAAAGAAATTTCTGGGAATGCTGCTGTCTAGTTTTTATATGAATTCCCGCTTCCAACGAAATCCTCAAAGCAATCCAAATATCCACTTGCAGAATCCACAAAAAGAGTGTTTCAAAACTGCGCTATCAATAGAAAGGTTCAACTCTTTTAGTTGAGTACACACATCACAAACAAGTTTCTGAGAATGCTTCTGTCTGGCTTTTATTGGAAGACGTTTCCTTTTCACCAAAGGCATCAAAGCGCTCCAAATGTCCACTTCCAGATTCTTCCAAAAGAGTGTTTCAAACGTGCTCTAAGAAAGCGAATGTTCAACTCTGTGACTTGAATGCAGATATCACAAAGTAGTTTCTGAGAGGGCTTCTGTCTACATTTTAGATGATGATATTCCCTTTTCCAACGAAATCGTTAGAGCTATCCAAATATCCAGTTACAGTTTCTACCAAAAGGGTGTTTCCAAATTGCTGCAACAAAAGAAAGGTTCAACTCTGTTAGTTGAGGACACACATCACAAAGAAGTTTGTGAGAATGCTTCTGTCTAGATTTTGTATGACGATATTCCCTTTTCCAACGATATCGTTAAAGCAATCTAAATATCAATTTGCAGAATCCACAAAACTAGAGTTTCAAAGCTGCTCTGTAAAAAGAAAGGTTCCACTCTGTTAGCTGAGTACACACATCACAAACTTGTTTCTGAGAATCCTTCTGTCTCGTTTTTATGGGAAGATATTTACTTTTCCACCGTAGGCATCAAAGCGCTCCAAATGTGCACATCCAGATACTCCAGAAAGAGTGTTTCAAACCTGCCCTATGAAAGGGAATCTTCAACTCTATGAGTTGAATGCAGACATCAGAAAGAAATTTCTGAGAATGCTGCTGTCTACCTTTTATTTGAATTCCCGCTTCCAACGAAATCCTCCAAGCTATCCAAATATCCACTTGCATTTTCCACAAAAAGAGTGTTTCAAAACTGCTCTATCAATAGAAATGTTCATCTCCTTTAGCTGGGTACACACATCACAAACAAGTTTCTGAGAATGCTTCTGTCTAGTTTTTATGGGAAGACATTCCCTTTTTCACCAAAGGCATCAAAGCGCTCCAAATGTCCACTTCCAGACACTACAAAAAGAGTGTTTCAAACGTGCTCTAAGAAAGCGAAGGTTCAACTCTGTGACTTGAATGCAGATATCACAAAGTAGTTTCTGAGAGGGCTTCTGTCTAGATTTTAGATGATGATATTCCCGTTTCCAACGAAATCATTAGAGCTATCCAAATATCCACTTACAGTTTCTACAAAAAGAGTGTTTCCAAACTGCTGCATCAAAAGAGAGGTTCCACTCTGTTAGCTGAGTACACACATCACAAACTTGTTTCTCAGAATCCTTCTGTCTCGTTTTTATGGGAAGATATTTACTTTTTCACCGTAGGCATCAAAGCGCTCCAAATGTCCACATCCAGATACTCCAGAAAGACTGTTTCAAACCTGCTCCATGAAAGGGAATCTTCAACTCTATGAGTTGAATGCAGACATCAGAAAGAAATTTCTGAGAATGCTGCTGTCTACCTTTTATTTGAATTCCCGCTTCCAACGAAATCCTCCAAGCTATCCAAATATCCACCTGCATTTTCCACAAAAAGAGTGTTTCAAACCTGCTCTATCAATAGAAATGTTCAACTCCTTTGGCTGGGTACACACATCACAAACAAGTTTCTGACAATGCTTCTGTCTAGTTTTTATGGGTAGACATTCCCTTTTTCACCAAAGGAATCAAAGCGCTCCAAATGTCCACTTCCAGACACTACAAAAAGAGTGTTTCAAACGTGCTCTAAGAAAGCGAATGTTCAACTCTGTGACTTGAATGCAGATATCACACAGTAGTTTCTGAGAGTGCTTCTGTCTAGATTTTAGATGATGATATTCCCGTTTCCAACGAAATCATTAGAGCTATCCAAATATCCACTTACAGTTTCTACAAAAAGAGTGTTTCCAAACTGCTGCATCAAAAGAGAGGTTCCACTCCGTTAGCTGAGTACACACATCACAAACTTGTTTCTCAGAATCCTTATGTCTCGTTTTTATGGGAAGATATTTACTTTTTCACCGTAGGCATCAAAGCGCTCCAAATGTCCACATCCAGATACTCCAGAAAGAGTGTTTCAAACCTGCTCTATGAAAGGGAATCTTCAACTCTATGAGTTTAATGCAGACATCAGAAAGAAATTTCTGAGAATGCTGCTGTCTACCTTTTATTTGAATTCCCGCTTCCAACGAAATCCTCCAAGCTATCCAAATATCCACTTGCATTTTCCACAAAAAGAGTGTTTCAAAACTGCTCTATCAATAGAAATGTTCAACTCCTTTAGCTGGGTACACACATCACAAACATGTTTCTGAGAATGCTTCTGTCTACTTCTTAAGGGAAGACATTTCCTTTTTAACCAAAGGCATCAAAGCGCTCCAAATGTCCACTTCCAGATTCTACAAAAAGAGTGTTTCAAACCTGCTCTAAGTAAGGGAGTTTTCAACTCTGTGACTGGAATGCAGATATCACAAAGTAGTTTCTGAGACTGATTCTGTGTATACTTTAGATGAAGGTATTCTCGTTTCCAACGATATCGTTAGACCTACCCAAATATCCACTTACAGTTTCTACAAAAAGAGTGTTTCCAAACTGCTGCATCTAAAGAAAGGTTCAACTCTGTGAGTTGAGGACACACATCACAAAGAAGTTTCTGAGAAAGCTTCTGTCTAGATTTTGTATGAAGATATTCCCTTTTCCATCGATATCGTTAAATCAACCCAAATATCAATTTGCAGAATCCACAGAAATAGAGTTTCAAAGCTGCTCTGTAAAAAGAAAGGATCCACTCTGTTAGCTGAGTACACACATCACAAACTTGTTTCTGAGAATCCTGCTGTCTACCTTTTATTTGAATTCCCGCTTCCAACGAAATCCTCCAAGCTATCCAAATATCCACTTGCAGATTCCACAAAAAGAGTGTTTCAAAACTGCTCTCTATCAATGGCAAAGTTCAACTCTGTTAGTTGAGGACACATATCACCAACAAGTTTCTGAGAATGCTTCTGTCTATTTTTTATGGGAAGATATTTCCTTTTTCACCGTAGGCATCAAGGCGATCGAAATGTCCACTTCCACAAACTACAAAAAGAGTGTTTCAAACCTGCTCTATGAAAGGCCATGTTCATCTCTATGAGTCGAATGGAAATATCCGAAAGAAATTTCTGGGAATGCTGCTGTCTAGTTTTTATACGAATTCCCGCTTCCAACGAAATCCTCAAAGCAATCCAAATATCCACTTGCAGAATCCACAAAAAGAGTGTTTCAAAACTGCTCTATCAATAGAAAGGTTCAACTCTTTTAGTTGAGTACACACATCACAAACAAGTTTCTGAGAATGCTTCTGTCTGGCTTTTATTGGAAGACGTTTCCTTTTCACCAAAGGCATCAAAGCGCTCCAAATGTCCACTTCCAGATTCTTCCAAAAGAGTGTTTGAAACGTGCTCAAAGTAAGGGAATGTTCAACTCTGTGACATGAATGCAGATATCACCAAGTAGTTTCTAATAGTGCTTCTGTCCAGATTTTACAGGATGATATTCCCGTTTCCAACGAAATCGTTAGAGCTATCCAAATATCCACTTACAGTTTCTACAAAAAGAGTGTTTCCAAACTGCTGCATCAAAAGAAAGGTTCAACTCTGTTAGTTGAGGACACACATCACAAAGAAGTTTGTGAGAATCCTTCTGTCTAGATTTTGTATGACGATATTCCCTTTTCCAACGATATCGTTAAAGCAATCTAAATATCCATTTGCAGAATCCACAAAAATAGAGTTTCAAAGCTGCTCTGTAAAAAGAAAGGTTCCACTTCTGTTAGCTGAGTACACACATCACAAACTTGTTTCTCAGAATCCTTCTGTCTCGTTTTTATGGGAAGTATATTTACTTTTCCACCGTAGGCATCAAAGCGCTCCAAATGTCCACATCCAGATACTCCAGAAAGAGTGTTTCAAACCTGCTCTATGAAAGGGAATCTTCAACTCTATGAGTTGAATGCAGACATCAGAAAGAAATTTCTGAGAATGCTGCTGTCTACCATTTATTTGAATTCCCGCTTCCAACGAAATCTTCCAACCTATCCAAATATCCACCTGCATTTTCCACAAAAAGAGTGTTTCAAAACTGCTCTATCAATAGAAATGTTCAACTCCTTTAGCTAGGTACACACATCACAAACAAGTTTCTGAGAATGCTTCTGTCTAGTTTTTATGGGAAGACATTCCCTTTTTCACCAAAGGCATCAAAGCGCTCCAAATGTCCACTTCCAGACACTACAAAAAGAGTGTTTCAAACGTGCTCTAAGAAAGCGAATGTTCAACTCTGTGACTTGAATGCAGATATCACAAAGTAGTTTTTGAGAGGGCTTCTGTCTAGTATTTTAGATGATGATATTCCCGTTTCCAACGAAATCATTAGAGCTATCCAAATATCCACTTACAGTTTCTACAAAAAGAGTGTTTCCAAACTGCTGCATCAAAAGAGAGGTTCCACTCTGTTAGCTGAGTACACACATCACAAACTTGTTTCTGAGAATCCTTCTGTCTAGTTTTTATGGGAAGATATTTACTTTTTCACCGTAGGTATCAAAGCGCTCCAAATGTCCACATCCAGATACTACAGAAAGAGTGTTTCAAACCTGCTCTATGAAAGGGAATCTTCAACTCTATGAGTTGAATGCAGACATCAGAAAGTAATTTCTGAGAATGCTGCTGTCTACCTTTTATTTGAATTCCCGATTCCAACGAAATCCTCCAAGCTATCCAAATATCCACTTGCATTTTCCACAAAAAGAGTTTTTCAAAACTGCTCTATCAATAGAAATGTTCAACTCCTTTAGCTGGGTACACACATCACAAACAAGTTTCTGAGAATGCTTCTGTCTAGTTTTTATGGGAAGACGTTCCCTTTTTCACCAAAGGCATCAAAGCGCTCCAAATGTCCACTTCCAGGCACTACAAAAAGAGTGTTTCCAACGTGCTCTAAGAAAGCGAATGTTCAACTCTGTGACTTGAATGCAGATATCACAAAGTAGTTTCTGAGAGGGCTTCTGTCTAGATTTTACATGATGATATTCCCGTTTCCAACGAAATCATTAGAGCTATCCAAATATCCACTTACAGTTTCTACAAAAAGAGTGTTTCCAAACTGCTGACATCAAAAGAGTGGTTCCACTCTGTTAGCTGAGTACACACATCACAAACTTGTTTCTGAGAATCCTTCTGTCTCGTTTTTATGGGAAGATATTTACTTTTTCACCGTAGGCATCAAAGCGCTCCAAATGTCCACATCCAGATACTACAGAAAGAGTATTTCAAACCTGCCCTATGAAAGGGAATGTTCAACTCTATGAGTTGAATGCAGACATCAGAAAGAAATTTCTGAGAATGCTGCTGTCTACCTTTTATTTGAATTCCCGCTTCCAACGAAATCCTCCAAGCTATCCAAATATCCACTTGCAGATTCCGGAAAAAGAGTGTTTCAAAACTGCTCTCTATCAATGGCAAAGTTCAACTCTGTTAGTTGAGGACACATATCACCAACAAGTTTCTGAGAATGCTTCTGTCTATTTTTTATGGGAAGATATTTCCTTTTTCACCGTAGGCGTCAAGGCGATCGAAATGTCCACTTCCACAAACTACAAAAAGAGTGTTTCAAACCTGCTCTATGAAAGGCCATGTTCATCTCTATGAGTTGAATGGAAATATCCGAAAGAAATTTCTGGGAATGCTGCTGTCTAGTTTTTATACGAATTCCCGCTTCCAACGAAATCCTCAAACAATCCAAATATCCACTTGCAGAATCGACAAAAAGAGTGTTTCAAAACTGCTCTATCAATAGAAAGGTTCAACTCTTTTAGTTGAGTACACACATCACGAACAAGTTTCTGAGAATGCTTCTGTCTGGCTTTTATTGGAAGACGTTTCCTTTTCACCAAAGGCATCAAAGCGCTCCAAATGTCCACTTCCAGATTCTTCCAAAAGAGTGTTTCAAACGTGCTCAAAGTAAGGGAATGTTCAACTCTGTGACTTGAATGCAGATATCACCAAGTAGTTTCTAATAGTGCTTCTGTCTAGATATTAGATGATGATATTCCCGTTTCCAACGAAATCGTTAGAGCTATCCAAATATCCAGTTACAGTTTCTACCAAAAGGGTGTTTCCAAATTGCTGCATCAAAAGAAAGGTTCAACTCTGTTAGTTGAGGACACACATCACAAAGAAGTTTGTGAGAATGCTTCTGTCTAGATTTTGTATGACGATATTCCCTTTTCCAACGATATCGTTAAAGCAATCTAAATATCAATTTGCAGAATCCACAAAAATAGAGTTTCAAAGCTGCTCTGTAAAAAGAAAGGTTCCACTCTGTTAGCTGAGTACACACATTACAAACTTGTTTCTCAGAATCCTCTGTCTCGTTTTTATGGGAAGATATTTACTTTTCCACCGTAGGCATCAAAGCGCTCCAAATGTCCACATCCAGATACTCCAGAAAGAGTGTTTCAAACCTGCTCTATGAAAGGGAATCTTCAACTCTATGAGTTGAATGCAGACATCAGAAAGAAATTTCTGAGAATGCTGGCTGTCTACCTTTTATTTGAATTCCCTCTTCCAACGAAATCCTCCAAGCTATCCAAATATTCACTTGCATTTTCCACAAAAAGAGTGTTTCAAAACTGCTCTATCAATAGAAATGTTCAACTCCTTTAGCTGGGTACACACATCACAAACAAGTTTCTGAGAATGCTTCTGTCTAGTTTTTATGGGAAGACATTCCCTTTTTCACCAAAGACATCAAAGCGCTCCAAATGTCCACTTCCAGACACTACAAAAAGAGTGTTTCCAACGTGCTCTAAGAAAGCGAATGTTCAACTCTGTGACTTGAATGCAGATATCACAAAGTAGTTTCTGAGAGTGCTTCTGTCTAGATTTTAGATGATGATAATCCCGTTTCCAACAAAATCATTAGAGCTATCCAAATATCCACTTACAGTTTCTACAAAAAGAGTGTTTCCAAACTGCTGCATCAAAAGAGAGGTTCCACTCTGTTAGCTGAGTACACACATCACAAACTTGTTTCTCAGAATCCTTCTGTCTCGTTTTTATGGGAAGATATTTACTTTTTCACCGTAGGCATCAAAGCGCTCCAAATGTCCACATCCAGATACTCCAGAAAGAGTGTTTCAAACCTGCTCTATGAAAGGGAATCTTCAACTCTATGAGTTGAATGCAGACATCAGAAAAAATTTCTGAGAATGCTGCTGTCTACCTTTAATTTGAATTCCCGCTTCCAACGAAATCCTCCAAGCTATCCAAATATCCACTTGCAGATTCCACAAAAAGAGTGTTTCAAAACTGCTCTCTATCAATGGCAAAGTTCAACTCTGTTAGTTGAGGACACATATCACCAACAAGTTTCTGAGAATGCTTCTGTCTATTGTTTATGGGAAGATATTTCCTTTTTCACCGTAGGCGTCAAGGCGATCGAAATGTCCACTTCCACAAACTACAAAAAGAGTGTTTCAAACCTGCTCTATGAAGGGCCATGTTCATCTCTATGAGTTGAATGGAAATATCCGAAAGAAATTTCTGGGAATGCTGCTGTCTAGTGTTTATACCGAATTCCCGCTTCCAACGAAATCCTCAAAGCAATCCAAATATCCACTTGCAGAATCCACAAAAAGAGTGTTTCAAAACTGCTCTATCAATAGAAAGGTTCAACTCTTTTAGTTGAGTACACACATCACGAACAAGTTTCTCAGAATGCTTCTGTCTGGCTTTTATTGGAAGACGTTTCCTTTTCACCAAAGGCATCAAAGCGCTCCAAATGTCCACTTCCAGATTCTTCCAAAAGAGTGTTTCAAACGTGCTCAAAGTAAGGGAATGTTCAACTCTGTGACTTGAATGCAGATATCACCAAGTAGTTTCTAATAGTGCTTCTGTCTAGATTTTAGATGATGATATTCCCGTTTCCAACGAAATCGTTAGAGCTATCCAAATATCCACTTACAGTTTCTACAAAAAGAGTGTTTCCAAACTGCTGCATCAAAAGAAAAGTTCAACTCTGTTAGTTGAGGACACACATCACAAAGAAGTTTGTGAGAATGCTTCTGTCTAGATTTTGTATGACCATATTCCCTTTTCCAGCGATATCATTAAAGCAATCTAAATATCCATTTGCAGAATCCACAAAAATAGAGTTCCAAAGCTGCTCTGTAAAAAGAAAGGTTCCACTCTGTTAGCTGAGTACACACATCACAAACTTGTTTCTCAGAATCCTTCTGTCTCGTTATTATGGGAAGATATTTACTTTTTCACCGTAGGCATCAAAGCGCTCCAAATGTCCACATCCAGATACTCCAGAAAGAGTGTTTCAAACCTGCTCTATGAAAGGGAATCTTCAACTCTATGAGTTGAATGCAGACATCAGAAAGAAATTTCTGAGAATGCTGCTGTCTACCTTTTATTTGAACTCCCGCTTCCAACGAAATCCTCCAAGCTATCCAAATATCCACTTGCATTTTCCACAAAAAGAGTGCTTCAAAACTGCTCTATCAATAAATGTTCAACTCCTTTAGCTGGGTGCACACATCACAAACAAGTTTCTGCGAATGCTTCTGTCTAGTTTTTATGGGAAGACATTCCCTTTTTCACCAAAGGCATCAAAGCGCTCCAAATGTCCACTTCCAGACACTACAAAAAGAGTGTTTCAAACGTGCTCTAAGAAAACGAATGTTCAACTCTGTGACTTGAATGCAGATATCACAGAGTAGTTTCTGAGAGGGCTTTCTGTCTAGATTTTAGATGATGATATTCCCGTTTCCAACGAAATCATTAGAGCTATCCAAATATCCACTTACAGTTTCTACAAAAAGAGTGTTTCCAAACTGCTGCTTCAAAAGAGAGGTTCCACTCTGTTAGCTGAGTACACACATCACAAACTTCTTTCTGAGAATCCTTCTGTGTCGTTTTTATGGCAAGATATTTACTTTTTCACCGTAGGCATCAAAGCGCTCCAAATGTCCACATCCAGATACTCCAGAAAGAGTGTTTCAAACCTGCTCTATGAAAGGGAATCTTCAACTCTATGAGTTGAATGCAGACATCAGAAAGAAATTTCTGAGAATGCTGCTGTCTACCTTTTATTTGAATTCCCGCTTCCAACGAAATCCTCCAAGCTATCCAAATATCCACTTGCAGATTCCACAAAAAGAGTGTTTCAAAACTGCTCTCTATCAATGGCAAAGTTCAACTCTGTTAGTTGAGGACACATATCACCAACAAGTTTCTGAGAATGCTTCTGTCTATTTTTTATGGGAAGATATTTCCTTTTTCAGCGTAGGCGTCAAGGCGATCGAAATGTCCACTTCCACAAACTACAAAAAGAGTGTTTCAAACCTGCTCTATGAAAGGCCATGTTCATCTCTATGAGTTGAATGGAAATATCCGAAAGAAATTTCTGGGAATGCTGCTGTCTAGTGTTTATACGAATTCCCGCTTCCAACGAAATCCTCTAAGCAATCCAAATATCCACTTGCAGAATCCACAAAAAGAGTGTTTCAAAACTGCGCTATCAATAGAAAGGTTCAACTCTTTTAGTTGAGTACACACATCACGAACAAGTTTCTGAGAATGCTTCTGTCTGGCTTTTATTGGAAGACGTTTCCTTTTCACCAAAGGCATCAAAGCGCTCCAAATGTCCACTTCCAGATTCTTCCAAAAGAGTGTTTCAAACGTGCTCAAAGTAAGGGAATGTTCAACTCTGTGACTTGAATGCAGATATCACCAAGTAGTTTCTAATAGTGCTTCTGTCTACATTTTAGATGATGATATTCCCGTTTCCAACGAAATCGTTAGAGCTATCCAAATATCCAGTTACAGTTTCTACCAAAAGGGTGTTTCCAAATTGCTGCATCAAAAGAAAGGTTCAACTCTGTTAGTTGAGGACACACATCACAAACAAGTTTGTGAGAATGCTTCTGTCTAGATTTTGTATGACGATATTCCCTTTTCCAACGATATCGTTAAAGCAATCTAAATATCAATTTGCAGAATCCAGAAAAATAGAGTTTCAAAGCTGCTCTGTAAAAAGAAATGTTCCACTCTGTTAGCTGAGTACACACATCACAAACTTGTTTCTGAGAATCCTTCTGTCTCGTTTTTATGGGAAGATATTTCCTTTTCCACCGTAGGCATCAAAGCGCTCCAAATGTCCACATCCAGATACTCCAGAAAGAGTGTTTCAAACCTGCTCTATGAAAGGGAATCTTCAACTCTATGAGTTGAATGCAGACATCAGAAAGAAATTTCTGAGAATGCTGCTGTCTACCTTTTATTTGAATTCCTGCTTCCAACGAAATCCTCCAAGCTATCCAAATATCCACCTGCATTTTCCACAACAAGAGTGTTTCAAAACTGCTCTATCAATAGAAATGTTCAACTCCTTTGGCTGGGTACACACATCACAAACAAGTTTCTGAGAATGCTTCTGTCTAGTTTTTATGGGAAGACATTCCCTTTTTCACCAAAGGCATCAAAGCGCTCCAAATGTCCACTTCCAGACACTACAAAAAGAGTGTTTCAAACGTGCTCTAAGAAAGCGAATGTTCAACTCTGTGACCTGAATGCAGATATCACAAAGTAGTTTCTGAGAGTGCTTCTGTCTAGATTTTAGTTGATGATATTCCCATTTCCAACGAAATCATTAGAGCTATCCAAATATCCACTTACAGTTTCTACAAAAAGAGTGTTTCCAAACTGCTGCATCAGAAGAGAGGTTCCACTCTGTTAGCTGAGTACACACATCACAAACTTGTTTCTGAGAATCCTTCTGTCTCGTTTTTATGGGAAGATATTTACTTTTTCTTCGTAGGCCTCAAAGCGCTCCAAATGTCCACATCCAGATACTACAGAAAGAGTATTTCAAACCTGCCCTATGAAAGGGAATGCTCAACTCTATGAGTTGAATGCAGACATCAGAAAGAAATTTCTGAGAATGCTGCTGTCTACCTTTTATTTGAATTACCGCTTCCAACGAAATCCTCCAAGCTATCCAAATATCCACTTGCAGATTCCACAAAAAGAGTGTTTCAAAACTGCTCTCTATCAATGGCAAAGTTCAACTCTGTTAGTTGAGGACACATATCACCAACAAGTTTCTGAGAGTGCTTCTGTCTATTTTTTATGGGAAGATATTTCCTTTTTCACCGTAGGCGTCAAGGCGATCGAAATGTCCACTTCCACAAACTACAAAAAGAGTGTTTCAAACCTGCTCTATGAAAGGCCATGTTCATCTCTATGAGTTGAATGGAAATATCCGAAAGAAATTTCTGGGAATGCTGCTGTCTAGTTTTTATATGAATTCCCGCTTCCAACGAAATCCTCAAAGCAATCCAAATATCCACTTGCAGAATCCACAAAAAGAGTGTTTCAAAACTGCTCTATCAATAGAAAGGTTCAACTCTTTTAGTTGAGTACACACATCACAAACAAGTTTCTGAGAATGCTTCTGTCTGGCTTTTATTGGAAGACGTTTCCTTTTCACCAAAGGCATCAAAGCGCTCCAAATGTCCACTTCCAGATTCTTCCAAAAGAGTGTTTCAAACGTGGTCGAAGTAAGGGAATGTTCAACTCTGTGACTTGAATGCAGATATCACCAAGTAGTTTCTAATAGTGTTTCTGTCTAGATTTTAGATGATGATATTCCCGTTTCCAACGAAATCGTTAGATCTATCCAAATATCCAGTTACAGTTTCTACAAAAAGAGTGTTTCCAAACTGCTGCATCAAAAGAAAGGTTCAACTCTGTTAGTTGAGGACACACATCACAAAGAAGTTTGTGAGAATGCTTCTGTCTAGATTTTGTATGACGGTATTCCCTTTTCCAACGATATCGTTAAAGCAATCTAAATATCAATTTGCAGAATCCACAACAATAGAGTTTCAAAGCTGCTCTGTAAAAAGAAAGGTTCCACTCTGTTAGCTGAGTACACACATCACAAATTTGTTTCTGAGAATCCTTCTGTCTCGTTTTTATGGGAAGATATTTACTTTTTCACCGTAGGCATCAAAGCGCTCCAAATGTCCACATCCAGATACTCCAGAAAGAGTGTTTCAAACCTGCTCTATGAAAGGGAATCTTCAACTCTATGAGTTGAATGCAGACATCAGAAAGAAATTTCTGAGAATGCTGGCTGTCTACCTTTTATTTGAATTCCCGCTTCCAACGAAAACCTCCAAGCTATCCAAATATCCACTTGCAGATTCCACAAAAAGAGTGTTTCAAAACTGCTCTATCAATAGAAATGTTCAACTCCTTTCGCTGGGTTCACACATCACAAACAAGTTTCTGAGAATGCTTCTGTCTAGTTTTTATGGAAAGACATTTCCTTTTTCACCAAAGGCATCAAAGAGCTCCAAATGTCCACTTCCAGATACTACAAAAAGAGTGTTTCAAAAGTGCTCTAAGAAAGCGAATGTTCAACTCTGTGACTTGAATGCAGATATCACAAAGTAGTTTCTGAGAGTGCTTCTGTCTAGATTTTAGATGATGATATTCCCGTTTCCAACGAAATCATTAGAGCTTTCCAAATATCCACTTACAGTTTCTACAAAAAGAGTGTTTCCAAACTGCTGCGTCAAAAGAGAGGTTCCACTCTGTTAGCTGAGTACACACATCACAAACTTGTTTCTGAGAATCCTTCTGTCTAGTTTTTATGGGAAGATATTTACTTTTTCACCGTAGGCATCAAAGCGTTACAAATGTCCACATCCAGATAGTACAGAAAGAATGTTTCAAACCTGCTCTATGAAAGGGAATGTTCAACTCTATGAGTTGAATGCAAACATCACAAAGAAATTTCTGAGAATGCTGCTGTCTACCTTTTATTTGAATTCCCGCTTCCAACGAAATCCTCCAAGCTATCCAAATATCCACTTGCAGATTCCACAAAAAGAGTGTTTCAAAACTGCTCTCTATCAATGGCAAAGTTCAACTCTGTTAGTTGAGGACACATATCACCAACAAGTTTCTGAGAATGCTTCTGTCTATTTTTTATGGGAAGATATTTCCTTTTTCACCGTAGGCGTCAAGGCGATCGAAATGTCCACTTCCACAAACTACAAAAAGAGTGTTTCAAACCTGCTCTATGAAAGGCCATGTTCATCTCTATGAGTTGAATGGAAATATCCGAAAGAAATTTCTGGGAATGCTGCTGTCTAGTGTTTATACCAAATTCCCGCTTCCAACGAAATCCTCAAAGCAATCCAAATATCCACTTGCAGAATCCACAAAAAGAGTGTTTCAAAACTGCTCTATCAATAGAAAGGTTCAACTCTTTTAGTTGAGTACACACATCACGAACAAGTTTCTGAGAATGCTTCTGTCTGGCTTTTATTGGAAGACGTTTCCTTTTCACCAAAGGCATCAAAGCGCTCCAAATGTCCACTTCCAGATTCTTCCAAAAGAGTGTTTCAAACGTGCTCAAAGTAAGGGAATGTTCAACTCTGTGACTTGAATGCAGATATCACCAAGTAGTTTCTAATAGTGCTTCTGTCTAGATTTTAGATGATGATATTCCCGTTTCCAACGAAATCGTTAGAGCTATCAAAATATCCACTTACAGTTTCTACCAAAAGGGTGTTTCCAAACTGCTGCATTAAAAGAAAGGTTCAACTCTGTTAGTTGAGGACACACATCACAAAGAAGTTTGTGAGAATGCTTCTGTCTAGATTTTGTATGACGATATTCCCTTTTCCAACGATATCGTTAAAGCAATCTCAATATCAATTTGCAGAATCCACAAAAATAGAGTTTCAAAGCTGCTCTGTAAAAAGAAAGGTTCCACTCTGTTAGCTGAGTACACACATCACAAACTTGTTTCTGAGAATCCTTCTGTCTCGTTTTTATGGGAAGATATTTACTTTTTCACCGTAGGCATCAAAGCCCTCCAAATGTCCACATCCAGATACTCCAGAAACAGTGTTTCAAACCTGCTCTATGAAAGGGAATCTTCAACTCTATGAGTTGAATGCAGACATCAGAAAGAAATTTCTGAGAATGCTGCTGTCTACCTTTTATTTGAATTCCCGCTTCCAACGAAATCCTCCAAGCTATCCAAATATCCACCTGCATTTTCCACAACAAGAGTGTTTCAAAACTGCTCTATCAATAGAAATGTTCAACTCCTTTGGCTGGGTACACACATCACAAACAAGTTTGTGAGAATGCTTCTGTCTAGTTTTTATGGGTAGACATTCCCTTTTTCACCAAAGGCATCAAAGCGCTCCAAATGTCCACTTCCAGACACTACAAAAAGAGTGTTTCAAACGTGCTCTAAGAAAGCGAATGTTCAACTCTGTGACTTGAATGCAGATATCACAAAGTAGTTTCTGAGAGGGCTTCTGTCTAGATTTTAGATGATGATATTCCCGTTTCCAACCGAAATCATTAGAGCTATCCAAATATCCACTTACAGTTTCTACAAAAAGAGTGTTTCCAAACTGCTGCATCAAAAGAGAGGTTCCACTCTGTTAGCTGAGTACACACATCACAAACTTGTTTCTCAGAATCCTTCTGTCTCGTTTTTATGGGAAGATATTTACTTTTTCACCGTAGGCATCAAACCGCTCCAAATGTCCACATCCAGATACTCCAGAAAGAGTGTTTCAAACCTGCTCTATGAAAGGGAATCTTCAACACTATGAGTTGAATGCAGACATCAGAAAGAAATTTCTGAGAATGCTGCTGTCTACCTTTTATTTGAATTCCCGCTTCCAACGAAATCCTCCAAGCTATCCAAATATCCACTTGCAGATTCCACAAAAAGAGTGTTTCAAAACTGCTCTCTATCAATGGCAAAGTTCAACTCTGTTAGTTGAGGACACATATCACCAACAAGTTTCTGAGAATGCTTCTGTCTATTTTTTATGGGAAGATATTTCCTTTTTCACCGTAGGCGTCAAGGCGATCGAAATGTCCACTTCCACAAACTACAAAAAGAGTGTTTCAAACCTGCTCTATGAAAGGCCATGTTCATCTCTATGAGTCGAATGGAAATATCCGAAAGAAATTTCTGGGAATGCTGCTGTCTAGTTTTTATACGAATTCCTGCTTCCAACGAAATCCTCAAAGCAATCCAAATATCCACTTGCAGAATCCACAAAAAGAGTGTTTCAAAACTGCTCTATCAATAGAAAGGTTCAACTCTTTTAGTTGAGTACACACATCACAAACAAGTTTCTGTTAATGCTTCTGTCTGGCTTTTATTGGAAGACGTTTCCTTTTCACCAAAGGCATCAAAGCGCTCCAAATGTCCACTTCCAGATTCTACCAAAAGAGTGTTTCAAACGTGCTCATAGTAAGGGAATGTTCAACTCTGTGACTTGAATGCAGATATCACCAAGTAGTTTCTAATAGTGCTTCTGTCTAGATTTTAGATGATGATATTCCCGTTTCCAACGAAATCGTTAGAGCTATCCAAATATCCACTTACAGTTGCTACAAAAACAGTGTTTCCAAACTGCTGCATCAAAAGAAAGGTTCAACTCTGTTAGTTGAGGACACACATCACAAAGAAGTTTGTGAGAATGCTTCTGTCTAGATTTTGTATGACGATATTCCCTTTTCCAACGATATCGTTAAAGCAATCTAAATATCCATTTGCAGAATCCACAAAAATAGAGTTTCAAAGCTGCTCTGTAAAAAGAAAGGTTCCACTCTGTTAGCTGAGTACACACATCGCAAACTTGTTTCTCAGAATCCTGCTGTCTACCTTTTATTTGAATTCCCGCTTCCAACGAAATCCTCCAAGCTATCCAAATATCCACTTGCATTTTCCACAAAAAGAGTGTTTCAAAACTGCTCTATCAATAGAAATGTTCAACTCCTTTAGTTGGGTACACACATCACAAACAAGTTTCTGAGAATGCTTGTGTCTAGTTTTTATGGGAAGACATTCCCTTTTTCACCAAAGGCATCAAAGCGCTCCAAATGTCCACTTCCAGACACTACAAAAAGAGTGTTTCCAACGTGCTCTAAGAAAGCGAATATTCAACTCTGTGACTTGAATGCAGATATCACAAAGTAGTTTCTGAGAGTGCTTCTGTCTAGATTTTAGATGATGATATTCCCGTTTCCAACAAAATCATTAGAGCTTCCAAATATCCACTTACAGTTTCTACAAAAAGAGTGTTTCCAAACTGCTGCATCAAAAGAGAGGTTCCACTCTGTTAGCTGAGTATACACATCACAAACTTGTTTCTCAGAATCCTTCTGTCTCGTTTTTATGGGAAGATATTTACTTTTTCACCGTAGGCATCAAAGCGCTCCAAATGTCCACATCCAGATACTCCAGAAAGAGTGTTTCAAACCTGCTCTATGAAAGGGAATCTTCAACTCTATGAGTTGAATGCAGACATCAGAAAAAAATTTCTGAGAATGCTGCTGTCTACTTTTTATTTGAATTCCCGCTTCCAACGAAATCCTCCAAGCTATCCAAATATCCACTTGCAGATTCCACAAAAAGAGTGTTTCAAAACTGCTCTCTATCAATGGCAAAGTTCAACTCTGTTAGTTGAGGACACATATCACCAACAAGTTTCTGAGAATGTTTCTGTCTATTTTTTATGGGAAGATATTTCCTTTTTCACCGTAGGCGTCAAGGCGATCGAAATGTCCACTTCCACAAACTACAAAAAGAGTGTTTCAAACCTGCTCTATGAAAGGCCATGTTCATCTCTATGAGTTGAATGGAAATATCCGAAAGAAATTTCTGGGAATGCTGCTGTCTAGTTTTTATACGAATTCCCGCTTACAACAAAATCCTCAAAGCAATCCAAATATCCACTTGCAGAATCCACAAAAAGAGTGTTTCAAAACTGCTCTATCAATAGAAAGGTTCAACTCTTTTAGTTGAGTACACACATCACAAACAAGTTTCTGAGAATGCTTCTGTCTGGCTTTTATTGGAAGACGTTTCCTTTTCACCAAAGGCATCAAAGCGCTCCAAATGTCCACTTCCAGATTCTTCCAAAAGAGTGTTTCAAACGTGCTCAAAGTAAGGGAATGTTCAACTCTGTGACTTGAATGCAGATATCACCAAGTAGTTTCTAATAGTGCTTCTGTCTAGATTTTAGATGATGATATTCCCGTTTCCAACGAAATCTTTAGAGCTATCCAAATATCCACTTACAGTTTCTACAAAAAGAGTGTTTCCAAACTGCTGCATCAAAAGAAAGGTTCAACTCTGTTAGTTGAGGACACACATCACAAAGAAGTTTGTGAGAATGCTTCTGTCTAGATTTTGTATGACGATATTCCCTTTTCCAACGATATCGTTAAAGCAATCTAAATATCAATTTGCAGAATCCACAAAACTAGAGTTTCAAAGCTGCTCTGTAAAAACAAAGGTTCCACTCTGTTAGCTGAGTACACACATCACAAACTTGTTTCTGAGAATCCTTCTGTCTCGTTTTTATGGGAAGATATTTACTTTTCCACCGTAGGCATCAAAGCGCTCCAAATGTCCACATCCAGATACTCCAGAACGAGTGTTTCAAACCTCCTCTATGAAAGGGAATCCTCAACTCTATGAGTTGAATGCAGACATCAGAAAGAAATTTCTGAGAATGCTGCTGTCTACCTTTTATTTGAATTCCCGCTTCCAACGAAATCCTCCAAGCTATCCAAATATCCACCTGCATTTTCCACAACAAGAGTGTTTCAAAACTGCTCTATCAATAGAAATGTTCAACTGCTTTGGCTGGGTACACACATCACAAACAAGTTTCTGAGAATGCTTCTGTCTAGTTTTTATGGGAAGACATTCCCTTTTTCACCAAAGGCATCAAAGCGCTCCAAATGTCCACTTCCAGACACTACAAAAAGAGTGTTTCAAACGCGCTCTAAGAAAGCGAATGTTCAACTCTGTGACTTGAATGCAGATATCACAAAGTAGTTTCTGAGAGTGCTTCTGTCTAGATTTTAGATGATGATATTCCCGTTTCCAACGAAATCATTAGAGCTATCCAAATATCCACTTACAGTTTCTACAAAAAGAGTGTTTCCAAACTGCTGCATCAAAGGAGAGGTTCCAATCTGTTAGCTGAGTACAAACATCACAAACTTGTTTCTCAGAATCCTGCTGTCTACCTTTTATTTGAATTCCCGCTTCCAACGAAATCCTCCAAGCTATCCAAATATCCACTTGCAGATTCCACAAAAAGAGTGTTTCAAAACTGCTCTCTATCAATGGCAAAGTTCAACTCTGTTAGTTGAGGACACATATCACCAACAAGTTTCTGAGAATGCTTCTGTCTATTTTTTATGGGAAGATATTTCCTTTTTCAGCGTAGGCGTCAAGGCGATCGAAATGTCCACTTCCACAAACTACAAAAAGAGTGTTTCAAACCTGCTCTATGAAAGGCCATGTTCATCTCTATGAGTTGAATGGAAATATCCGAAAGAAATTTCTGGGAATGCTGCTGTCTAGTGTTTATACGAATTCCCGCTTCCAACGAAATCCTCAAAGCAATCCAAATATCCACTTGCAGAATCCACAAAAAGAGTGTTTCAAAACTGCTCTATCAATAGAAAGGTTCAACCCTTTTAGTTGAGTACACACATCACGAACAAGTTTCTGAGAATGCTTCTCTCTGGCTTTTATTGGAAGACGTTTCCTTTTCACCAAAGGCATCAAAGCGCTCCAAATGTCCACTTCCAGATTCTTCCAAAAGAGTGTTTCAAACGTGCTCAAAGTAAGGGAATGTTCAACTCTGTGACTTGAATGCAGATATCACCAAGTAGTTTCTAATAGTGCTTCTGTCTACATTTTAGATGATTATATTCCCGTTTCCAACGAAATCGTTAGAGCTATCCAAATATCCAGTTACAGTTTCTACCAAAAGGGTGTTTCCAAATTGCTGCATCAAAAGAAAGGTTCAACTCTGTTAGTTGAGGACACACATCACAAAGAAGTTTGTGAGAATGCTTCTGTCCAGATTTTGTATGACGATATTCCCTTTTCCAATGATATCGTTAAAGCAATCTAAATATCAATTTGCAGAATCCACAAAAATAGAGTTTCAAAGCTGCTCTGTAAAAAGAAAGGTTCCACTCTGTTAGCTGAGTACACACATCACAAACTTGTTTCTGAGAATCCTCTGTCTCGTTTTTATGGGAAGATATTTACTTTTCCACCGTAGGCATCAAAGCGCTCCAAATGTCCACATCCAGATACTCCAGAACGAGTGTTTCAAACCTGCTCTATGAAAGGGAATCTTCAACTCTATGAGTTGAATGCAGACATCAGAAAGAAATTTCTGAGAATGCTGGCTGTCTACCTTTTATTTGAATTCCCGCTTGCAACGAAATCCTCCAAGCTATCCAAATATCCACCTGCATTTTCCACAACAAGAGTGTTTCAAAACTGCTCTATCAATAGAAATGTTCAACTCCTTTGGCTGGGTACACACATCACAAACAAGTTTCTGAGAATGCTTCTGTCTAGTTTTTATGGGAAGACATTTCCTTTTTCACCAAAGGCATCAAAGAGCTCCAAATGTCCACTTCCAGATACTACAAAAAGAGTGTTTCAAAAGTGCTCTCAGAAAGCGCATGTTCAACTCTGTGACTTGAATGCAGATATCAAAAAGTAGTTTCTGAGAGTGCTTCTGTCTAGATTTTAGATGATGATATTCCCGTTTCCAACGAAATCATTAGAGCTATCCAAATATCCACTTACAGTTTCTACAAAAAGAGTGTTTCCAAACTGCTGCATCAAAAGAGAGGTTCCACTCTGTTAGCTGAGTACACACATCACAAACTTGTTTCTGAGAATCCTTCTGTGTCGTTTTTATGGGAAGATATTTACTTTTTCACCGTAGGCATCAAAGCGCTCCAAATGTCCACATCCAGATACTCCAGAAAGAGTGTTTCAAACCTGCTCTATGAAAGGGAATCTTCAACTCTATGAGGTTGAATGCAGACATCAGAAAGAAATTTCTGAGAATGCTGCTGTCTACCTTTTATTTGAATTCCCGCTTCCAACGAAATCCTCCAAGCTATCCAAATATCCACTTGCAGATTCCACAAAAAGAGTGTTTCAAAACTGCTCTCTATCAATGGCAAAGTTCAACTCTGTTAGTTGAGGACACATATCACCAACAAGTTTCTGAGAATGCTTCTGTCTATTTTTTATGGGAAGATATTTCCTTTTTCACCGTAGGCGTCAAGGCGATCGAAATGTCCACTTCCACAAACTACAAAAAGAGTGTTTCAAACCTGCTCTATGAAAGGCCATGTTCATCTCTATGAGTCGAATGGAAATATCCGAAAGAAATTTCTGGGAATGCTGCTGTCTAGTGTTTATATGAATTCCCGCTTCCAACGAAATCCTCAAAGCAATCCAAATATCCACTTGCAGAATCCACAAAAAGAGTGTTTCAAAACTGCTCTATCAATAGAAAGGTTCAACTCTTTTAGTTGAGTACACACATCACAAAAAAGTTTCTGAGAATGCTTCTGTCTGGCTTTTATTGGAAGACGTTTCCTTTTCACCAAAGGCATCAAAGCGCTCCAAATGTCCACTTCCAGATTCTTCCAAAAGAGTGTTTGAAACGTACTCAAAGTAAGGGAATGTTCAACTCTGTGACTTGAATGCAGATATCACCAAGTAGTTTCTAATAGTGCTTCTGTCTAGATTTTAGATGATGATATTCCCGTTTCCAACGAAATCGTTAGAGCTATCCAAATATACAGTTACAGTTTCTACCAAAAGGGTGTTTGCAAACTGCTGCATCAAAAGAAAGGTTCAACTCTGTTAGTTGAGGACACACATCACAAAGAAGTTTGTGAGAATGCTTCTGTCCAGATTTTGTATGACGATATTCCCTTTTCCAACGATATCATTAAAGCAATCTAAATATCCATTTGCAGAATCCACAAAAATAGAGTTTCAAAGCTGCTCTGTAAAAAGAAAGGTTCCACTCTGTTAGCTGAGTACACACATCACAAACTTGTTTCTCAGAATCCTGCTGTCTACCTTTTATTTGAATTCCCGCTTCCAACGAAATCCTCCAAGCTATCCAAATATCCACTTGCAGATTCCACAAAAAGAGTGTTTCAAAACTGCTCTCTATCAATGGCAAAGTTCAACTCTGTTAGTTGAGGACACATATCACCAACAAGTTTCTGAGAATGCTTCTGTCTATTTTTTATGGGAAGATATTTCCTTTTTCAGCGTAGGCGTCAAGGCGATCGAAATGTCCACTTCCACAAACTACAAAAAGAGTGTTTCAAACCTGCTCTATGAAAGGCCATGTTCACCTCTATGAGTTGAATGGAAATATCCGAAAGAAATTTCTGGGAATGCTGCTGTCTAGTTTTTATATGAATTCCCGCTTCCAACGAAATCCTCAAAGCAATCCAAATATCCACTTGCAGAATCCACAAAAAGAGTGTTTCAAAACTGCTCTATCAATAGAAAGGTTCACCTCTTTTAGTTGAGTACACACATCACAAACAAGTTTCTGAGAATGCTTCTGTCTGGCTTTTATTGGAAGACGTTTCCTTTTCACCAAAGGCATCAAAGCGCTCCAAATGTCCACTTCCAGATTCTTCCAAAAGAGTGTTTGAAACGTGCTCAAAGTAAGGGAATGTTCAACTCTGTGACTTGAATGCAGATATCACCAAGTAGTTTCTAATAGTGTTTCTGTCTAGATTTTAGATGATGATATTCCCGTTTCCAATGAAATCGTTAGAGCTATCCAAATATCCACTTACAGTTTCTACAAAAACAGTGTTTCCAAACTGCTGCATCAAAAGAAAAGTTCAACTCTGTTAGTTGAGGACACACATCACAAAGAAGTTTGTGAGAATGCTTCTGTCTAGATTTTGTATGACGATATTCCCTTTTCCAATGATATCGTTAAAGCAATCTAAATATCAATTTGCAGAATCCACAACAATAGAGTTTCAAAGCTGCTCTGTAAAAAGAAAGGTTCCACTCTGTTAGCTGAGTACACACATCACAAACTTGTTTCTGAGAATCCTTCTGTCTCGTTTTTATGGGAAGATATTTACTTTTTCACCGTAGGCATCAAAGTGCTCCAAATGTCCACATCCAGATACTCCAGAAAGAGTGTTTCAAACCTGCTCTATGAAAGGGAATGTTCAACTCTATGAGTTGAATGCAGACATCAGAAAGAAATTTCTGAGAATGCTGCTGTCTACCTTTTATTTGAATTCCCGCTTCCAACGAAATCCTCCAAGCTATCCAAATATCCACTTGCAGATTCCACAAAAAGAGTGTTTCAAAACTGCTCTCTATCAATGGCAAAGTTCAACTCTGTTAGTTGAGGACACATATCACCAACAAGTTTCTGAGAATGCTTCTGTCTATTTTTTATGGGAAGATATTTCCTTTTTCACCGTAGGTGTCAAGGCGATCGAAATGTCCACTTCCACAAACTACAAAAAGAGTGTTTCAAACCTGCTCTATGAAAGGCCATGTTCATCTCTATGAGTCGAATGGAAATATCCGAAAGAAATTTCTGGGAATGCTGCTGTCTAGTTTTTATACCGAATTCCCGCTTCCAACGAAATCCTCAAAGCAATCCAAATATCCACTTGCAGAATCCACAAAAAGAGTGTTTCAAAACTGCTCTATCAATAGAAAGGTTCAACTCTTTTAGTTGAGTACACACATCACAAACAAGTTTCTGAGAATGCTTCTGTCTGGCTTTTATTGGAAGACGTTTCCTTTTCACCAAAGACATCAAAGCGCTCCAAATGTCCACTTCCAGATTCTTCCAAAAGAGTGTTTCAAACGTGCTCAAAGTAAGGGAATGTTCAACTCTGTGACTTGAATGCAGATATCACCAAGTAGTTTCTAATAGTGCTTCTGTGTATACTTTAGATGAAGGTATTCCCGTTTCCAATGATATCGTTAGACCTACCCAAATATCCACTTACAGTTTCTACAAAAAAAGTGTTTCCAAACTGCTGCATCT
This sequence comes from Homo sapiens, assembly GCF_000001405.40. Classification (NCBI taxonomy): domain Eukaryota; kingdom Metazoa; phylum Chordata; class Mammalia; order Primates; family Hominidae; genus Homo; species Homo sapiens. Next base: position 14,524,420 of record NC_000022.11, on the reverse strand, counting down.
AAAGAAAGGTTCAACTCTGTGAGTTGAGGACACACATCACAGAGAAGTTTCTGAGAAAGCTTCTGTCCAGATTTTGTATGACGATATTCCCTTTTCCAACGATATCGTTAAAGCAATCTAAATATCCATTTGCAGAATCCACAAAAATAGAGTTTCAAAGCTGCTCTGTCAAAAGAAAGGTTCCACTCTGTTAGCTGAGTACACACATCACAAACTTGTTTCTGAGAATCCTTTCTGTCTCGTTTTTCTGGGAAGATATTTACTTTTTCACCGTAGGCATCAAAGCGCTCCAAATGTCCACATCCAGATACTCCAGAAAGAGTGTTTCAAACCTGCTCTATGAAAGGGAATCTTCAACTCTATGAGTTGAATGCAGACATCAGAAAGAAATTTCTGAGAATGCTGCTGTCTACCTTTTATTTGAACTCCCGCTTCCAACGAAATCCTCCAAGCTATCGAAATATCCACTTGCATTTTCCACAAAAAGAGTGCTTCAAAACTGCTCTATCAATAGAAATGTTCAACTCCTTTAGCTGGGTGCACACATCACAAACAAGTTTCTGAGAATGCTTCTGTCTATTTTTTATGGGAAGATATTTCCTTTTTCACTGTAGGCGTCAAGGAGATCGAAATGTCCACTTCCACAAACTACAAAAAGAGTGTTTCAAACCTGCTCTATGAAAGGCGATGTTCATCTCAATGAGTTGAATGGAAATATCCGAAAGAAATTTCTGGGAATGCTGCTGTCTAGTTTTTATATGAATTCCCGCTTCCAACGAAATCCTCAAAGCAATCCAAATATCCACTTGCAGAATCCACAAAAAGAGTGTTTCAAAACCGCTCTATCAATAGAAAGGTTCAACTCTTTTAGTTGAGTACACACATCACAAACAAGTTTCTGAGAATGCTTCTGTCTGGCTTTTATTGGAAGACGTTTCCTTTTCACCAAAGGCATCAAAGTGCTCCAAATGTCCACTTCCAGATTCTTCCAAAAGAGTGTTTCAAACGTGGTCGAAGTAAGGGAATGTTCTACTCTGTGACTTGAATGCAGATATCACCAAGTAGTTTCTAATAGTGCTTCTGTCTAGATTTTAGATGATGATATTCCCGTTTCCAACGAAATCGTTAGATCTATCCAAATATCCACTTACAGTTGCTACAAAAACAGTGTTTCCAAACTGCTGCATCAAAAGAAAGGTTCAACTCTGTTAGTTGAGGACACACGTCACAAAGAAGTTTGTGAGAATGCTTCTGTCTAGATTTTGTATGAAGATATTCCCTTTTCCAACGATATCGTTAAATCAACCCAAATATCAATTTGCAGAATCCACAGAAATAGAGTTTCAAAGCTGCTCTGTAAAAAGAAAGGATCCACTCTGTTAGCTGAGTACACACATCACAAACTTGTTTCTGAGAATACTCTGTCTCGTTTTTATGGGAAGATATTTACTTTTCACCGTAGGCATCAAAGCGCTCCAAATGTCCACATCCAGATACTCCAGAAAGAGTGTTTCAAACCTGCTCTATGAAAGGGAATCTTCAACTCTATGAGTTGAATGCAGACATCAGAAAGAAATTTCTGAGAATGCTGCTGTCTACCTTTTATTTGAATTCCCGCTTCCAACGAAATCCTCCAAGCTATCCAAATATCCACTTGCAGATTCCACAAAAAGAGTGTTTCAAAACTGCTCTCTATCAATGGCAAAGTTCAACTCTGTTAGTTGAGGACACATATCACCAACAAGTTTCTGAGAATGCTTCTGTCTATTTTTTATGGGAAGATATTTCCTTTTTCACCGTAGGCGTCAAGGCGATCGAAATGTCCACTTCCACAAACTACAAAAAGAGTGTTTCAAACCTGCTCTATGAAAGGCCATGTTCTTCTCTATGAGTTGAATGGAAATATCCGAAAGAAATTTCTGGTAATGCTTCTGTCTGGCTTTTATTGGAAGACGTTTCCTTTTCACCAAAGGCATCAAAGCGCTCCAAATGTCCACTTCCAGATTCTTCCAAAAGAGTGTTTCAAACGTGCTCGAAGTAAGGGAATGTTCAACTCTGTGACTTGAATGCAGATATCACCAAGAAGTTTCTAATAGTGCTTCTGTCTAGATTTTAGATGATGATATTCCCGTTTCCAACGAAATCGTTAGAGCTATCCAAATATCCACTTACAGTTTCTACCAAAAGGGTGTTTCCAAACTGCTGCATCAAAAGAAAGGTTCAACTCTGTTAGTTGAGGACACACATCACAAAGAAGTTTGTGAGAATTCTTCTGTCCAGATTTTGTATGACCATATTCCCTTTTCCAACGATATCGTTAAAGCAATCTAAATATCCATTTGCAGAATCCACAAAAATAGAGTTTCAAAGCTGCTCTGTAAAAAGAAAGGTTCCACTCTGTTAGCTGAGTACACACATCACAAACTTGTCTCTCAGAATCCTGCTGTCTACCTTTTATTTGAATTCCCGCTTCCAACGAAATCCTCCAAGCTATCCAAATATCCACCTGCATTTTCCACAACAAGAGTGTTTCAAAACTGCTCTATCAATAGAAATGTTCAACTCCTTTGGCTGTGTACACACATCACAAACAAGTTTCTGAGAATGCTTCTGTCTAGTTTTTATGGGAAGACGTTCCCTTTTTCACCAAAGGCATCAAAGCGCTCCAAGTGTCCACTTCCAGACACTACAAAAAGAGTGTTTCCAACGTGCTCTAAGAAAGCGAATGTTCAACTCTGTGACTTGAATGCAGATATCACAAAGTAGTTTCTGAGAGGGCTTCTGTCTAGATTTTAGATGATGATATTCCCGTTTCCAACGAAATCATTAGAGCTATCCAAATATCCACTTACAGTTTCTACAAAAAGAGTGTTTCCAAACTGCTGCATCAAAACAGAGGTTCCACTCTGTTAGCTGAGTACACACATCACAAACTTGTTTCTCAGAATCCTTCTGTCTCGTTTTTATGGGAAGATATTTACTTTTTCACCGTAGGCATCAAAGCGCTCCAAATGTCCACATCCAGATACTACAGAAAGAGTATTTCAAACCTGCCCTATGAAAGGGAATGTTCAACTCTATGAGTTGAATGCAGAGATCAGAAAGAAATTTCTGAGAATGCTGCTGTCTACCTTTTATTTGAATTCCCGCTTCCAACGAAATCCTCCAAACTATCCAAATATCCACTTGCAGATTCCACAAAAAGAGTGTTTCAAAACTGCTCTCTATCAATGGCAAAGTTCAACTCTGTTAGTTGAGGACACATATCACCAACAAGTTTCTGAGAATGCTTCTGTCTATTTTTTATGGGAAGATATTTCCTTTTTCACCGTAGGCGTCAAGGCGATCGAAATGTCCACTTCCACAAACTACAAAAAGAGTGTTTCAAACCTGCTCTATGAAAGGCCATGTTCATCTCTATGAGTTGAATGGAAATATCCGAAAGAAATTTCTGGGAATGCTGCTGTCTAGTTGTTATACGAATTCCCGCTTCCAACGAAATCCTCAAAGCAATCCAAATATCCACTTGCAGAATCCACAAAAAGAGTGTTTCAAAACTGCTCTATCAATAGAAAGGTTCAACTCTTTTAGTTGAGTACACACATCTCAAACAAGTTTCTGAGAATGCTTCTGTCTGGCTTTTATTGGAAGACGTTTCCTTTTCACCAAAGGCATCAAAGCGCTCCAAATGTCCACTTCCAGATTCTTCCAAAAGAGTGTTTCAAACGTGCTCAAAGTAAGGGAATGTTCAACTCTGTGACTTGAATGCAGATATCACCAAGTAGTTTCTAATAGTGCTTCTGTCTAGCATTTTAGATGATGATATTCCCGTTTCCAACGAAATCGTTAGAGCTATCCAAATATCCACTTACAGTTTCTACCAAAAGGGTGTTTCCAAACTGCTGCATCAAAAGAAAGGTTCAACTCTGTTAGTTGAGGACACACATCACAAAGAAGTTTGTGAGAATGCTTCTGTCTAGATTTTGTATGAAGATATTCCCTTTTCCAACGATGTCGTTAAATCAACCCAAATATCAATTTGCAGAATCCACAGAAATAGAGTTTCAAAGCTGCTCTGTAAAAAGAAAGGATCCACTCTATTAGCTGAGTACACACATCACAAACTTGTTTCTGAGAATCCTTCTGTCTAGTTTTTACGGGAAGATATTTCCTTTTTCACCGTATGTATCAAAGCGCTCCAAATGTCCACATCCAGATACTACAGAAAGAGTGTTTCAAACCTGCTCTATGAAAGGGAATCTTCAACTCTATGAGTTGAATGCAGACATCAGAAAGAAATTTCTGAGAATGCTGCTGTCTACCTTTTATTTGAATTCCCGCTTCCAACGAAATCCTCCAAGCTATCCAAATATCCACTTGCAGATTCCACAAAAAGAGTGTTTCAAAACTGCTCTCTATCAATGGCAAAGTTCAACTCTGTTAGTTGAGGACACATATCACCAACAAGTTTCTGAGAATGCTTCTGTCTATTGTTTATGGGAAGATATTTCCTTTTTCACCGTAGGCGTCAAGGCTATCGAAATGTCCACTTCCACAAACTACAAAAAGAGTGTTTCAAACCTGCTCTATGAAAGGCCATGTTCATCTCTATGAGTTGAATGGAAATATCCGAAAGAAATTTCTGGGAATGCTGCTGTCTAGTGTTTATACGAATTCCCGCTTCCAACGAAATCCTCAAAGCAATCCAAATATCCACTTGCAGAATCCACAAAAAGAGTGTTTCAAAACTGCTCTATCAATAGAAAGGTTCAACTCTTTTAGTTGAGTACACACATCACGAACAAGTTTCTGAGAATGCTTCTGTCTGGCTTTTATTGGAAGACGTTTCCTTTTCACCAAAGGCATCAAAGCGCTCCAAATGTCCACTTCCAGATTCTTCCAAAAGAGTGTTTCAAACGTGCTCAAAGTAAGGTAATGTTCAACTCTGTGACTTGAATGCAGATATCACCAAGTAGTTTCTAATAGTGCTTCCGTCTAGATTTCAGATGATGATATTCCCGTTTCCAACGAAATCGTTAGAGCTAAGCAAATATCCAGTTACAGTTTCTACCAAAAGGGTGTTTCCAAATTGCTGCATCAAAAGAAAGGTTCAACTCTGTTAGTTGAGGACACACATCACAAAGAAGTTTGTGAGAATGCTTCTGTCTAGATTTTGTATGACGATATTCCCTTTTCCAACGATATCGTTAAAGCAATCTAAATATCAATTTGCAGAATCCACAAAAATAGAGTTTCAAAGCTGCTCTGTAAAAATAAAAGTTCCACTCTGTTAGCTGAGTACACACATCACAAACTTGTTTCTGAGAATCCTTCTGTCTCGTTTTTATGGGAAGATATTTACTTTTTCACCGTAGGCATCAAAGCGCTCCAAATGTCCACATCCAGATACTCCAGAAAGAGTGTTTCAAACCTGCTCTATGAAAGGGAATCTTCAACCCTATGAGTTGAATGCAGACATCAGAAAGAAATTTCTGAGAATGCTGCTGCTGTCTACCTTTTATTTGAATTCCCGCTTCCAACGAAATCCTCCAAGCTATCCAAATATCCACTTGCATTTTCCACAAAAAGAGTGTTTCAAAACTACTCTATCAATAGAAATGTTCAACTCCTTTAGCTGGGTACACACATCACAAACAACTTTCTGAGAATGCTTCTGTCTAGTTTTTATGGGAAGACATTTCCTTTCTCACCAAAGGCATCAAAGAGCTCCAAATGTCCACTTCCAGATACTACAAAAAGAGTGTTTCAAAAGTGCTCTAAGAAAGCGAATGTTCAACTCTGTGACTTGAGTGCAGATATCAAAAAGTAGTTTCTGAGAGTGCTTCTGTCTAGATTTTAGATGATGATATTCGCGTTTCCAACGAAATCATTAGAGCTATCCAAATATCCACTTACAGTTTCTACAAAAAGAGTGTTTCCAAACTGCTGCATCAAAAGAGAGGTTCCACTCTGTTAGCTGAGTACACACATCACAAACTTGTTTCTCAGAATCCTTCTGTCTCGTTTTTATGGGAAGATATTTACTTTCTCACCGTAGGCATCAAAGCGCTCCAAATGTCCACATCCAGATACTCCAGAAACAGTGTTTCAAACCTGCTCTATGAAAGGGAATCTTCAACTCTATGAGTTGAATGCAGACATCAGAAAGAAATTTCTGAGAATGCTGCTGTCTACCTTTTATTTGAATTCCCGCTTCCAACGAAATCCTCCAAGCTATCCAAATATCCACTTGCAGATTCCACAAAAAGAGTGTTTCAAAACTGCTCTCTATCAATGGCAAAGTTCAACTCTGTTAGTTGAGGACACATATCACCAACAAGTTTCTGAGAATGCTTCTGTCTATTGTTTATGGGAAGATATTTCCTTTTTCACTGTAGGCGTCACGGCGATCGAAATGTCCACTTCCACAAACTACAAAAAGAGTGTTTCAAACCTGCTCTATGAAAGGCGATGTTCATCTCAATGAGTTGAATGGAAATATCCGAAAGAAATTTCTGGGAATGCTGCTGTCTAGTTTTTATACGAATTCCCGCTTCCAATGAAATCCTCAAAGCAATCCAAATATCCACTTGCAGAATCCACAAAAAGAGTGTTTCAAAACTGCTCTATCAATAGAAAGGTTCAACTCTTTTAGTTGAGTACACACATCACAAACAAGTTTCTGAGAATGCTTCTGTCTGGCTTTTATTGGAAGACGTTTCCTTTTCACCAAAGGCATCAAAGCGCTCCAAATGTCCACTTCCAGATTCTTCCAAAAGAGTGTTTCAAACGTGCTCAAAGTAAGGGAATGTTCAACTCTGTGACTTGAATACAGATATCACCAAGTAGTTTCTAATAGTGCTTCTGTCTAGATTTTAGATGATGATATTCCCGTTTCCAACGAAATCGTTAGAAGTATCCAAATATCCACTTACAGTTTCTACAAAAAGAGTGTTTCCAAACTGCTGCATCAAAAGAAAGGTTCAACTCTGTTAGTTGAGGACACACATCACAAAGAAGTTTGTGAGAATGCTTCTGTCTAGATTTTGTATGACCATATTCCCTTTTCCAACGATATCGTTAAAGCAATCTAAATATCAATTTGCAGAATCCACAAAAATAGAGTTTCAAAGCTGCTCTGTAAAAAGAAAGGTTCCAATCTGTTAGCTGAGTACACACATCACAAACTTGTTTCTGAGAATCCTTCTGTCTAGTTTTTATGGGAAGATATTTCCTTTTTCACCGTAGGTATCAAAGCGCTCCAAATGTCCACATCCAGATACTACAGAAAGAGTGTTTCAAACCTGCTCTATGAAAGGGAATCTTCAACTCTATGAGTTGAATGCAGACATCAGAAAGTAATTTCTGAGAATGCTGCTGTCTACCTTTTATTTGAACTCCCGCTTCCAACGAAATCCTCCAAGCTATCCAAATATCCACTTGCATTTTCCACAAAAAGAGTGCTTCAAAACTGCTCTATCAATAAATGTTCAACTCCTTTAGCTGGGTGCACACATCACAATCAACTTTCTGAGAATGCTTCTGTCTAGTTTTTATGGGAAGACATTTCCTTTTTCACCAAAGGCATCAAAGAGCTCCAAATGTCCTCTTCCAGATATACAAAAAGAGTGTTTCAAAAGTGCTCTAAGAAAGCGAATGTTCAACTCTGTGACTTGAATGCAGATATCACAAAGTAGTTTCTGAGAGTGCTTCTGTCTAGATTTTAGATGATGATATTCCCGTTTCCAACGAAATCATTAGAGCTATCCAAATATCCACTTACAGTTTCTACAAAAAGAGGGTTTCCAAACTGCTGCATCAAAAGAGAGGTTCCACTCTGTTAGCTGAGTACACACATCACAAACTTGTTTCTCAGAATCCTTCTGTGTCGTTTTTATGGGAAGATATTTACTTTTTCACCGTAGGCATCAAAGCGCTCCAAATGTCCACATCCAGATACTCCAGAAAGAGTGTTTCAAACCTGCTCTATGAAAGGGAATCTTCAACTCTATGAGTTGAATGCAGACATCAGAAAGAAATTTCTGAGAATGCTGCTGTCTACCTTTTATTTGAATTCCCGCTTCCAACGAAATCCTCCAAGCTATCCAAATATCCACTTGCAGATTCCACAAAAAGAGTGTTTCAAAACTGCTCTCTATCAATGGCAAAGTTCAACTCTGTTAGTTGAGGACACATATCACCAACAAGTTTCTGAGAATGCTTCTGTCTATTTTTTATGGGTAGATATTTCCTTTTTCACCGTAGGCGTCAAGGCGATCGAAATGTCCACTTCCACAAACTACAAAAAGAGTGTTTCAAACCTGCTCTATGAAAGGCCATATTCATCTCTATGAGTTGAATGGAAATATCCGAAAGAAATTTCTGGGAATGCTGCTGTCTAGTTTTTATATGAATTCCCGCTTCCAACGAAATCCTCAAAGCAATCCAAATATCCACTTGCAGAATCCACAAAAAGAGTGTTTCAAAACTGCTCTATCAATAGAAAGGTTCAACTCTTTTAGTTGAGTACACACATCACAAACAAGTTTACTGAGAATGCTTTCTGTCTGGCTTTTATTGGAAGACGTTTCCTTTTCACCAAAGGCATCAAAGCGCTCCAAATGTCCACTTCCAGATTCTTCCAAAAGAGTGTTTCAAACGTGCTCAAAGTAAGGGAATGTTCAACTCTGTGACTTGAATGCAGATATCACCAAGTAGTTTCTAATAGTGTTTCTGTGTATACTTTAGATGAAGATATCCCCGTTTCCAACGATATCGTTAGACCTACCCAAATATCCACTTACAGTTTTTATAAAAAGAGTGTTTCCAAACTGCTGCATCAAAAGAAAGGTTCAACTCTGTTAGTTGAGGACACGCATCACAAAGAAGTTTCTGAGAAAGCTTCTGTCTAGTATTTTGTATGACCATATTCCCTTTTCCAGCGATATCGTTAAAGCAATCTAAATATCCATTTGCAGAATCCACAAAAATAGAGTTTCAAAGCTGCTCTGTAAAAAGAAAGGTTCCACTCTGTTAGCTGAGTACACACATCACAAACTTGTTTCTGAGAATCCTTCTGTCACGTTTTTATGGGAAGATATTTACTTTCTCACCGTAGGCATCAAAGCTCTCCAAATGTCCACATCCAGATACTCCAGAAAGAGTGTTTCAAACCTGCTCTATGAAAGGGAATCTTCAACTCTATGAGTTGAATGCAGACATCAGAAAGAAATTTCTGAGAATGCTGCTGTCTACCTTTTATTTGAATTCCCGCTTCCAACGAAATCCTCCAAGCTATCCAAATATCCACTTGCAGAGTCCACAAAAAGAGTGTTTCAAAACTGCTCTCTATCAATGGGAAAGTTCAACTCTGTTAGTTGAGGACACATATCACCAACAAGTTTCTGAGAATGCTTCTGTCTATTTTTTATGGGAAGATATTTCCTTTTTCAGCGTAGGCGTCAAGGCGATCGAAATGTCCACTTCCACAAACTGCAAAAAGAGTGTTTCAAACCTGCTCTATGAAAGGCCATGTTCATCTCTATGAGTTGAATGGAAATATCCGAAAGAAATTTCTGGGAATGCTGCTGTCTAGTGTTTATACGAATTCCCGCTTCCAACGAAATCCTCAAAGCAATCCAAATATCCACTTGCAGAATCCACAAAAAGAGTGTTTCAAAACTGCTCTATCAATAGAAAGGTTCAACTTCTTTTAGTTGAGTACACACATCACGAACAAGTTTCTGAGAATGCTTCTGTCTGGCTTTTATTGGAAGACGTTTCCTTTTCACCAAAGGCATCAAAGCGCTCCAAATGTCCACTTCCAGATTCTTCCAAAAGAGTGTTTCAAACGTGCTCAAAGTAAGGGAATGTTCAACTGTTTGACTTGAATGCAGATATCACCAAGTAGTTTCTAATAGTGCTTCTGTCTAGATTTTAGATGATGATATTCCCGTTTCCAACGAAATCGTTAGAGCTATCCAAATATCCACTTACAGTTTCTACAAAAAGAGTGTTTCCAAACTGCTGCATCAAAAGAAAGGTTCAACTCTGTTAGTTGAGGACACACATCACAAGGAAGTTTGTGAGAATGCTTCTGTCTAGATTTTGTATGACGATATTCCCTTTTCCAACGATATCGTTAAAGCAATCTAAATATCAATTTGCAGAATCCACAAAAATAGAGTTTCAAAGCTGCTCTGTAAAAAGAAAGGTTCCACTCTGTTAGCTGAGTACACACATCGCAAACTTGTTTCTGAGAATCCTTCTGTCTCGTTTTTATGGGAAGATATATACTTTTCCACCGTAGGCATCAAAGCGCTCCAAATGTCCACATCCAGATACTCCAGAACGAGTGTTTCAAACCTGCTCTATGAAAGGGAATCTTCAACTCTATGAGTTGAATGCAGACATCAGAAAGAAATTTCTGAGAATGCTCCTGTCTACCTTTTATTTGAATTCCCGCTTCCAACGAAATCCTCCAAGCTATCCAAATATCCACCTGCAGATTCCACAAAAAGAGTGTTTCAAAACTGCTCTATCAATAGAAATGTTCAACTCCTTTAGCTGGGTACACACATCACAAACAAGTTTCTGAGAATCCTTCTGTCTAGTTTTTATGGGAAGACATTCCCTTTTTCACCAAAGACATCAAAGCGCTCCAAATGTCCACTTCCAGACACTACAAAAAGAGTGTTTCAAACGTGCTCTAAGAAAGCGAATGTTCAACTCTGTGACTTGAATGCAGATATCACAAAGTAGTTTCTGAGAGGGCTTTCTGTCTAGTATTTTAGCATGATGATATTCCCGTTTCCAACGAAATCATTAGGAGCTATCCAAATATCCACTTACAGTTTCTACAAAAAGAGTATTTCCAAACTGCTGCATCAAAAGAGAGGTTCCACTCTGTTAGCTGAGTACACACATCACAAACTTGTTTCTCAGAATCCTTCTGTGTCGTTTTTCTGGGAAGATATTTACTTTTTCACCGTAGGCATCAAAGCGCTCCAAATGTCCACATCCAGATACTCCAGAAAGAGTGTTTCAAACCTGCTCTATGAAAGGGAATCTTCAACTCTATGAGTTGAATGCAGACATCAGAAAGAAATTTCTGAGAATGCTGCTGTCTACCTTTTATTTGAATTCCCGCTTCCAACGAAATCCTCCAAGCTATCCAAATATCCACTTGCAGATTCCACAAAAAGAGTGTTTCAAAACTGCTCTCTATCAATGGCAAAGTTCAACTCTGTTAGTTGAGGACACATATCACCAACAAGTTTCTGAGAATGCTTCTGTCTATTTTTTATGGGAAGATATTTCCTTTTTCACCGTAGGCGTCAAGGCGATCGAAATGTCCACTTCCACAAACTACAAAAAGAGTGTTTCAAACCTGCTCTATGCAAAGGCCATGTTCATCTCTATGAGTTGAATGGAAATATCCGAAAGAAATTTCTGGGAATGCTGCTGTCTAGTTTTTATACGAATTCCCGCTTCCAACGAAATCCTCAAAGCAATCCAAATATCCACTTGCAGAATCCACAAAAAGAGTGTTTCAAAACTGCTCTATCAATAGAAAGGTTCAACTCTTTTAGTTGAGTACACTCATCACAAACAAGTTTCTGAGAATGCTTCTGTCTGGCTTTTATTGGAAGACGTTTCGTTTTCACCAAAGGCATCAAAGCGCTCCAAATGTCCACTTCCAGATTCTTCCAAAAGAGTGTTTCAAACGTGGTCGAAGTAAGGGAATGTTCAACTCTGTGACTTGAATGCAGATATCACCAAGTAGTTTCTAATAGTGCTTCTGTGTATACTTTAGATGAAGATATTTCCGTTTCCAACGATATCGTTAGACCTATCCAAATATCCACTAACAGTTTCTACAAGAAGAGTGTTTCCAAACTGCTGCATCAAAAGAAAGGTTCAACTCTGTGAGTTGAGGACACACATCACAAAGAAGTTTCTGAGAAAGCTTCTGTCTAGATTTTGTATGACCATATTCCCTTTTCCAACGATATCGTTAAAGCAATCTAAATATCAATTTGCAGAATCCACAAAAAAAGAGTTTGAAAGCTGCTCTGTAAAAAGAAAGGTTCCACTCTGTTAGCTGAGTACACACATCACAAACTTGTTTCTCAGAATCCTTCTGTCTCGTTTTTCTGGGAAGATATTTACTTTTTCACCGTGGGCATCAAAGCGCTCCAAATGTCCACATCCAGATACTCCAGAAAGAGTGTTTCAAACCTGCTCTATGAAAGGGAATCTTCAACTCTATGAGTTGAATGCAGACATCAGAAAGAAATTTCTGAGAATGCTGCTGTCTACCTTTTATTTGAATTCCCGCTTCCAACGAAATCCTCCAAGCTATCCAAATATCCACTTGCAGATTCCACAAAAAGAGTGTTTCAAAACTGCTCTCTATCAATGGCAAAGTTCAACTCTGTTAGTTGAGGACACATATCACCAACAAGTTTCTGAGAATGCTTCTGTCTATTTTTTATGGGAAGATATTTCCTTTTTCACCGTAGGCGTCAAGGCGATCGAAATGTCCACTTCCACAAACTACAAAAAGAGTGTTTCAAACCTGCTCTATGAAAGGCCATGTTCATCTCTATGAGTCGAATGGAAATATCCGAAAGAAATTTCTGGGAATGCTGCTGTCTAGTTGTTATACGAATTCCCGCTTCCAACGAAATCCTCAAAGCAATCCAAATATCCACTTGCAGAATCCACAAAAAGAGTGTTTCAAAACTGCTCTATCAATAGAAAGTTTCAACTCTTTTAGTTGAGTACACACATCACAAACAAGTTTCTGAGAATGCTTCTGTCTGGCTTTTATTGGAAGACGTTTCCTTTTCACCAAAGGCATCAAAGCGCTCCAAATGTCCACTTCCAGATTCTTCCAAAAGAGTGTTGCAAACGTGCTCAATGTAAGGGAATGTTCAACTCTGTGACTTGAATGCAGATATCACCAAGTAGTTTCTAATAGTGCTTCTGTCTAGATTTTAGATGATGATATTCCCGTTTCCAACGAAATCGTTAGAGCTATCCAAATATCCACTTACAGTTTCTACCAAAAGGGTGTTTCCAAACTGCTGCATCAAAAGAAAGGTTCAACTACTGTTAGTTGAGGACACACGTCACAAAGCTGTTTGTGAGAATGCTTCTGTCTAGATTTTGTATGACCATATTCTCTTTTCCAACGATATCGTTAAAGCAATCTAAATATCAATTTGCAGAATCCACAAAAATAGAGTTTCAAAGCTGCTCTGTAAAAAGAAAGGTTCCACTCTGTTAGCTGAGTACACACATCACAAACTTGTTTCTGAGAATCCTTCTGTCTCGTTTTTATGGAAGATATTTACTTTTTCACCGTAGGCATCAAAGCGCTCCAAAGGTCCACATCCAGATACTCCAGAAAGAGTGTTTCAAACCTGCTCTATGAAAGGGAATCTTCAACTCTATGAGTTGAATGCAGACATCAGAAAGAAATTTCTGAGAATGCTGCTGTCTACCTTTTATTTGAATTCCCGCTTCCAACGAAATCCTCCAAGCTATCCAAATATCCCCCTGCATTTTCCACAAAAAGAGTGTTTCAAAACTGCTCTATCAATAGAAATGTTCAACTCCTTTAGCTGGGTACACACATCACAAACAAGTTTCTGAGAATGCTTCTGTCTAGTTTTTATGGGAAGACGTTCCCTTTTTCACCAAAGGCATCAAAGCACTCCAAATGTCCACTTCCAGACACTACAAAAAGAGTGTTTCAAACGTGCTCTAAGAAAGCGAATGTTCAACTCTGTGACTTGAATGCAGATATCACAAAGTAGTTTCTGAGAGGGCTTCTGTCTAGATTTTAGATGATGATATTCCCGTTTCCAACGAAATCATTAGAGCTATACAAATATCCACTTACAGTATCTACAAAAAGAGTGTTTCCAAACTGCTGCATCAAAAGAGGTTTCCACTCTGTTAGCTGAGTACACACATCACAAACTTGTTTCTCAGAATCCTTCTGTCTCGATTTTATGGGAAGATATTTACTTTTTCACCGTAGGCATCAAAGCGCTCCAAATGTCCACATCCAGATACTCCAGAAAGAGTGTTTCAAACCTGCTCTATGAAAGGGAATCTTCAACTCTATGAGTTGAATGCAGACATCAGAAAGAAATTTCTGAGAATGCTGCTGTCTAACTTTTATTTGAATTCCCGCTTCCAACGAAATCCTCCAAGCTATCCAAATATCCACTTGCAGATTCCACAAAAAGAGTGTTTCAAAACTGCTCTCTATCAATGGCAAAGTTCAACTCTGTTAGTTGAGGACACATATCACCAACAAGTTTCTGAGAATGCTTCTGTCTATTTTTTATGGGAAGATATTTCCTTTTTCACCGTAGGCGTCAAGGCGATCGAAATGTCCACTTCCACAAACTACAAAAAGAGTGTTTCAAACCTGCTCTATGAAAGGCCATGTTCATCTCTATGAGTCGAATGGAAATATCCGAAAGAAATTTCTGGGAATGCTGCTGTCTAGTTTTTATACGAATTCCCGCTTCCAACGAATTCCTGAAAGCAATCCAAATATCCACTTGCAGAATCCACAAAAAGAGTGTTTCAAAACTGCTCTATCAATAGAAAGGTTCAACTCTTTTAGTTGAGTACACACATCACAAACAAGTTTCTGAGAATGCTTCTGTCTGGCTTTTATTGGAAGACGTTTCCTTTTCACCAAAGGCATCAAAGCGCTCCAAATGTCCACTTCCAGATTCTTCCAAAAGAGTGTTTCAAACGTGCTCAAAGTAAGGGAATGTTCAACTCTTTGACTTGAATGCAGATATCACCAAGTAGTTTCTAACAGTGCTTCTGTCTAGATTTTAGATGATGATATTCCCGTTTCCAACGAAATCGTTAGAGCTATCCAAATATCCACTTACAGTTTCTACAAAAAGAGTGTTTCCAAACTGCTGCATCAAAAGAAAGGTTCAACTACTGTTAGTTGAGGACACACATAACAAAGAAGTTTGTGAGAATGCTTCTGTCTAGATTTTGTATGACGATATTCCCTTTTCCAACGATATCGTTAAAGCAATCTAAATATCAATTTGCAGAATCCACAAAAATAGAGTTTCAAAGCTGCTCTATAAAAAGAAAGGTTCCACTCTGTTAGCTGAGTACACACATCACAAACTTGTTTCTGAGAATCCTTCTGTCTCGTTTTTATGGGAAGATATTTACTTTTTCACCGTAGGCATCAAAGCGCTCCAAATGTCCACATCCAGATACTCCAGAAAGAGTGTTTCAAACCTGCTCTATGAAAGGGAATCTTCAACTCTATGAGTTGAATGCAGACATCAGAAAGAAATTTCTGAGAATGCTGCTACCTTTTATTTGAATTCCCGCTTCCAACGAAATCCTCCAAGCTATCCAAATATCCACTTGCATTTTCCACAAAAAGAGTGTTTCAAAACTGCTCTATCAATAGAAATGTTCAACTCCTTTAGCTGGGTACACACATCACAAACAAGTTTCTGAGAATGCTTCTGTCTATTTTTTATGGGAAGATATTTCCTTTTTCACCGTAGGCGTCAAGGCGATCGAAATGTCCACTTCCACAAACTACAAAAAGAGTGTTTCAAACCTGCTCTATGAAAGGCCATGTTCATCTCTATGAGTCGAATGGAAATATCCGAAAGAAATTTCTGGGAATGCTGCTGTCTAGTTTTTATACGAATTCCCGCTTCCAACGAAATCCTCAAAGCAATCCAAATATCCACTTGCAGAATCCACAAAAAGAGTGTTTCAAAACTGCTCTATCAATAGAAAGGTTCAACTCTTTTAGTTGAGTACACACATCACAAACAATTTTCTGAGAATGCTTCTGTCTGGCTTTTATTGGAAGACGTTTCCTTTTCACCAAAGGCATCAAAGCGTTCCAAATGTCCACTTCCAGATTCTTCCAAAAGAGTGTTTCAAACGTGCTCAAAGTAAGGGAATGTTCAACTCTGTGACTTGAATGCAGATATCACCAAGTAGTTTCTAATAGTGCTTCTGTCTAGGTTTTAGATGATGATATTCCCGTTTCCAACGAAATCGTTAGAGCTATCCAAATATCCACTTACAGTTTCTACAAAAAGAGTGTTTCCAAACTGCTGCATCAAAAGAAAGGTTCAACTCTGTTAGTTGAGGACACACATCACAAAGAAGTTTGTGAGAATGCTTCTGTCTAGATTTTGTATGACGATATTCCGTTTTCCAACGATATCGTTAAAGCAATCTAAATATCAATTTGCAGAATCCACAAAAATAGAGTTTCAAAGCTGCTCTGTAAAAAGAAAGGGTTCCACTCTGTTAGCTGAGTACACACATCACAAACTTGTTTCTCAGAATCCTTCTGTCTCGTTTTTATGGGAAGATATTTACTTTTCCACCGTAGGCATCAAAGCGCTCCAAATGTCCACATCCAGATACTCCAGAAAGAGTGTTTCAAACCTGCTCTATGAAAGGGAATCTTCAACTCCATGAGTTGAATGCAGACATCACAAAGAAATTTCTGAGAATGCTGCTGTCTACCTTTTATTTGAATTCCCGCTTCCAACGAAATCCTCCAAGCTATCCAAATATCCACTTGCAGATTCCACAAAAAGAGTGTTTCAAAACTGCTCTCTATCAATGGCAAAGTTCAACTCTGTTAGTTGAGGACACATATCACCAACAAGTTTCTGAGAATGCTTCTGTCTATATTTTATGGGAAGATATTTCCTTTTTCACCGTAGGCGTCAAGGCGATCGAAATGTCCACTTCCACAAACTACAAAAAGAGTGTTTCAAACCTGCTCTCTGAAAGGCCATGTTCATCTCTATGAGGTGAATGGAAATATCCGAAAGAAATTTCTGGGAATGCTGCTGTCTAGTGTTTATACGAATTCCCGCTTCCAACGAAATCCTCAAAGCAATCCAAATATCCACTTGCAGAATCCACAAAAAGAGTGTTTCAAAACTGCTCTATCAATAGAAAGGTTCAACTCTTTTAGTTGAGTACACACATGACGAACAAGTTTCTCAGAATGCTTCTGTCTGGCTTTTATTGGAAGACGTTTCCTTTTCAACAAAGGCATCAAAGCGCTCCAAATGTCCACTTCCAGATTCTTCCAAAAGAGTGTTTCAAACGTGCTCAAAGTAAGGGAATGTTCAACTCTGTGACTTGAATGCAGATATCACCAAGTAGTTTCTAATAGTGCTTCTGTCTAGATTTTAGATGATGATATTCCCGTTTCCAACAAAATCGTTAGAGCTATCCAAATATCCACTTACAGTTTCTACAAAAAGAGTGTTTCCAAACTGCTGCATCAAAAGAAAGGTTCAACTCTGTTAGTTGAGGACACACATCACAAAGAAGTTTGTGAGAATGCTTCTGTCTAGTATTTTGTATGACGATATTCCCTTTTCCAACGATATCGTTAAAGCAATCTAAATATCAATTTGCAGAATCCACGAAAATAGAGTTTCAAAGCTGCTCTGTAAAAATAAAGGTTCCACTCTGTTAGCTGAGTACACACATCACAAACTTGTTTCTGAGAATCCTTCTGTCTCGTTTTTATGGGAAGATATTTACTTTTCCACCGTAGGCATCAAAGCGCTCCAAATGTCCACATCCAGATACTCCAGAACGAGTGTTTCAAACCTGCTCTATGAAAGGGAATCTTCAACTCTATGACTTGAATGCAGACATCAGAAAGAAATTTCTGAGAATGCTGCTGTCTAACTTTTATTTGAATTCCCGCTTCCAACGAAATCCTCCAAGCTATCCAAATATCCACCTGCATTTTCCACAAAAAGAGTGTTTCAAAACTGCTCTATCAATAGAAATGTTCAACTCCTTTGGCTGGGTACACACATCACAAACAAGTCTCTGAGAATGCTTCTGTCTAGTTTTTATGGGAAGACATTCCCTTTTTCACCAAAGACATCAAAGCGCTCCAAATGTCCACTTCCAGACACTACAAAAAGAGTGTTTCAAACGTGCTCTAAGAAAGCGAATGTTCAACTCTGTGACTTGAATGCAGATATCACACAGTAGTTTCTGAGAGTGCTTCTGTCTAGATTTTAGATGATGATATTCCCGTTTCCAACGAAATCATTAGAGCTATCCAAATATCCACTTAGAGTTTCTACAAAAAGAGTGTTTCCAAACTGCTGCATCAAAAGAGAGGTTCCACTCTGTTAGCTGAGTACACACATCACAAACTTGTTTCTCAGAATCCTTCTGTCTCGTTTTTATGGGAAGATATTTACTTTTCCACCGTAGGCATCAAAGCGCTCCAAATGTCCACATCCAGATACTCCAGAAAGAGTGTTTCAAACCTGCTCTATGAAAGGGAATCTTCAACTCTATGAGTTGAATGCACACATCAGAAAGAAATTTCTGAGAATGCTGCTGTCTACCTTTTATTTGAATTCCCGCTTCCAACGAAATCCTCCAAGCTATCCAAATACCCACTTGCATTTTCCACAAAAAGAGGGTTTCAAAACTGCTCTCTATCAATGGCAAAGTTCAACTCCTTTAGCTGGGTACACACATCACAAACAAGTTTCTGAGAATGATTCTGTCTACTTTTTAAGGGAAGACATTTCCTTTTTCACCAAAGGCATCAAAGCGCTCCAAATGTCCACTTCCAGATTCTACAAAAAGTGTGTTTCAAACCTGCTCTAAGTAAGGGAGTTTTCAACTCTGTGACTGGAATGCAGATATCACAAAGTAGTTTCTGAGACTGCTTCTGTCTAGATTTTAGATGATTATATTCCCGTTTCCAACGAAATCATTAGAGCTATCCAAATATCCACTTACAGTTTCTACAAAAAGAGTGTTTCCAAACTGCTGCATCAAAAGAGAGGTTCCACTCTGTTAGCTGAGTACACACATCACAAACTTGTTTCTCAGAATCCTTCTGTCTAGTTTTTATGGGAAGATATTTACTTTTTCACCGTAGGTATCAAAGCGCTCCAAATGTCCACATCCAGGTACTACAGAAAGAGTGTTTCAAACCTGCTCTATGAAAGGGAATCTTCAACTCTATGAGTTGAATGCAGACATCAGAAAGTAATTTCTGAGAATGCTGCTGTCTACCTTTGATTTGAATTCCCGCTTCCAACGAAATCCTCCAAGCTATCCAAATATCCACTTGCAGATTCCACAAAAAGAGTGTTTCAAAACTGCTCTCTATCAATGGCAAAGTTCAACTCTGTTAGTTGAGGACACATATCACCAACAAGTTTCTGAGAATGCTTCTGTCTATTTTTTATGGGAAGATATTTCCTTTTTCACCGTAGGCGTCAAGGCGATCGAAATGTCCACTTCCACAAACTACAAAAAGAGTGTTTCAAACCTGCTCTATGAAAGGCCATGTTCATCTCTATGAGTCGAATGGAAATATCCGAAAGAAATTTCTGGGAATGCTGCTGTCTAGTTTTTATACGAATTCCCGCTTCCAACGAAATCCTCAAAGCAATCCCAATATCCACTTGCAGAATCCACAAAAAGAGTGTTTCAAAACTGCTCTATCAATAGAAAGGTTCAACTCTTTTAGTTGAGTACACACATCACGAACAAGTTTCTGAGAACGCTTCTGTCTGGCTTTTATTTGAAGACGTTTCCTTTTCACAAAAGGCATCAAAGCGCTCCAAATGTCCACTTCCAGATTCTTCCAAAAGAGTGTTTCAAACGTGCTCAAAGTAAGGGAATGTTCAACTCTGTGACTTGAATGCAGATATCACCAAGTAGTTTCTAATAGTGCTTCTGTCTAGATTTTAGATGATGATATTCCCGTTTCCAACGAAATCGTTAGAGCTATCCAAATATCCAGTTACAGTTTCTACCAAAAGGGTGTTTCCAAATTGCTGCATCAAAAGAAAGCTTCAACTCTGTTAGTTGAGGACACACATCACAAAGAAGTTTGTGAGAATGCTTCTGTCTAGATTTTGTATGACGATATTCCCTTTTCCAACGATATCGTTAAAACAATCTAAATATCAATTTGCAGAATCCACAAAAATAGAGTTTCAAAGCTGCTCTGTAAAAAGAAAGGTTCCACTCTTTTAGCTGAGTACACACATCACAAACTTGTTTCTGAGAATCCTTCTGTCTCGTTTTTCTGGGAAGATATTTACTTTTTCACCGTAGGCATCAAAGCGCTCCAAATGTCCACATCCAGATACTCCAGAAGGAGTGTTTCAAACCTGCTCTATGAAAGGGAATCTTCAACTCTATGAGTTGAATGCAGACATCAGAAAGAAATTTCTGAGAATGCTGCTGTCTACCTTTTATTTGAATTCCCGCTTCCAAAGAAATCCTCCAAGCTATCCAAATATCCACCTGCATTTTCCACAACAAGAGTGTTTCAAAACTGCTCTATCAATAGAAATGTTCAACTCCTTTGGCTGGGTACACACATCACAAACAAGTTTCTGAGAATGCTTCTGTCTAGTTTTTATGGGAAGACATTCCCTTTTTCAACAAAGGCATCAAAGCGCTCCAAATGTCCACTTCCAGACACTACAAAAAGAGTGTTTCAAACGTGCTCTAAGAAAGCGAATGTTCAACTCTGTGACTTGAATGCAGATATCACAAAGTAGTTTCTGAGAGGGCTTCTGTCTAGATTTTAGATGACGATATTCCCGTTTCCAGCGAAATCGTTAGAGCTATCCAAATATCCACTTACAGTTTCTACAAAAAGAGTGTTTCCAAACTGCTGCATCAAAAGAAAGGTTCAACTCTGTTAGTTGAGGACACACATCACAAAGAAGTTTGTGAGAATGCTTCTGTCTAGATTTTGTATGACCATATTCCCTTTTCCAACGATATAGTTAAAGCAATCTAAATATCAATTTGCAGAATCCACAAAAATAGAGTTTCAAAGCTGCTCTGTAAAAAGAAAGGTTCCACTCTGTTAGCTGAGTACACACATCACAAACTTGTTTCTGAGAATCCTTCTGTCTCGTTTTTATGGGAAGATATTTACTTTTCCACCGTAGGCATCAAAGCGTTCCAAATGTCCACATCCAGATACTCCAGAAAGACTGTTTCAAACCTGCTCTATGAAAGGGAATCTTCAACTCTATGACTTGAATGCAGACATCAGAAAGAAATTTCTGAGAATGCTGCTGTCTACCTTTTATTTGAATTCCCGCTTCCAACGAAATCCTCCAAGCTATCCAAATATCCACCTGCATTTTCCACAAAAAGAGCGTTTCAAAACTGCTCTATCAATAGAAATGTTCAACTCCTTTGGCTGGGTACACACATCACAAACAAGTTTCTGAGAATGCTTATCTGTCTAGTTTTTATGGGAAGACGTTCCCTTTTTCAACAAAGGCATCAAAGCGCTCCAAATGTCCACTTCCAGACACTACAAAAAGAGTGTTTCCAACGTGCTCTAAGAAAGCGAATGTTCAACTCTGTGACTTGAATGCAGATATCACAAAGTAGTTTTCTGAGAGGGCTTCTGTCTAGATTTTAGATGATGATATTCCCGTTTCCAACGAAATCATTAGAGCTATCCAAATATCCACTTACAGTCTCTACAAAAAGAGTGTTTCCAAACTGCTGCATCAAAAGAGAGGTTCCACTCTGTTAGCTGAGTACACACATCACAAACTTGTTTCTCAGAATCCTTCTGTCTCGTTTTTATGGGAAGATATTTACTTTCTCACCGTAGGCATCAAAGCGCTCCAAATGTCCACATCCAGATACTCCAGAAAGAGGGTTTCAAACGTGCTCTATGAAAGGGAATCTTCAACTCTATGAGTTGAATGCAGACATCAGAAAGAAATTTCTGAGAATGCTGCTGTCTACCTTTATTTGAATTCCCGCTTCCAACGAAATCCTCCAAGCTATCCAAATATCCACTTGCAGATTCCACAAAAAGAGTGTTTCAAAACTGCTCTCTATCAATGGCAAAGTTCAACTCTGTTAGTTGAGGACACATATCACCAACAAGTTTCTGAGAATGCTTCTGTCTATTTTTTATGGGAAGATATTTCCTTTTTCAGCGTAGGCGTCAAGGCGATCGAAATGTCCACTTCCACAAACTACAAAAAGAGTGTTTCAAACCTGCTCTATGAAAGGCCATGTTCATCTCTATGAGTTGAATGGAAATATCCGAAAGAAATTTCTGGGAATGCTGCTGTCTAGTTTTTATATGAATTCCCGCTTCCAACGAAATCCTCAAAGCAATCCAAATATCCACTTGCAGAATCCACAAAAAGAGTGTTTCAAAACTGCGCTATCAATAGAAAGGTTCAACTCTTTTAGTTGAGTACACACATCATGAACAAGTTTCTGAGAATGCTTCTGTCTGGCTTTTATTGGAAGACGTTTCCTTTTCACCAAAGGCATCAAAGCGCTCCAAATGTCCACTTCCAGATTCTTCCAAAAGAGTGTTTCAAACGTGCTCGAAGTAAGGGAATGTTCAACTCTGTGACTTGAATGCAGATATCACCAAGTAGTTTCTAATAGTGCTTTCTGTCTACATTTTAGATGATGATATTCCCGTTTCCAACGAAATCGCTAGAGCTATCCAAATATCCAGTTACAGTTTCTACCAAAAGGGTGTTTCCAAATTGCTGCATCAAAAGAAAGGTTCAACTCTGTTAGTTGAGGACACACATCACAAAGAAGTTTGTGAGAATGCTTCTGTCTAGATTTTGTATGACGATATTCCCTTTTCCAACGATATCGTTAAAGCAATCTAAATATCAATTTGCAGAATCCACAAAAATAGAGTTTCAAAGCTGCTCTGTAAAAAGAAAGGTTCCACTCTGTTAGCTGAGTACACACATTACAAACTTGTTTCTGAGAATCCTTCTGTCTCGTTTTTATGGGAAGATATTTACTTTTTCACCGTAGGCATCAAAGCGCTCCAAATGTCCACATCCAGATACTCCAGAAAGACTGTATCAAACCTGCTCTATGAAAGGGAATCTTCAACTCTATGAGTTGAATGCAGACATCAGAAAGAAATTTCTGAGAATGCTGCTGTCTACCTTTTATTTGAATTCCCGCTTCCAACAAAAACCTCCCAGCCATCCAAATATCCACTTGCAGATTCCACAAAAAGAGTGTTTCAAAACTGCTCTATCAATAGAAATGTTCAACTCCTTTCGCTGGGTACACACATCACAAACAAGTTTCTGAGAAAGCTTCTTTCTAGATTTTATGGGAAGACATTTCCTTTTTCACCAAAGGCATCAAAGAGCTCCAAATGTCCACTTCCAGATACTACAAAAAGAGTGTTTCAAAAGTGCTCTAAGAAAGCGAATGTTCAACTCTATGACTTGAATGCAGATATCAAAAAGTAGTTTCTGAGAGTGCTTCTGTCTAGATTTTAGATGATGATATTCCCGTTTCCAACGAAATCATTAGAGCAATCCAAATATCCACTTACAGTTTCTACAAAAAGAGTGTTTCCAAACTGCTGCATCAAAAGAGAGGTTCCACTCTGTTAGCTGAGTACACACATCACAAACTTGTTTCTCAGAATCCTGCTGTCTACCTTTTATTTGAATTCCCGCTTCCAACGAAATCCTCCAAGCTATCCAAATATCCACTTGCAGATTCCACAAAAAGAGTGTTTCAAAACTGCTCTCTATCAATGGCAAAGTTCAACTCTGTTAGTTGAGGACACATATCACCAACAAGTTTCTGAGAATGCTTCTGTCTATTTTTTATGGGAAGATATTTCCTTTTTCACCGTAGGCGTCAAGGCGATCGAAATGTCCACTTCCACAAACTACAAAAAGAGTGTTTCAAACGTGCTCTATGAAAGGCGATGTTCATCTCTATGAGTTGAATGGAAATATCCGAAAGAAATTTCTGGGAATGCTGCTGTCTAGTGTTTATACGAATTCCCGCTTCCAACGAAATCCTCAAAGCAATCCAAATATCCACTTGCAGAATCCACAAAAAGAGTGTTTCAAAACTGCTCTATCAATAGAAAGGTTCAACTCTTTTAGTTGAGTACACACATCACGAACAAGTTTACTGAGAATGCTTTCTGTCTGGCATTTATTGGAAGACGTTTCCTTTTCACCAAAGGCATCAAAGCGCTCCAAATGTCCACTTCCAGATTCTTCCAAAAGAGTGTTTCAAACGTGCTCAAAGTAAGGGAATGTTCAACTCTGTGACTTGAATGCAGATATCACCAAGTAGTTTCTAATAGTGCTTCTGTCTAGATTTTAGATGATGATATTCCCGTTTCCAACGAAATCATTAGAGCTATCCAAATATCCACTTACAGTTTCTACAAAAAGAGTGTTTCCAAACTGCTGCATCAAAAGAAAGGTTCAACTCTGTTAGTTGAGGACACACATCACAAAGAAGTTTGTGAGAATGCTTCTGTCTAGATTTTGTATGACGATATTCCCTTTTCCAACGATATCATTAAAGCAATCTAAATATCCATTTGCAGAATCCACAAAAATAGAGTTTCAAAGCTGCTCTGTAAAAAGAAAGGTTCCACTCTGTTAGCTGAGTACACACATCACAAACTTGTTTCTCAGAATCCTTCTGTCTAGTTTTTATGGGAAGATATTTACTTTTTCACCGTAGGCATCAAAGCGTTCCAAATGTCCACATCCAGATAGTACAGAAAGAGTGTTTCAAACCTGCTCTATGAAAGGGAATGTTCTACTCTATGAGTTGAATGTACACATCACAAAGAAATTTCTGAGAATGCTGCTGTCTACCTTTTATTTGAATTCCCGCTTCCAACGAAATCCTCCAAGCTATCCAAATATCCACTTGCAGATTCCACAGAAGGAGTGTTTCAAAACTGCTCTCTATCAATGGCAAAGTTCAACTCTGTTAGTTGAGAACACATATCACCAACAAGTTTCTGAGAATGCTTCTGTCTATTTTTTATGGGAAGATATTTCCTTTTTCACCGTAGGCATCAAGGCGATCGAAATGTCCACTTCCACAAACTACAAAAAGAGTGTTTCAAACCTGCTCTATGAAAGGCCATGTTCACCTCTATGAGTTGAATGGAAATATCCGAAAGAAATTTCTGGGAATGCTGCTGTCTAGTGTTTATACGAATTTCCGCTTCCAACGAAATCCTCAAAGCAATCCAAATATCCACTTGCAGAATCCACAAAAAGAGTGTTTCAAAACTGCTCTATCAATAGAAAGGTTCAACTCTTTTAGTTGAGTACACACATCACGAACAAGTTTCTGAGAATGCTTCTGTCTGGCTTTTATTGGAAGACGTTTCCTTTTCACCAAAGGCATCAAAGCGCTCCAAATGTCCACTTCCAGATTCTTCCAAAAGAGTGTTTCAAACGTGCTCAAAGTAAGGGAATGTTCAACTCTGTGACTTGAATGCAGATATCACCAAGTAGTTTCTAATAGTGCTTCTGTCTACATTTTAGATGATGATATTCCCGTTTCCAACGAAATCGTTAGAGCTATCCAAATATCCAGTTACAGTTTCTACCAAAAGGGTGTTTCCAAAATGCTGCATCAAAAGAAAGGTTCAACTCTGTTAGTTGAGGACACACATCACAAAGAAGTTTGCGAGAATGCTTCTGTCTAGATTTTGTATGACCATATTCCCTTTTCCAGCGATATCATTAAAGCAGTCTAAATATCCATTTGCAGAATCCACAAAAATAGAGTTTCAAAGCTGCTCTGTAAAAAGAAAGGTTCCACTCTGTTAGCTGAGTACACACATCACAAACTTGTTTCTGAGAATCCTTCTGTCTCGTTTTGATGGGAAGATATTTACTTTTTCACCGTAGGCATCAAAGCGCTCCAAATGTCCACATCCAGATACTCCAGAAACAGTGTTTCAAACCTGCTCTATGAAAGGGAATCTTCAACTCTATGAGTTGAATGCAGACATCAGAAAGAAATTTCTGAGAATGCTGCTGTCTATCTTTTATTTGAATTCCCGCTTCCAACGAAATCCTCCAAGCTATCCAAATATCCACTTGCATTTTCCACAAAAAGAGTGTTTCAAAACTGCTCTATCAATAGAAATGTTCAACTCCTTTAGCTGGGTACACACATCACAAACAAGTTTCTGAGAATGCTTCTGTCTAGTTTTTATGGGAAGACATTCCCTTTTTCACCAAAGGCATCAAAGCGCTCCAAATGTCCACTTCCAGACACTACAAAAAGAGTGTTTCAAACGTGCTCTAAGAAACCGGATGTTCAACTCTGTGACTTGAATGCAGATATCACAAAGTAGTTTCTGAGAGGGCTTCTGTCTAGATTTTAGATGATGATATTCCCGTTTCCAACGAAATCATTAGAGCTATCCAAATATCCACTTACAGTTTCTACAAAAAGAGTGTTTCCAAACTGCTGCATCAAAAGAGAGGTTCCACTCTGTTAGCTGAGTACACACATCACAAACTTGTTTCTGAGAATCCTCTGTGTCGTTTTTATGGGAAGATATTTACTTTTTCACCGTAGGCATCAAAGCGCTCCAAATGTCCACATCCAGATACTCCAGAAAGAGTGTTTCAAACCTGCTCTATGAAAGGGAATCTTCAACTCTATGAGTTGAATGCAGACATCAGAAAGAAATTTCTGAGAATGCTGGCTGTCTACCTTTTATTTGAATTCCCGCTTCCAACGAAATCCTCCAAGCTATCCAAATATCCACTTGCAGATTCCACAAAAAGAGTGTTTCAAAACTGCTCTCTATCAATGGCAAAGTTCAACTCTGTTAGTTGAGGACACATATCACCAACAAGTTTCTGAGAATGCTTCTGTCTATTTTTTATGGGAAGATATTTCCTTTTTCACTGTAGGCGTCAAGGCGATCGAAATGTCCACTTCCACAAACTACAAAAAGAGTGTTTCAAACCTGCTCTATGAAAGGCGATGTTCATCTCAATGAGTTGAATGGAAATATCCGAAAGAAATTTCTGGGAATGCTGCTGTCTTGTTTTTATATGAATTCCCGCTTCCAACGAAATCCTCAAAGCAATCCAAATATCCACTTGCAGAATCCACAAAAAGAGTGTTTCAAAACTGCTCTATCAATAGAAAGGTTCAACTCTTTTAGTTGAGTACACACATCACCAACAAGTTTCTGAGAATGCTTCTGTCTGGCTTTTATTGGAAGACGTTTCCTTTTCACCAAAGGCATCAAAGCGCTCCAAATGTCCACTTCCAGATTCTTCCAAAAGAGAGTTTCAAACGTGGTCGAAGTAAGGGAATGTTCAACTCTGTGACTTGAATGCAGATATCACCAAGTAGTTTCTAATAGTGCTTCTGTCTAGATTTTAGATGATGATATTCCCGTTTCCAACGAAATCGTTAGAGCTATCCAAATATCCACTTACAGTTTCTACAAAAAGAGTGTTTCCAAACTGCTGCATTAAAAGAAAGGTTCAACTCTGTTAGTTGAGGACACACATCACAAAGAAGTTTGTGAGAATGCTTCTGTCTAGATTTTGTATGAAGATATTCCCTTTTCCAACGATGTCGTTAAATCAACCCAAATGTCAATTTGCAGAATCCACAGAAATAGAGTTTCAAAGCTGCTCTGTAAGAAGAAAGGATCCACTCTGTTAGCTGAGTACACACATCACAAACTTGTTTCTGAGAATCCTTCTGTCTCGTTTTTATGGGAAGATATTTACTTTTCCACCGTAGGCATCAAAGCGCTCCAAATGTCCACATCCAGATACTCCAGAAGGAGTGTTTCAAACCTGCTCTACGAAAGGGAATCTTCAACTGTATGAGTTGAATGCAGACATCAGAAAGAAATTTCTGAGAATGCTGCTGTCTACCTTTTATTTGAATTCCCGCTTCCAACGAAATCCTCCAAGCTATCCAAATATCCACCTGCATTTTCCACAAAAAGAGTGTTTCAAAACTGCTCTATCAATAGAAATGTTCAACTCCTTTGGCTGGGTACACACATCACAAACAAGTTTCTGTGAATGCTTCTGTCTAGTTTTTATGGGAAGACGTTCCCTTTTTCACCAAAGGCATCAAAGCGCTCCAAATGTCCACTTCCAGACACTACAAAAAGAGTGTTTCAAACGTGCTCTAAGAAAGCGAATGTTCAACTCTGTGACTTGAATGCACATATCACAAAGTAGTTTCTGAGAGGGCTTCTCTCTAGATTTTAGATGATGATATTCCCGTTTCCAACGAAATCATTAGAGCTATCCAAATATCCACTTACAGTTTCTACAAAAAGAGTGTTTCCAAACTGCTGCATCAAAAGAGAGGTTCCACTCTGTTAGCTGAGTACACACATCACAAACTTGTTTCTCAGAATCCTTCTGTCTCGTTTTTATGGGAAGATATTTACTTTTCCACCGTAGGCATCAAAGCGCTCCAAATGTCCACATCCAGATACTCCAGAAAGAGTGTTTCAAACCTGCTCTATGAAAGGGAATCTTCAACTCTATGAGTTGAATGCAGACATGAGAAAGAAATTTCTGAGAATGCTGCTGTCTACCTTTTATTTGAATTCCCGCTTCCAACGAAATCCTCCAAGCTATCCAAATATCCACCTGCATTTTCCACAAAAAGAGCGTTTCAAAACTGCTCTATCAATAGAAATGTTCAACTCCTTTAGCTGGGTACACACATCACAAACAAGTTTCTGAGAATGCTTCTGTCTAGTTTTTATGGGAAGACATTTCCTTTTTCACCAAAGGCATCAAAGAGCTCCAAATGTCCACTTCCAGATACTACAAAAAGAGTGTTTCAAAAGTGCTGTAAGAAAGCGAATGTTCAACTCTGTGACTTGAATGCAGATATCACAAAGTAGTTTCTGAGAGCGCTTCTGTCTAGATTTTAGATGATGATATTCCCGTTTCCAACGAAATCATTAGAGCTATCCAAATATCCACTTACAGTTTCTACAAAAAGAGTGTTTCCAAACTGCTGCATCAAAAGAGAGGTTCCACTCTGTTAGCTGAGTACACACATCACAAACTTTTTTCTCAGAATCCTTCTGTCTCGTTTTTATGGGAAGATATTTACTTTTTCACCGTAGGCATCAAAGCGCTCCAAATGTCCACATCCAGATACTACAGAAAGAGTATTTCAAACCTGCCCTATGAAAGGGAATGCTCAACTCTATGAGTTGAATGCAGACATCAGAAAGAAATTTCTGAGAATGCTGCTGTCTACCTTTTATTTGAATTCCCGCTTCCAACGAAATCCTCCAAGCTATCCAAATATCCACTTGCAGATTCCACAAAAAGAGTGTTTCAAAACTGCTCTCTATCAATGGCAAAGTTCAACTCTGTTAGTTGAGGACACATATCACCAACAAGTTTCTGAGAATGCTTCTGTCTATTTTTTATGGGAAGATATTTCCTTTTTCACTGTAGGCGTCAAGGCGATCGAAATGTCCACTTCCACAAACTACAAAAAGAGTGTTTCAAACCTGCTCTATGAAAGGCGATGTTCATCTCAATGAGTTGAATGGAAATATCCGAAAGAAATTTACTGGGAATGCTGCTGTCTACATTTCATTTGAATTCCCGCTTCCAACGAAATCCTCCAAGCTATCCAAATATCCACTTGCAGATTCCACAAAAAGAGTGTTTCAAAACTGCTCTATCAATAGAAAGGTTCAACTCTTTTAGTTGAGTACACACATCACAAACAAGTTTCTGAGAATGCTTCTGTCTGGCTTTTATTGGAAGACGTTTCCTTTTCACCAAAGGCATCAAAGCGCTCCAAATGTCCACTTCCAGATTCTTCCAAAAGAGTGTATCAAACGTGCTCAAAGTAAGGGAATGTTCAACTCTGTGACTTGAATGCAGATATCACCAAGTAGTTTCTAATAGTGCTTTTGTCTACATTTTAGATGATGATATTCCCGTTTCCAACGAAATCGTTAGAGCTATCCAAATATCCAGTTACAGTTTCTACCAAAAGGGTGTTTCCAAATTGCTGCATCAAAAGAAAGGTTCAACTCTGTTAGTTGAGGACACACATCACAAAGAAGTTTGTGAGAATGCTTCTGTCTAGATTTTGTATGACGATATTCCCTTTTCCACGATATCGTTAAAGCAATCTAAATATCAATTTGCAGAATCCACAAAAATAGAGTTTCAAAGCTGCTCTGTAAAAAGAAAGGTTCCACTCTGTTAGCTGAGTACACACATCACAAACTTGTTTCTGAGAATCCTTCTGTCTCGTTTTTATGGGAAGATTATACTTTTTCACTGTAGGCATCAAAGCGCTCCAAATGTCCACATCCAGATACTACAGAAAGAGTGTTTCAAACCTGCTCTATGAAAGGGAATCTTCAACTCTATGAGTTGAATGCAGACATCAGAAAGAAATTTCTGAGAATGCTGCTGTCTACCTTTTATTTGAATTCCCGCTTCCAACGAAATCCTCCAAGCTATCCAAATATCCACTTGCAGATTCCACAAAAAGAGTGTTTCAAAACTGCTCTCTATCAATGGCAAAGTTCAACTCTGTTAGTTGAGGACACATATCACCAACAAGTTTCTGAGAATGCTTCTGTCTATTTTTTATGGGAAGATATTTCCTTTTTCACCGTAGGCGTCAAGGCGATCGAAATGTCCACTTCCGCAAACTACAAAAAGAGTGTTTCAAACCTGCTCTATGAAAGGCCATGTTCATCTCTATGAGTTGAATGGAAATATCCGAAAGAAATTTCTGGGAATGCTGCTGTCTAGTTTTTATACAAATTCCCGCTTCCAACGATATCCTCAAAGCAATCCAAATATCCACTTGCAGAATCCACAAAAAGAGTGTTTCAAAACTGCTCTATCAATAGAAAGGTTCAACTCTTTTAGTTGAGTACACACATCACAAACAAGTTTCTGAGAATGCTTCTGTCTGGCTTTTATTGGAAGACGTTTCCTTTTCACCAAAGGCATCAAGGCGCTCCAAATGTCCACTTCCAGATTCTTCCAAAAGAGTGTTTCAAACGTGCTCAAAGTAAGGGAATGTTCAACTCTGTGACTTGAATGCAGATATCACCAAGTAGTTTCTAATAGTGCTTCTGTCTAGATTTTAGATGATGATATTCCCGTTTCCAACGAAATCGTTAGAGCTATCCAAATATCCAGTTACAGTTTCGACCAAAAGGGTGTTTCCAAATTGCTGCATCAAAAGAAAGGTTCAACTCTGTTAGTTGAGGACACACATCACAAAGAAGTTTGTGAGAATGCTTCTGTCCAGATTTTGTATGACGATATTCCCTTTTCCAACGATATCGTTAAAGCAATCTAAATATCCATTTGCAGAATCCACAAAAATAGAGTTTCAAAGCTGCTCTGTAAAAAGAAAGGTTCCACTCTGTTAGCTGAGTACACACATCTCAAACTTGTTTCTCAGAATCCTTCTGTCTCGTTTTTATGACAAGATATTTACTTTTTCACCATAGGCATGAAAGCGCTCCAAATGTCCACATCCAGATACTCCAGAAAGAGTGTTTCAAACCTGCTCTATGAAAGGGAATCTTAAACTCTATGAGTTGAATGCAGACATCAGAAAGAAATTTCTGAGAATGCTGCTGTCTACCTTTTATTGGAATTCCCGCTTCCAACGAAATCCTCCAAGCTATCCAAATATCCACTTGCAGATTCCACAAAAAGAGTGTTTCAAAACTGCTCTCTATCAATGGCAAAGTTCAACTCTGTTAGTTGAGGACACATATCACCAACAAGTTTCTGAGAATGCTTCTGTCTATTTTTTATGGGAAGATATTTCCTTTTTCACCGTAGGCGTCAAGGCGATCGAAATGTCCACTTCCACAAACTACAAAAAGAGTGTTTCAAACCTGCTCTATGAAAGGCCATGTTCATCTCTATGAGTCGAATGGAAATATCCGAAAGAAATTTCTGGGAATGCTGCTGTCTAGTTT
Source organism: Homo sapiens (assembly GCF_000001405.40). Lineage (NCBI taxonomy): Eukaryota > Metazoa > Chordata > Mammalia > Primates > Hominidae > Homo > Homo sapiens. Next base: position 14,492,544 of record NC_000022.11, on the reverse strand, counting down.
TTATACGAATTCCCGCTTCCAACGAAATCCTCAAAGCAATCCAAATATCCACTTGCAGAATCCACAAAAAGAGTGTTTCAAAACTGCTCTATCAATAGAAAGGTTCAACTCTTTTAGTTGAGTACACACATCACAAACAAGTTTCTGAGAATGCTTCTGTCTGGCTTTTATTGGAAGACGTTTCCTTTTCACCAAAGGCATCATAGCGCTCCAAATGTCCACTTCCAGATTCTTCCAAAAGAGTGTTTCAAACGTGCTCAAAGTAAGGGAATGTTCAACTCTGTGACTTGAATGCAGATATCACCAAGTAGTTTCTAATAGTGCTTCTGTCTAGATTTTAGATGATGATATTCCCGTTTCCAACGAAATCGTTAGAGCTATCCAAATATCCACTTACAGTTTCTACCAAAAGGGTGTTTCCAAACTGCTGCATCAAAAGAAAGGTTCAACTCTGTTAGTTGAGGACACACATCACAAAGAAGTTTGTGAGAATACTTTCTGTCTAGAATTTTGTATGACGATATTCCCTTTTCCAACGATATCGTTAAAGCAATCTAAATACCAATTTGCAGAATCCACAAAAATAGAGTTTCAAAGCTGCTCTGTAAAAAGAAAGGTTCCACTCTGTTAGCTGAGTACACACATCACAAACTTGTTTCTCAGAATCCTCTGTGTCGTTTTTATGGGAAGATATTTACTTTTTCACCGTAGGCATCAAAGCGCTCCAAATGTCCACATCCAGATACTCCAGAAAGAGTGTTTCAAACCTGCTCTATGAAAGGGAATCTTCAACTCTATGAGTTGAATGCAGACATCAGAAAGAAATTTCTGAGAATGCTGCTGTCTACCTTTTATTTGAATTCCCGCTTCCAACGAAATCCTCCAAGCTATCCAAATATCCACTTGCAGATTCCACAAAAAGAGTGTTTCAAAACTGCTCTCTATCAATGGCAAAGTTCAACTCTGTTAGTTGAGGACACATATCACCAACAAGTTTCTGAGAATGCTTCTGTCTATTTTTTATGGGAAGATATTTCCTTTTTCACCGTAGGCGTCAAGGCGATCGAAATGTCCACTTCCACAAACTACAAAAAGTGTGTTTCAAACCTGCTCTATGAAAGGCCATGTTCATCTCTATGAGTCGAATGGAAATATCCGAAAGAAATTTCTGGGAATGCTGCTGTATAGTTTTTATACGAATTCCCGCTTCCAACGAAATCCTCAAAGCAATCCAAATATCCACTTGAAGAATCCACAAAAAGAGTGTTTCAAAACTGCTCTATCAATAGAAAGGTTCAAATCTTTTAGTTGAGTACACTCATCACGAACAAGTTTCTGAGAATGCTTCTGTCTGGCTTTTATTGGAAGACGTTTCCTTTTCACCAAAGGCATCAAAGCGCTCCAAATGTCCACTTCCAGATTCTTCCAAAAGAGTGTTTGAAAGGTGCTCAAAGTAAGGGAATGTTCAACTCTGTGACTTGAATGCAGATATCACCAAGTAGTTTCTAATAGTGCTTCTGTCTAGATTTTAGATGATGATATTACCGTTTCCAACAAAATCGTTAGAGCTATCCAAATATCCACTTACAGTTTCTACAAAAAGAGTGTTTCCAAACTGCTGCATCAAAAGAAAGGTTCAACTCTGTTAGTTGAGGACACACATCACAAAGAAGTTTGTGAGAATGCTTCCTGTCTAGATTTTGTATGACGATATTCCCTTTTCCAACGATATCGTTAAAGCAATCTAAATATCAATTTGCAGAATCCACAAAAATAGAGTTTCAAAGCTGCTCTGTAAAAAGAAAGGTTCCACTCTTTTAGCTGAGTACACACATCACAAACTTGTTTCTGAGAATCCTTCTGTCTAGTTTTTATGGGAAGATATTTACTTTTTCACCGTAGGCATCAAAGCGCTCCAAATGTCCACATCCAGATACTCCAGAAAGAGTGTTTCAAACCTGCTCTATGAAAGGGAATCTTCAACTCTATGAGTTGAATGCAGACATCAGAAAGAAATTTCTGAGAATGCTGCTGTCTACCTTTTATTTGAATTCCCGCTTCCAACGAAATCCTCCAAGCTATCCAAATATCCACTTGCATTTTCCACAAAAAGAGTGTTTCAAAACTAATCTATCAATAGAAATGTTCAACTCCTTTAGCTGGGTACACACATCACAAACAAGTTTCTGAGAATGCTTCTGTCTAGTTTTTATGGGAAGACATTCCCTTTTTCACCAAAGGCATCAAAGCGCTCCAAATGTCCACTTCCAGACACTACAAAAAGAGTGTTTCAAACGTGCTCTAAGAAAGCGAATGTTCAACTCTGTGACTTGAATGCAGATATCACAATGTAGTTTCTGAGAGGGCTTCTGTCTAGATTTTAGATGATGATATTCCCGTTTCCAACGAAATCATTAGAGCTATCCAAATATCCACGTACAGTTTCTACAAAAAGAGTGTTTCCAAACTGCTGCATCAAAAGAGAGGTTCCACTCTGTTAGCTGAGTACACACATCACAAACTTGTTTCTCAGAATCCTTCTGTCTAGTTTTTACGGGAAGATATTTACTTTTTCACCGTAGGTATCAAAGCGCTCCAAATGTCCACATCCAGATACTACAGAAAGAGTGTTTCAAACCTGCTCTATGAAAGGGAATCTTCAACTCTATGAGTTGAATGCAGACATCAGAAAGTAATTTCTGAGAATGCTGCTGTCTACCTTTCATTTGAATTCCCGCTTCCAACGAAATCCTCCAAGCTATCCAAATATTCACTTGCAGATTCCACAAAAAGAGTGTTTCAAAACTACTCTATCAATAGAAAGGTACAACTGTGTCAGTTGAGGACACACATCACAAACAAGTTTCTGAGAATTCTTCAATTTTTTATGGGAAGACATTTCCTTTTTCACCGTAGGCATCAAAGCGCTCCAAATGTCCACATCCAGATAGTACAGAAAGAGTGTTTCAAACCTGCTCTATTAAAGGGAATGTTCAACTCTATGAGTTGAATGCAAACATCAGGAAGAAATTTCTGAGAATGCTGCTGTCTAGTGTTTATATGAATTCCCGCTTCCAACGAAATCCTCAAAGCAATCCAAATATCCACTTGCAGAATCCACAAAAAGAGTGTTTCAAAACTGCTCTATCAATAGAAAGGTTCAACTCTTTTAGTTGAGTACACACATCACGAACAAGTTTCTGAGAATGCTTCTGTCTGGCTTTTATTGGAAGACGTTTCCTTTTCACCAAAGGCATCAAAGCGCTCCAAATGTCCACTTCCAGATTCTTCCAAAAGAGTGTTTCAAACGTGCTCAAAGTAAGGGAATGTTCAACTCTGTGACTTGAATGCAGATATCACCAAGTAGTTTCTAATAGTGCTTCTGTCTAGATTTTAGATGATGATATTCCCGTTTCCAACGAAATCGTTAGAGCTATCCAATAATGCACTTACAGTTTCTACAAAAAGAGTGTTTCCAAACTGCTGCATCAAAAGAAAGGTTCAACTCTGTTAGTTGAGGACACACATCACAAAGAAGTTTGTGAGAATGCTTCTGTCTAGATTTTGTATGACCATATTCCCTTTTCCAACGATATCGTTAAAGCAATCTAAATATCAATTTGCAGAATCCACAAAAATAGAGTTTCAAAGCTGCTCTGTAAAAAGAAAGGTTCCACTCTGTTAGCTGAGTACACACATCACAAACTTGTTTCTGAGAATCCTTCTGTCTCGTTTTTATGGGAAGATATTTACTTTTCCACCGTAGGCATCAAAGCGCTCCAAATGTCCACATCCAGATACTCCAGAACGAGTGTTTCAAACCTGCTCTACGAAAGGGAATCTTCAACTCTATGAGTTGAATGCAGACATCAGAAAGAAATTTCTGAGAATGCTGCTGTCTACCTTTTATTTGAATTCCCGCTTCCAACGAAATCCTCCAAGCTATCCAAATATCCACTTGCATTTTCCACAACAAGAGTGTTTCAAAACTGCTCTATCAATAGAAATGTTCAACTCCTTTGGCTGGGTACACACATCACAAACAAGTTTCTGAGAATGCTTTTGTCTAGTTTTTATGGGAAGACATTCCCTTTTTCACCAAAGGCATCAAAGCGCTCCAAATGTCCACTTCCAGACACTACAAAAAGAGTGTTTCCAACGTGCTCTAAGAAAGCGAATGTTCAACTCTGTGACTTGAATGCAGATATCACAAAGTAGTTTCTGAGAGGGCTTCTGTCTAGATTTTAGATGATGATATTCCCGTTTCCAACGAAATCATTAGAGCTATCCAAATATCCACTTACAGTTTCTACAAAAAGAGAGTTTCCAAACTGCTGCATCAAAAGAGAGGTTCCACTCTGTTAGCTGAGTACACACATCACAAACTTGTTTACTCAGAATCCTTCTGTCTCGTTTTTATGGGAAGATATTTACTTTTCCACCGTAGGCATCAAAGCGCTCCAAATGTCCACATCCAGATACTCCAGAACGAGTGTTTCAAACCTGCTCTATGAAAGGGAATCTTCAACTCTATGAGTTGAATGCAGACATCAGAAAGAAATTTCTGAGAATGATGCTGTCTACCTTTTATTTGAATTCCCGCTTCCAACGAAATCCTCCAAGCTATCCAAATATCCACTTGCAGATTCCACAAAAAGAGTGTTTCAAAACTGCTCTCTATCAATGGCAAAGTTCAACTCTGTTAGTTGAGGACACATATCACCAACAAGTTTCTGAGAATGCTTCTGTCTATTTTTTATGGGAAGATATTTCCTTTTTCACCGTAGGCGTCAAGGCGATCGAAATGTCCACTTCCACAAACTACAAAAAGAGTGTTTCAAACCTGCTCTATGAAAGGCGATGTTCATCTCTATGAGTTGAATGGAAATATCCGAAAGAAATTTCTGGGAATGCTGCTGTCTAGTTTTTATATGAATTCCCGCTTCCAACGAAATCCTCAAAGCAATCCAAATATCCACTTGCAGAATCCACAAAAAGAGTGTTTCAAAACTGCTCTATCAATAGAAAGGTTCAACTGCTTTTAGTTGAGTACACACATCACGAACAAGTTTCTGAGAATGCTTCTGTCTGGCTTTTATTGGAAGACGTTTCCTTTTCACCAAAGGCATCAAAGCGCTCCAAATGTCCACTTCCAGATTCTTCCAAAAGAGTGTTTCAAACGTGCTCGAAGTAAGGGAATGTTCTACTCTGTGACTTGAATGCAGATATCACCAAGTAGTTTCTAATAGTGCTTCTGTCTACATTTTAGATGATGATATTCCCGTTTCCAACGAAATCGTTAGAGCTATCCAAATATCCAGTTACAGTTTCTACCAAAAGGGTGTTTGCAAATTGCTGCATCAAAAGAAAGGTTCAACTCTGTTAGTTGAGGACACACATCACAAAGAAGTTTGTGAGAATGCTTCTGTCTAGATTTTGTATGACGATATTCCCTTTTCCAACGATATCGTTAAAGCAATCTAAATATCGATTTGCAGAATCCACAAAAATAGAGTTTCAAAGCTGCTCTGTAAAAAGAAAGGTTCCACTCTGTTAGCTGAGTACACACATCACAAACTTGTTTCTCAGAATCCTTCTTCAATTTTTTATGGGAAGACATTTCCTTTTTCACCGTAGGCGTCAAAGCGCTCCAACTGTCCACATCCAGATAGTACAGAAAGAGTGTTTCAAACCTGCTCTATTAAAGGGAATGTTCAACTCTATGAGTTGAATGCAAACATCACAAAGAAATTTCTGAGAATGCTGCTGTCTACCTTTTATTTGAATTCCCGCTTCCAACGAAATCCTCCAAGCTATCCAAATATCCACCTGCATTTTCCACAAAAAGAGTGTTTCAAAACTGCTCTATCAATAGAAATGTTCAACTCCTTTGGCTGGGTACACACATCACAAACAAGTTTCTGAGAATGTTTCTGTCTAGTTTTTATGGGAAGACGTTCCCTTTTTCACCAAAGGCATCAAAGCGCTCCAAATGTCCACTTCCAGACACTACAAAAAGAGTGTTTCAAACGTGCTCTAAGAAAGCGAATGTTCAACTCTGTGACTTGAATGCAGATATCACAAAGTAGTTTCTGAGAGGACTTCTGTCTAGATTTTAGATGATGATATTCCCGTTTCCAACGAAATCATTAGAGCTATCCAAATATCCACTTACAGTTTCTACAAAAAGAGTGTTTCCAAACTGCTGCATCAAAAGAGAGGTTCCACTCTGTTAGCTGAGTACACACATCACAAACTTGTTTCTGAGTATCCTTCTGTCTCGTTTTTATGGGAAGAGATTTACTTTCTCACCGTAGGCATCAAAGCGCTCCAAATGTCCACATCCAGATACTACAGAAAGAGTATTTCAAACCTGTCCTATGAAAGGGAATGTTCAACTCTATGAGTTGAATGCAGACATCAGAAAGAAATTTCTGAGAATGCTGCTGTCTACCTTTTATTTGAATTCCCGCTTCCAACGAAATCCTCCAAGCTATCCAAATATTCACTTGCAGATTCCACAAAAAGAGTGTTTCAAAACTGCTCTCTATCAATGGCAAAGTTCAACTCTGTTAGTTGAGGACACATATCACCAACAAGTTTCTGAGAATGCTTCTGTCTATTTTTTATGGGAAGATATTTCCTTTTTCACCGTAGGCGTCAAGGCGATCGAAATGTCCACTTCCACAAACTACAAAAAGAGTGTTTCAAACCTGCTCTATGAAAGGCCATGTTCATCTCTATGAGTCGAATGGAAATATCCGAAAGAAATTTCTGGGAATGCTGCTGTCTAGTGTTTATACGAATTCCCGCTTCCAACGAAATCCTCAAAGCAATCCAAATATCCACTTGCAGAATCCGCAAAAAGAGTGTTTCAAAACTGCTCTATCAATAGAAAGGTTCAACTCTTTTAGTTGAGTACACACATCACGAACAAGTTTCTGAGAATGCTTCTGTCTGGCTTTTATTGGAAGACGTTTCCTTTTCACCAAAGGCATCAAAGCGCTCCAAATGTCCACTTCCAGATTCTTACAAAAGAGTGTTTGAAACGTGCTCAAAGTAAGGGAATGTTCAACTCTGTGACTTGAATGCAGATATCACCCAGTAGTTTCTAATAGTGCTTCTGTGTATACTTTAGATGAAGATATTCCCGTTTCCAACGATATCGTTAGACCTATCCAAATATCCACTTACAGTTTCTACAAAAAGAGTGTTTCCAAACTTCTGCATCAAAAGAAAGGTTCAACTCTGTTAGTTGAGGACAGACATCAGAAAGAAGTTTCTGAGAATGCTTCTGTCTGGATTTTGTATGAAGATATTCCCTTTTCCAACGATGTCGTTAAATCAACCCAAATATCAATTTGCAGAATCCACAGAAATAGAGTTTCAAAGCTGCTCTGTAAAAAGAAAGGATCCACTCTGTTAGCTGAGTACACACATCACAAACTTGTTTCTGAGAATCCTGCTGTCTACCTTTTATTTGAATTCCCGCTTCCAACGAAATCCTCCAAGCTATCCAAATATCCACTTGCAGATTCCACAAAAAGAGTGTTTCAAAACTGCTCTCTATCAATGGCAAAGTTCAACTCTGTTAGTTGAGGACACATATCACCAACAAGTTTCTGAGAATGCTTCTGTCTATTTTTTATGGGAAGATATTTCCTTTTTCACCGTAGGCGTCAAGGCGATCGAAATGTCCACTTCCACAAACTACAAAAAGAGTGTTTCAAACCTGCTCTATGAAAGGCCATGTTCATCTCTATGAGTTGAATGGAAATATCCGAAAGAAATTTCTGGGAATGCTGCTGTCTAGTGTTTATACGAATTCCCGCTTCCAACGAAATCCTCAAAGCAATCCAAATATCCACTTGCAGAATCCACAAAAAGAGTGTTTCAAAACTGCTCTATCAATAGAAAGGTTCAACTCTTTTAGTTGAGTACACACATCACAAACAAGTTTCTGAGAATGTTTCTGTCTGGCTTTTATTGGAAGACGTTTCCTTTTCACCAAAGGCATCAAAGCGCTGCAAATGTCCACTTCCAGATTCTTCCAAAAGAGTGTTTCAAACGTGCTCAAAGTAAGGGAATGTTCAACTCTGTGACTTGAATGCAGATATCACCAAGTAGTTTCTAATAGTGCTTCTGTCTAGATTTTAGATGATGATATTCCCGTTTCCAATGAAATAGTTAGAGCTATCCAAATATCCACTTACAGTTTCTACCAAAAGGGTGTTTCCAAACTGCTGCATCAAAAGAAAGGTTCAACTCTGTTAGTTGAGGACACACATCACAAAGAAGTTTGTGAGAATGCTTCTATCTAGATTTTGTATGACCATATTCCCTTTTCCAGCGATAACATTAAATCAATCTAAATATCCATTTGCAGAATCCACAAAAATAGAGTTTCAAAGCTGCTCTGTAAAAAGAAAGGTTCCACTCTGTTAGCTGAGTACACACATCACAAACTTGTTTCTCAGAATCCTTCTGTCTCGTTTTTCTGGGAAGATATTTACTTTTTCACCGTAGGCATCAAAGCGCTCCAAATGTCCACATCCAGATACTCCAGAAAGAGTGTTTCAAACCTGCTGCTATGAAAGGGAATCTTCAACTCTATGAGTTGAATGCAGACATCAGAAAGAAATTTCTGAGAATGCTGCTGTCTACCTTTTATTTGAATTCCCGCTTCCAACGAAATCCTCCAAGCTATCCAAATATCCACTTGCATTTTCCACAAAAAGAGTGTTTCAAAACTGCTCTATCAATGGAAATGTTCAACTCCTTTAGCTGGGTACACACATCACAAACAAGTTTCTGAGAATGCTTCTGTCTAGTTTTTATGGGAAGACATTCCCTTTTTCACCAAAGGCATCAAAGCGCTCCAAATGTCCACTTCCAAACACTACAAAAAGAGTGTTTCCAACGTGCTCTAAGAAAGCGAATGTTCAACTCTGTGACTTGAATGCAGATATCACAAAGTAGTTTCTGAGAGGGCTTCTGTCTAGATTTTAGATGATGATATTCCCGTTTCCAACGAAATCATTAGAGCTATCCAAATATCCACTTACAGTTTCTACAAAACGAGTGTTTCCAAACTGCTGCTTCAAAAGAGAGGTTCCACTCTGTTAGCTGAGTACACACATCACAAACTTCTTTCTGAGAATCCTTCTGTCTCGTTTTTATGGGAAGATTATACTTTTTCACCGTAGGCATCAAAGCGCTCCAAATGTCCACATCCAGATACTCCAGAAAGAGTGTTTCAAACCTGCTCTATGAAAGGGAATGTTCAACTCTATGAGTTGAATGCAGACATCAGAAAGAAATTTCTGAGAATGCTGCTGTCTACCTTTTATTTGAATTCCCGCTTCCAACGAAATCCTCCAAGCTATCCAAATATCCACTTGCAGATTCCACAAAAAGAGTGTTTCAAAACTGCTCTCTATCAATGGCAAAGTTCAACTCTGTTAGTTGAGGACACATATCACCAACAAGTTTCTGAGAATGCTTCTGTCTATTTTTTATGGGAAGATATTTCCTTTTTCACCGTAGGCGTCAAGGCGATCGAAATGTCCACTTCCACAAACTACAAAAAGAGTGTTTCAAACCTGCTCTATGAAAGGCCATGTTCATCTCTATGAGTTGAATGGAAATATCCGAAAGAAATTTCTGGGAATGCTGCTGTCTAGTTTTTATACGAATTCCCGCTTCCAACGAAATCCTCAAAGCAATCCAAATATCCACTTGCAGAATCCACAAAAAGAGTGTTTCAAAACTGCTCTATCAATAGAAAGGTTCAACTCTTTTAGTTGAGTACACACACCACAAACAAGTTTCTGAGAATGCTTCTGTCTGGCTTTTATTGGAAGACGTTTCCTTTTCACCAAAGGCATCAAAGCGCTCCAAATGTCCACTTCCAGATTCTTCCAAAAGAGTGTTTCAAACGTGCTCAAAGTAAGGGAATGTTCAACTCTGTGACTTGAATGCAGATATCACCAAGTAGTTTCTAATAGTGCTTCTGTCTAGATTTTAGATGATGATATTCCCGTTTCCAACGAAATCTTTAGAGCTATCCAAATATCCAGTTACAGTTTCTACCAAAAGGGTGTTTCCAAATTGCTGCATCAAAAGAAAGGTTCAACTCTGTTAGTTGAGGACACACATCACAAAGAAGTTTGTGAGAATGCTTCTTTCTAGATTTTGTATGACGATATTCCCTTTTCCAACGATATCGTTAAAGCAATCTAAATATCAATTTGCAGAATCCACAAAAATAGAGTTTCAAAGCTGCTCTGTAAAAAGAAAGGTTCCACTCTGTTAGCTGAGTACACACATCACAAACTTGTTTCTGAGAATCCTTCTGTCTCGTTTTTATGGGAACATATTTAGTTTTTCACCGTAGGCATCAAAGCGGTCCAAATGGCCACTTCCAGATACTCCAGAAAGAGTGTTTCAAACCTGCTCTATGAAAGGGAATCTTCAACTCTATGAGTTGAATGCAGACATCAGAAAGAAATTTCTGAGAATGCTGCTGTCTACCTTTTATTTGAATTCCCGCTTCCAACGAAATCCTCCAAGCTATCCAAATATCCACTTGCAGTTTCCACAAAAAGAGTGTATCAAAACTGCTCTATCAATAGAAATGTTCAACTCCTTTAGCTGGGTACACACATCACAAACAAGTTTCTGAGAATGCTTCTGTCTAGTTTTTATGGGAAGACGTTCCCTTTTTCACCAAAGCCATCAAAGCGCTCCAAATGTCCACTTCCAGACACTACAAAAAGAGTGTTTCAAACGTGCTCTAAGAAAGCGAATGTTCAACTCTGTGACTTGAATGCAGATATCACAAAGTAGTTTCTGAGAGTGCTTCTGTCTAGATTTTAGATGATGATATTCCCGTTTCCAACGAAATCATTAGAGCTATCCAAATATCCACTTACAGTTTCTACAAAAAGAGTGTTTCCAAACTGCTGCATCAAAAGAGAGGTTCCACTCTGTTATCTGAGTACACACATCACAAACTTGTTTCTCAGAATCCTTCTGTCTCGTTTTTATGGGAAGATATTTACTTTTCCACCGTAGGCATCAAAGCGCTCCAAATGTCCACATCCAGATACTCCAGAAAGAGTGTTTCAAACCTGCTCTATGAAAGGGAATCTTCAACTCTATGAGTTGAATGCAGACATCAGAAAGAAATTTCTGAGAATGCTGCTGTCTACCTTTTATTTGAATTCCCGCTTCCAACGAAATCCTCCAAGCTATCCAAATATCCACTTGCAGATTCCACAAAAAGAGTGTTTCAAAACTGCTCTCTATCAATGGCAAAGTTCAACTCTGTTAGTTGAGGACACATATCACCAACAAGTTTCTGAGAATGCTTCTGTCTATTTTTTATGGGAAGATATTTCCTTTATCACCGTAGGCGTCAAGGCGATCGAAATGTCCACTTCCACAAACTACAAAAAGAGTGTTTCAAACCTGCTCTATGAAAGGCCATGTTCATCTCTATGAGTTGAATGGAAATATCCGAAAGAAATTTCTGGGAATGCTGCTGTCTAGTGTTTATACGAATTCCCGCTTCCAACGAAATCCTCAAAGCAATCCAAATATCCACTTGCAGAATCCACAAAAAGAGTGTTTCAAAACTGCTCTATCAATAGAAAGGTTCAACTCTTTTAGTTGAGTACACACATCACGAACAAGTTTCTGAGAATGCTTCTGTCTGGCTTTTATTGGAAGACGTTTCCTTTTCACCAAAGGCATCAAAGCGCTCCAAATGTCCACTTCCAGATTCTTCCAAAAGAGTGTTTCAAACGTGCTCGAAGTAAGGGAATGTTCTACTCTGTGACTTGAATGCAGATATCACCAAGTAGTTTCTAATAGTGCTTCTGTCTAGATTTTAGATGATGATATTCCCGTTTACAACGAAATCGTTAGAGCTATCCAAATATCCAGTTACAGTTTCTACCAAAAGGCTGTTTCCAAATTGCTGCATCAAAAGAAAGGTTCAACTCTGTTAGTTGAGGACACACATCACAAAGAAGTTTGTGAGAATGCTTCTGTCTAGATTTTGTATGACGATATTCCCTTTTCCAACGATATCGTTAAAGCAATCTAAATATCAATTTGCAGAATCCACAGAAATAGAGTTTCAAAGCTGCTCTGTAAAAAGAAAGGTTCCACTCTGTTAGCTGAGTACACACATCACAAACTTGTTTCTCAGAATCCTTCTGTCTCGTTTTTATGGGAAGATATTTACTTTTCCACCGTAGGCATCAAAGCGCTCCAAATGTCCACATCCAGATACTCCAGAACGAGTGTTTCAAACCTGCTCTATGAAAGGGAATCTTCAACTCTATGAATTGAATGCAGACATCAGAAAGAAATTTCTGAGAATGCTGCTGTCTACCTTTTATTTGAATTCCCGCTTCCAACGAAATCCCCCAAGCAATCCAAATATCCACTTGCATTTTCCACAAAAAGAGTGTTTCAAAACTGCTCTATCAATAGAAATGTTCAACTCCTTTAGCTGGGTACACACATCACAAACAAGTTTCTGAGAATGCTTCTGTCTAGTTTTTATGGGTAGACATTCCCTTTTTCACCAAAGGAATCAAAGCGCTCCAAATGTCCACTTCCAGACACTACAAAAAGAGTCTTTCAAACGTGCTCTAAGAAAGGGAATGTTCAACTCTGTGACTTGAATGCAGATATCACAAAGTAGTTTCTGAGAGTGCTTCTGTCTAGATTTTAGATGATGATATTCCCGTTTCCAATGAAATCATTAGAGCTATCCAAATATCCACATACAGTTTCTACAAAAAGAGTGTTTCCAAACTGCTGCATCAAAAGAGAGGTTCCACTCTGTTAGCTGAGTACACACATCACAAACTTGTTTCTTAGAATCCTTCTGTCTCGTTTTTATGGGAAGATATTTACTTTCTCACCGTAGGCATCAAAGCGCTCCAAATGTCCACATCCAGATACTCCAGAAAGAGTGTTTCAAACCTGCTCTATGAAAGGGAATCTTCAACTCTATGACTTGAATGCAGACATCAGAAAGAAATTTCTGAGAATGCTGCTGTCTACCTTTTATTTGAATTCCCGCTTCCAACGAAATCCTCCAAGGTATCCAAATATCCACTTGCAGATTCCACAAAAAGAGTGTTTCAAAACTGCTCTCTATCAATGGCAAAGTTCAACTCTGTTAGTTGAGGACACATATCACCAACAAGTTTCTGAGAATGCTTCTGTCTATTTTTTATGGGAAGATATTTCCTTTTTCACCGTAGGCGTCAAGGCGATCGAAATGTCCACTTCCACAAACTACAAAAAGAGTGTTTCAAACCTGCTCTATGAAAGGCCATGTTCATCTCTATGAGTCGAATGGAAATATCCGAAAGAAATTTCTGGGAATGCTGCTGTCTAGTGTTTATACGAATTCCCGCTTCCAACGAAATCCTCAAAGCAATCCAAATATCCACTTGCAGAATCCACAAAAAGAGTGTTTCAAAACTGCTCTATCAATAGAAAGGTTCAACTCTTTTAGTTGAGTACACACATCACGAATAAGTTTCTGAGAATGCTTCTGTCTGGCTTTTATTGGAAGACGTTTCCTTTTCACCAAAGGCATCAAAGCGCTCCAAATGTCCACTTCCAGATTCTTCCAAAAGAGTGTTTCAAACGTGCTGAAAGTAAGGGAATGTTCAACTCTTTGACTTGAATGCAGATATCACCAAGTAGTTTCTAATAGTGCTTCTGTCTAGATTTTAGATGATGATATTCCCGTTTCCAACGAAATCGTTAGAGCTATCCAAATATCCACTTACAGTTTCTACCAAAAGGGTGTTTCCAAACTGCTGCATCAAAAGAAAGCTTCAACTCTGTTAGTTGAGGACACACATCACAAAGAAGTTTGTGAGAATGCTTCTGTCTAGATTTTGTATGACCATATTCCCTTTTCCAGCGATATCATTAAAGCAATCTAAATATCCATTTGCAGAATCCACAAAAATAGAGTTTCAAAGCTGCTCTGTAAAAAGAAAGGTTCCACTCTGTTAGCTGAGTACACACATCACAAACTTGTTTCTGAGAATCCTTCTGTCTCGTTTTTATGGGAAGATATTTACTTTTTCACCGTAGGCATCAAAGCGCTCCAAATGTCCACATCCAGATACTCCAGAAAGAGTGTTTCAAATCTGCTCTATGAAAGGGAATCTTCAACTCTATGAGTTGAATGCAGACATCAGAAAGAAATTTCTGAGAATGCTGCTGTCTACCTTTTATTTGAATTCCCGCTTCCAACGAAATCCTCCAAGCTCTCCAAATATCCACTTGCATTTTCCACAAAAAGAGTGTTTCAAAACTGCTCTATCAATAGAAATGTTCAACTCCTTTAGCTGGGTACACACATCACAAACAAGTTTCTGAGAATGCTTCTGTCTAGTTTTTATGGGAAGACATTCCCTTTTTCACCAAAGGCATCAAAGCGCTCCAAATGTCCACTTCCAGACACTACAAAAAGAGTGTTTCCAACGTGCTCTAAGAAAGCGAATGTTCAACTCTGTGACTTGAATGCAGATATCACAAAGTAGTTTCTGAGAGGGCATCTCTCTAGATTTTAGATGATGATATTCCCGTTTCCAACGAAATCATTAGAGCTATCCAAATATCCACTTACAGTTTCTACAAAAAGAGTGTTTCCAAACTACTGCATCAAAAGAGAGGTTCCACTCTGTTAGCTGAGTACACACATCACAAACTTGTTTCTCAGAATCCTTCTGTGTCGTTTTTATGGGAAGATATTTACTTTTTCACCGTAGGCATCAAAGCGCTCCAAATGTCCACATCCAGATACTCCAGAAAGAGTGTTTCAAACCTGCTCTATGAAAGGGAATCTTCAACTCTATGAGTTGAATGCAGACATCAGAAAGAAATTTCTGAGAATGCTGCTGTCTACCTTTCATTTGAATTCCCGCTTCCAACGAAATCCTCCAAGCTATCCAAATATTCACTTGCAGATTCCACAAAAAGAGTGTTTCAAAACTACTCTATCAATAGAAAGGTACAACTCTGTCAGTTGAGGACACACATCACAAACAAGTTTCTGAGAATTCTTCTGTCTATTTTTTATGGGAAGATATTTCCTTTTTCACCGTAGGCGTCAAGGCGATCGAAATGTCCACTTCCACAAACTACAGAAAGAGTGTTTCAAACCTGCTCTATGAAAGGCCATGTTCATCTCTATGAGTTGAATGGAAATATCCGAAAGAAATTTCTGGGAATGCTGCTGTCTAGTGTTTATACGAATTCCCGCTTCCAACGAAATCCTCAAAGCAATCCAAATATCCACTTGCAGAATCCACAAAAAGAGTGTTTCAAAACTGCTCTATCAATAGAAAGGTTCAACTCTTTTAGTTGAGTACACACATCACGGACAAGTTTCTCAGAATGCTTCTGTCTGGCTTTTATTGGAAGACGTTTCCTTTTCACCAAAGGCATCAAAGCGCTCCAAATGTCCACTTCCAGATTCTTCCAAAAGAGTGTTTCAAACGTGCTCAAAGTAAGGGAATGTTCAACTCTTTGACTTGAATGCAGATATCACCAAGTAGTTTCTAATAGTGCTTCTGTCTAGATTTTAGATGATGATATTCCCGTTTCCAACGAAATCGCTAGAGCTATCCAAATATCCAGTTACAGTTTCTACCAAAAGGGTGTTTCCAAATTGCTGCATCAAAAGAAAGGTTCAACTCTGTTAGTTGAGGACACACATCACAAAGAAGTTTGTGAGAATGCTTCTGTCTAGATTTTGTATGAAGATATTCCCTTTTCCAACGATATCGTTAAATCAACCCAAATATCAATTTGCAGAATCCACAGAAATAGAGTTTCAAAGCTGCTCTGTAAAAAGAAAGGATCCACTCTGTTAGCTGAGTACACACATCACAAACTTGTTTCTGAGAATCCTTCTGTCTCGTTTTTATGGGAAGATATTTACTTTTCCACCGTAGGCATCAAAGCGCTCCAAATGTCCACATCCAGATACTCCAGAACGAGTGTTTCAAACCTGCTCTATGAACGGGAATCTTCAACTCTATGAGTTGAATGCAGACATCAGAAAGAAATTTCTGAGAATGCTGCTGTCTATCTTTTATTTGAATTCCCGCTTCCAATGAAAACCTCCAAGCTATCCAAATATCCACTTGCAGATTCCACAAAAAGAGTGTTTCAAAACTGCTCTATCAATAGAAATATTCAACTCCTTTCGCTGGGTACACACATCACAAACAAGTTTCTGAGAATGCTTCTGTCTAGCTTTTATGGGAAGACATTTCCTTTTTCACCAAAGGCATCAAAGAGCTCCAAATGTCCACTTCCAGATACTACAAAAAGAGTGTTTCAAAAGTGCTCTAAGAAAGCGAATGTTCAACTCTGTGACTTGAATGCAGATATCACAAAGTAGTTTCTGAGAGTGCTTCAGTCTAGATTTTAGATGATGATATTCCCGTTTCCAATGAAATCATTAGAGCTTTCCAAATATCCACTTACAGTTTCTACAAAAAGAGTGTTTCCAAACTGCTGCATCAAAAGAGAGGTTCCACTCTGTTAGCTGAGTACACACATCACAAACTTGTTTCTGAGAATCCTTCTGTCTCGTTTTTATGGGAAGATATTTACTTTTGCACCGTAGGCATCAAAGCGCTCCAAATGTCCACATCCAGATACTCCAGAACGAGTGTTTCAAACCTGCTCTATGAAAGGGAATCTTCAACTCTATGAGTTGAATGCAGACATCAGAAAGAAATTTCTGAGAATGCTGCTGTCTACCTTTTATTTGAATTCCCGCTTCCAACGAAATCCTCCAAGCTATCCAAATATCCACTTGCAGATTCCACAAAAAGACTGTTTCAAAACTGCTCTCTATCAATGGCAAAGTTCAACTCTGTTAGTTGAGGACACATATCACCAACAAGTTTCTGAGAATGCTTCTGTCTATTTTTTATGGGAAGATATTTCCTTTTTCACCGTAGGCATCAAGGCGATTGAAATGTCCACTTCCACAAACTACAAAAAGAGTGTTTCAAACCTGCTGTATGAAAGGCCATGTTCACCTCTATGAGTTGAATGGAAATATCCGAAAGAAATTTCTGGGAATGCTGCTGTCTAGTGTTTATACGAATTCCCGCTTCCAACGAAATCCTCAAAGCAATCCAAATATCCACTTGCAGAATCCACAAAAAGAGTGTTTCAAAACTGCTCTATCAATAGAAAGGTTCAACTCTTTTAGTTGAGTACACACATCACGAACAAGCTTCTGAGAAGGCTTCTGTCTGGCTTTTATTGGAAGACGTTTCCTTTTCACCAAAGGCATCAAAGCGTTCCAAATGTCCACTTCCAGATTCTTCCAAAAGAGTGTTTCAAACGTGCTCAAAGTAAGGGAATGTTCAACTCTTTGACTTGAATGCAGATATCACCAAGTAGTTTCTAGATCTGTCTACATTTTAGATGATGATATTCCCGTTTCCAACGAAATCGTTAGAGCTATCCAAATATCCAGTTACAGTTTCTACCAAAAGGGTGTTTCCAAATTGCTGCATCAAAAGAAAGGTTCAACTACTGTTAGTTGAGGACACACATCACAAAGAAGTTTGTGAGAATGCTTCTGTCTAGATTTTGTATGAGGATATTCCCTTTTCCAACGATATCGTTAAAGCAATCTAAATATCAATTTGCAGAATCCACAAAAATAGAGTTTGAAAGCTGCTCTGTAAAAAGAAAGGTTCCACTCTGTTAGCTGAGTACACACATCACAAACTTGTTTCTCAGAATCCTGCTGTCTACCTTTTATTTGAATTCCCGCTTCCAACGAAATCCTCCAAGCTATCCAAATATCCTCCTGCATTTTCCACAACAAGAGTGTTTCAAAACTGCTCTATCAATAGAAATGTTCAACTCCTTTGGCTGGGTACACACATCACAAACAAGTTTCCTGAGAATGCTTCTGTCTAGTTTTTATGGGAAGACATTTCCTTTTTCACCAAAGGCATCAAAGAGCTCCAAATGTCCACTTCTAGATACTACAAAAAGAGTGTTTCAAAAGTGCTCTAAGAAAGCGAATGTTCAACTCTGTGACTTGAATGCAGATATCAACAAGTAGTTTCTGAGAGTGCTTCTGTCTAGATTTTAGATGATGATATTCCCGTTTCCAACGAAATCATTAGAGCTATCCAAATAAACACTTACAGTTTCTACAAAAAGAGTGTTTCCAAACTGCTGCATCAAAAGAGAGGTTCCACTCTGTTAGCTGAGTACACACATCACAAACTTGTTTCTCAGAATCCTTCTGTCTCGTTTTTATGGGAAGATATTTACTTTCTCACCGTAGGCATCAAAGCGCTCCAAATGTCCACATCCAGATACTCCAGAAAGAGTGTTTCAAACCTGCTCTATGAAAGGGAATCTTCAACTCTATGAGTTGAATGCAGACATCAGAAAGAAATTTCTGAGAATGCTGCTGTCTACCTTTTATTTGAATTCCCGCTTCCAACGAAATCCTCCAAGCTATCCAAATATCCACTTGCAGATTCCACAAAAAGAGTGTTTCAAAACTGCTCTCTATCAATGGCAAAGTTCAATTCTGTTAGTTGAGGACACATATCACCAACAAGTTTCTGAGAATGCTTCTGTCTATTTTTTATGGGAAGATATTTCCTTTTTCACCGCAGGCGTCAAGGTGATCGAAATGTCTACTTCCACAAACTACAAAAAGAGTGTTTCAATATGAAAGGCCATGTTCATCTCTATGAGTTGAATGGAAATATCCGAAAGAAATTTCTGGGAATGCTGCTGTCTAGTGTTTATACGAATTCCCGCTTCCAACGAAATCCTCAAAGCAATCCAAATATCCACTTGCAGAATCCACAAAAAGAGTGTTTCAAAACTGCTCTATCAATAGAAAGGTTCAACTCTTTTAGTTGAGTACACACATCACGAACAAGTTTCTGAGAATGCTTCTGTCTGGCTTTTATTGGAAGACGTTTCCTTTTCACCAAAGGCATCAAAGCGCTCCAAATGTCCACTTCCAGATTCTTCCAAAAGAGTGTTTCAAACGTGCTCAAAGTAAGCGAATGTTCAACTCTGTGACTTGAATGCAGATATCACCAAGTAGTTTCTAATAGTGCTTCTGTCTATATTTTAGATGATGATATTCCCGTTTCCAACGAAATCGTTAGAGCTATCCAAATATCCAGTTACAGTTTCTACCAAAAGGGTGTTTCCAAATTGCTGCATCAAAAGAAAGGTTCAACTCTGTTAGTTGAGGACACACATCACAAAGAAGTTTGTGAGAATGCTTCTGTCTAGATTTTGTATGACGATATTCCGTTTTCCAACGATATCGTTAAAGCAATCTAAATATCAATTTGCAGAATCCACAAAAATAGAGTTTCAAAGCTGCTCTGTAAAAAGAAAGGTTCCACTCTGTTAGCTGAGTACACACATCACAAACTTGTTTCTGAGAATCCTTCTGTCTCGTTTTTATGGGAAGATATTTACTTTTCCACCGTAGGCATCAAAGCGCTCCAAATGTCCACATCCAGATACTCCAGAACGAGTGTTTCAAACCTGCTCTATGAAAGGGAATCTTCAACTGTATGAGTTGAATGCAGACATCAGAAAGAAATTTCTGAGAATGCTTGCTGTCTACCTTTTATTTGAATTCCCGCTTCCAACGAAAACCTACAAGCTATCCAAATATCCACTTGCAGATTCCACAAAAAGAGTGTTTCAAAACTGCTCTATCAATAGAAATGTTCAACTCCTTTCGCTGGGTACACACATCACAAACAAGTTTCTGAGAAAGCTTCTGTCTAGTTTTTATGGGAAGATATTCCCTTTTTCACCAAAGGCATCAAAGCGCTCCAAATTTCCACTTCCAGACACTACAAAAAGAGTGTTTCAAACGTGCTCTAAGAAAGCGAATGTTCAACTCTGTGACTTGAATGCAGATATCACAAAGTAGTTTTTGAGAGGGCTTCTGTCTAGATTTTAGATGATGATATTCCCGTTTCCAACGAAATCATTAGAGCTATCCAAATATCCACTTACAGTTTCTACAAAAAGAGTGTTTCCACACTGCTGCATCAAAAGAGAGGTTCCACTCTGTTAGCTGAGTACACACATCACAAACTTGTTTCTCAGAATCCTTCTGTCTCGTTTTTATGGGAAGATATTTACTTTTTCACCGTAGGCATCAAAGCGCTCCAAATGTCCACATCCAGATACTCCAGAAAGAGTGTTTCAAACCTGCTCTATGAAAGGGAATGTTCAACTCTATGAGTTGAATGCGGACATCAGAAAGAAATTTCTGAGAATGCTGCTGTCTACCTTTAATTTGAATTCCCGCTTCCAACGACATCCTCCAAGCTATCCAAATATCCACTTGCAGATTCCACAAAAAGAGTGTTTCAAAACTGCTCTCTATCAATGGCAAAGTTCAACTCTGTTAGTTGAGGACACATATCACCAACAAGTTTCTGAGAATGCTTCTGTCTATTTTTTATGGGAAGATATTTCCTTTTTCACCGTAGGCGTCAAGGCGATCGAAATGTCCACTTCCACAAACTACAAAAAGAGTGTTTCAAACCTGCTCTATGAAAGGCCATGTTCATCTCTATGAGTTGAATGGAAATATCCGAAAGAAATTTCTGGGAATGCTGCTGTCTAGTGTTTATACGAATTCCCGCTTCCAACGAAATCCTCAAAGCAATCCAAATATCCACTTGCAGAATCCACAAAAAGAGCGTTTCAAAACTGCTCTATCAATAGAAAGGTTCAACTCTTTTAGTTGAGTACACACATCACGAACAAGTTTCTGAGAATGCTTCTGTCTGGCTTTTATTGGAAGACGTTTCCTTTTCACCAAAGGCATCAAAGGGCTCCAAATGTCCACTTCCAGATTCTTCCAAAAGAGTGTTTCAAACGTGCTCGAAGTAAGGGAATGTTCAACTCTGTGACTTGAATGCAGATATCACCAAGTAGTTTCTAATAGTGCTTCTGTCTAGATTTTAGATGATGATATTCCCGTTTCCAACGAAATCGTTAGAGCTATCCAAATATCCAGTTACAGTTTCTACCAAAAGGGTGATTCCAAACTGCTGCATCAAAAGAAAGGTTCAACTCTGTTAGTTGAGGACACACATCACAAAGAAGTTTGTGAGAATGCTTCTGTCTAGATTTTGTATGACCATATTCCCTTTTCCAGCGATATCGTTAAAGCAATCTAAATATCCATTTGCAGAATCCACAAAAATAGAGTTTCAAAGCTGCTCTGTAAAAAGAGAGGTTCCACTCTGTTAGCTGAGTACACACATCACAAACTTGTTTCTCAGAATCCTGCTGTCTAACTTTTATTTGAAATTCCCGCTTCCAACGAAATCCTCCAAGCTATCCAAATATCCACCTGCATTTTCCACAAAAAGAGTGTTTCAAAACTGCTCTATCAATAGAAATGTTCAACTCCTTTGGCTGGGTACACACATCACAAACAAGTTTCTGAGAATGCTTCTGTCTAGTTTTTATGGGAAGACATTCCCTGTTTCACCAAAGGCATCAAAGCGCTCCAAATGTCCACTTCCAGACACTACAAAAAGAGTGTTTCAAACGTGCTCTAAGAAAGCGAATGTTCAACTCTCTGACTTGAATGCAGATATCACAAAGTAGTTTCTGAGAGGGCTTCTGTCTAGATTTTAGATGATGATATTCCCGTTTCCAACGAAATCATTAGAGCTATCCAAATATCCACTTACGGTTTCTACAAAAAGAGTGTTTCCAAACTGCTGCATCAAAAGAGAGGTTCCACTCTGTTAGCTGAGTACACACATCACAAACTTATTTCTCAGAATCCTTCTTCAATTTTTTATGGGAAGACATTTCCTTTTTCACCGTAGGCGTCAAAGCGCTCCAATTATCCACATCCAGATACTACAGAAAGAGTGTTTCAAACCTGCTCTATTAAAGGGAATGTTCAACTCTATGAGTTGAATGCAAACATCAGAAAGAAATTTCTGAGAATGCTGCTGTCTACCTTTTATTTGAATTCCCGCTTCCAACGAAAACCTACAAGCTATCCAAATATCCACTTGCAGATTCCACAAAAAGAGTGTTTCAAAAATGCTCTATCAATAGAAATGTTCAACTCCTTTCGCTGGGTACACACATCACAAACAAGTTTCTGAGAAAGCTTCTGTCTAGTTTTTATGGGAAGACATCTCCTTTTTCACCAAAGGCATCAAAGAGCTCCAAATGTCCACTTCCAGATACGACAAAAAGAGTGTTTCAAAAGTGCTCTAAGAAAGCGAATGTTCAACTCTGTGACTTGAATGCAGATATCACAAAGTAGTTTCTGAGAGTGCTTCTGTCTAGATTTTAGATGATGATATTCCCGTTTCCAACGAAATCATTAGAGCTATCCAAATATCCACTTACAGTTTCTACAAAAAGAGTGTTTCCAAACTGCTGCTTCAAAAGAGAGGTTCCACTCTGTTAGCTGAGTACACACATCACAAACTTGTTTCTGAGAATCCTTCTGTCTCGTTTTTATGGGAAGATATTTACTTTTTCACCGTAGGCATCCAAGCGCTCCAAATGTCCACATCCAGATACTCCAGAAAGAGTGTTTCAAACCTGCTCTAGGAAAGGGAATCTTCAACTCTATGAGTTGAATGCAGACATCAGAAAGAAATTTCTGAGAATGCTGCTGTCTACCTTTTATTTGAATTCCTGCTTCCAACGAAAACCTCCAAGCTATCCAAATATCCACTTGCAGATTCCACAAAAAGAGTGTTTCAAAACTGCTCTATCAATAGAAATGTTCAACTCCTTTCGCTGGGTACACACATCACAAACAAGTTTCTGAGAATGCTTCTGCCTAGTTTTTATGGGAAGACATTTCCTTTTTCACCAAAGGCATCAAAGAGCTCCAAATGTCCACTTCCAGATACTACAAAAAGAGTGTTTCAAAAGTGCTCTAAGAAAGCGAATGTTCAACTCTGTGACTTGAATGCAGATATCACAAAGTAGTTTCTGAGAGTGCTTCTGTCTAGATTTTAGATGATGATATTCCCTTTTCCAACGAAATCATTAGAGCTATCCAAATATCCACTTACAGTTTCTACAAAAAGAGTGTTTCCAAACTGCTGAATCAAAACAGAGGTTCCACTCTGTTAGCTGAGTACACACATCACAAACTTGTTTCTCAGAATCCTTGCTGTCTACCTTTAATTTGAATTCCCGCTTCCAACGAAATCCTCCAAGCTATCCAAATATCCACTTGCAGATTCCACAAAAAGAGTGTTTCAAAACTGCTCTCTATCAATGGCAAAGTTCAACTCTGTTAGTTGAGGACACATATCACCAACAAGTTTCTGAGAATGCTTCTGTCTATTTTTTATGGGAAGATATTTCCTTTTTCACCGTTGGCGTCAAGGCGATCGAAATGTCCACTTCCACAAACTACAAAAAGAGTGTTTCAAACCTGCTCTATGAAAGGCCATGTTCATCTCTATGAGTTGAATGGAAATATCCGAAAGAAATTTCTGGGAATGCTGCTGTCCAGTTTTTATACGAATTCCCGCTTCCAACGAAATCCTCAATGCAATCCAAATATCCACTTGCAGAATCCACAAAAAGAGTGTTTCAAAACTGCTCTATCAATAGAAAGGTTCAAATCTTTTAGTTGAGTACACACATCACGAACAAGTTTCTGAGAATGCTTCTGTCTGGCTTTTATTGGAAGACGATTCCTTTTCACCAAAGGCATCATCAAAGCGCTCCAAATGTCCACTTCCAGATTCTTCCAAAAGAGTGTTTGAAACGTGCTCAAAGTAAGGGAATGTTCAACTCTGTGACTTGAATGCAGATATCACCAAGTAGTTTCTAATAGTGCTTCTGTCTAGATTTTAGATGATGATATTCCCGTTTCCAACGAAATCGTTAGAGCTATCCAAATATCCAGTTACAGTTCCTACCAAAAGGGTGTTTCCAAACTGCTGCATCAAAAGAAAGGTTCAACTCTATTAGTTGAGGACACACATCACAAAGAAGTTTGTGAGAATGCTTCTGTCTAGATTTTGTATGACGATATTCCCTTTTCCAACGATATCGTTAAAGCAATCTAAATATCCATTTGCAGAATCCACAAAAATAGAGTTTCAAAGCTGCTCTGTAAAAAGAAAGGTTCCACTCTGTTAGCTGAGTACACACATCACATACTTGTTTCTCAGAATCCTTCTTCAATTTTTTATGGGAAGACATTTCCTTTTTCACCGTAGGCGTCAAAGCGCTCCAAATGTCCACATCCACATAGTACAGAAAGAGTGTTTCAAACCTGCTCTATTAAAGGGAATGTTCAACTCTATGAGTTGAATGCAAACATCACAAAGAAATTTCTGAGAATGCTGCTGTCTACCTTTTATTTGAATTCCCGCTTCCAAAGAAATCCTCCAAGCTATCCAAATATCCACTTGCAGATTCCACAAAAAGAGTGTTTCAAAACTGCTCTCTATCAATGGCAAAGTTCAACTCTGTTAGTTGAGGACACATATCACCAACAAGTTTCTGAGAATGCTTCTGTCTATTTTTTATGGGAAGATATTTCCTTTTTCACCGTAGGCGTCAAGGCGATCAAAATGTCCACTTCCACAAACTACCAAAAGAGTGTTTCAAACCTGCTCTATGAAAGGCCATGTTCATCTCTATGAGTTGAATGGAAATATCCGAAAGAAATTTCTGGGAATGCTGCTGTCTAGTTTTTATACGAATTCCCGCTTCCACGAAATCCTCAAAGCAATCCAAATATCCACTTGCAGAATCCACAAAAAGAGTGTTTCAAAACTGCTCTATCAATAGAAAGGTTCAACTCTTTTAGTTGAGTACACACATCACAAACAAGTTTCTGAGAATGCTTCTGTCTGGCTTTTATTGGAAGACGTTTCCTTTTCACCAAAGGCATCAAAGCGCTCCAAATGTCCACTTCCAGATTCTTCCAAAAGAGTGTTTCAAACGTGCTCAAAGTAAGGGAATGTTCAACTCTGTGACTTGAATGCAGATATCACCAAGCAGTGTCTAATAGTGCTTCTGTGTATACTTTAGATGAAGATATTCCCGTTTCCAACGATATCGTTAGACCTACCCAAATATCCACTTACAGTTTCTACAGAAAGTGTGTTTCCAAACTAGTGCATCAAAAGAAAGGTTCAACTCTGTTAGTTGAGGACACACATCACAAAGAAGTTTCTGAGAAAGCTTCTGTCTGTATTTTGTATGAAGATATTCCCTTTTCCAACGATGTCGTTAAATCAACCCAAATATCAATTTGCAGAATCCACAGAAATAGAGTTTCAAAGCTGCTCTGTAAAAAGAAAGGATCCACTCTGTTAGCTGAGTACACACATCACAAACTTGTTTCTGAGAATCCTTCTGTCTAGTTTTTATGGGAAGATATTTACTTTTTCACCGTAGGTATCAAAGCGCTCCAAATGTCCACATCCAGATACTACAGAAAGAGGGTTTCAAACCTGCTCTATGAAAGGGAATCCTCAACTCTATGAGTTGAATGCAGACATCAGAAAGTAATTTCTGAGAATGCTGCTGTCTACCTTTCATTTGAATTCCCGCTTCCAACGAAATCCTCCAAGCTATCCAAATATTCACTTGCAGATTCCACAAAAAGAGTGTTTCAGAACTACTCTATCAATAGAAAGGTACAACTCTGTCAGTTGAGGACACACATCACAAACAAGTTTCTGAGAATTCTGTCTAGTTTTTATGGGAAGACATTCACTTTTTCACCAAAGGCATCAAAGCGCTCCAAATGTCCACTTCCAGACACTACAAAAAGAGTGTTTCAAACGTGCTCTAAGAAAGCGAATGTTCAACTCTGTGACTTGAATGCAGATATCACAAAGTAGTTTATGAGAGGGCTTCTGTCTAGATTTTAGATGATGATATTCCCGTTTCCAACGAAATCATTAGAGCTATCCAAATATCCACTTACAGTTTCTACAAAAAGAGTGTTTCCAAACTGCTGCATCAAAAGAGAGGTTCCACTCTGTTAGCTGAGTACACACATCACAAGCTTGTTTCTCAGAATCCTTCTGTCTAGCTTTTATGGGAAGATATTTACTTTTTCACCGTAGGCATCAAAGCGTTCCAAATGTCCACATCCAGATAGTACAGAAAGATTGTTTCAAACCTGCTCTATGAAAGGGAATGTTCAACTCTATGAGTTGAATGCAAACATCACAAAGAAATTTCTGAGAATGCTGCTGTCTACCTTTTATTTGAATTCCCGCTTCCAACGAAATCCTCCAAGCTATCCAAATATCAACTTGCAGATTCCACAAAAAGAGTGTTTCAAAACTGCTCTCTATCAATGGCAAAGTTCAACTCTGTTAGTTGAGGACACATATCACCAACAAGTTTCTGAGAATGCTTCTGTCTATTTTTTATGGGAAGATATTTCCTTTTCCACCGTAGGCGTCAAGGCGATCGAAATGTCCACTTCCAGAAACTACAAAATGAGTGTTTCAAACCTGCTCTATGAAAGGCCATGTTCATCTCTATGAGTTGAATGGAAATATCCGAAAGAAATTTCTGGGAATGCTGCTGTCTAGTGTTTATACGAATTCCCGCTTCCAACGAAATCCTCAAAGCAATCCAAATATCCACTTGCAGAATCCACAAAAAGAGTGTTTCAAAACTGCTCTATCAATAGAAAGGTTCAACTCTTTTAGTTGAGTACACACATCACGAACAAGTTTCTGAGAATGCTTCTGTCTGGCTTGTATTGGAAGACGTTTCCTTTTCACCAAAGGCATCAAAGCGCTCCAAATGTCCACTTCCAGATTCTTCCAAAAGAGTGTTTCAAACGTGCTCAAAGTAAGGGAATGTTCAACTCTGTGACTTGAATGCAGATATCACCAAGTAGTTTCTAATAGTGCTTCTGTCTAGATTTTAGATGATGATATTCCCGTTTCCAACGAAATCGTTAGAGCTATCCAAATATCCACTTACAGTTTCTACAAAAAGAGTGTTTCCAAACTGCTGCATCAAAAGAAAGGTTCAACTCTGTTAGTTGAAGACACACGTCACAAAGTAGTTTGTGAGAATGCTTCTGTCTAGATTTTGTATGACCATATTCCCTTTTCCAACGATATCGTTAAAGCAATCTAAATATCAATTTGCAGAATCCACAAAAATAGAGTTTCATAGCTGCTCTGTAAAAAGAAAGGTTCCACTCTGTTAGCTGAGTACACACATCACAAACTTGTTTCTGAGAATCCTTCTGTCTAGTTTTTATGGGAAGATATTTACTTTTTCACTGTAGGTATCAAAGCGCTCCAAATGTCCACATCCAGATACTACAGAAAGAGTGTTTCAAACCTGCTCTATGAAAGGGAATCTTCAACTCTATGAGTTGAATGCAGACATCAGAAAGTAATTTCTGAGAATGCTGCTGTCTAACTTTTATTTGAATTCCCGCTTCCAACGAAATCCTCCAAGCTATCCAAATATCCACCTGCATTTTCCACAAAAAGAGTGTTTCAAAACTGCTCTATTAATAGAAATGTTCAACTCCTTTGGCTGGGTACACACATCACAAACAAGTTTCTGAGAATGCTTCTGTCTAGTTTTTATGGGAAGACATTCCCTTTTTCACCAAAGGCATCAAAGCGCTCCAAATGTCCACTTCCAGACACTACAAAAAGAGTGTTTCAAACGTGCTCTAAGAAAGCGAATGTTCAACTCTGTGACTTGAATGCAGATATCACAAAGTAGTTTCTGGAGAGTGCTTCTCTCTAGATTTTATATGATGATATTCCCGTTTCCAACGAAATCATTAGAGCTATCCAAATATCCACTTACAGTTTCTACAAAAAGAGTGTTTCCAAACTGCTGCATCAAAAGAGAGGTTCCACTCTGTTAGCTGAGTACACACATCACAAACTTGTTTCTGAGAATCCTTCTGTCTCGTTTTTATGGGAAGATATTTACTTTTTCACCGTAGGCATCAAAGCGCTCCAAATGTCCACATCCAGATACTTCAGAAAGAGTGTTTCAAACCTGCTCTATGAAAGGGAATCTTCAACTCTATGAGTTGAATGCAGACATCAGAAAGAAATTTCTGAGAATGCTGCTTTCTACCTTTCATTTGAATTCCCGCTTCCAACGAAATCCTCCAAGCTATCCAAATATTCACTTGCAGATTCCACAAAAAGAGTGTTTCAAAACTACTCTATCAATAGAAAGGTACAACTCTGTCAGTTGAGGACACACATCACAAACAAGTTTCTGAGAATTCTGTCTATTTTTTATGGGAAGATATTTCCTTTTTCACCGTAGGCGTCAAGGCGATCGAAATGTCCACTTCCACAAACTACAAAAAGAGTGTTTCAAACCTGCTCTATGAAAGGCGATGTTCATCTCTATGAGTTGAATGGAAATATCCGAAAGAAATTTCTGGGAATGCTGCTGTCTAGATTTTATATGAATTCCCGCTTCCAACGAAATCCTCAAAGCAATCCAAATATCCACTTGCAGAATCCACAAAAAGAGTGTTTCAAAACTGCTCTATCAATAGAAAGGTTCAACTCTTTTAGTTGAGTACACACATCACAAACAAGTTTCTGAGAATGCTTCTGTCTGGCTTTTATTGGAAGACGTTTCCTTTTCACCAAAGGCATCAAAGCGCTCCAAATGTCCACTTCCAGATTCTTCCAAAAGAGTGTTTCAAACGTGCTCGAAGTAAGGGAATGTTCTACTCTGTGACTTGAATGCAGATATCACCAAGTAGTTTCTAATAGTGCTTCTGTCTAGATTTTAGATGATGATATTCCCGTTTCCAACGAAATCGCTAGCAGCTATCCAAATATCCAGTTACAGTTTCTACCAAAAGGGTGTTTCCAAATTGCTGCATCAAAAGAAAGGTTCAACTCTGTTAGTTGAGGACACACGTCACAAAGAAGTTTGTGAGAATGCTTCTGTCTAGATTTTGTATGAAGATATTCCCTTTTCCAACGATGTCGTTAAATCAACCCAAATATCAATTTGCAGAATCCACAGAAATAGAGTTTCAAAGCTGCTCTGTAAAAAGAAAGGATCCACTCTGTTAGCTGAGTTCACACATCCCAAACTTGTTTCTGAGAATCTTTCTGTCTCGTTTTTATGGGAAGATATTTACTTTTTCACCGTAGGCATCAAAGCGCTCCAAATGTCCACATCCAGATACTCCAGAAAGACTGTTTCAAACCTGCTCTATGAAAGGGAATCTTCAACTCTATGAGTTGAATGCAGACATCACAAAGAAATTTCTGAGAATGCTGCTGTCTACCTTTTATTTGAATTCCCGCTTCCAACGAAATCCTCC
Organism: Homo sapiens; assembly: GCF_000001405.40. Taxonomy (NCBI): domain Eukaryota; kingdom Metazoa; phylum Chordata; class Mammalia; order Primates; family Hominidae; genus Homo; species Homo sapiens. The sequence goes on along the minus strand of NC_000022.11, from coordinate 14,463,125 downwards.
AAGCTATCCAAATATCCCCTTGCATTTTCCACAAAAAGAGTGTTTCAAAACTGCTCTATCAATAGAAATGTTCAACTCCTTTAGCTGGGTATACACATCACAAACAAGTTTCTGAGAATGCTTCTGTCTAGTTTTTATGGGTAGACATTCCCTTTTTCACCAAAGGAATCAAAGCGCTCCAAATGTCCACTTCCAGAAACTACAAAAAGAGTGTTTCAAACGTGCTCTAAGAAAGCGAATGTTCAACTCTGTGACTTGAATGCAGATATCACAAAGTAGTTTCTGAGAGGGCTTCTGTCTAGATTTTAGATGATGATATTCCCGTTTCCAACGAAATCATTAGAGCTATCCAAATATCCACTTACAGTTTCTACAAAAAGAGTGTTTCCAAACTGCTGCATCAAAAGAGAGGTTCCACTTTGTTAGCTGAGTACACACATCACAAACTTGTTTCTCAGAATCCTTCTGTCTCTTTTTTATGGGAAGATATTTACTTTTTCACCGTAGGCGTCAAAGCGCTCCAAATGTCCACATCCAGATAGTACAGAAAGAGTGTTTCAAACCTGCTCTATGAAAGGGAATCTTCAACTCTATGAGTTGAATGCAGACATCAGAAAGAAATTTCTGAGAATGCTCTGTCTACCTTTTATTTGAATTCCCGCTTCCAACGAAATCCTCCAAGCTATCCAAATATCCACTTGCAGATTCCACAAAAAGAGTGTTTCAAAACTGCTCTCTATCAATGGCAAAGTTCAACTCTGTTAGTTGAGGACACATATCACCAACAAGTTTCTGAGAATGCTTTCTGTCTATTTTTTATGGGAAGATATTTCCTTTTTCACCGTAGGCGTGAAGGCGATCGAAATGTCCACTTCCACAAACTACAAAAAGAGTGTTTCAAACCTGCTCTATGAAAGGCCATGTTCATCTCTATGAGTTGAATGGAAATATCCGAAAGTAATTTCTGGGAATGCTGCTGTCTAGTGTTTATATGAATTCCCGCTTCCAACGAAATCCTCAAAGCAATCCAAATATCCACTTGCAGAATCCACAAAAAGAGTGTTTCAAAACTGCTATATCAATAGAAAGGTTCAACTCTTTTAGTTGAGTACACACATCACGAACAAGTTTCTCAGAATGCTTCTGTCTGGCTTTTATTGGAAGACGTTTCCTTTTCACCAAAGGCATCAAAGCGCTCCAAATGTCCACTTCCAGATTCTTCCAAAAGAGTGTTTCAAACGTGCTCGAAGTAAGGGAATGTTCTACTCTGTGACTTGAATGCAGATATCACCATGTAGTTTCTAATAGTGCTTCTGTCTAGATTTTAGATGATGATATTCCCGTTTCCAACGAAATCGTTAGAGCTATCCAAATATCCAGTTACAGTTCCTACCAAAAGGGTGTTTCCAAATTGCTGCATCAAAAGAAAGGTTCAACTCTGTTAGTTGAGGACACACATCACAAAGAAGTTTGTGAGAATGCTTCTGTCTAGATTTTGTATGACGATATTCCCTTTTCCAACGATATCGTTAAAGCAATCTAAATACCAATTTGCAGAATCTACAAAAATAGAGTTTCAAAGCTGCTCTGTAAAAAGAAAGGTTCCACTCTGTTAGCTGAGTACACACATCACAAACTTGTTTCTCAGAATCCTTCTGTCTAGTTTTTATGGGAAGATATTTACTTTTTCACCGTAGGTATCAAAGCGCTCCAAATGTCCACATCCAGATTCTACAGAAAGAGTGTTTCAAACCTGCTCTATGAAAGGGAATCTTCAACTCTATGAGTTGAATGCAGACATCAGAAAGTAGTTTCTGAGAATGCTGCTGTCTACCTTTTATTTGAATTCCCGCTTCCAACGAAATCCTCCAAGCTATCCAAATATCCACCTGCATTTTCCACAACAAGAGTGTTTCAAAACTGCTCTATCAATAGAAATGTTCAACTCCTTTGGCTGGGTACACACATCACAAACAAGTCTCTGAGAATGCTTCTGTCTAGTTTTTATGGGAAGACATTCCCTTTTTCACCAAAGACATCAAAGCGCTCCAAATGTCCACTTCCAGACACTACAAAAAGAGTGTTTCAAACGTGCTCTAAGAAAGCGAATGTTCAAGTCTGTGACTTGAATGCAGATATCACAAAGTAGTTTCTGAGAGTGCTTCTGTCTAGATTTTAGATGATGATATTCCCGTTTCCAACGAAATCATTAGAGCTATCCAAATATCCACTTACAGTTTCTACAAAAAGAGTGTTTCCAAACTGCTGCATCAAAACAGAGGTTCCACTCTGTTAGCTGAGTACACACATCACAAACTTGTTTCTCAGAATCCTTGCTGTCTACCTTTTATTTGAATTCCCGCTTGCAACGAAATCCTCCAAGCTATCCAAATATCCACTTGCAGATTCCACAAAAAGAGTGTTTCAAAACTGCTCTCTATCAATGGCAAAGTTCAACTCTGTTAGTTGAGGACACATATCACCAACAAGTTTCTGAGAATGCTTCTGTCTATTTTTTATGGGAAGATATTTCCTTTTTCACCGTAGGCGTCAAGGCGATCGAAATGTCCACTTCCACAAACTACAAAAAGAGTGTTTCAAACCTGCCCTATGAAAGGCCATGTTCATCTCTATGAGTTGAATGGAAATATCCGAAAGAAATTTCTGTGAATGCTGCTGTCTAGTTTTTATACGAATTCCCGCTTCCAATGAAATCCTCAAAGCAATCCAAATATCCACTTGCAGAATCCACAAAAAGAGTGTTTCAAAACTGCTCTATCAATAGAAAGGTTCAAATCTTTTAGTTGAGTACACACATCACGAACAAGTTTCTGAGAATGCTTCTGTCTGGCTTTTGTTGGAAGAGGTTTGCTTTTCACCAAAGGCATCAAAGCGCTCCAAATGTCCACTTCCAGATTCTTCCAAAAGAGTGTTTCAAACGTGCTCAAAGTAAGGGAATGTTCAACTCCGTGACTTGAATGCAGATATCACCAAGTAGTTTCTAATAGTGCTTCTGTCTAGATTTTAGATGATGATATTCCCGTTTCCAACGAAATCGTTAGAGCTATCCAAATATCCACTTACAGTTTCTACAAAAAGAGTGTTTCCAAACTGCTGCATCAAAAGAAAAGTTCAACTCTGTTAGTTGAGGACACACATCACAAAGAAGTTTGTGAGAATGCTTTCTGTCTAGATTTTGTATGACGATATTCCCTTTTCCAACGATATCGTTAAAGCAATCTAAATATCAATTTGCAGAATCCACAAAAATAGAGTTTCAAAACTGCTCTGTAAAAAGAAAGGTTCCACTCTGTTAGCTGAGTACACACATCACAAACTTGTTTCTCAGAATCCTTCTGTCTCGTTTTTATGGGAAGATATTTACTTTCTCACCGTAGGCATCAAAGCGCTCCAAATGTCCACATCCAGATACTCCAGAAAGAGTGTTTCAAACCTGCTCTATGAAAGGGAATCTTCAACTCTATGAGTTGAATGCAGACATCAGAAAGAAATTTCTGAGAATGCTGCTGTCTAACTTTTATTTGAATTCCCGCTTCCAACGAAATCCTCCAAGCTATCCAAATATCCACTTGCAGATTCCACAAAAAGAGTGTTTCAAAACTGCTCTCTATCAATGGCACAGTTCAACTCTGTTAGTTGAGGACACATATCACCAACAAGTTTCTGAGAATGCTTCTGTCTATTTTTTATGGGAAGATATTTCCTTTTTCACCATAGGCATCAGGGCGATCGAAATGTCCACTTCCACAAACTACAAAAAGAGTGTTTCAAACCTGCTCTATGAAAGGCAATGTTCATCTCTATGAGTTGAATGGAAATATCCGAAAGAAATTTCTGGGAATGCTGCTGTCTACTTTTTTATGAATTCCCGCTTCCAACGAAATCCTCAAAGCAATCCAAATATCCACTTGCAGATTCCACAAAAAGAGTGTTTCAAAACTGCTCTATCAATAGAAAGGTTCAACTCTTTTAGTTGAGTACACACATCACATACAAGTTTCTGAGAATGCTTCTGTCTGGCTTTTATTGGAAGACGTTTCCTTTTCACCAAAGGCATCAAAGCGCTCCAAATGTCCACTTCCAGATTCTTCTAAAAGAGTGTTTCAAACGTGCTCAAAGTAAGGGAATGTTCAACTCTTTGACTTGAATGCAGATATCACCAAGTAGTTTCTAATAGTGCTTCTGTCTAGATTTTAGATGATGATATTCCCGTTTCCAACGAAATCGTTAGAGCTATCCAAATATCCACTTACAGTTTCTACAAAAAGAGTGTTTCCAAACTGCTGCATCAAAAGAAAGGTTCAACTCTGTTAGTTGAGGACACACATCACAAAGAAGTTTGTGGGAATGCTTCTGTCCAGATTTTGTATGACGATATTCCCTTTTCCAACGATATCGTTAAAGCAATCTAAATATCAGTTTGCAGAATCCACAAAAATAGAGTTTCAAAGCTGCTCTGTAAAAAGAAAGGTTCCACTCTGTTAGCTGAGTACACACATCACAAACTTGTTTCTGAGAATCCTTCTGTCTCGTTTTTATGGGAGGATATTTACTTTTTCACCGTAGGCATCAAAGCGCTCCAAATGTCCACATCCAGATACTCCAGAAAGAGTGTTTCAAACCTGCTCTATGAAAGGGAATCTTCAACTCTATGAGTTGAATGCAGACATCAGAAAGAAATTTCTGAGAATGCTGCTGTCTACCTTTTATTTGAATTCAAGCTTCCAACGAAATCCTCCAAGCTATCCAAATATCCACTTGCATTTTCCACAAAAAGAGTGTTTCAAAACTGCTCTATCAATAGAAATGTTCAACTCCTTTAGCTGGGTACACACATCACAAACAAGTTTCTGAGAATGCTTCTGTCTAGTTTTTATGGGAAGACATTTCCTTTTTCGCCAAAGGCATCAAAGAGCTCCAAATGTCCACTTCCAGATACTACAAAAAGAGTGTTTCAAAAGTGCTGTAAGAAAGCGAATGTTCAACTCTGTGACTTGAATGCAGATATCACAAAGTAGTTTCTGAGAGTGCTTCTGTCTAGATTTTAGATGATGATATTCCCGTTTCCAAAGAAATCATTAGAGCTATCCAAATATCCACTTACAGTTTCTACAAAAAGAGTGTTTCCAAACTGCTGCGTCAAAAGAGAGGTTCCACTCTGTTAGCTGAGTACACACATCACAAACTTGTTTCTGAGAATCCTTCTGTCTAGTTTTTATGGGAAGATATTTACTTTTTCACCGTAGGCATCAAAGCGTTCCAAATGTCCACATCCAGATAGTACAGAAAGAGTGTTTCAAACCTGCTCTGTGAAAGGGAATGTTCAACTCTATGAGTTGAATGCAAACATCACAAAGAAATTTCTGAGAATGCTGCTGTCTACCTTTTATTTGAATTCCCGCTTCCAACGAAATCCTCCAGGCTTTCCAAATATCTACTTGCAGATTCCACAAAAAGAGGGTTTCAAAACTGCTCTATCAATGGCAAGGTTCAACTCTGTCAGTTGAGGATACACATCACAAACAAGTTTCTGAGATTTCTGCTGTCTACCTTTCATTTGAATTCCCGCTTCCAACGAAATCCTCCAGGCTATCCAAATATCCACTTGCAGATTCCACAAAAAGAGTGTTTCAAAACTGCTCTATCAATGGCAAGGTTCAACTCTGTCAGTTGAGGATACACATCACAAACAAGTTTCTGAGAATTCTGCTGTCTACTTTTTTATGAATTCCCGCTTCCAACGAAATCCTCAAAGCAATCCAAATATCCACTTGCAGATTCCACAAAAAGAGTGTTTCAAAACTGCTCTATCAATAGAAAGGTTCAACTCTTTTAGTTGAGTACACACATCACAAACAAGTTTCTGAGAAAGCTTCTGTCTGGCTTTTATTGGAAGACGTTTCCTTTTCACCAAAGGCATCAAAGCGCTCCAAATGTCCACTTCCAGATTCTTCCAAAAGAGTGTTTCAAACGTGCTCAAAGTAAGGGAATGTTCAATTCTGTGAGTTGAATGCAGATATCACCAAGCAGTTTCTAATAGTGTTTCTCTCTAGATTTTAGATGATGATATTCCCGTTTCCAACGAAATCGTTAGAGCTATCCAAATATCCAGTTACAGTTTCTACCAAAAGGGTGTTTCCAAACTGCTGCATCAAAAGAATGGTTCAACTCTGTTAGTTGAGGACACACATCACAAAGAAGTTTGTGAGAATGCTTCTGTCTAGATTTTGTATGACGATATTCCCTTTTCCAACGATATCGTTAAAGCAATCTAAATATCAATTTGAAGAATCCACAAAAATAGAGTTTCAAAGCTGCTCTGTAAAAAGAAAGGTTCCACTCTGTTAGCTGAGTACACACATCACAAACTTGTTTCTGAGAATCCTTCTGTCTAGTTTTTATGGGAAGATATTTACTTTTTCACCGTAGGCATCAAAGCGTTCCAAATGTCCATTTCCAGATAGTACAGAAAGAGTGTTTCAAACCTGCTCTATGAAAGGGAATGTTCAACTCTATATGTTGAATGCAAACATCACAAAGAAATTTCTGAGAATGCTGCTGTCTACCTTTTATTTGAATTCCCGCTTCCAACGAAATCCTCCAGGCTATCCAAATATCCACTTGCAGAATCCACAAAAAGAGTGTTTCAAAGCTGTTCTATCAATGGCAAGGTTCAACTCTGTCAGTTGAGGATACACATCACAAACAAGTTTCTGAGAATTCTTCTGTTTAGTTTTTATGGGTAGACATTCCCTTTTTCACCAAAGGAATCAAAGCGCTCCAAATGTCCACTTCCAGACACTACAAAAAGAGTGTTTCAAACGTGCTCTAAGAAAGCGAATGTTCAACTCTGTGACTTGAATGCAGATATCACAAAGTAGTTTCTGAGAGTGCTTCTGTCTAGATTTTAGATGATGATATTCCCGTTTCCAACGAAATCATTAGAGCTATCCAAATATCCACTTACAGTTTCTACAAAAAGAGTGTTTCTAAACTGCTGCATCCAAAGAGAGGTTCCACTCTGTTAGCTGAGTACACACATCACAAACTTGTTTCTCAGAATCCTTCTGTCTCGTTTTTATGGGAAGATATTTACTTTCTCACCGTAGGCATCAAAGCGCTCCAAATGTCCACATCCAGATACTCCAGAAAGAGTGTTTCAAACCTGCTCTATGAAAGGGAATCTTCAACTCTATGAGTTGAATGCAGACATCAGAAAGAAATTTCTGAGAATGCTGCTGTCTACCTTTCATTTGAATTCCCGCTTCCAACGAAATCGTCCAAGCTATCCAAATATTCACTTGCAGATTCCACAAAAAGAGTGTTTCAAAACTACTCTATCAATAGAAAGGTACAACTCTGTCAGTTGAGGACACACATCACAAACAAGTTTCTGAGAATTCTGTCTATTTTTTATGGGAAGATATTTCCTTTTTCACCATAGGCGTCAAGGCGATCGAAATGTCCACTTCCACAAACTACAAAAAGAGTGTTTCAAACCTGCTCTATGAAAGGCCATGTTCATCTCTATGAGTTGAATGGAAATATCCGAAAGAAATTTCTGGGAATGCTGCTGTCTAGTGTTTATACGAATTCCCGCTTCCAACGAAATCTTCAAAGCAATCCAAATATCCACTTGCAGAATCCACAAAAAGAGTGTTTCAAAACTGCTCTATCAATAGAAATGTTCAACTCCTTTGGCTGGGTACACACATCACAAACAAGTTTCTGAGAATGCTTCTGTCTGGCTTTTATTGGAAGACGTTTCCTTTTCACCAAAGGCATCAAAGCGCTCCAAATGTCCACTTCCAGATTCTTCCAAAAGAGTGTTTCAAACGTGCTTAAAGTAAGGGAATGTTCAACTCTTTGACTTGAATGCAGATATCACCAAGTAGTTTCTAATAGTGCTTCTGTCTAGATTTTAGATGATGATATTCCCGTTTCCAACGAAATCGTTAGAGCTATCCAAATATCCACTTACAGTTTCTGCAAAAAGAGTGTTTCCAAACTGCTGCATCAAAAGAAAGGTTCAACTCTGTTAGTTGAGGACACACATCACAAAGAAGTTTGTGAGAATGCTTTCTGTCTAGTATTTTGTATGACCATATTCCCTTTTCCAGCGATATCGTTAAAGCAATCTAAATATCCATTTGCAGAATCCACAAAAATAGAGTTTCAAAGCTGCTCTGTAAAAAGAAAGGTTCCACTCTGTTAGCTGAGTACACACATCACAAACTTGTTTCTCAGAATCCTGCTGTCTACCTTTTATTTGAATTCCCGCTTCCAACGAAATCCTCCAAGCTATCCAAATATCCACTTGCAGTTTCCACAAAAAGAGTGTATCAAAACTGCTCTATCAATAGAAATGTTCAACTCCTTTAGCTGGGTACACACATCACAAACAAGTTTCTGAGAATGCTTATCTGTCTAGTTTTTATGGGAAGACATTCCCTTTTTCACCAAAGGCATCAAAGTGCGCCAAATGTCCACTTCCAGACACTACAAAAAGAGTGTTTCAAACGTGCTCTAAGAAAGCGAATGTTCAACTCTGTGACTTGAATGCAGATATCACAAAGTAGTTTCTGAGAGGGCTTCTGTGTAGATTTTAGATGATGATATTCCCGTTTCCAACGAAATCATTAGAGCTATCCAAATATCCACTTACAGTTTCTACAAAAAGAGTGTTTCCAAACTGCTGCATCAAAAGAGAGGTTCCACTCTGTTAGCTGAGTACACACATCACAAACTTGTTTCTCAGAATCCTTCTGTCTCGTTTTTATGGGAAGATATTTACTTTTTCACCGTAGGCATCAAAGCGCTCCAAATGTCCACATCCAGATACTCCAGAAAGAGTGTTTCAAACCTGCTCTCTGAAAGGGAATGTTCAACTCTATGAGTTGAATGCAGACATCAGAAAGAAATTTCTGAGAATGCTGCTGTCTACCTTTCATTTGAATTCCCGCTTCCAACGAAATCCTCCAGGCTATCCAAATATCCACTTGCAGAGTCCACAAACAGAGGGTTTCTAAACTGCTCTATCAATGGCAAGGTTCAACTCTGTCAGTTGAGGATACACATCACAAATAAGTTTCTGAGAAATCTTCTGTCTATTTTTTATGGGAAGATATTTCCTTTTTCACCGTAGGCGTCAAGGCGATCGAAATGTCCACTTCCACAAACTACAAAAAGAGTGTTTCAAACCTGCTGTATGAAAGGCCATGTTCATCTCTATGAGTCGAATGGAAATATCCGAAAGAAATTTCTGGGAATGCTGCTGTCTAGTTTTTATACGAATTCCCGCTTCCAACGAAATCCTCAAAGCAATCCAAATATCCACTTGCAGAATCCACAAAAAGAGTGTTTTAAAACTGCTCTATCAATAGAAAGGTTCAACTCTTTTAGTTGAGTACACACATCACAAACAAGTTTCTGAGAATGCTTCTGTCTGGCTTTTATTGGAAGACGTTTCCTTTTCACCAAAGGCATCAAAGCTCTCCAAATGTCCACTTCCAGATTCTTCCAAAAGAGTGTTTCAAACGTGCTCAAAGTAAGGGAATGTTCAACTCTGTGACTTGAATGCAGATATCACCAAGTAGTTTCTAATAGTGCTTCTCTCTAGATTTTAGATGATGATATTCCCGTTTCCAACGAAATCGTTAGAGCTATCCAAATATCCAGTTACAGTTTCTACAAAAAGGGTGTTTCCAAACTGCTGCATCAAAAGAAAGGTTCAACTCTGTTAGTTGAGGACACACATCACAAAGAAGTTTGTGAGAATGCTTCTGTCTAGATTTTGTATGACGATATTCCCTTTTCCAACGATATCGGTTAAAGCAATCTAAATACCAATTTGCAGAATCCACAAAAATAGAGTTTCAAAGCTGCTCTGTAAAAAGAAAGGTTCCACTCTGTTAGCTGAGTACACACATCACAAACTTGTTTCTGAGAATCCTTCTGTCTCGTTTTTATGGGAAGATATTTACTTTTTCACCGCAGGCATCAAAGCGCGCCAAATGTCCACATCCAGATACTCCAGAAAGAGTGTTTCAAACCTGCTCTATGAAAGGGAATCTTCAACTCTATGAGTTGAATGCAGACATCAGAAAGAAATTTCTGAGAATGCTGCTGTCTACCTTTTATTTGAATTCCCGCTTCCAACAAAAACCTCCAAGCTACCCAAATATCCACTTGCAGATTCCACAAAAAGAGTGTTTCAAAACTGCTCTATCAATAGAAATGTTCAACTCCTTTCGCTGGGTACACACATCACAAACAAGTTTCTGAGAAAGCTTCTGTCTAGTTTTTATGGGAAGACATTCCCTTTTTCACCAAAGGCATCAAAGCGCTCCAAATGTCCACTTCCAGACACTACAAAAAGATTGTTTCAAACGTGCTCTAAGAAACCGAATGTTCAACTCTGTGACTTCAATGCAGATATCACAAAGTAGTTTCTGAGAGGGCTTCTGTCTAGATTTTAGATGATGATATTCCCATTTCCAACGAAATCATTAGAGCTATCCAAATATCCACTTACAGTTTCTACAAAAAGAGTGTTTCCAAACTGCTGCATCAAAAGAGAGGTTCCACTCTGTTAGCTGAGTACACACATCACAAACTTGTTTCTGAGAATCCTTCTGTCTAGTTTTTATGGGAAGATATTTACTTTTTCACTGTAGGTATCAAAGCGCTCCAAATGTCCACATCCAGATACTACAGAAAGAGTGTTTCAAACCTGCTCTATGAAAGGGAATCTTCAACTCTATGAGTTGAATGCAGACATCAGAAAGTAATTTCTGAGAATGCTGCTGTCAACCTTTCATTTGAATTCCCGCATCCAACGAAATCCTCCAAGCTATCCAAATATCCACTTGCAGATTCCACAAAAAGAGTGTTTCTAAACTGCTCTATCAATGGCAAGGTTCAACTCTGTCAGTTGAGGATACACATCACAAACAAGTTTCTGAGAATTCTTCTGTCTATTTTTTATGGGAAGATATTTCCTTTTTCACCGTAGACGTCAAGGCGATCGAAATGTCCACTTCCACAAACTACAAAAAGAGTGTTTCAAACCTGCTCTATGAAAGGCAATGTTCATCTCTATGAGTTGAATGGAAATATCCGAAAGAAATTTCTGGGAATGCTGCTGTCTAGTGTTTATACGAATTCCCGCTTCCAACGAAATCCTCAAAGCAATCCAAATATCCACTTGCAGAATCCACAAAAAGAGTGTTTCAAAACTGCTCTATCAATAGAAAGGTTCAACTCTTTTAGTTGAGTGCTCACATCACAAACAAGTTTCTGAGAATGCTTCTGTCTGGCTTTTATTGGAAGACGTTTCCTTTTCACCAAAGGCATCAAAGCGTTACAAATGTCCACTTCCAGATTCTTCCAAAAGAGTGTTTCAAACGTGCTCAAAGTAAGGGAATGTTCAACTCTGTGACTTGAATGCAGATATCACCAAGTAGTTTCTAATGGTGCTTCTGTCTAGATTTTAGATGATGATATTCCCGTTTCCAAAGAAATCGTTAGAGCTATCCAAATATCCAGTTACAGTTTCTACCAAAAGGTTGTTTCCAAACTGCTGCATCAAAAGAAAGGTTCAACTCTATTAGTTGAGGACACACATCACAAAGAAGTTTGTGAGAATGCTTCTGTCTAGATTTTGTATGACGATATTCCCTTTTCCAACGATATCGTTAAAGCAATCTAAATACCAATTTGCAGAATCCACAAAAATAGAGTTTCAAAGCTGCTCTGTAAAAAGAAAGGTTCCACTCTGTTAGCTGAGTACACACATCACAAACTTGTTTCTGAGAATCCTTCTGTCTCGTTTTTCTGGGAAGATATTTACTTTTTCACCGTAGGCATCAAAGCGCTCCAAATGTCCACATCCAGATACTCCAGAAAGAGTGTTTCAAACCTGCTCTATGAAAGGGAATCTTCAACTCTATGAGTTGAATTCAAGACATCAGAAAGAAATTTCTGAGAATGCTGCTGTCTTCCTTTCATTTGAATTCCCGCTTCCAACGAAATCCTCCAAGCTATCCAAATATTCACTTGCAGATTCCACAAAAAGAGTGTTTCAAAACTACTCTATCAATAGAAAGGTACAACTCTGTCAGTTGAGGACACACATCACAAACAAGTTTCTGAGAATTCTGTCTATTTTTTATGGGAAGATATTTCTTTTCACCGTAGGCGTCAAGGCGATCGAAATGTCCACTTCCACAAACTACAAAAAGAGTGTTTCAAACCTGCTCTATGAAAGGCCATGTTCATCTCTATGAGTTGAATGGAAATATGAGAAAGAAATTTCTGGGAATGCTGCTGTCTAGTTTTTATATGAATTCCCGCTTCCAACGAAATCCTCAAATCAATCCAAATATCCACTTGCAGAATCCACAAAAAGAGTGTTTCAAAACTGCTCTATCAATAGAAAGGTTCAACTCTTTTAGTTGAGTACACACATCACGAACAGGTTTCTGAGAATGCTTCTGTCTGGCTTTTATTGGAAGGCGTTTCCTTTTCACCAAAGGCATCAAAGCGCTCCAAATGTCCACTTAAAGATTCTTCCAAAAGAGTGTTTGAAACGTGCTCAAAGTAAGGGAATGTTCAACTCTGTGACTTGAATGCAGATATCACCAAGTAGTTTCTAATAGTGCTTCTGTGTATACTTTAGATGAAGATATTCCCGTTTCCAACGATATCGTTAGACCTATCCAAATATCCACTTACAGTTTCTACAAAAAGAGTGTTTCCAAACTGCTGCATCAAAAGAAAGTTTCAACTCTGTTAGTTGTGGACACACATCACAAAGAAGTTTCTGAGAAAGCTTCTGTCTAGATTTTGTATGAAGATATTCCCTTTTCCAACGATGTCGTTAAATCAACCCAAATATCAATTTGCAGAATCCACAGAAATAGAGTTTCAAAGCTGCTCTGTAAAAAGAAAGGATCCACTCTGTTAGCTGAGTTCACACATCACAAACTTGTTTCTGAGAATCCTTCTGTCTCGTTTTTATGGGAAGATATTTACATTTTCACCGTAGGCATCAAAGCGCTCCAAATGTCCACATCCAGATACTCCAGAAAGAGTGTTTCAAACCTGCTCTATGAAAGGGAATCTTCAACTCTATGAGTTGAATGCAGACATCAGAAAGAAATTTCTGAGAATGCTGCTGTCTACCTTTTATTTGAATTCCCGCTTCCAACGAAAACCTCCAAGCTATCCAAATATCCACTTGCAGATTCCACAAAAAGAGTGTTTCAAAACTGCTCTATCAATAGAAATGTTCAACTCTTTTCGCTGGGTACACACATCAAAAACAAGTTTCTGAGAATGCTTCTGTCTAGTTTTTATGGGAAGACATTCCCTTTTTCACCAAAGGCATCAAAGCGCTCCAAATGTCCACTTCCAGACACTACAAAAAGAGTGTTTCAAACGTGCTCTAAGAAAGCGAATGTTCAACTCTGTGACTTGAAGGCAGATATCACAAAGTAGTTTCTGAAAGGGCTTCTGTCTAGATTTTAGATGATGATATTCCCGTTTCCAAAAAAATCGTTAGAGCTATCCAAATATCCACTTACAGTTTCTACAAAAAGAGTGTTTCCAAACTGCTGCATCAAAACAGAGGTTCCACTCTGTTAGCTGAGTACACACATCACAAACTTGTTTCTCAGAATCCTTCTGTCTCGTTTTTATGGGAAGATATTTACTTTTTCACCGTAGGCATCAAAGCGCTCCAAATGTCCACATCCAGATACTCCAGAAAGAGTGTTTCAAATCTGCTCTATGAAAGGGAATGTTCAACTCTATGAGTTGAATGCAGACATCAGAAAGAAATTTCTGAGAATGCTGCTGTCTACCTTTCATTTGAATTCCCGCTTCCAACGAAATCCTCCAAGCTATCCAAATATTCACTTGCAGATTCCACAAAAAGAGTGTTTCAAAACTACTCTATCAATAGAAAGGTACAACTCTGTCAGTTGAGGATACACATCACAAACAAGTTTCTGAGAATTCTGTCTATTTTTTATGGGAAGATAATTCCTTTTTCAGCGTAGGCGTAAAGGCGATCGAAATGTCCACTTCCACAAACTACAAAAAGAGTGTTTCAAACCTGCTCTATGAAAGGCCATGTTCATCTCTATGAGTTGAAAGGAAATATCCGAAAGTAATTTCTGGGAATGCTGCTGTCTAGTTTTTATACGAATTCCCGCTTCCAACGAAATCCTCAAAGCAATCCAAATATCCACTTGCAGAATCCACATAAGAGAGTTTCAAAACTGCTCTATCAATACAAAGGTTCAACTCTTTTAGTTGAGTACACACATCACAAACAAGTTTCTGAGAATGCTTCTGTCTGGCTTTTATTGGAAGACGTTTCCTTTTCACCAAAGGCATCAAAGCGCTCCAAATGTCCACTTCCAGATTCTTCCAAAAGAGTGTTTCAAACGTGCTCAAAGTAAGGGAATGTTCAACTCTTTGACTTGAATGCAGATATCACCAAGTAGTTTCTAATAGTGCTTCTGTCTAGATTTTAGATGATGATATTCCCGTTTCCAACGAAATCGTTAGAGCTATCCAAATATCCACTTACAGTTTCTACAAAAAGAGTGTTTCCAAACTGCTGCATCAAAAGAAAGGTTCAACCCTGTTAGTTGAGGACACACATCACAAAGAAGTTTGTGAGAATGCTTCTGTCCAGATTTTGTATGACGATATTCCCTTTTCCAACGATATCATTAAAGCAATCTAAATATCCATTTGCAGAATCCACAAAAATAGAGTTTCAAAGCTGCTCTGTAAAAAGAAAGGTTCCACTCTGTTAGCTGAGTACACACATCACAAACTTGTCTCTCAGAATCCTTCTGTCTAGTTTTTATGGGAAGATATTTACTTTCTCACCGTAGGTATCAAAGCGCTCCAAATGTCCACATCCAGATACTACAGAAAGAGTGTTTCAAACCTGCTCTATGAAAGGGAATCTTCAACTCTATGAGTTGAATGCAGACATCAGAAAGTAATTTCTGAGAATGCTGCTGTCTACCTTTTATTTGAATTCCCGCTTCCAACGAAATCCTCCAAGCTATTCAAATATCCACTTGCATTTTCCACAAAAAGAGTGTTTCAAAACTGCTCTATCAATAGAAACGTTCAACTCCTTTAGCTGGGTACACACATCACAAAGAAGTTTCTGAGAATGCTTCTGTCTAGTTTTTATGGGAAGACATTCCCTTTTTCACCAAAGGCATCGAAGCGCTCCAAATGTCCACTTCCAGACACTACAAAAAGAGTGTTTCAAACGTGCTCTAAGAAAGCGAATGTTCAACTCTGTGACTTGAATGCAGATATCACAAAGTAGTTTCTGAGAGGGCTTCTGTCTAGATTTTAGATGATGATATTCCCGTTTCCAACGAAATCATTAGAGCTATCCAAATATCCACTTACAGTTTCTACAAAAAGAGTGTTTCCAAACTGCTGCATCGAAAGAGAGGTTCCACTCTGTTAGCTGAGTACACACATCACAAACTTGTTTCTGAGAATCCTTCTGTGTCGTTTTTATGGGAAGATATTTACTTTTTCACCGTAGGCATCAAAGCGCTCCAAATGTCCACATCCAGATACTCCAGAAAGAGTGTTTCAAACCTGCTCTATGAAAGGGAATCTTCAACTCTATGAGTTGAATGCAGACATCAGAAAGAAATTTGCTGAGAATGCTGCTGTCTACCTTTTATTTGAATTCCCGCTTCCAACGAAATCCTTCAAGCTATCCAAATATCCACTTGCTGATTCCACAAAAAGAGTGTTTCAAAACTGCTCTCTATCAATGGCAAAGTTCAACTCTGTTAGTTGAGGACACATATCACCAACAAGTTTCTGAGAATGCTTCTGTCTATTTTTTATGGGAAGATATTTCCTTTTTCACCGTAGGCGTCAAGGCGATCGAAATGTCCACTTCCACAAACTACAAAAAGAGTGTTTCAAACGTGCTCTATGAAAGGCGATGTTCATCTCTATGAGTTGAATGGAAATATCCGAAAGAAATTTACTGGGAATGCTGCTGTCTAGTTTTTATACGAATTCCCGCTTCCAACGAAATCCTCAAAGCAATCCAAATATCCTCTTGCAGAATCCACAAAAAGAGTGTTTCAAAACTGCTCTATCAATAGAAAGGTTCAACTCTTTTAGTTGAGTACACACATCACAAACAAGTTTCTGAGAATGCCTCTGTCTGGCTTTTATTGGAAGACGTTTCCTTTTCACCAAAGGCATCAAAGCGCTCCAAATGTCCACTTCCAGATTCTTCCAAAAGAGTGTTTCAAACGTGCTCGAAGTAAGGGAATGTTCTACTCTGTGACTTGAATGCAGATATCACCAAGTAGTTTACTAATAGTGCTTTCTGTCTAGATTTTAGATGATGATATTCCCGTTTCCAACGAAATCGTTAGAGCTATTCAATAATGCACTTACAGTTTCTACAAAAAGAGTGTTTCCAAACTGCTGCATCAAAAGAAAGGTTCAACTCTGTTAGTTGAGGACACACATCACAAAGAAGTTTGTGAGAATGCTTCTGTCCAGATTTTGTATGACGATATTCCCTTTTCCAACGATATCGTTAAAGCAATCTAAATATCAATTTCCAGAATCCAGAAAAATAGAGTTTCAAAGCTGCTCTGTAAAAAGAAAGGTTCCACTCTGTTAGCTGAGTACACACATCACAAACTTGTTTCTGAGAATCCTTCTGTCTCGTTTTTATGGGAAGATATTTACTTTTTCACCGTAGGCATCAAAGCGCTCCAAATGTCCACATCCAGATACTCCAGAAAGAGTGTTTCAAACCTCCTCTATGAAAGGGAATCTTCAACTCTATGAGTTGAATGCAGACATCAGACAGAAATTTCTGAGAATGCTGCTGTCTACCTTTTATTTGAATTCCTGCTTCCAACGAAATCCTCCAAGCTATCCAAATATCCACTTGCATTTTCCACAAAAAGAGTGTTTCAAAACTGCTCTATCAATACAAATGTTCAACTCCTTTAGCTGGGTACACACATCACAAACAAGTTTCTGAGAATGCTTCTGTCTATTTTTTATGGGAAGATATTTCCTTTTTCACCGTAGGCATCAAGGCGATCGAAATGTCCACTTCCACAAACTACAAAAAGAGTGTTTCAATATGAAAGGCCATGTTCATCTCTATGTGTTGAATGGAAATATCCAAAAGAAATTTCTGGGAATGCTGCTGTCTAGTGTTTATACGAATTCCCGCTTCCAACGAAATCCTCAAAGCAATCCAAATATCCACTTGCAGAATCCACAAAAAGAGTGTTTCAAAACTGCTCTATCAATAGAAAGGTTCAACTCTTTTAGTTGAGTACACACATCACGAACAAGTTTCTGCGAATGCTTCTGTCTGGCTTTTATTGGAAGACGTTTCCTTTTCACCAAAGGCATCAAAGCGCTGCAAATGTCCACTTCCAGATTCTTCCAAAAGAGTGTTTCAAACGTGCTCAAAGTAAGGGAATGCTCAACTCTGTGACTTGAATGCAGATATCACCAAGTAGTTTCTAATAGTGCTTCTGTCTACATTTTAGATGATGATATTCCCGTTTCCAACGAAATCGCTAGAGCTATCCAAATATCCAGTTACAGTTTCTACCAAAAGGGTGTTTCCAAATTGCTGCATCAAAAGAAAGGTTCAACTCTGTTAGTTGAGGACACACATCACAAAGAAGTTTGTGAGAATGCTTTCTGTCTAGATTTTGTATGACGATATTCCCTTTTCCAACGATATCGTTAAAGCAATCTAAATATCAATTTGCATAATCCACAAAAATAGAGTTTCCAAGCTGCTCTGTAAAAAGAAAGGTTCCACTCTGTTAGCTGAGTACACACATCACAAACTTGTTTCTGAGAATCCTTCTGTCTCGTTTTTATGGGAACATATTTAGTTTTTCACCGTAGGCATCAAAGCGGTCCAAATGTCCACATCCAGATACTCCAGAAAGAGTGTTTCAAACCTGCTCTATGAAAGGGAATCTTCAACTCTATGAGTTGAATGCACACATCAGAAAGAAATTTCTGAGAATGTTTCTTCAATTTTTTATGGGAAGACATTTCCTTTTTCACCGTAGGCGTCAAAGCGCTCCAAATGTCCACATCCAGATAGTACAGAAAGAGTGTTTCAAACCTGCTCTATTAAAGGGAATGTTCAACTCTATGAGTTGAATGCAAACATCAGAAATAAATTTCTGAGAATGCTTCTGTCTATTTTTTATGGGAAGATATTTCCTTTTTCAGCGTAGGCGTCAAGGCGATCGAAATGTCCACTTCCACAAACTACAAAAAGAGTGTTTCAAACCTGCTCTATGAAAGGCCATGTTCATCTCTATGAGTTGAATGGAAATATCCGAAAGAAATTTCTGGGAATGCTGCTGTCTAGTGTTTATACGAATTCCCGCTTCCAACGAAATCCTCAAAGCAATCCAAATATCCACTTGCAGAATCCACAAAAAGAGTGTTTCAAAACTGCTCTATCAATAGAAAGGTTCAACTCTTTTAGTTGAGTACACACATCAGGAACAAGTTTCTGAGAATGCTTCTGTCTGGCTTTTATTGGAAGACGTTTCCTTTTCACCAAAGGCATCAAAGCGCTCCAAATGTCCACTTCGAGATTCTTCCAAAAGAGTGTTTCAAACGTGCTCAAAGTAAGGGAATGTTCAACTCTGTGACTTGAATGCAGATATCACCAAGTAGTTTCTAATAGTGCTTCTGTCTACATTTTAGATGATGATATTCCCTTTTCCAAGGAAATCGTTAGAGCTATCCAAATATCCAGTTACAGTTTCTACCAAAAGGGTGTTTCCAAATTGCTGCATCAAAAGAAAGGTTCAACTCTGTTAGTTGAGGACACACATCACAAAGAAGTTTGTGAGAATGCTTCTGTCTAGATTTTGTATGACGATATTCCCTTTTCCAACGATATCGTTAAAGCAATCTAAATATCAATTTGCAGAATCCACAAAAATAGAGTTTCAAAGCTGCTCTGTAAAAAGAAAGGTTCCACTCTGTTAGCTGAGTACACACATCACAAACTTGTTTCTGAGAATCCTTTCTGTCTCGTTTTTATGGGAAGATATTTACTTTTCCACCGTAGGCATCAAAGCGCTCCAAATGTCCACATCCGGATACTCCAGAACGAGTGTTTCAAACCTGCTCTATGAAAGGGAATCTTCAACTCTATGAGTTGAATGCAGACATCAGAAAGAAATTTCTGAGAATGCTGCTGTCTACCTTTTATTTGAATTCCCGCTTCCAACGAAATCCTCCAAGCTATCCAAATATCCACCTGCATTTTCCACAAAAAGAGTGTTTCAAAACTGCTCTATCAATAGAAATGTTCAACTCCTTTGGCTGGGTACACACATCACAAACAAGTTCTGAGCATGCTTCTGTCTAGTTTTTATGGGAAGACGTTCCCTTTTTCACCAAAGGCATCAAAGCGCTCCAAATGTCCACTTCCAGACACTACAAAAAGAGTGTTTCCAACGTGCTCTAAGAAAGCGAATGTTCAACTCTGTGACTTGAATGCAGATATCACAAAGTAGTTTCTGAGAGGGCTTCTATCTAGATTTTAGATGATGATATTCCCGTTTCCAACGAAATCATTAGAGCTATCCAAATATCCACTTACAGTTTCTACAAAAAGAGTGTTTCCAAACTGCTGCATCCAAAGAGAGGTTCCACTCTGTTAGCTGAGTACACACATCACAAACTTGTTTCTCAGAATCCTTCTGTCTCGTTTTTATGGGAAGATATTTACTTTTTCACCGTAGGCATCAAAGCGCTCCAAATGTCCACATCCAGATACTCCAGAAAGAGTGTTTCAAACCTGCTCTATGAAAGGGAAACTTCAACTCTATGAGTTGAATGCAGACATCAGAAAGAAATTTCTGAGAATGCTGCTGTCTACCTTTTATTTGAATTCCCGCTTCCAACGAAATCCTCCAAGCTATGCAAATATCCACTTGCAGATTCCACAAAAAGAGTGTTTCAAAACTGCTCTCTATCAATGGCAAAGTTCAACTCTGTTAGTTAAGGACACATATCACCAACAAGTTTCTGAGAATGCTTCTGTCTATTTTTTATGGGAAGATATTTCCTTTTTCACCGTAGGCGTCAAGGCGATCGAAATGTCCACTTCCACAAACTACAAAAAGAGTGTTTCAAACCTGCTCTATGAAAGGCCATGTTCATCTCTATGAGTTGAATGGAAATATCCGAAAGAAATTTCTGGGAATGCTGCTGTCTAGTGTTTATACGAATTCCCGCTTCCAACGTAATCCTCAAAGCAATCCAAATATCCACTTGCAGAATCCACAAAAAGAGTGTTTCAAAACTGCTCTATCAATAGAAAGGTTCAACTCTTTTAGTTGAGTACACACATCACGAACAAGTTTCTGAGAATGCTTCTGTCTGGCTTTTATTGGAAGACGTTTCCTTTTCACCAAAGGCATCAAAGCGCTCCAAATGTCCACTTCCAGATTCTTCCAAAAGAGTGTTTGAAACGTGCTCAAAGTAAGAGAATGTTCAACTCTGTGACTTGAATGCAGATATCACCAAGTAGTTTCTAATAGTGCTTCTGTCTAGATTTTAGATGATGATATTCCCGTTTCCAACGAAATCGTTAGAAGCTATCCAAATATCCACTTACAGTTGCTACAAAAACAGTGTTTCCAAACTGCTGCATCAAAAGAAAGGTTCAACTCTGTTAGTTGAGGACACACGTCACAAAGAAGTTTGTGAGAATGCTTCTGTCTAGATTTTGTATGACGATATTCCCTTTTCCAACGATATCGTTAAAGCAATCTAAATATCAATTTGCAGAATCCACAAAAATAGAGTTTCAAAGCTGCTCTGTAAAAAGAAAGGTTTCACTCTGTTAGCTGAGTACACACATCACAAACTTGTTTCTGAGAATCCTTCTGTCTCGTTTTTATGGGAAGATATTTACTTTTTCACCGTAGGCATCAAAGCGCTCCAAATGTCCACATCCAGATACTCCAGAAAGAGTGTTTCAAACCTGCTCTATGAAAGGGAACCTTCAAGTCTATGAGTTGAATGCAGACATCAGAAAGAAATTTCTGAGAATGCTGCTGTCTACCTTTTATTTGAATTCCCGCTTCCAACGAAATCCTCCAAGGTATCCAAATATCCACTTGCATTTTCCACAACAAGAGTGTTTCAAAACTGCTCTATCAATAGAAATGTTCAACTCCTTTGGCTGGGTACACACATCACAAACAAGTTTCTGAGAATGCTTCTGTCTAGTTTTTATGGGTAGACATTCCCTTTTTCACCAAAGGAATCAAAGCGCTCCAAATGTCCACTTCCAGACACTACAAAAAGAGTGTTTCAAACGTGCTCTAAGAAAGCGAATGTTCAACTCTGTGACTTGAATGCAGATATCACACAGTAGTTTTTGAGAGTGCTTCTGTCTAGATTTTAGATGATGATATTCCCGTTTCCAACGAAATCATTAGAGCTATCCAAATATCCACTTACAGTTTCTACAAAAAGAGTGTTTCCAAACTGCTGCATCAAAAGAGAGGTTCCACTCTGTTAGGTGAGTACACACATCACAAACTTGTTTCTGAGAATCCTTCTGTCTCGTTTTTATGGGAAGATATTTACTTTTTCACCGTAGGCATCAAAGCACTCCAAATGTCCACATCCAGATACTACAGAAAGAGTATTTCAAACCTGCTCTATGAAAGGGAATGTTCAACTCTATGAGTTGAATGCAGATCTCAGAAAGAAATTTCTGAGAATGCTGCTGTCTACCTTTTATTTGAATTCCCGCTTCCAACGAAATCCTCCAAGCTATCCAAATATCCACTTGCAGATTCAGGAAAAAGAGTGTTTCAAAACTGCTCTCTATCAATGACAAAGTTCAACTCTGTTAGTTGAGGACACATATCACCAACAAGTTTCTGAGAATGCTTCTGTCTATTTTTTATGGGAAGATATTTCCTTTTTCACCATAGGCGTCAAGGCGATCGAAATATCCACTTCCACAAACTACAAAAAGAGTGTTTCAAACCTGCTCTATGAAAGGCGATGTTCATCTCTATGAGTTGAATGGAATTATCCGAAAGAAATTTCTGGGAATGCTGCTGTCTAGTTTTTATACGAATTCCCGCTTCCAACGAAATCCTCAAAGCAATCCAAATATCCACTTGCAGAATCCACAAAAAGAGTGTTTCAAAACTGCTCTATCAATAGAAAGGTTCAACTCTTTTAGTTGAGTACACACATCACGAACAAGTTTCTCAGAATGCTTCTGTCTGGCTTTTATTGGAAGACGTTTCCTTTTCACCAAAGGCATCAAAGCGCTCCAAATGTCCACTTCCAGATTCTTCCAAAAGAGTGTTTCAAACGTGCTCAAAGTAAGGGAATGTTCAACTCTGTGACTTGAATGCAGATATCACCAAGTAGTTTCTAATAGTGCTTCTGTCTAGATTTTAGATGATGATATTCCCGTTTCCAACGAAATCGTTAGAGCTATCCAAATATCCACTTACAGTTTCTACAAAAAGGGTGTTTCCAAACTGCTGCATCAAAAGAAAGGTTCAACTCTGTTAGTTGAGGACACACATCACAAAGAAGTTTGTGAGAATGCTTCTGTCTAGATTTTGTATGACGATATTCCCTTTTCCAACGATATCGTTAAAGCAATCTAAATATCAATTTGCAGAATCCACAAAAATAGAGTTTCAAAGCTGCTCTGTAAAAAGAAAGGTTCCACTCTGTTAGCTGAGTACACACATCAAAAACTTGTTTCTGAGAATCCTTCTGTCTCGTTTTTATGGGAAGATGTTTACTTTTCCACCGTAGGCATCAAAGCGCTCCAAATGTCCACATCCAGATACTCCAGAACGAGTGTTTCAAACCTGCTCTATGAAAGGGAATCTTCAACTCTATGAGTTGAATGCAGACATCAGAAAGAAATTTCTGAGAATGCTGCTGTCTACCTTTTATTTGAATTCCCGCTTCCAACGAAATCCTCCAAGCTATCCAAATATCCACCTGCATTTTCCACAAAAGGAGCGTTTCAAAACTGCTCTATCAATAGAAATGTTCAACTCCTTTGGCTGGGTACACACATCACAAACAAGTTTCTGAGAATGCTTCTGTCTAGTTTTTATGGGAAGACATTCCCTTTTTCACCGTAGGCGTCAAGGCGATCGAAATGTCCACTTCCACAAACTACAAAAAGAGTGTTTCAAACCTGCTCTATGAAAGGCCATGTTCATCTCTATGAGTCGAATGGAAATATCCGAAAGAAATTTCTGGGAATGCTTCTGTCTAGATTTTAGATGATGATATTCCCGTTTCCAACGAAATCATTAGAGCTATCCAAATATCCACTTACAGTTTCTACAAAAAGAGTGTTTCCAAACTGCTGCGTCAAAAGAGAGGTTCCACTCTGTTAGCTGAGTACACACATCACAAACTTGTTTCTGAGAATACTTCAGTTTTTTATGGGAAGACATTTCCTTTTTCACCGTAGGCGTCAAAGCGCTCCAAATGTCCACATCCGGACAGTACAGAAAGAGTGTTTCAAACCTGCTCTATTAAAGGGAATGTTCAACTCTATGAGTTGAATGCAAACATCAGAAAGAAATTTCTGAGAATGCTGCTGTCTACCTTTTATTTGAATTCCCGCTTCCAACGAAATCCTCCTATCTATCCAAACATCCACCTGCATTTTCCACAAAAAGAGTGTTTCAAAACTGCTCTATCAATAGAAACGTTCAACTCCTTTAGCTGGGTACACACATTACAAACAAGTTTCTGAGAATGCTTCTGCCTAGTTTTTATGGGAAGACATTCCCTTTTTCACCAAAGGCATCAAAGCGCTCCAAATGTCCACTTCCAGACACTACAAAAAGAGTGTTTCAAACGTGCTCTAAGAAAGCGAATGTTCAACTCTGTGACTTGAATGCAGATATCACAAAGTAGTTTCTGAGAGTGCTTCTGTCTAGATTTTAGGTGATGATATTCCCGATTCCAACGAAATCATTAGAGCTATCCAAATATCCACTTACAGTTTCTACAAAAAGAGTGTTTCCAAACTGCTGCATCAAAAGAGAGGTTCCACTCTGTTAGCTGAGTACACACATCACAAACTTGTTTCTCAGAATCCTGCTGTCTACCTTTTATTT
Organism: Homo sapiens; assembly: GCF_000001405.40. Taxonomy (NCBI): domain Eukaryota; kingdom Metazoa; phylum Chordata; class Mammalia; order Primates; family Hominidae; genus Homo; species Homo sapiens. Next base: position 14,438,874 of record NC_000022.11, on the reverse strand, counting down.
GAATTCCCGCTTCCAACGAAATCCTCCAAGCTATCCATATATCCACTTGCAGATTCAGGAAAAAGAGTGTTTCAAAACTGCTCTCTATCAATGGCAAAGTTCAACTCTGTTAGTTGAGGACACATATCACCAACAAGTTTCTGAGAATGCTTCTGTCTTTTTTTTATGGGAAGATATTTCCTTTTTCACCGTAGGCGTCAAGGCGATCGAAATGTCCACTTCCACAAACTACAAAAAGAGTGTTTCAAACCTGCTCTATGAAAGGCCATGTTCTTCTCTATGAGTTGAATGGAAATATCCGAAAGAAATTTCTGGGAATGCTGCTGTCTAGTTGTTATACGAATTCCCGCTTCCAACGAAATCCTCAAAGCAATCCAAATATCCACTTGCAGAATCCACAAAAAGAGTGTTTCAAAACTGCTCTATCAATAGAAAGGTTCAACTCCTTTTAGTTGAGTACACACATCACAAACAAGTTTCTGAGAATGCTTCTGTCTGGCTTTTATTGGAAGACGTTTCCTTTTCACCAAAGGCATCAAAGCGCTCCAAATGTCCACTTCCAGATTCTTCCAAAAGAGTGTTTCAAACGTGCTCAAAGTAAGGGAATGTTCAACTCTGTGACTTGAATGCAGATATCACCAAGTAGTTTGCTAATAGTGCTTCTGTCTACATTTTAGATGATGATATTCCCGTTTCCAACGAAATCGTTAGAGTTATCCAAATATCCAGTTACAGTTTCTACCAAAAGGGTGTTTCCAAATTGCTGCATCAAAAGAAAGGTTCAACTCTGTTAGTTGAGGACACACATCACAAAGAAGTTTGTGAGAATGCTTCTGTCTAGATTTTGTATGAAGATATTCCCTTTTCCAACGATATTGTTAAATCAACCCAAATATCAATTTGCAGAATCCACAGAAATAGAGTTTCAAAGCTGCTCTGTAAAAAGAAAGGATCCACTCTGTTAGCTGAGTACACACATCACAAACTTGTTTCTGAGAATCCTTCTTCAATTTTTTATGGGAAGACATTTCCTTTTTCACCGTAGGCGTCAAAGCGCTCCAAATGTCCACATCCAGATAGTACAGAAAGAGTGTTTCAAACCTGCTCTATTAAAGGGAATGTTCAACACTATGAGTTGAATGCAAACATCAGAAAGAAATTTCTGAGAATGCTGCTGTCTACCTTTTATTTGAATTCCCTCTTCCAACGAAAACCTCCAAGCTATCCAAATATCCACTTGCAGATTCCACAAAAAGAGTGTTTCAAAACTGCTCTATCAATAGAAATGTTCAACTCCTTTCGCTGGGTACACACATCACAAACAAGTTTCTGAGAATGCTTCTGTCTAGTTTTTATGGAAAGACATTCCCTTTTTCACCAAAGGCATCAAAGCGCTCCAAATGTCCACTTCCAGACACTACAAAAAGAGTGTTTCAAACGTGCTCTAAGAAAGCGAATGTTCAACTCTGTGACTTGAATGCAGATATCACAAAGAAGTTTCTGAGAGTGCTTCTGTCTAGATTTTAGATGATGATATTCCCGTTTCCAACGAAATCATTAGAGCTATCCAAATATACACTTACAGTTTCTACAAAAAGAGTGTTTCCAAACTGCTGCATCAAAAGAGAGGTTCCACTCTGTTAGCTGAGTACACACATCACAAACTTGTTTCTCAGAATCCTTCTGTCTCGTTTTTATGGGAAGATATTTACTTTTCCACCGTAGGCATCAAAGCGCTCCAAATGTCCACATCCAGATACTCCAGAAAGAGTGTTTCAAACCTGCTCTATGAAAGGGAATCTTCAACTCTATGAGTTGAATGCAGACATCAGAAAGAAATTTCTGAGAATGCTGCTGTCTACCTTTTATTTGAATTCCCGCTTCCAACGAAATCCTCCAAGCTATCCAAATATCCACTTGCAGATTCCACAAAAAGAGTGTTTCCAAACTGCTCTCTATCAATGGCAAAGTTCAACTCTGTTAGTTGAGGACACATATCACCAACAAGTTTCTGAGAATGCTTCTGTCTATTTTTTATGGGAAGATATTTCCTTTTTCACCGTAGGCATCAAAGCGATCGAAATGTCCACTTCCACAAACTACAAAAAGAGTGTTTCAAACCTGCTCTATGAAAGGCGATGTTCATCTCTATGAGTTGAATGGAAATATCCGAAAGAAATTTCTGGGAATGCTGCTGTCTAGTTTTTATATGAATTCCCGCTTCCAACGAAATCCTCAAAGCAATCCAAATATCCACTTGCAGAATCCACAAAAAGAGTGTTTCAAAACTGCTCTATCAATAGAAAGGTTCAACTCTTTTAGTTGAGTACACACATCACAAACAAGTTTCTGAGAATGCTTCTGTCTGGCTTTTATTGGAAGACGTTTCCTTTTCACCAAAGGCATCAAAGCGCTCCAAATGTCCACTTCCAGATTCTTCCAAAAGAGTGTTTCAAACGTGCTCGAAGTAAGGGAATGCTCTACTCTGTGACTTGAATGCAGATATCACCAAGTAGTTTCTAATAGTGCTTCTGTCTAGATTTTAGATGATGATATTCCCGATTCCAACGAAATCGTTAGAGCTATCCAAATATCCAGTTACAGTTTCTACCAAAAGGGTGTTTCCAAATTGCTGCATCAAAAGAAAGGTTCAACTCTGTTAGTTGAGGACACACATCACAAAGAAGTTTGTGAGAATGCTTCTGTCTAGATTTTGTATGACCATATTCCCTTTTCCAACGATATCGTTAAAGCAATCTAAATATCAATTTGCAGAATCCACAAAAATAGAGATTCAAAGCTGCTCTGTAAAAAGAAAGGTTCCACTCTGTTAGCTGAGTACACACATCACAAACTTGTTTCTGAGAATCCTGCTGTCTACCTTTTATTTGAATTCCCGCTTCCAACGAAATCCTCCAAGCTATCCAAATATCCACTTGCATTTTCCATAAAAAGAGTGTTTCAAAACTGCTCTATCAATAGAAATGTTCAACTCCTTTGGCTGGGTACACACATCACAAACAAGTTTCTGAGAATGCTTCTGTCTAGTTTTTATGGGAAGACGTTCCCTTTTTCACCAAAGGCATCAAAGCGCTCCAAATGTCCACTTCCAGACACTACAAAAAGAGTGTTTCCAACGTGCCCTAAGAAAGCGAATGTTCAACTCTGTGACTTGAATGCAGATATCACAAAGTAGTTTCTGAGAGGGCTTCTGTCTAGATTTTAGATGATGATATTCCCATTTCCAACGAAATCATTAGAGCTATCCAAATATCCACTTACAGTTTCTACAAAAAGAGTGTTTCCAAACTGCTGCATCAGAAGAGAGGTTCCACTCTGTTAGCTGTGTACACACATCACAAACTTGTTTCTGAGAATCCTTCTGTCTCGTTTTTATGGGAAGATATATACTTTTTCACCGTAGGCATCAAAGCGCTCCAAATGTCCACATCCAGATACTCCAGAAAGAGTGTTTCAAACCTGCTCTATGAAAGGGAATCTTCAACTCTACGAGTTGAATGCAGACATCAGAAAGAAATTTCTGAGAATGCTGCTGTCTACCTTTCATTTGAATTCCCGCTTCCAACGAAATCCTCCAGTCTATCCAAATATCCACTTGCAGATTCCACAAAAAGAGTGTTTCTAAACTGCTCTATCAATGGCAAGGTTCAACTCTGTCAGTTGAGGATACACATCACAAACAAGTTTCTGAGAATTCTTCTGTCTATTTTTTATGGGAAGATATTTCCTTTTTCACTGTAGGCGTCAAGGCGATCGAAATGTCCACTTCCACAAACTACAAAAAGAGTGTTTCAAACCAGCTCTATGAAAGGCGATGTTCATCTCAATGAGTTGAATGGAAATATCCGAAAGAAATTTCTGGGAATGCTGCTGTCTAGTGTTTATACGAATTCCCGATTCCAACGAAATCCTCAAAGCAATCCAAATATCCACTTGCAGAATCCACAAAAAGAGTGTTTCAAAACTGCTCTATCAATAGAAATGTTCAACTCTTTTAGTTGAGTACACACATCACGAACAAGTTTCTGAGAATGCTTCTGTCTGGCTTTTATTGGAAGACGTTTCCTTTTCACCAAAGGCATCAAAGCGCTCCATATGTCCACTTCCAGATTCTTCCAAAAGACTGTTTCAAACGTGCTCAAAGTAAGGGAATGTTCAACTCTGTGACTTGAATGCAGATATCACCAAGTAGTTTCTAATAGTGCTTCTGTCTAGATTTTAGATGATGATATTCCCGTTTCCAACGAAATCGTTAGAGCTATCCAAATATCCACTTACAGTTGCTACAAAAACAGTGTTTCCAAACTGCTGCATCAAAAGAAAGGTTCAACTCTGTTAGTTGAGGACACACATCACAAAGAAGTTTGTGAGAATGCTTCTGTGTAGATTTTCTATGACGATATTCTCATTTCCAACGATATCGTTAAAGCAATCTAAATATCAATTTGCAGAATCCACAAAAATAGAGTTTCAAAGCTGCTCTGTAAAAAGAAAGGTTCTACTCTTTTAGCTGAGTACACACATCACAAACTTGTTTCTGAGAATCCTTCTGTCTCGTTTTTATGGGAAGATATTTACTTTTTCACCGTAGGCATCAAAGCGCTTCAAATGTCCACATCCAGATACTCCAGAAAGACTGTTTCAAACCTGCTCTATGAAAGGGAATCTTCAACTCTATGAGTTGAATGCAGACATCAGAAAGAAATTTCTGAGAATGCTGCTGTCTACCTTTTATTTGAATTCCCGCTTCCAACGAAATCCTCCAAGCTATCCAAATATCCACTTGCAGATTCCACAAAAAGAGTGTTTCAAAACTGCTCTCTATCAATGGCAAAGTTCAACTCTGTTAGTTGAGGACCCATATCACCAACAAGTTTCTGAGAATGCTTCTGTCTATTTTTTATGGGAAGATATTTCCTTTTTCACCGTATGCGTCGAGGCGATCGAAATGTCCACTTCCACAAACTACAAAAAGAGTGTTTCAAACCTGCTCTATGAAAGGCCATGTTCATCTCTATGAGTTGAATGGAAATATCCGAAAGAAATTTCTGGGAATGCTGCTGTCTAGGTTTTATACGAATTCCCGCTTCCAACGAAATCCTCAAAGCAATCCAAATATCCACTTGCAGAATCCACAAAAAGAGTGTTTCAAAACTGCTCTATCAATAGTAAGGTTCAACTCTTTTAGTTGAGTACACACATCACAAACAAGTTTCTGAGAATGCTTCTCTCTGGCTTTTATTGGAAGACGTTTCCTTTTCACCAAAGGCATCAAAGTGCTCCAAATGTCCACTTCCAGATTCTTCCAAAAGAGTGTTTCAAACGTGCTCAAAGTAAGGGAATGTTCAACTCTGTGACTTGAATACAGATATCACCAAGTAGTTTCTAATAGTGCTTCTGTCTAGATTTTAGATGATGATATTCCCGTTTCCAACGAAATCGTTAGAGCTATCCAAATATCCAGTTACAGTTTCTACCAAAAGGGTGTTTCCAAATTGCTGCATCAAAAGAAAGGTTCAACTCTGTTAGTTGAGGACACACATCATAAAGAAGTTTGTGAGAATGCTTCTGTCCAGATTTTGTATGACGATATTCCCTTTTCCAACGATATCGTTAAAGCAATCTAAATATCCATTTGCAGAATCCACAAAAATAGAGTTTCAAAGCTGCTCTGTCAAAAGAAAGGTTCCACTCTGTTAGCTGAGTACACACATCACAAACTTGTTTCTGAGAATCCTTCTTCAATTTTTTATGGGAAGACATTTCCTTTTTCACCGTAGGCGTCAAAGCGCTCCAAATGTCCACATCCAGATAGTAAAGAAAGAATGTTTCAAACCTGCTCTATTAAAGGGAATGTTCAACTCTATGAGTTGAATGCAAACATCAGAAAGAAATTTCTGAGAATGCTGCTGTCTACCTTTTATTTGAATTCCCGCTTCCAACGAAATCCTCCAAGCTATCCAAATATCCACTTGCAGATTCCACAAAAAGAGTGTTTCAAAACTGCTCTCTATCAATGGCAAAGTTCAACTCTGTTAGTTGAGGACACATATCACCAACAAGTTTTTGAGAATGCTTCTGTCTATTTTTTATGGGAAGATATTTCCTTTTTCACCGTAGGCGTCAAGGCGATCGAAATGTCCACTTCCACAAACTACAAAAAGAGTGTTTCAAACCTGCTCTATGAAAGGCCATGTTCATCTCTATGAGTTGAATGGAAATATCCGAGAGAAATTTCTGGGAATGCTGCTGTCTAGTGTTTATACGAATTCCCGCTTCCAACGAAATCCTCAAAGTAATCCAAATATCCACTTGCAGAATCCACAAAAAGAGTGTTTCAAAACTGCTCTATCAATAGAAAGGTTCAACTCTTTTAGTTGAGTACACACATCACAAACAAGTTTCTGAGAATGCTTCTGTCTGGCTTTTATTGGAAGACGTTTCCTTTTCACCAAAGGCATCAAAGCGCTGCAAATGTCCACTTCCAGATTCTTCCAAAAGAGTGTTTCAAACGTGCTCAAAGTAAGGGAATGTTCAACTCTGTGACTTGAATGCAGATATCACCAAGTAGTTTGCTAATAGTGCTTCTGTCTAGATTTTACATGATGATATTCCCGTTTCCAACGAAATCATTAGAGCTATCCAAATATCCAGTTACAGTTTCTACAAAAAGAGTGTTTCCAAACTGCTGCATCAAAAGAAAGGTTCAACTCTGTTAGTTGAGGACACACATCACAAAGAAGTTTGTGAGAATCCTTCTGTCTAGATTTTGTATGACGATATTCCCTTTTCCAACGATATCGTTAAAGCAATCTAAATATCAATTTGCAGAATCCACAAAAATAGAGTTTCAAAGCTGCTCTGTAAAAAGAAAGGTTACACTCTGTTAGCTGAGTACACACATCACAAACATGTTTCTCAGAATCCTTCTGTCTCGTTTTTATGGGAAGATATTTACTTTTTCACCGTAGGCATCTAAGCGCTCCAAATGTCCACATCCAGATACTCCAGAAAGACTGTTTCAAACCTGCTCTATGAAAGGGAATCTTCAACTCTATGAGTTGAATGCAGACATCAGAAAGAAATTTCTGAGAATGCTGCTGTCTACCTTTTATTTGAATTCCCGCTTCCAACGAAATCCTCCAAGCTATCCAAATATCCACCTGCATTTTCCACAACAAGAGTGTTTCAAAACTGCTCTATCAATAGAAATGTTCAACTCCTTTGGCTGGGTACACACATCACAAACAAGTTTCTGAGAATACTTCTGTCTACTTTTTAAGGGAAGACATTTCCTTTTTCACCAAAGGCATCAAAGTGCTCCAAATGTCCACTTCCAGATTCTACAAAAAGAGTGTTTCAAACCTGCTCTAAGTAAGGGAGTTTTCAACTCTGTGACTGGAATGCAGATATCACAAAGTAGTTTCTGAGACTGCTTCTGTCTAGATTTTACATGATGATATTCCCGTTTCCAACGAAATCATTAGAGCTATCCAAATATCCAGTTACAGTTTCTACAAAAAGAGTGTTTCCAAACTGCTGCATCAAAAGAGAGGTTCCACTCTGTTAGCTGAGTACACACATCACAAACTTCTTTCTGAGAATCCTTCTGTCTAGGTTTTATGGGAAGATATTTACTTTTTCACCGTAGGCATCAAAGCGTTCCAAATGTCCACATCCAGATAGTACAGAAAGAGTGTTTCAAACCTGCTCTATGAAAGGGAATGTTCAACTCTATGAGTTGAATGCAAACATCACAAAGAAATTTCTGAGAATGCTGCTGTCTACCTTTTATTTGAATTCCCGCTTCCAACGAAATCCTCCAAGCTATCCAAATATCCACTTGCAGATTCCACAAAAAGAGTGTTTCAAAACTGCTCTCTATCAATGGCAAAGTTCAACTCTGTTAGTTGAGGACACATATCACCAGCAAGTTTCTGAGAATGCTTCTGTCTATTTTTTATGGGAAGATATTTCCTTTTTCACCGTAGGCGTCAAGGCGATCGAAATGTCCACTTCCACAAACTACAAAAAGAGTGTTTCAAACCTGCTCTATGAAAGGCCATGTTCATCTCTATGAGTTGAATGGAAATATCCGAAAGAAATTTCTGGAAATGCTGCTGTCTAGTTTTTATACGAATTCCCGCTTCCAACGAAATCCTCAAAGCAATCCAAATATCCACTTGCAGAATCCACAAAAAGAGTGTTTCAAAACTGCTCTATCAATAGAAAGGTTCAAATCTTTTGGTTGAGTACACACATCATGAACAAGTTTCTGAGAATGCTTCTGTCTGGCTTTTATTGGAAGACGTTTCCTTTTCACCAAAGGCATCAAAGCGCTGCAAATGTCCACTTCCAGATTCTTCCAAAAGAGTGTTTCAAACGTGCTCAAAGTAAGGGAATGTTCAACTCTGTGACTTGAATGCAGATATCACCAAGTAGTTTCTAATAGTGCTTTCTGTCTAGATTTTAGATGATGATATTCCCGTTTCCAACGAAATCGTTAGAGCTATCCAAATATCCACTTACAGTTTCTACCAAAAGTGTGTTTCCAAACTGCTGCATCAAAAGAAAGGTTCAACTCTGTTAGTTGAGGACACACATCACATACAAGTTTCTGAGAAAGCTTTTGTCTAGATTTTGTGTGACCATATTCCCTTTTCCAACGATATCGTTAAAGCAATCTAAATATCAATTTGCAGAATCCACAAAAATAGAGTTTCAAAGCTGCTCTTTAAAAAGAAGGGTTCCACTCTGTTAGCTGAGTACACACATCACAAACTTGTTTCTGAGAAACCTTCTTCAATTTTTTATGGGAAGACATTTCCTTTTTCACCGTAGGCGTCAAAGCGCTCCAAATGTCCACATCCACATAGTACAGAAAGAGTGTTTCAAACCTGCTCTATTAAAGGGAATGTTCAACTCTATGAGTTGAATGCAAACATCACAAAGAAATTTCTGAGAATGCTCCTGTCTACCTTTTATTTGAATTCCCGCTTCCAACGAAATCCTCCAAGCTATCCAAATATCCACTTGCATTTTCCACAAAAAGAGTGTTTCAAAACTGCTCTATCAATGGAAATGTTCAACTCCTTTAGCTGGGTACACACATCACAAACAAGTTTGCTGAGAATGCTTATCTGTCTAGTTTTTATGGGAAGACGTTCCCTTTTTCACCAAAGGCATCAAAGCGCTCCAAATGTCCACTTCCAGACACTATAAAAAGAGTGTTTCAAACGTGCTCTAAGAAAACGAATGTTCAACTCTGTGACTTGAATGCAGATATCACAAAGTAGTTTCTGAGAGGGCTTCTGTCTAGATTTTAGATGATGATATTCCCGTTTCCAACGAAATCATTAGAGCTATCCAAATATCCACTTACAGTTTCTACAAAAAGAGTGTTTCGAAACTGCTGCATCAAAAGAGAGGTTCCACTCTGTTAGCTGAGTACACACATCACAAACTTGTTTCTCAGAATCCTTCTGTGTCGTTTTTATGGGAAGATATTTACTTTTTCACCGTAGGCATCAAAGCGCTCCAAATGTCCACATCCAGATACTCCAGAAAGAGTGTTTCAAACCTGCTCTATGAAAGGGAATCTTCAACTCTATGAGTTGAATGCAGACATCAGAAAGAAATTTCTGAGAATGCTGCTGTCTACCTTTTATTTGAATTCCCGCTTCCAATGAAATCCCCCAGGCTATCCAAATATCCACTCGCAGATTCCACAAAAAGCGTGTTTCAAAACTGCTCTATCAATGGAAAGGTTCAACTCTGTCAGTTGAGGATACACATCACAAACAAGTTTCTGAGAATTCTTCTGTCTATTTTTTATGGGAAGATATTTCCTTTTTCACCGTAGGCATCAAGGCGATCGAAATGTCCACTTCCACAAACTACAAAAAGAGTGTTTCAAACCTGCTCTATGAAAGGCAATGTTCATCTCTATGAGTTGAATGGAAATATCCGAAAGAAATTTCTGGGAATGCTGCTGTCTAGTTTTTATACGAATTCCCGCTTCCAACGAAATCCACAAAGCAATCCAAATATCCACTTGCAGAATCCACATAAGAGAGTTTCAAAACTGCTCTATCAATACAAAGGTTCAACTCTTTTAGTTGAGTACACACATCACAAACAAGTTTCTGAGAATGCTTCTGTCTGGCTTTTATTGGAAGACATTTCCTTTTCACCAAAGGCATCAAAGCGCTCCAAATGTCCACTTCCAGATTCTTCCAAAAGAGTGTTTGAAACGTGCTCAAAGTAAGGGAATGTTCAACTCTGTGACTTGAATGCAGATATCACCAAGTAGTTTCTAATAGTGCTTCTGTCTAGATTTTAGATGATGATATTCCCGTTTCCAACGAAATCGTTAGAGCTATCCAAATATCCAGTTACAGTTTCAACCAAAAGGGTGTTTCCAAACTGCTGCATCAAAAGAAAGGTTCAACTCTGTTAGTTGAGGACACACATCACAAAGATGTTTGTGAGAATGCTTCTGTCTAGATTTTGTATGACGATATTCCCTTTTCCAACGATATCGTTAAAGCAATCTAAATATCAATTTGCAGAATCCACAAAAATAGAGTTTCCAAGCTGCTGTGTAAAAAGAAAGGTTCCACTCTGTTAGCTGAGTACACGCATCACAAACTTGTTTCTGAGAATCCTTCTGTCTCGTTTTTATGGGAAGATATTTACTTTCTCACCGTAGGCATCAAAGCGCTCCAAATGTCCACATCCAGATACTCCAGAAAGAGTGTTTCAAACTTGCTCTATGAAAGGGAATCTTCAACTCTATGAGTTGAATGCAGACATCAGAAAGAAATTTCTGAGAATGCTGCTGTCTACCTTTTATTTGAATTCCCGCTTCCAACGAAATCCTCGAAGCTATCCAAATATCCACTTGCATTTTCCACAACAAGAGTGTTTCAAAACTGCTCTATCAATAGAAATGTTCAACTCCTTTGGCTGGGTACACACATCACAAACAAGTTTCTGAGAATGCTTCTGTCTAGTTTTTATGGGAAGACATTCCCTTTTTCACCAAAGGCATCAAAGCGCTCCAAATGTCCACTTCCAGACACTACAAAAAGAGTGTTTCAAACGTGCTCTAAGAAAGCGAATGTTCAACTCTGTGACTTGAATGCAGATATCAAAAAGTAGTTTCTGAGAGGGCTTCTGTCTAGATTTTAGATGATGATATTCCCGTTTCCAACGAAATCATTAGAGCTATCCAAATATCCAGTTACAGTTTCTACAAAAAGAGTGTTTCCAAACTGCTGCATCAAAAGAGAGGTTCCACTCTGTTAGCTGAGTACACACATCACAAACTTGTTTCTCAGAATCCTGCTGTCTACCTTTTATTTGAATTCCCGCTTCCAACGAAATCCTCCAAGCTATCCAAATATCCACCTGCATTTTCCACAACAAGAGTGTTTCAAAACTGCTCTATCAATAGAAGTGTTCAACTCCTTTGGCTGGGTACACACATCACAAACAAGTTTCTGAGAATGCTTCTGTCTAGTTTTTATGGGAAGACGTTCCCTTTTTCACCAAAGGCATCAAAGCGCTCCAAATGTCCACTTCCATACACTACAAAAAGAGTGTTTCAAACGTGCTCTAAGAAAGCGAATGATCAACCCTGTGACTTGAATGCAGATATCACAAAGTAGTTTCTGAGAGGGCTTCTGTCTAGATTTTAGATGATGATATTCCCGTTTCCAACGAAATCATTAGAGCTATCCAAATATCCACTTACAGTTTCTACAAAAAGAGTGTTTCCAAACTGCTGCATCAAAAGAGAGGTTCCACTCTGTTAGCTGAGTACACACATCACAAACTTGTTTCTGAGAATCCTTCTGTCTAGCTTTTATGGGAAGATATTTACTTTTTCACCATAGGCATCAAAGCGTTCCAAATGTCCACATCCACATAGTACAGAAAGAGTGTTTCAAACCTGCTCTATGAAAGGGAATGTTCAACTCTATGAGTTGAATGCAAACATCACAAAGAAATTTCTGAGAATGCTGCTGTCTACCTTTCATTTGAATTCCCGCTTCCAACGAAATCCTCCAGGCTATCCAAATATCCACTTGCAGATTCCACAAAAAGTGTGTTTCTAAACTGCTCTATCAATGGCAAGGTTCAACTCTGTCAGTTGAGGATACACATCACAAACAAGTTTCTGAGAATTCTTCTGTCTATTTTTTATGGGAAGATATTTCCTTTTTCACCGTAGGCGTCAAGGCGATCGAAATGTCCACTTCCACAAACTACAAAAAGAGTGTTTCAAACCTGCTCTATGAAAGGCCATATTCATCTCTATGAGTTGAATGGAAATATCCGAAAGAAATTTCTGGGAATGCTGCTGTCTAGTGTTTATACGAATTCCCGCTTCCAACGAAATCCTCAAAGCAATCCAAATATCCACTTGCAGAATCCACAAAAAGAGTGTTTCAAAACTGCTCTATCAATAGAAAGGTTCAACTCTTTTAGTTGAGTACACACATCACGAACAAGTTTCTGAGAATGCTTCTGTCTGGCTTTTATTGGAAGACGTTTCCTTTTCACCAAAGGCATCAAAGCGCTCCAAATGTCCACTTCCAGATTCTTCCAAAAGAGTGTTTCAAACGTGTTCAAAGTAAGGGAATGTTCAACTCTGTGACTTGAATGCAGATATCACCAAGTAGTTTCTAATAGTGCTTCTGTCTAGATTTTAGATGATGATATTCCCGTTTCCAACGAAATCGTTAGAGCTATCCAAATATCCACTTACAGTTTCTACAAAAACAGTGTTTCCAAACTGCTGCATCAAAAGAAAAGTTCAACTGTGTTAGTTGAGGACACACATCACAAAGAAGTTTGTGAGAATGCTTCTCTCTAGATTTTGTATGACAATATTCCCTTTTCCAACGATATCGTTAAAGCAATCTAAATATCAATTTGCAGAATCCACAAAAATAGAGTTTCAAAGCTGCTCTGTAAAAAGAAAGGTTCCACTCTGTTAGCTGAGTACACACATCACAAACTTGTTTCTGAGTATCCTTCTGTCTCGTTTTTATGGGAAGATATTTACTTTTTCACCGTAGGCATCAAAGCGCTCCAAATGTCCACATCCAGATATTCCAGAAAGAGTGTTTCAAACCTGCTCTATGAAAGGGAATCTTCAACTCTATGAGTTGAATGCAGACATCAGAAACTAATTTCTGAGAATGCTGCTGTCTACCATTTATTTGAATTCCCGCTTCCAACGAAATCTTCCAACCTATCCAAATATCCACCTGCATTTTCCACAAAAAGAGTGTTTCAAAACTGCTCTATCAATAGAAATGTTCAACTCCTTTAGCTAGGTATACACATCACAAACAAGTTTCTGAGAATGCTTCTGTCTACTTTTTAAGGGAAGACATTTCCTTTTTCACCAAAGGCATCAAAGCGCTCCAAATGTCCACTTCCAGATTCTACAAAAAGAGTGTTTCAAACCTGCTCTAAGTAAGGGAGTTTTCAACTCTGTGACTGGAATGCAGATATCACAAAGTAGATTCTGAGACTGCTTCTGTCTAGATTTTAGATGATGATATTCCCGTTTCCAACGAAATCATTAGAGCTATCCAAATATCCACTTACAGTTTCTACAAACAGAGTGTTTCCAAACTGCTGCATCAGAAGAGAGGTTCCACTCTGTTAGCTGAGTACGCACATCACAAACTTGTTTCTGAGAATCCTTCTGTCTCGTTTTTATGGGAAGATATTTACCTTTTCACCGTAGGCATCAAAGCGCTCCATATGTCCACATCCAGATACTCCACAAAGAGTGTTTCAAACCTGCTCTATGAAAGGGAATCTTCAACTCTATGAGTTGAATGCAGACATCAGAAAGAAATTTCTGAGAATGCTGCTGTCTACCTTTCATTTGAATTCCCGCTTCCAACAAAATCCTCCAGGCTATCCAAATATCCACTTGCAGATTCCACAAAAACAGTGTTTCTAAACTGCTCTATCAATGGCAAGGTTCAACTCTGTCAGTTGAGGATACACATCACAAACAAGTTTCTGAGAGTTCTTCTGTCTATTTTTTATGGGAAGATATTTCCTTTTTCACTGTAGGCGTCAAGGCGATCGAAATGTCCACTTCCACAAACTACAAAAAGAGTGTTTCAAACCTGCTCTATGAAACGCGATGTTCATCTCAATGAGTTGAATGGAAATATCCGAAAGAAATTTCTGGGAATGCTGCTGTCTAGTTTTTATATGAATTCCCGCTTCCAACGAAATCCTCAAAGCAATCCAAATATCCACTTGCAGAATCCACAAAAAGAGTGTTTCAAAACTGCTCTATCAATAGAAAGGTTCAACTCTTTTAGTTGAGTACACACATCACAAACAAGTTTCTGAGAATGCTTCTGTCTGGCTTTTATTGGAAGACGTTTCCTTTTCACCAAAGGCATCAAAGCGCTCCAAATGTCCACTTCCAGATTCTTCCAAAAGAGTGTTTCAAACGTGCTCAAAGTAAGGGTATGTTCAACTCTGTGACTTGAATGCAGATATCACCAAGTAGTTTCTAATAGTGCTTCTGTCTAGATTTTAGATGATGATATTCCCGTTTCCAAGGAAATCGTTAGAGCTATCCAAATATCCAGTTACAGTTTCTACCAAAAGGGTGTTTCCAAATTGCTGCATCAAAAGAAAGGTTCAACTCTGTTAGTTGAGGACACACATCACAAAGAAGTTTGTGAGAATGCTTCTGTCTAGAGTTTGTATGACGATATTCCCTTTTCCAACGATATCGTTAAAGCAATCTAAATATCAATTTGCAGAATCCACAAAAATAGAGTTTCAAAGCTGCTCTGTAAAAAGAAAGGTTCCACTCTGTTAGCTGAGTACACACATCACAAACTTGTTTCTGAGAATCCTTCTGTCTCGTTTTTATCAGAAGATATTTACTTTTCCACCGTAGGCATCAAAGCGCTCCAATTGTCCACATCCAGATACTCCAGAAAGAGTGTTTCAAACCTGCTCTATGAAAGGGAATCTTCAACTCTATGAGTTGAATGCAGACATCAGAAAGAAATTTCTGAGAATGCTGCTGTCTACTTTTTATTTGAATTCCCGCTTCCAACGAAATCCTCCAAGCTATCCAAATATCCACCTGCATTTTCCACAAAAAGAGTGTTTCAAAACTGCTCTATCAATAGAAATGTTCAACTCCTTTAGCTGGGTAGACACATCACAAACAAGTTTCTGAGAATGCTTCTGTCTAGTTTTTATGGGAAGACGTTCCCTTTTTCACCAAAGGCATCAAAGCGCTCCAAATGTCCACTTCCAGATACTACAAAAAGAGTGTTTCAAACGTGCTCTAAGAAAGCGAATGTTCAACTCTCTGACTTGAATGCAGATATCACAAAGTAGTTTCTGAGAGGGCTTCTGTCTAGATTTTAGATGATGATATTCCCGTTTCCAACGAAATCATTAGAGCTATCTAAATATCCACTTACAGTTTCTACAAAAAGAGTGTTTCCAAACTGCTGCATCAAAAGAGAGGTTCCACTCTGTTAGCTGAGTACACACATCACAAACTTGATTCTGAGAATCCTTCTGTCTCGTTTTTATGGGAAGATATTTACTTTTTCACCGTAGGAATCAAAGCGCTCCAAATGTCCACATCCAGATACTCCAGAAAGAGTGTTTCAAACCTGCTCTATGAAAGGGAATCTTCAACTCTATGAGTTGAATGCAGACATCAGAAAGAAATTTCTGAGAATGCTGCTGTCTACCTTTTATTTGAATTCCCGCTTCCAACGAAATCCTCCAAGCTATCCAAATATCCACTTGCAGATTCCACAAAAAGAGTGTTTCAAAACTGCTCTGTATCAATGGCAAAGTTCAACTCTGTTAGTTGAGGACACATATCACCAACAAGTTTCTCAGAATGCTTCTGTCTATTTTTTATGGGAAGATATTTCCTTTTTCAGCGTAGGCGTCAAGGCGATCGAAATGTCCACTTCCACAAACTACAAAAAGAGTGTTTCAAACCTGCTCTATGAAAGGCCATGTTCAACTCTATGAGTTGAATGGAAATATCCGAAAGAAAATTCTGGGAATGCTGCTGTCTAGTGTTTATACGAATTCCCGCTTCCAACGAAATCCTCAAAGCAATCCAAATATCCACTTGCAGAATCCACAAAAAGAGTGTTTCAAAACTGCTCTATCAATAGAAAGGTTCAACTCTTTTAGTTGAGTACACACATCACCAACAAGTTTCTGAGAATGCTTCTGTCTGGCTTTTATTGGAAGACGTTTCCTTTTCACCAAAGGCATCAAAGCGCTCCAAATGTCCACTTCCAGATTCTTCCAAAAGAGTGTTTCAAACGTGCTCGAAGTAAGGGAATGTTCTACTCTGTGACTTGAATGCAGATATCACCAAGTAGTTTCTAATAGTGCTTCTGTCTACATTTTAGATGATGATATTCCCGTTTCCCACGAAATCGTTAGAGCTATCCAAATATCCAGTTACAGTTTCTACCAAAAGGGTGTTTCCAAATTGCTGCATCAAAAGAAAGGTTCAACTCTGTTAGTTGAGGACACACATCACAAAGAAGTTTGTGAGAATGCTTCTGTCTAGATTTTCTATGACGGTATTCCCTTTTCCAACGATATCGTTAAAGCAATCTAAATATCAATTTGCAGAATCCACAACAATAGAGTTTCAAAGCTGCTCTGTAAAAAGAAAGGTTCCACTCTGTTAGCTGAGTACACACATCACAAACTTGTTTCTGAGAATCCTTCTGTCTAGTTTTTATGGGAAGATATTTACTTTTTCACCGTAGGTATCAAAGCGCTCCAAGTGTCCACATCCAGATACTACAGAAAGAGTGTTTCAAACCTGCTCTATGAAAGGGAATCTTCAACTCTATGAGTTGAATGCAGACATCAGAAAGTAATTTCTGAGAATGCTGCTGTCTACCTTTCATTTCAATTCCCGCTTCCAACGAAATCCTCCAAGCTATCCAAATATTCACTTGCAGATTCCACAAAAAGAGTGTTTCAAAACTACTCTATCAATAGAAAGGTACAACTCTGTCAGTTGAGGACACACATCACAAACAAGTTTCTGAGAATTCT